>NC_000004.12:102671381-103296381 GCF_000001405.40 Homo sapiens
GTAAAAGGAGCCGTAACCTGTAGAAGACATTTTAGAAACAAATCATAATTTGGAAAAAAAAAACAGATTGTGACAGATAAACACATTTCTAATCTGTTAGAAAAACACACTCTAAAATCATGATGGTTTGGTTACAATGTAAATTAAAGAAAGTAAGATAAAATTATATACACATTAACTATAACCACATAAAACAAATAAACAGAAAAAGTATGGGTGATATCTTTACCTATTAAATTTTCAGTAACATTATTATACTCTTTTTAAAATTAAATTTATGTTTTATATTTAGTCTTATAAAAAATACAGTTGTAAGCCTTGGAAAGTATGCACTAATTTTATACAAACCCTCCAAACTATAAAACAAAATCAAGACTTGAGTATTAGTGCCTAGCACCCCTATCTCCTTTTATGCAATTTCTCCAGCCCAGTATTTCTTTCTCTAGTAAATTTCCTTTCTACTTTTTCCAATTCCTATTCACATTACCCTCAGGAAAATCTAGAAACTTACAGGCAGCTTGAGAGCATGTACCTTCCCTCCATTCCCAGAACAGTGCTCAAACCAAGTAACAGGCTGGGCAGACCCAGAGCACTGTGGGCTCAGCACAGGCACCACGGCAGGCTTACCAATTGGCCCAGTTGGGCTGAAGGACCACAGCCAACCCAGCCCCAGCTGGGAGGGGAGAGGAGCATTTGAAAAGGAAAAAGATAGAGCCAATTATCCCGTGGCTGTGTCTGGAGAAGAATTTCATTTTCTTATGAAATCTAAAATAATATACACATTTTAAAGTAAAAGGAAATTACTACAACTTTTGGAAAAAATCAGGGTTTAGTTACTGATGACATTTACATTCTAAACATCAAATAATATACTACAATGCACATTTATACATTTGTAAATATGCTAAAATGTTATTTAATTTAGATAATAAATAAGTTTAAATGTGTTTATTTTCATTTCATAAAGTTTATTTTCAGCATTGCAAAGATTTAAGTTTACAGATCCAATTAGGAAATATTATTTTCTTCCAAAGTTCTATTCCTTCAGTCTTGGAAAAACATTTTTTTTCCTAGATCTAGAACTTTTAAGATTATATTTTGTTTTTAAATAAATTGTATTGTGTATATTTAAGGTATATGACATAATGTTATGGGATATATAGATAGATAGTTAAAAGGTTACTATAGTGAAACAAACCAACGTACTTACCATCCTACAACAGGGGTCCCAACCCCCAGGCCACGGACTGGACCATGGATCAGGTGGCACAGCAGGAGGTAAGCAGCTGGTGAGCAAGCATTACTACCTGACCTCCTATCAGATCAGCGGCAGCATTAGATTCTCATAGGAGCAGGAACACTATTGTGAACTGTGCATGCGAAGGATACAGGTTGCATGCTCCTTATGAGAATCTAATTCCTGATGATCTGAGGTAGAACAGTTTCATTCCAAAACTATCCCCTCATCCCCCACCCCCAATCTGTAGAAAAACTGTCTTCCATGAAACTGGTTATTGGTGCCAAAAAGGTTTGGGACTGCTGTCCTACGTAGTTATCCACTCTTTTTTGCTTTTGTGGCACAAGTAGCTAAAATCTACTCACTTATTTACCATGAATCCTATAAATAGCACAATTTTTTTAACCTATATTCCTAGTGCACATCAGATCTCTGGACTTGTTCTCTTGCATATCTGCTACATTGTATCCTCTGACCAACAGCTCCCAGTTTCCTCCCCACCCTCCCACAACCGCGCCTCCACTACACACGAGATTTTGTTTAGTTCTTTTGTTGAGATAAAAGTAAAAGAATATGCAAATACCTTAGCATAGAAAGGTAAATATGGGGTTGGCCCGGTGGCTTACGCATGTAATCCCAACACTTTGGGAGGCTGAGGCAGGTGGATCATTTGAGGTCAGGAGTTCAAGACCAGCCTGGCCTACATAGTGAAACCCCATCTCTACTAAAAATACAAAAATTAGCTGGGCGGTAGTGGCCTGCACCTGTAATCCCAGCTACTTGGGAGGCTGAGGCAGGAGAATCGCTTGAGCCTGGGAGGCGGAGGTTGCAGTGAGCTGAGATCACGCGACTGCACTCCAGCCTGGGCAACAGAGCAAGACTCCATCTCAAAAAAAAAAAAAAGGTAAATATGTGTTCTTATCTTTCAAAACCATGCTCAAAACATTTAACGTATCATTTGAAAAGCTGAAAATAGTTGAATGTAATATTTTTTTCGGAGACTATTCAAAATATAAATTACTCATTTTCTTATTTCTCCAGAATAAACATATAATAGTTTTCTAAAAATCGAATGGCTTCAACAGTCTCAAATAGTTTAGCTGTAAGACCACCTGTAACCCAGGAGAATGGAATATATAATTTTTAAAATCCTGTCCATTCTGAAGTTTCCATCGTCTAGAATTCTATACTACCTCTTAGTTCCTTGCCCAGAGACTAAAGAAAGTAAAAATGAGTAAACCTCAAGCTTTGCGGGACTGCTAATTAAAAGAAGAACAAGAAAAGAAAGACAATAACTTACAACTCAGAGGTTACTCGGTCCTGGAATGAATCTGCTGGGATCCAGTTTGAGCCTTTTAGAAATATGGGAAATCCATTAATTTTGAAATAGAAACTCAAACCAGGAGACCCTTTTATAGGCTCTTCTATAAGTTCCACTGTCCTAAAATAAACCTGCAATGAACAGAATTAAATGATGAATATCAAATTTAAACATAAGCAAAATAGTTTTTTTAAAAAAAGCAGACCTTTTTGAAAAACTACATTCAGTAGTTTAATGCTAATTTTCCTATTTACTATGAAGCACATAATGTGGAAATGCACATTTCAGGAATATACACATATAAATTATTGCTAGCATCCGTTATTTCTCTTTTAAAAGAGAAATATAGAAACCACTAAAGAGCTACTGTAGTCTTCCACATGAAATAGGCATTTGTGATAACATCAAAAAAGACAATTTGAAGATAACATCTCTAAATTAAAACAAAAACATGCTATTTCAAAAAAATAGAAAAAAATGCTGTCTTTGAAAAACACATTCTCATTTCAGTGTTGTTAAAAGGTAGCCAAACATGCATCTTAGAATCAAATGTTATAACTTAACAACTTTGCAATCTTAATAACACATTACCATAAAATCACTTTGTTTAATGGGTAATTTAATCCTAATTACACATTAAACTCAATGTTTGAGCACGCTCTGGTTTCTTGACTGGAGATGTACATGGTGTTCTAATGGAAGTAGATGCAGCAGGACCACGCACTCTGTGCTATTGGTGCTCTGGAGAGGAAGCAGAGGCTCCATCCTAGTGACAGCCTAGCCAGGTTTTCCCCCAGTTAAGCATGGGCAGCAAGACCCCAGATAGAGAAGCTTTGACATTTTTATCAAAATCTTTATTCTTGCCAGCCATAAATTGGATCAAGTTTATATAAGATTTTATACCAATAAAGCCTAGCCTTAAGCCAAAAGCACACATTTCTCTAACTTAAAAAATCAGTGAATGAATTAGTCAAATTATTTCATGTAATAAAAGTGTCCACCATTCTCCTGCTTCCTGACTCCTGACTTTATTTATATGAAATGACAAAAGACCTCAGAATTAACTTTACAAGAAGATACAGAATATGTCCTGGATAAGGAGGATCTTGACACGCGATGATCACTCCTGCTTCAGGGTTGCAAAATGTCAAGAATGCACAGTGATTTTCAGAGGTGACTTTTAAAACACCATGATGGTGGGTTCCAATATCTAGAACAGTGCATGGTTCTTTAAGTGTGGCCTGGGGACTCCAGGAGGTCCCTTGGAGACTGTCAGTGTGTCCTTGACTTTACTTAGAGTAAAACTAAAACATTATTTGCCTTTATCTCTCTCAGTCTCTGAGTGTCAGTGGAATTTTCCAGAGACTACATGATGTGTGCCTACTTCATCACTCTGACAGCTAATGGAATGTGTGCTGTGTATTCCACTGTGATGTAGCTCTGCGGCAGAGGTTTATGGTATGAAGCAGTGCATTTTCAGAGATTAACTCAGTTTGTTCTCAGTACTTTTACTGTGCTCTTACTATTAATAGCTGTCTTTGATTATTCCTGCTGTAATCTCTGTACCCTCATTGTTGTTCAATAAATTCTTACTTTGAACCCCAAAGTTTCCCTTGCAACCTACACAGGAGCACAAAAGGAGTAGGTACTACTTATTCCTTTGTTTCACAGCAATATTTTTAAGTTTTCAAATAAAAACAAATTTTAATTTTAATTGAAACTCATTTTACACTTTAATAATATTTTATCTTGTTCTAAAAGAAAATTTATTTATAATACTTTTTTCCAATTTAGGGATGAATTGTCAAAATGGGATTAGAAGGCTTACCTTCTCACCAGCCTGGCCAACATGGTGAAATCCTATCTCTACTAAATACAAAAATTAGCTGGGTGTGGTGGTGCATGCCCATAATCCCAGCTACTTGGGAGGCTGAGACAGGAGAATGACTTGAATCCGGGAGGCAGAGTTTGCAGCGAGCCAAGATTATGCCATTGCACTCCAGCCTGGGCTACAGAACAAGACTCCGTCTTGAAAAAAAAAAGAAGGCTTACCTTCTCAACCTATAACTGCACTATCTGTCTATATCTGAGGATGCTGAAAAAAGTGAAACTGACATATCAGACAGTCTTTTGACTCATGGAAGGGAAGAATCTACTCTAAACAAACTGGGTAAAATTATGAATAAGAAGTGAAATTATGATGAAAGCCACCTTTCTCTTGACTTTATGGATGTTAATAACTTACCTTTTTGTGCGTTATGCAATGGAACATTTAAAAATAATATTTATGGTGCCAGTTAAGTTGTAGTGTCTCATTGAGACAAATCATTCACAGTATGAAGAAAAGAGAATTGAATATTTAAACTTATACATGATAAGCTCATTAAAAGTCAAACAGTGTTTATTACATCTTTTCAAACCAGACATGAAAAAACCCAGTGAAGCATCTTACAGGGTTAGTTATGCACCCCTGGCTGGAGAAGCACACATACTAGCTGAGAGACAGTTGTACTGTTGACATTGCAGAATGCTTACTAGATGAAAAGTTAGTCGAGGAAATAACAGCACTGCCACTTTGCAATGACAGAGTAACTCGTCCAATTAAGAGATTTGACTGCAATATGAAGACTGGCCTGATATCTCATCTGAAATAATCATACTTTTGCTTTACAAATGAGTGAATCTCCAGATATAGATGGACTTGCCAGTTTGCCTGTATTTGTCTGTTATCAGCACGATAAATCATCAAAAAACTTCTTTTCTGTGAATTTTTGGCAACAATATACAAGAGGTGCTGAAATATTCAAAGTACTAAATAATTTTTTGAATAATATCCTGTAATTACTGTGTTAACATTTGCACTGACGTTACAAAAGCAGTGGTGGGTTAACACTGCTGGTGCCTTAGCAGGAATCAAGGCAGTAGCTCCAAACTGCTAGTAGTCATTACATCTTTCACCTTCATGCATTAGCAGCAGGAAAATGAAAAAAAAACAGTTTCACTTAAGACTGTCCTTGATAAAGCAGTAAACATTAATTTCATTAAATCCCAACCCTCAGTATGCATCATTTTAATATCCTGCATTATGAAATGAGCAATATCCATAAAGCACCATTCACAATAGATAGCTGGAGGAAAAGCCTCTGGGCCATTAATAGAGTTGTATGTAAGCTGAATTGGCCTTGTTCACGACACTCCATTTTTACTTGATAGAAAGAAGGACTGACAGACAAACGATGGTTATTCAGACTTGGATACCTGGCAGACATTCTCTAGAAAATGAATGGAGTGAGCCTATCATTTCAAGAAAAACAACTAGCAGTATTTGTGGCCAAGGATAAAATTCAAACTTTCAAGTAAAAATTGGGATTAGGGAAAACTTGTATCTACTACCTCACGGTAGTAGATACTACTTAAATACTTAAAAACTTTTTAGATGACATCAGTGGTGATATTAACAAATGTGATATTATAAAAGGAAATGTTTCAACATTTGGAAGATCTGTAACTCTCAAGAAACAAACATTTTCCAATAACCAATGCATTATATTACAATATCACATAATATGGGTAAAGAATTCACACAAAGTGCAAGATAGACAAATGAATTTTAATGTAACAGAGAACAAAAAGTTTAAGAAACTATCATTTGTTAAAAGAAAACTATCATTGGTTAAAAGAAAATCCACAATTTATCTGAAAAGACTATTTTTTCCCTTTTCCAAGTACATCTGTGTGAGGTCAGATTTCCTTAATCTGTTTCAACCGAAACAACATATTGCAAATTGACTGAAGGCAGATACAGATGAGAATCCCTTTGTCTCCTACTAAACAAGACGTTAAAGTGACTTGCTAACATGTAAAACTGTCATTATTTCCACTGGTTTTTTTGGTCAATATATTTTTTATAAAATAAGTCATATATAAAAACAGTCATATGTGCCATGGTTTATTATGGTTATTTAAAATGAATAAGTAAATACTTAATTCTCAGTTTTAATATTTAATATGGTAAATATCGGTACATATAACCCATATAAACAAAAGCATGTTGGGGTTTTCAATAACTTTTGTAAGTATAATGCAGTGCTGAGTCCAGAAAAATTTGAGAATCACTACTGCAGAAAATAGAATTTATTTGTTTCTTAATATACATTAATGCTACAAATTGTATTAACTATACAACATAACACTTTCCAGAATATTTTTCCTTTCTGTGCAAATGTTCTTATAAAAAGGCATCTCTCCCTATCCCCCAACTCTTGCAATAACAAGTTATGACTGGGGTGACAATAAACCCAAACCACCTGACAGTGCCTCAGAGGTGAAGTAGTAATTACCAGCCACCTTTCCCTCTGGGCATTCTTTCACAAGTGAAAGGCTCCCGCTTCTATGATAAGTGTCAGTAATTTTCCACGTCCTCTGGCAGTCTTGATAGTCACATAAAAGCCTTCTTCTACAACAGGTATTTTACTTCAGAGAAAATAATGGGTTCTAAAAGATTTCTTGAAAAGACCCTTGAGTAACACATATTTGCATCCAAAGTAAATATATAATCTTCATATGAGACTAAAATTTTTTAAACAGTCCAACAAAGCAAATTATTGTCTAACAGTAGGAAAAAGGTATAAATACCTAAGAAACTAAAAAATGTGTAAGTCGGGCAGTTAGAAAATTAAAAATTTTAACTTCTAAATTTTTATCTATTTTTGAAGTTTCTATTCCTCACTAGATCAGTGTTTTTATTAGCTTCAAAAAGATTTCATTTTCAAAATAGAAGGATTAACTTTAAAAGTGCAGGATAGTTGAATGCATTCTTTCAAACAAGAATTAAGGATATCTGAACTAAAGGGCCTAAGAGGTACGTGACTGATAAATACGGTACTCCTCAAATTTCTTTCTCTGGCAGACCAAACAGATGATATGTAATGAATCATTGATTCACAAACCCAAGGCTGCTTCTCAGCTGTTTGTATCAGATACTTAAAAAGCTGTAATAGCATCACTACATTTTCAAAAGGGCAATTTTCTTCTTAAAAAGAAATCCACTTATTTCTAAACATTGTCAAATGTCAAACCTGCTAAAATCCTTTTACATGTATTTTAAGAGACAACCAAACACTGCATTTCTGTCTTTGTTCTGAAAGTGCTCCCCCATGTAAAAGTATTGAGAAAACAAGCTCTGGGTCTCCACAAATAGCTCTTGTCAAACAGGTCTGTGCAGGATGACACAAGAGACATTCTTTGTCGTGCCCTTGCAATTTGCAGACAGCACAACCAGAAGTTAACAGATTAACATTGACATCGGCACAGTTATGCATCCTTGTAGCCAGATGTGTATCTAGTATATCTGACACCAGATAGGATCACTTTTTAAGACCTCCTCTTCCATATGACAAAGTTATTTTCAATAGAAGTAATGAAATGAAATGAATAATGATAATGTCCAGAAAAGAATGTAGACATTAAAAATTTTCTTTCCCTGAACTTTGTATAATCACGCCAGTTTTTTAAAAAAGTAAAACAAATATTAGCGTACAAAAAAGGAAAAGTTAATAGATTCAAGTTTTGATTATATTAATATATTTAATAAAATTATAAACAAAGGGAATAACATATATAATGGTATGCTATAGTAAGAAATAATAATATTTGCTATTTTCAGCCTTACCTTCTAAAAATCTGTCAACAACTTTCTCAAAATTGATCTTCTTTGGACATACATGTTCAACAAAGGGTATAGCCAGCTCTTTTGATTTATTTGTCATAGCTGATGGAAAAACACCTTTTATTAATTTTAACTCAGAAATGTTCTTCCAGATGAGGCCAGAGATATGCAAATATTTTAGAAAAGTATTAAACATAATAAGTTTGGTAGAGATTCATAATAATCCCACATCACATTAAACTCCAAAAAAATGCAGTCATATCCATGCCTTTGTTCTTTTGACTTTCATTCAAACAATTTACAAATGCCTCTGAGGTATAAAAAAAAAAAAAATCCCACTTCTCAAGTATTTCTTCTGTAAAATCAGAGAAAATGGCTAAATGATTGTGAACACAGATACTATTTGATTAATTGCTGTAGAACAAGTGTCCAGTTCTCAGGGACAACAATTGGGGCGTTTGGCATTGCTATGTGGATTTCTCTGAGCAATGGAAAACCAGCAACTCTTTGTTGTTTCTCCTGGCACTCTCCTTCAAAATTTGATTCTTTTTTCTATGTAAATGTTGATTTCCTTATATTTTGTTGTTGCACAGTAAATAGGCTTCACCAAAATTTCTGTGCACTTATCTTCAAAGAAGAATTTTAAAGTTTGGTATTTCACTGTACATTGTTCAAGATGGAGTCTATTTGCAAATATTTTTGTATCTGATTAATGTCATCTAAAACTATACCAGAAAAAAGATAATTCCAGAGAGAAAACCGCACACAGCAGAGAGAAATGTCTGAGCTGATTCACGTGTCCACATTTTCTTTGGATTACATGGTACTTCAGAGTTGAGATTAACTTTTCAAAATTTTTCTACTGTGGCCCAGCTTCATAATGAACCTTCCATCTTGTCTAGGAAAGCTTTTCTGCAGCTTTTCCCATCAATGAGGTGAGATGAGAAAGAATGAATACAATTTGTCCAAAGTTCTAAAAAAAAAAAATCACACAGGAAAAAAAAAGTTTCCAAAAAAGCAAATTCCACAAGGCTCAGAGAATAATTTCCAAGAGGCTGAAATAAAATTTTGGATTAATTTCTTTGATTTTTGCATGAACTCCACAGTGAATACTGGCCACATATGCAGCATCTTTTATCCTGGCCCATAGCAGAGGTTTATGAAATAATAATCCCATTCCTTGAAGCTATTTTCTGTGCATTCTGCAGCAGTTGTTCTGGAAATATGAGAATGACTCCTTTATCTCCATTCTACTACCTTCCCTATGACCAGTTCACACATTTGATCTCTGTTTCCAGAAAGGTAAGAATGACTTCTTTATTTCCACTCTGCCACCTTCAATATAGGCCTATCTGACCAATTCACACATTTGATCTCTGTTTAAAGTATCCAGAGTGCTGTCAAAAAGAATTCCAGCCAGGCAGTGGCTCATGCCTATAACCTCAACACTTTGGGAGGCTGAAGCGGGAGGGTTGCTTGAGGACAGGGGTGTGAGACCAGCCTGGGCAACATGGCAGGCTGTGTTGCAACACCCACTTACTGTCTGCACCTAAGGCTAACTACTCCCCATCTCTAGAAAAATAAAATAGGCAAGGCATGGTAGCATGTGCCTGTAGTAGTCCTAGCTACTCAGGAGGATAAGGTAGGAGGATCACTGGGGCCCAGGAGTTCAAAGCTGCAGTGAGCTATGAGCAGCCTGGGTGACAGAGTGAGCCCCTGTCTCTAAAAAGAACAAAATAATAATAATAATTCTAAAGCATTTTTTTCAGTATCTGCCACCCCCTACTAAAGCATACCACTGATGTCATGTTTTACTTTGACTCTTTCTTTAGTTTCAAAACAACAAATTTAAAAAAATAAATTTCAATTCTAAAGACACTATTAAAATTAGTAGAATATACTTCATACATGAACTAAAATATGCACTTACCAAGCAAAATATTACACATTACACCTCAGAGTCCATAGCTTTCTCAACTGTAAATTTAAAGCATAAAAATAACTCCAAGAGATCACATCGAATTGAAGTAACTTATGTTGAGTTTCTCCTTTTTTATAATCACTGTGCTATTGTTGTTTATTTCTAATCTGCAATGCTTTTAAATGCAGGCATGTATAGGGCAGGGAATGGAAGCACAAACTGTGTTCAAAACAAGCTCATACAATTCCAAACTGTTATAAATTTGCTTTCAAAATGACTGTATGAAGCTGAATCTTCATGTATCCGGGAATGACTGTATAACTAAGAGTACTCCAGGCCAGGTGCAGTGGCTCACGCCTGTAATCCTAGCACTTTGGGAGGCAGAAGCGGGTGGATCACCTGAGGTCGGGAGTTTGAGACTAGCCTGACCAACATGGAGAAACCCCCATCTCTACTAAAAATACAAAAATTAGCCGGGCATGGTGGTGCGTGCCTGCAATCCCAGCTACTCAGGAGGCTGAGGCAGAATAATCGCTTGAACCTGGGAGGCAGAAGTTGCAGTGAGCCGAGATCACGCCATTGCACTCCAGCCTAGGTAACAAAAGACAACTCTGTCTCAAAAAAAAAAAAAAAAAAAGTACTCCAAATTAACTTTCATGTAGAATATAATGTCTATTACAGGACTGGTAATAAAAATGTGCCAAATCTAAGCATACATGTATATTATTAACATTCAAGAGTAACCAAACACATAGTTAAAACTTAGACCAACATATGATTGGTGGAGGGGGAGGGTAGGAGAAGTATTCTATCACTGGCATTATTTATTAATAGGATTGCCAGTATATAGTAATAATGAAAAACAGGCCAATCTATAGTCTACACACAATTCACCCACTTACTGTCTGCACCTAGGGCTAACTGCTCCCAAGGCCCACCTGGAGAAGTCACTGCCTATAGCCATCTTGGAAATATTTAATAAAACTTCTGACAAGAATAAGGCCAAAAGGACAGTGTACTGGGTTGAACAGTGTCCCCCCAAAATTCATGTCCACCCAAAAATACAACCTTATTTGGAAATAAAGTCTTCGCAAATATATTTAGTTTAGTTAAAATGAGGTCATACTGGGCCCTAACCCAATGGCTGGTGTAGTTATAAGAAAAGGAAACAAGAGACACACACAAGGAGAAAGCTATATGATGGTGGAGACAGAGATCAGAGTGATGCATCTACAAGCCAAGGATTGCCAGCAATGATGAGAAACTGGAAGGGGCAAGGAAGAATTCTTTCCCAGAGCCTTCGGAAGGAACACAGCTCTGCCGACACCTTGATTTTGGACTCCAGCCTCCAAGACTGTGAGAAAATAAATTTTAAGATACTCAGTTTATAGTAATTTGTAATAATAGACCTAGAAACCTAATACAGAAGGAGACACACTTCATAATCTCTGTGCCCTCTCAATACAAAAATACACCTTGATTATTCCTAATTCCATATCTTTGGCTATGTACTTTTAAGGTCTTTAGAGAGCCAAGAGTAGCACTTAGAAAAAATTCCACTAGTATTATGTTGGTTTTTTGCCCTGTGCAATTTGCAAAGATGAAGACAGGAATTTAAGAAACAAAGAACAAAGTGACATTAAAAAAGAAAAAAAAAAACTGAAAAAGAAAAAAAAATCCCAATTGTTTTTCTAATTGTAGTAGCCATGGACAATCATTCACCTCCTCTGGCTTGGGAACTATGAAACACAAGTTTTAATTGATTGTAGAGTACTTATTATTACATCTATTTTCCTACAATAATTTAATTGGAGAATCTTGATCCCAGGAGCAAACGTACACAGCAACAGCCTTCTGCTGCTTTTAGCAAAACGATACCTTATACATAGAATACTTGAGAAATTCTTATAAAATAAATTAGGTGTAAGAGAAATATCAACTAATTGGTTTCCTGTTTTTCCATAAAGGCAAGCCATAATAAGCATTCAAAAATATGTATTAGTTCATTAAAACACGTTACCTAGTCAATTCAGTACAATCAATTAGTAGGATAAAAACACTCAGTTAACCTGGGCAGAAAATGGCAAAAACTGATTGGTCAGATTTTTTATTCCATTTACCCAGAGTATCCTCTACCATTCCCACTTATACACAAAACTTTTTCTTTTGTTAAAAAATCAATTTGGTTTCCCAAACTGATAAAGCTAACTCTCCCAGACTCACATTCTAAGGTCCCTCAGGCAATGATTTATTTGGCAGAATTTATGATATCCCAACATTTATTTTTTATTTTGTTATTTATTAATGTTTAAATTGCCTGTTGATATTTTCCCTATATTACCTCCCTTCTTGCTTAAACCATTTGCCCCAATGTCACTCAACATAAGAAAATTCTCAGTCATCAAGATATTCTGCCATGTTCACAAAGAAATGTAGTCGGCCCTTTCCTCTCTCTCAAGTGTCTGCATTCTTTTCATGATTCCATACATTTCTGCTGTATGGGCTGCATTCAAAATCTGTAACTTCCCCAGGACCTTTTGTCTGAGTCAGATATGCTGCTGTCTCCTGATATACTCAGTTAAAAAAAAAAAAAATCCTAAACACGTTTCTAAGCTCAGTGGAAGAGGAGAGGCATGAAACAAAGATATAAAACTGAAGCAAGATGGATTTCAATGAGGTATATTTAAAACAGAATTATTTTTGCATAAAGCAAGCCCAGGGTAACAATAAACAAGAGCAATAGAGGTGAAATAAGGAGGGGCTGGTGATGAGAAAACAGTGTTCAATGTCCTGTCTGACACAGTACCAAGTGCTGGCGAGCATGAGGAGCCTAGGCAAGTCTCATATAACCACTTTGGATGGCAGTTTAGCATAATCTACAAAGCTGAACTCATGCATCCTCCATAATCATGCCATTCCACTCCCAGCAGACATGCCGTTGGGGGCATATGTGCTCCGAGTGTTATATCAGTAATGTTCACAGCAGCATTACTTGGAATAGCCAAAACTGGCAACTACTCAAATTGCAACAGCAAAATGTGTAGTATAATAAAATTTTATACAACTTAAATAGACAAACTTACAGTTACACAGAACAATAAACAGCAGTCCCCCCTTATCTGCAGGGGATACGCTCCAAGACCCCCAGTAGGTGCCTGAAACTGCAGATAGTACCGAACCCCATATATACTATGACTTTTTCTGTCTGATAAAGGAGAAGGCTGCTGAGTGACTAACAGGTGGATAATGTATACAGCAAGGATATGCTCAACAAAGCGATGATTCATGTCCTGGACAAGACAGGGCAGGACAGCACGAGATGCCATCATGCTACACAGAACAGTGAGCAATTTAAAACTCATGAATTGCTTATTTCTGGAGTTTTCCATTTACTATTTTCAGACCACAGTTGACCATGGGTAACTGAAACCACAGATAAGGAGGCACTACTGTACCTAAATGTCAAAAACATAATGCTGAGCCAAATTAGCCACACACTAAAAAATACATGCTATATGGTTCCATGTACATAAAATTCAAAAAGAGACAAAAGTAACCTAGTGATGGATGTCAGGATAGTGGATCTTCGGGAAGGAAACAGGGGTCATTACTGGGGAGGCTCGCAGAAGGGAGGGGAGAGTTTGAGGTGTGAAGTGCTAGTAATTAATGTTCTGTTTCTTGAACATGTTGACAGTTACCTGAGTGTTCATTTTCTCATAATTCATTAAGCTTTTCACTTATGGCTTGTGTATTTTTCTGTATGTGTCATATTTCACAATAAATAAAAAATAAAATGTTGTTTGACCAAAACTCCCTAGCTTTCTTTCTCAGGCTTACTTTTTCACCCTAAAACTCCACTGACAAAAGTGTTTGCCAGTCTTATAGAAAGAAAATATACTTTAAATGGTCCTAGAGACCTTCAAAATTACCTCCATCCTCAAGCTGCATCCTTTCCTCCCATGTGTTATCTTTCACCACTATTACAACGAAAACAGAGCCCCCCATCCCAAAGTGAATCCATCCTCTTCTTATCTCCTACCTCCCAGAGACCTTGCCCTCTCAACTACCTCCCTGCTTTCTAACTCTTTTTAGTCTTTCCCTCGCTACTGGCCCCTTTCCATCAGGATTTTGCTGTTGCTTTCCATTCTCTTAATGGTATCCTTTTCTATGTTGAAATCATTGCAAACTTGTAATAAAGTTCCAACAATAATACAAAGAACTCCTATATATAATACAAAGAATCCAGAGACCCCCCCATTCAAGTTTTCATCAGTTGCCCCAATAACATTATGACAAAAAAGATCACTGCACTGCACCCAGTTCGTACATAGTCTCTTCCACTGTAGGACAGTTCCTCAATCTTTCCTTGACATTTTTGAAGATTATAGTAGATTGAAGACTGAAGACTGAAGACTGAAGGCCCTTGTGTCCTTTCAATGTGTCACATTATTATTGAGTACCTCCTTACTTCCTGGAACAGCAAGATATTTCAGGCTCCAGCTCGAGAATCAGTCATTTCTCCAAAGAGCCCTGATTGCTTTCAGCACAGAGTGGTATTCCAAATCAACATATGGGTCCTAAATCTACTCACTGCTACTAGAGAGCCACTCTTCCCAGGCGCTCTGAGAAAGGATTAGGAAATGTGTGAAAAGAACTAGGAAATGTGTGTGTGTGTGTGTGTGTCTACCCACACATACACATGCATTTACAAAGACATTTATTTCTCTGTCTACACATACTGAAAATCATAACTTCATACTATTAGCTCCAATTTGAATCCACTGTAGCTTTCCCCCCTTCTATGTTGATACCACCTTTCTCCATTCATGAAAAGGCTGGCTTCCACCACTTCAATATATTTACTTATTTGTTCAGTTGCCTATGTGAAGCCAATCTGATCCCAACTGGCCACCATTACCACCTGGTCTAAGCATAGTTTCCAATCAGACGCTTTCAGAAGAGTTGCCTATATTCACCGTCTTTACTTCCATACCTTGAGTCATTCCTCAACCCACTACAATTTGATTTCCATGCTGATCAAGGTGACCAGTAATCTCCTTGCCACCAAATCTAAAGAATCTTTCTCAATTCTTTTCTAACTTGAACTCCCTTGCAGCATTCAACACTCTGAACATTCTTTGCTTCTTAAAACACTCTTTCCCTCTGGTTTCTGTGACTCCCCACTCAAATTGGTTTTCCCTCCACCTCGTCAACCATTCCTTCTTAGATTCTTCTACTGGCTTCTCCCCAAACCCCAACCTTACTAATTATGACTGCCTGGGGTTCTGTCCTAGCTCTTTTCTCTGTGCCATCCCTGAGGTATTTCATCCGCTACCATGGCTACAATTATCTACATTCTGCTAACTTACACATCTATATCCTTAACCCACATGCAATCCCTAAGCTTAAGATCTATCTAATGAAACACCTATCAAATATTATTCCTTGGGTGTCTCTCAATCACCCCACACAAAACACATCTAACACTGAAATAATTTCCACCCAACCCCTTCCCCCAAACCTTCTCTTCTTTCTGAGTAATGTAACTCAATGAACAGAGTTGCCCTGCCTGTTCAGAGGCTGCCTGTTCAGCAGCCCAAACCAGCAGCTGAGGAACCATTCCTAACTCCTTCTTTTTTCCCACCCCCACATCATCAAGCCTGCTGAGGTTATATCCTAAATCTCTTTCAGATTTATTTCCTCAGCAGTTCTGTAGACCAACCAATCCTCATTTTTTGTCTGAATCACCACCACAGTCTTCTAACTGGTCCCCTACTCTTGCCATCCTTCCAATCTGATCTACACAATCTTTGTAAAATATGCATATAATCCTTACCCCCTCCTTAAAATCCTTCCAAGAATCCTGGCAGCACTCAGGACAGTGCTTCTTCCTTCACGTGGCTCACTAGGCCCTGCAGGACTTTGTCCTAGCTACTTTTACAACACCATCTCTTGTTCTTCAACTTCAAACTCAACCACAACTGCATTGAAATTTCTTTCACTTCTGCAAACACACAACATCCTTTCTAGTCCTTGGGCCTTCACGTTCTTTTCCCTCCGCCTCTTTGCTACATTACTTGGCCAAATTCTACTTATCCCTCAGGACACAGGCTCTGGGAATCTTCCCAGAATGCCCCTGCTCTGCACTTCCATGGCACTCTCTACATCTCTAGAGTGCTAATATATTCCAATGGCTCATTTAATGATTGAACTTCCCAATCAGATCATTAGTTCTACTAAGGTCTCAGAGAGAAACAGAAACAGTGTCTTAGTCACAGCTCTATCACCAGCACCTAGCAAAATAGCCAAAACACAGTAGGTGTGCCCTAAGTATTTACTGAATGAATCAGCCTCAAAAAATAGCAACTCTACGGCAGCCACAGCCAAAGAGCACATTTCACACACATGCATTAACTCAAGGTGTGGGGCAGTTAAACATCCTCCTTAAAGCAAACTCCTGTTGCTGCTCGATTCAAAGGCTGGCATCTTTATGTGTAATGAACAATAATACAGTCATATTAGCCTGAATGTAAAAGAATTATTTCCCTTAGAAAAAGACAGAAGTTCCTCTTCTTTCTCTGTAGTAAGTTGGAATGACTCATTATTTTTTACATTTTCATGAAAACAACACACAACAAACTCACTGTGTGAGACAGCACACATCCTCTCAGCCAAGAGGGGTACGACAAGAGTGAATGCTTTGGCCCTTAAGACGGGTCCAGGATGTTCTCCCTGTACATAACTCTGTGCATGTGTGCGTGCGCGCGCACACACACACACACACACACAAACACACATACACTCTCTTCCCCTCTCACACACACATACACACTCTTTCTCTCTCTCCCCTCCCCCCTTACACACACACACACACACACACACACACACATTCACAGTGTCTCAGAAAATACACAGCATGATTGAACAAAAGAAAAACAGAAAATGCACTCCTGAAGGACATATCTCCATCCTTAGCATGTTGTCTGGCCCACAGGAGAGGAAATACCAAATGTAAGAGGTGACACCAGCCAACTGTAAACACCGAAGCTGGTGTCTGGGAGAGGAGGAGATCTTTGAAGAGGGTTAATACCATTTCTACTAACTATATGCCATGACTCTTATAAGCCAGATCCAAGCCATCTCGTTCTTATTGTCCCTATTTTACATATTTTGAGATTAAGTAAGTAGCCTATAGCTAATAAATAACAAAGTGCAGTTCTTTCCAATTCCTAGTGCTATATCCTAAAATGGGTAAAACTGAAAAATCAGAAAACACCAGTAGAAGCACCTTATTCAGAAAAATGAAGAAGAATGTCAGAGGAAATAAATAAA
Organism: Homo sapiens; assembly: GCF_000001405.40. Taxonomy (NCBI): domain Eukaryota; kingdom Metazoa; phylum Chordata; class Mammalia; order Primates; family Hominidae; genus Homo; species Homo sapiens. The sequence continues at coordinate 102,688,861 of NC_000004.12, forward strand.
AGTTAAAAATGGTTGGTTCTGGGGAGTAGGAAGTAAGAATAGGAAGTGATGGGCAAGAGGTCTTATTTTTCATATAAACTTACTAGTAATATTTGAGTTTTAAAATTACACATGTATTATTTTGATATAAGGTACAATTTTAAATCATAGCAGGAGACTACTTATTGACAAAATAATATCTAAAGTATGATCCATTTAAAAATATAAGGCCGGGCGCAGTGGCTCACGCCCGTAATCCCAGCACTCTGGGAGGCCAAGGCAGTAGATCACTTGATATCAGGAATTCAAGACCTGCCTGGTCAACATGGTGAAACCCCATCTCTACTAAAAATACAAAAGTTAGCTGGGCGTGGTGGCGGGTGCCTGTAATCCCATCTACTTGGGAGGCTGAGGCAGGAGAATTGCTTGAACCCAGGAGGTGGAGGTTGCAGTGAGCCAAGATTGCACCATTGCACTCCAGCCTGAGTGACAGAGCAAGACTCTGTCTCAAAAAAAAAAAATATATATATATATATATATGTGTGTGTGTATATATATGTATGTATATATACACACACAGAGAGAGAAGCTTTTGAATGCTGTTACTAAAGATGATCTCTGATGGGTGGGGACACAAGAGTTTTGACGGTTTCTTCTTTTCCCATGAAGATCTGTATTACTATTTTTAAAAGAAATAAAATTATTTCACAAAATATTTTAAATTACTTACTTACCTTAGCTGATTTTTCAATATTTAAGCCTCCATCCAGTTCAAAAAGAACAGTCATGTTGTACCCAGTCTGGTTTCCATGTCCATGAGGCCACCAAGTTTCTACAGTAATATTCTTTTAAGAAAATTTAAAAGTCACTCTAATATGTCATATTTTCAGCAAAAAAGGCTCAAAGCATTACATCAATTTCTCAAATAGTCAAGTACAAAACTCTAGGTTCTAAAACAATGTAAGTCTCCCCACCTATATTATGCCCAATCAGACCAATTCATTGATAATATTTAAAAATCAGCATGCTGGGAATCTAGCATGGATCAATACATCAAAAGCAAAAGGAAAGAACAGAATAACATGAGTGTTCAGAAAAACAACTCTCCCTATCCCTAACACCGAGCTTACATTTATTCCACATTCTTAACACTTAAAATGGGACTCTGAAGTTGACTCTTCTTTCAAGCCAAAAACTAAAAATCATTTTGAGTTCTTACTTTATCTCAACAGCTACTGAATGTTATTTTGCTCCACCTTTTTCAGTACACAATTATCAATTAGAGGAATAGAAAAAAGAAAAAGAAAAGATAAAAATAATCCGTTCTACCTTGATATATGAAAGATCATGAGTTTAGAATTAAAATTGTGCATGTAGAATAAGTATCAATAATCAAAATAATTGACAAGTATCAAAAATAACCACTGCTATTTAAATATAATCCATAGAATGTATTTTGGCTTTAGGATACTACAAATACTACAGAAAATTAAAATACAATGATAAAAATAAAATGAGAGAAAGAATTGCCAAATTAATAATATATTCTCTATTTTCTTAATCTTAAAGTTTGGGAAAATCATTCTTTAGCTCATACTCACAGAAAATATATGAGAGACTAAAATAGAGAAGAAAATGACAAATATAAGCAGAGAAAGTAGAATTTTCTTTCATACTTAGTCCCTCCTTTCTAATCATTTCTTTAGCACAGGTATTGCTTTTCATCCAGTGCTTCTCAGGAAGTACCATCATTTACCTTGCTAATGTTCACAAATAGCTCAACAATCCTTTTCCCAGGTTGAAGTTCAATGCTGTATGTCTGTTGTGTTTGCAACTTAGGGATGGCTACGATCACTTGACCACCAACTGGCTTTGAGCTGACAACATCAAATGTAGACTCTATTTCCAGATTCCACTCCTGGGCACTCTTATCTAAAATATAAAAAGAAAAAGAAATATATATATATATATATAATATGCTAAGCATTATCACTGCATTTCTCAGGATTCATTGAAGGTAAGACTAAAGCAGCTTCAAACCCAGTATGTGCTCCACAATGCTGTCATAATCAAAACTTCGTGGAAATTTTCTTTTAATCTTCAGTTTAATCCTTCATTCTGAAGAAGAATAACAAAAATGGTATATTTTACATAGACTTCCACTCTAAAAATGTTATGATTGTAAGTCATAAAAACTTTATGGAGCATAAACAGAAAATGACAAATGGAAAGATAAAATAAATTTTCCAAGAATAATACACATTTGTTCCTTTTTAATTAAGTAAAAATACTTTATAAAGTAAAAAGTAATAGTATTTTACTTTATAATGTAAATGGGTTTTAAAGTTATGTAATAAGGTATAAATTTATATGTATTAAAATTAATCAAATGTGAAAAAATAAAGTTATACTTTAAATGTAGATAATTTATCCAATAAATATTTCCTGAGGACTTTCTATGTGCCATATACTCTGCTAAGTGATGGGAATTAAATGGTGACCAGGATAAACATGGCCCCTACTCTCATGAACTAAAAGTCTATAGACAAATTCAAAAGCATAATAATATCAGGACAGGAGAAATAAAAGGTTGTCCTGAGAAATAAAAACAGGACATCAGAAAGCACAGCTAATACAGAGAGGGTGAAGGAAGGCTTTCTCTCTTTTCTTTTTCCTTTTTTTTTTTTTTTTTGACACAGGTTCTCACTCTGTTGCCCCGGGAGTCACACAATCATAGCTCACTGTAGCTTTGAACTCCTGGGCTCAAGCAATCCTCCTGCCTCAGCCTTCTGAGCAGCTGGCACTATAGGCATGTGCCACTCACCTAGCTAATTTTCTTTTTACTTTTTGTAAAGATGAGGTCTCACTTTGTTGTCCAGGTTAGTCTTGAACTCCTGGCCTCAAGCAATCCTCCAGCCTCTACCTCCCAAAGCACTGGGATTATAGGCATGAGCCACCATGCCTGGCCAAGGAATGCTTTCATTAGAAAGTGGTATCTAGCTGAGACCAGAAGGATGCCTCAGCTAAGTACAGAGGAAGATGATAAGGATTCTGGGCACAGAGAAGCATGTGAAGGCCCATGAGTGAGACAGCAATGCCATAACAAGGAAAACAAGGAACTTGGGCAATAACAAAATTGATGAGGGGGTCAGCATAATTGAAAAGTTGAGCACGGTCCAAATGACACTGGGTCTTTTCGAACAGGTAAGGAGTCTGGCAATTTCACCCCAGATCAATGCGGAGTCATTGAAGATTTTTCATCAAAGAGCATGACCAGATCTGCATTTTATAAGAATTGCTAAAGGTCCCAGCACAGTGATATACAAGGATGAATATGAAAGAAGCAGAAAGATATAAAATCTCTCTGTGTACAAAAAGCCCCAGAAAATGCCACTTGGAAAAGCCAGGAACAGAGAGGAGGCAAAGAAGAGTGTTGATCAGAAAGAAGAGAAAACAAGACCGAAGAGGAGAATTATAGGGAAAGAAGAAAGATGAGGGATGAACTTTGGGTGCAGAGTTTGGGGTTGTCAGAATGTTTCGAAGAGGTTTTGAAGTAGAGTTTTATATACGCGCAGTATGACTCTGTCCTCCATTTCCTGTCAAATTTATATTGTTTGTATAATGTCTCCGGGTTTGGTTTTGTGTTTAGTTTTTATTTTTAAACAAGATAGAGCACTGGGACAGACTTGGGACAAGAGCTGGGTGGAAAAACAGACCGTTTTTTAAAGTTACGCAGAAGAAACTGGTCATGAGATCTCAAAAAAGCTTGGAGGTACAGGGGGTTAGAGTCAGCAAAAAAAGTTCTCATTCTTTGCTGCCACAGAAAGAAAGGAGAAGAGCAGTGACTGTGCAGAGGCATTTAAGTTTCTATGATTCGTGGCAAAGTATGGAGGGAGTTCCTATTTAGTGGCTTCTATTTTTCTCCAAAGGAAGGGGAGGGGGAAGGCTACTAGCTGAGAAGTATCTTAGAGACCTTTCTCCTACAAATAAAGAAGAGATTAATAATCATGGCTTTGCTGCAAAAGAAAAAAAAAAAAGCTAGGTTTCTATGCTGATCAATGACAAAAGACGTTATAACCGGCACTGTTTACAACTGTAGGAGCACACCAGGCCTGTTCTAAAGATGACCCCAGCACAGTTTATCATTCGCATCTCCCATCAGCCAAAAGCATAGATTTGATGCACATTGAAGTAAAATTAATCCTGGACTTAAGAACTATTTTTGTTTATTAAGTGATTTATTCTGAGAAATACTAGTCGATGAGCTCTGAGTTAGGTTTGTTCTGATCCAGTTAATTTTGCAGGTTACTTACCGATAGCCTCCAGGTTTTGAATCTATCAGCTGGTAGATCACCTAGTCTGCTCGCTCACCAGTGTTTAATTTCCTCTATTCAATAGGTTGTCAAACTATGGTCTTTGGGACAAATCTAGCCCACCTCTTGTTTTTATAAATAAACTTTTATTGGAACACAGATGTTATGGACTAAATGGTGGACTCTTCCCCTAAAATTCTTATGTTGAAGCCCTAACCTCCAGCTTTTTATGAAGTAATAAGGGTGGGGCAGTAATCTGTTAGGATTGCAGCCTTATAAGAAGAGGAAGAAACAGATATCCGTCTCTCTCTCTACTATGTGAGGACATAGCAAGAAGGCATCTGTCTGCAAGCCAGGAAACGAGCCCTCACTGGAAACCAAATGGGCCAACACCTTTATCTCGGACTTCCCAGCTGCCAGAACTACGAGAAATAAACTTCTGTTATTTAAGCCACTCTGCCTATGGTATTTTCTTAGGGCAGCCAGAGCAGACTAACTTAATAGTCATGCTCATTTGTTTACTTATTGTCTTTGGTTACCTTTGCAATACAACAGTAGAGTTGAGTAGTTGTGACAGATGCCTAAACTATTTTACTATGTGATCCTTAAGAGAAAAAGTTTGCTAATCCCTGCCCTAGAATATTACCCCCAAAAAAGGCCATTCCAACCTTTCTTTAAATATCTCTAATGACAAAAAAACCTCTGCCTCACAAAATAGCCTTCCCATTTTTGCCAGGCTTGGCTATTGTAAAGACTCCCTTTACACTGAATTTGAAATATACTTCTCCTTAATATCCAACTAAAGATTTTAGCTCTGTCCTTTGAGCACCTCCTACCAACGAAGCAGGCTCCTGTGTTGTTTTCTGTTACTTCTTCTTTAGTAGGAGAATCAGCTGTTAGTGACAGCCTCTGACAGGAAAACAAATAATGCAATCCTCAAAGGTCATCGGCAAAATTCCCCAGTTTCTCTTGCTTTGAACTTGGAAGGTTCTCGAGCAAGTCCGCACTCCTCCAGAGCATCACCCGTTAACACCCCTGGGAACTACTAAATGAAAAAACTAAGGTTGTAGAATTAAAAACACAGTATGAAGATCTACAAGCCTACAAAGTTATCACCAGATATACTTAATAACATATTTTTCCCCTCTCCTCTTCTTTCAAATAGAGTAAACCCCTTCCTTCCAGTAGCACATGGAAAAGTAGGTAATTTAGGTTCACAAGGCGCAAAGTCTTAAATAACCAGTAGTTTTCCTGATGTTCTTTGGTCACTCCTTTTCACTTGCTAAATTAAATTTATAAATTGCATAATCCTATTTGTAGTTAAGAAGAACTCCATCTTATAAATTAAGCCCCATTTCTAGAATACAGCTTCCTATCATCTCTCTCCTAGCATTAATAAGTCACCATGTCTTGAAGAACACTTATCATCACCAGCTCTCCTGAAGTAAAATGCAAGATCACTTCAAAAATGGATGAAGTACTGGGGGTGAGGGCAGGAAAGAAGGATTGCTACATCTTCTAGAATCCCCTACAGAGCTCATCCTTCCAATCACACCACCAAGTTCTGCATCCTCTCTTCACTTTGACTAAACAACTCAGCACAAAGAGGACAGGAATTCTTTATCAAAACAGGTGCAAAGGCAATGCTGGCCTGCCCTCTCCACAATTCAAGGCCTTGAGGCCCTCCCTGGCCTGAAGGCTTATTGGTGTCCTCGCTGATGTCCTAAGCCCAAGCAGAAGAGATTATGTTCTACAGTTTGTTCATATAACCTCAATCAGGAAGGCAACCCAGAGGATGGTAGAGAATGTGGTTCTGGCCACTAATTCGCTTTAAGGTTTTCCCAGAGATGACTCAGTGAGTGTTCTTTAAAAAAAGAAAAAAACAAAGAGCACAATGTGTCTGACCTGGATGGGAATTTGTAGAAAGGTAAACAGCTACATAGCCTAGATTAATGTATACTGCTCCTTCGTTCAGAGTATCACAAGACAACTCTAGCTCATGTAGATGTGTCCAGTACATCAGCCTTCAAAATCTTCTCAAATACGCCAGCTTCCTCTTATATTCTCATACAGTCTACTCCTTTATTAAGATGTAGTTGGAGGGGGGACAAAAAGCCAAAAAAAAAGAAAAAAAGCTTTATTCAATTGTCTAGGAGAAAAAGGTATAAGGAGAGATATAGAAAGTAGAAAAATAAGAGGACTCAGTTACATTACTTCAAGTTTGTCAAAAAGTAACAGGAAGACATACTCCCAAACTATACACTGAACCTTGCTTTAATTGATTGTAATAAAGACTCAAGTATCAATGTTTTCATCTAGTCATGTGATGTCTAGTTTCAAGAAAAACTGGGTTGTTCCATACTTATACCCTCATTGGGTGGTAATGACTATTCTAACTTACAAACAAAGGAAAAGAACCACAAAATGTTCGAGGTAGAAGAAACTTGGAGATGTTCTCATCACTTTGCAGATGTTTCTGAGGCCCTGACTGCAGCACTTCCCTCTTGAGCCAGTGGACAGGCCAAGGGTCCAGGTTTCCTAACTCTGGTGCTCTCGACTTTCCATGAGCCTCTCGCAGCGATGCCTACCAAAAGGAATGACACTCACAGGTACACAACGATTGACATTTGTATATGAATAATGAGGAAAAGCAAAAGCAAAGGTACTTTTTGCCTTTCAGAGTCCTAAAGCCAAATGTCGAATATATTCAATGTAAAACAAAGCATTCTGGGGGCACTGTAATAATAAAATGTTAGCCTAAGAGGGTCTCTGTAAAAAAAGAATACTGAAATGGGCAGGGTGTAGTGGCTCGTGCCTATAGTCCCAGCACTTTGGTAGGCTGAGGCAGGAGGATCTCTTGAGCCCAGGTGTTTGAGACCAGCCTGGGCTACATAATGAGACCCCATCTCTAAAAATAATTTTAAAATTAGCTGGGTGTGGTGGCACGCCTGTGGTCCCAGCTACTTCAGTGGCTGAGATGAGAGGATCGCTTGAGCCCAGGAGGTCAAGGCTAATGTGAGCTGAGATTGCTCCACTACACTCCAGCCTGTGCAACAGCATGAGACTTTGTCTCAAAGTAAAAAAAGAAAGGACACTGAAATCTACAAACATAGAGAATATGTCTGACCCTCTGCTAAACGTGTATTTATATGATGCCACAGTTCCTGTACTTATCAAAATACTGTCTTTGTAACCTAAACTAGCTGAAAAGGCACTAAAATAGTTATGTGAGCATTTGTGTCAAGCAAATGAAATCTATTTCTTGAATAACTACTGTCTGTAAAACCTTGACAGGCATTATAAATTATATCCCAATCCAAAAAGGCAAATATGTTGTCTCTAACTCTCTGAACATATTTAGAAAGATAAAATATACCCAAGTGTCGCAGTTAAGAATACAGGATGGCATCAGGAACCATAAGGACTAGCAGGGCAGTGAAAGTTCAGAGGCAGGGCACATTCAAGTCAGCAAGGGATGAATCTGCAAACACTGGTAGATGAAAAAGATGCTTCATCTCACTGGGGGGAAAACCTATTCAAAGATAGCTGCCTGGATTAGCTTTGCCCTGCTGAGCTCCTCACAGCTCCCCCTTTTGCAGGCTCTCTTCTTCCTCCATCTTTAATAGAGTATGAAAAGCTGCAGGGAAAGGTAGTTATGTGCATTTAAAGAAACAGCAATGACACCAAATGAAATGAACAAGCCATGGAATTTATAAATTCAAACATTAGATATTTTCCGGTACTCCTGCCAGAATCATGGGACAGACTTAAGCAGCTGCTTTTCAAAGAGCTAACCATTGCGTTAGCCAAAAATGTTGGCCCACAGTTAGTTAAAACAGCTGTTTTCCCTCTTCTTCACCAAGCAGCAAGATCTCCTTACCTACTCAGCAGTACAAAATCCTTGAAACTGAAATCAAGGCAAAAGAGACGCAAGGCAAAATGTTTCCTAGAACAAGGATAAGTTAGTAAGCTCCAAAGAAGAAAATTTACTCAAGCAATGAGGAGACTAATCACAGGAAAAATTATTCAAGCAACCTACCCTCTCTATGGGTATTTCAAGCAAAATACCCATAAAGTTATTTTCAAGGATTATTTTATGGAAAAAATAATTTAAAGATGAATGAAAAATTGATTCCAAATGAATGCATTAAAAAATGCATGCTTATCAAATAAGCAAGACTGACAAATCTTTATTTTATTTTATTTTTTTATTATTATTATACTTTAAGTTTTAGGGTACATGTGCACAATGTGCAGGTTAGTTACATATGTATACATGTGCCATGCTGGTGCGCTGCACCCACTAAACTTGTCATCTATCATTAGGTATATCTCCCAATGCTATCCCTCCCCCCTCCCCCCACCCCACAACAGTCCCCAGAGTGTGATGTTCCCCTTCCTGTGTCCATGTGTTCTCATTGTTCAATTCCCACCTATGAGTGAGAATATGCGGTGTTTGGTTTTTTGTTCTTGCGATAGTTTACTGAGAATGATGATTTCCAATTTCATCCATGTCCCTACAAAGGACATGAACTCATCATTTTTTATGGCTGCATAGTATTCCATGGTGTATATGTGCCACATTTTCTTAATCCAGTCTATCATTGTTGGACATTTGGGTTGGTTCCAAGTCTTTGCTATTGTGAATAGTGCCACAATAAACATACCTGTGCATGTGTCTTTAGAGCAGCATGATTTATAGTCCTTTGGATATATACCCTGTAATGGGATGGCTGGGTCAAATGGTATTTCTAGTTCTAGATCCCTGAGGAATCGCCACACTGACTTCCACAATGGTTGAACTAGTTTACAGTCCCACCAACAGTGTAAAAGTGTTCCTATTTCTCCACAACCTCTCCAGCACCTGTTGTTTCCTGACTTTTTAATGATTGCCATTCTAACTGGTGTGAGATGGTATCTCATTGTGGTTTTGATTTGCATTTCTCTGATGGCCAGTGATGATGAGCATTTTTTCATGTTTTTTGGCTGCATAAATGACTTCTTTTGAGAAGTGTCTGTTCATGTCCTTTGCCCACTTTTTGATGGGGTTGTTTGTCTTTTTCTTGTAAATTTGTTTGAGTTCATTGTAGATTCTGGATATTAGCCCTTTGTCAGACGAGTAGGTTGTGAAAATTTTCTCCCATTTTGTGGGTTGCCTGTTCACTCTGATGGTAGTTTCTTTTGCTGTGCAGAAGCTCTTTAGTTTAATTAGATCCCATTTGTCAATTTTGGCTTTTGTTGCCATTGCTTTTGGTGTTTTAGACATGAAGTCCTTGCCCATGCCTATGTCCTGAATGGTAATGCCTAGGTTTTCTTCTAGGGTTTTTATGGTTTTAGGTCTAACGTTTAAGTCTTTAATCCATCTTGAATTGATTTTTGTATAAGGTGTAAGGAAGGGATCCAGTTTCAGCTTTCTACATATGGCTAGCCAGTTTTCCCAGCACCATTTATTGAATAGGGAATCCTTTCCCCATTGCTTGTTTTTCTCAGGTTTGTCAAAGATCAGATAGTTGTAGATATACAGCGTTATTTCTGAGGGCTCTATTCTGTTCCCTTGATCTATATCTCTGTTTTGGTACCAGTACCATGCTGTTTTGGTTACTGTAGCCTTGTAGTATAGTTTGAAGTCAGGTAGTGTGATGCCTCCAGCTTTGTTCTTTTGGCTTAGGATTGACTTGGCGATGTGGGCTCTTTTTTGGTTCCATATGAACTTTAAAGTAGTTTTTTCCAATTCTGTGAGGAAAGTCATTGGTAGCTTGATGGGGATGGCATTGAATCTATAAATTACCTTGGGCAGTATGGCCATTTTCACAATATTGATTCTTCCTACCCATGAGTATGGAATGTTCTTCCATTTGTTTGTATCCTCTTTTATTTCATTGAGCAGTGGTTTGTAGTTCTCCTTGAAGAGGTCCTTCACGTCCCTTGTAAGGTGGATTCCTAGGTATTTTATTCTCTTTGAAGCAATTGTGAATGGGAGTTCACTCATGATTTGGCCCTCTGTTTGTCTGTTATTGGTGTATAAGAATGCTTGTGATTTATATACATTGATTTTGTATCCTGAGACTTTGCTGACGTTGCTTATCAGCTTAAGGAGATTTTGGGCTGAGACAATGGGGTTTTCTAGATATACAATCATGTCGTCTGCAAACAGGGACAATTTGACTTCCTCTTTTCCTAATTGAATACCCTTTATTTCCTTCTCCTGCCTAATTGCCCTGGCCAGAACTTCCAACACTATGTTGAATAGGAATGGTGAGAGATGGCATCCCTGTCTTGTGCCAGTTTTCAAAGGGAATGCTTCCAGTTTTTGCCCATTCAGTATGATATTGGCTGTGGGTTTGTCATAGATAGCTCTTATTATTTTGAGATACGTCCCATCAATACCTAATTTATTGAGAGTTTTTAGCATGAAGGGTTGTTGAATTTTGTCAAAGGCCTTTTCTGCATCTATAGAGATAATCATGTGGTTTTTGTCTTTGGTTCTGTTTATATGATGTATTACATTGATTGATTTGCATATATTGAACCAGCCTTGCATCCCAGGGATGAAGCCCACTTGATCATGGTGGATAAGCTTTTTGATGTGCTGCTGGATCCGGTTTGCCAGTATTTTATTGAGGATTTTTGCATCAATGTTCATGAAGGATATGGGTCTAAAATTCTCTTTTTTGGTTGTGTCTCTGCCCAGCTTTGGTATCAGGATGATGCTGGCCTCATAAAATGAGTTAGGGAGGATTCCCTCTTTTTCTATTGATTGGAATAGTTTCAGAAGGAATGGTACCAGTTCCTCCTTGTACCTCTGGTAGAATTCAGCTGTAAATCCATCTGGTCCTGGACTCTTTTTGGTTGGTAAGCTATTGATTATTGCCACAATTTCAGATCCTGTTATTGGTCTATTCAGAGATTCAACTTCTTCCTGGTTTAGTCTTGGGAGAGTGTATGTGTCGAGGAATTTATCCATTTCTTCTAGATTTTCTAGTTTATTTGCGTAGAGGTGTTTGTAGTATTCTCTGATGGTAGTTTGTATTTCTGTGGGATCGGTGGTGATATCCCCTTTATCATTTTTTATTGCATCTATTTGATTCTTCTCTCTTTTTTTCTTTATTAGTCTTGCTAACGGTCTATCAATTTTGTTGATCCTTTCAAAAAACCAGCTCCTGGATTCATTAATTTTTTGAAGGGTTTTTTGTGTCTCTATTTCCTTCAGTTCTGCTCTGATTTTAGTTATTTCTTGCCTTCTGCTAGCTTTCGAATGTGTTTGCTCTTGCTTTTCTAATTCTTTTAATTGTGATGTTAGGGTGTCAATTTTGGATCTTTCCTGCTTTCTCTTGTGGGCATTTAGTGCTATAAATTTCCCTCTACACACTGCTTTGAATGTGTCCCAGAGATTCTGGTATGTTGTGTCTTTGTTCTCGTTGGTTTCAAAAAACATCTTTATTTCTGCCTTCATTTCGTTATGTACCCAGTAGTCATTCTGGAGCAGGTTGTTCAGTTTCCATGTAGTTGAGCGGTTTTGAGTGAGTTTCTTAATTCTGAGTTCTAGTTTGATTGCGCTGTGGTCTGAGAGATAGTTTGTTATAATTTATGTTCTTCTACATTTGCTGAGGAGTGCTTTACTTCCAACTATGTGGTCAATTTTGGAATAGGTGTGATGTGGTGCTGAAAAAAATGTATATTCTGTTGATATAGGGTAGAGAGTTCTGTAGATGTCTATTAGGTCCGCTTGGTGCAGAGCTGAGTTCAATTCCTGGGTATCCTTGTTAACTTTCTGTCTCGTTGATCTGTCTAATGTTGACAGTGGGGTGTTAAAGTCTCCCATTATTAATGTGTGGGAGTCTAAGTCTCTTTGTAGGTCACTCAGGACTTGCTTTATGAATCTGGGTGCTCCTGTATTGGGTGCATATATATTTAGGATAGTTAGCTCTTCTTGTGGAATTTATCCCTTTACCATTATGTAATGGCCTTCTTTGTCTCTTTTGATCTTTGTTGGTTTAAAGTCTGTTTTATCAGAGACTAGGATTGCAACCCCTGCCTTTTTTTGTTTTCCATTTGCTTGGTAGATCTTCCTCCATCCTTTTATTTTGAGCCTATGTGTGTCTCTGCATGGGAGATGGGTTTCCTGAATACAGCACACTGATGGGTCTTGACTCTTTATCCAATTTGCCAGTCTGTGTCTTTTAATTGGAGCATTTAGTCCATTTACATTTAAAGTTAATATTGTTATGTGTGAATCTGATCCTGTCATTATGATGTTAGCTGGTTATTTTGCTCGTTAGTTGATGCAGTTTCTTCCTAGTCTCCATGGTCTTTACATTTTGGCATGATTTTGTAGCAGCTGGTACCGGTTGTTCCTTTCCATGTTGAGTGCTTCCTTCAGGAGCTCTTTTAGGGCAGGCCTGGTGGTGACAAAATCTCTCAGCATTTGCTTGTCTGTAAAGGATTTTATTTCTCCTACACTTATGAAGCTTAGTTTGGCTGGATATGAAATTCTGGGTTGAAAATTCTTTTCTTTAAGAATGTTGAATATTGGCCCCCACTCTCTTCTGGCTTGTAGAGTTTCTGCTGAGAGATCCGCTGTTAGTCTGATGGGCTTCCCTTTGTGGGTAACCTGACCTTTCTCTCTGGCTGCCCTTAACATTTTTTCCTTCATTTCAACTTTGGTGAATCTGACAATTATGTGTCTTGGAGTTGCTCTTCTCGAGGAGTATCTTTGTGGCGTTCTCTGTATTTCCTGAATCTGAATGTTGGCCTGCCTTGCTAGATTGGCAAAGTTCTCCTGGATAATATCCTGCAGAGTGTTTTCCAACTTGGTTCCATTCTCCCCGTCACTTTCAGGTACACCAGTCAGACGTAGATTTGGTCTTTTCACATAGTCCCATATTTCTTGGAGGCTTTGTTCGTTTCTTTTTATTCTTTTTTCTCTAAACTTCCCTTCTCGCTTCATTTCATTCATTTCATCTTCCATCACTGATACCCTTTCTTCCAGTTGATCGCATCGGCTCCTGAGGCTTCTGCATTCTTCACGTAGTTCTCGAGCCTTGGTTTTCAGCTCCATCAGCTCCTTTAAGCACTTCTCTGTATTGGTTATTCTAGTTATACATTCGTCTAAATTCTTTTCAAAGTTTTTAACTTCTTTGCCTTTGGTTTGAATTTCCTCCTGTAGCTCGTAGTTTGATCGCCTGAAGCCTTCTTCTCTCAACTTGTCAAAGTCATTCTCCGTCCAGCTTTGTTCCATTACTGGTGAGGAGCTGCGTTCCTTTGGAGGAGGAGAGGTGCTCTGCTTTTTAGAGTTTCCAGTTTTTCTGCTCTGTTTTTTCCCAATCTTTGCGGTTTTATCTACTTTTGGTCTTTGATGATGGTGATGTACAGATGGGTTTTTGGTGTGGATGTCCTTTCTGTTTGTTAGTTTTCCTTCTAACAGACAGGACCCTCAGCTGCAGGTCTGTTGGAGTTTGCTAGAGGTCCACTCCAGACCCTGTAGAAACCACTATTTTTAAGGACTAAGAATACAGAAAAGAAACATAGATATATACATATATATAAGTAAATGAATTCACAAGAATTTCACGTTAATTTTTAAATGTTTAATAGCCTTCTTTCTGTCATACACAAGTTAGGGAACTATGGTTGGTCCTTTGATCTTCAGGAGTAAACTCACTAATTTTAAGTCAAGATATAAATTGAACACTTGAAAAAGCACAAAGATGACAGTATCTCTTTCTAGCCTCAACAGGGGGAAGGCAGAAAGTGTCCCATAGACAAATTAGTTTAGGCTTTCATATCAAGTTAGCTGAAGTTACTAGACTAAATTAGTTTGTTTTAATAACTACTTTATCCACTTACTGCATATACATATATATAACAGATGCCCAATATAGAAATTTAGAAAAGACAGTTACACAGAAGAATAAAATGCAAACCATTTTTAACACTACTACAGAGATAGCTACTGTTTGCATTAGTTGTTGTTTGTTTACTTGTTTGTTTGTTTTTGAGACAGGGTCTTGCTTTGTCACCCAGGCCAGAATACAGTGGAATAATCATAGCTCGCTGCAGCCTTGACCTCCCAGGCTCAAGTAATCCTCCTGAAACTGCCTTTGCAAAGTTATAACTGAGGAAATTATGACAATGAAAGAAATCAGACCTAATCTACTCCATCTTGCTTGTAACATTTAAGCTGTTCTTATTCATTCCTGGCAGTAGGCTGAACTAACTTTGGGAAGGAATTCAGTTCATGGTTTGACTCTGAAACAAAATGGATAGCAGCCCTTTCCCGAAAAGACCCCTTCTTGCCTGGGGACGAGTCTGCCTTTGCAGGACTAACAAATTAGCTACAAGATTAGAAATTACAGTTTAGGGGTCATGCAACCTCTGGCTCCAAGAGTCTGAACCTCCCCAAATTGCTCCTGGGGATAACATCACTATTGTAAAACCTAGATCAGTGCTTGAGATATTCTGCAGACCCTGCACTGGATGGATCAGCTGACACCACCCAGACTGGTAATCTGGCTCAACCAGTTCTGCCATCCCACTCAGGAAAGAAGACAGCAAGAAAACCTTACTTCGTTCCCCCTATGATTCCATCTCCAACCTGATCAATCAGCACTCCCCACTTTGCAAGCCCCTACCCACCAGATTATCTTTAAAAACTCTGATCCCACCCAGCATGGTGGCTCACGCCTGTAATCCCAGCACTCTGGGAGGCTGAGGCGGGTGGATCACAAGGTCAGGAGATCAAGACCATCCCCACTAACACAGTGAAACCCCATCTCTACCAAAAATACAAAAAATAAGCCAGGCGTGGTGTCGAACACCTGTAGTACCAGCTACTCGGGAGGCTAAGGCAGGAGAATCACTTGAACCTGGGAGGTGGAGGTTGCAGTGAGCCAAGATCGCGCCACTGCACTCCAGCCTGGGTAACAGAGCAAAACTCTATCTCGAAAAAAAAAAACCAAAAAATTTGATCCCAAATGCTGAACGTCTGGGGAGACTGATTTGAGTAATAATAAAACTCTGGTTTCTCACACAGCCAGCTCTGCCTGAATTACTCTTTCTCCGTTGCAATTCCCCTGTCTTGATAAATCAGCTCTGTCTAGGCAGCAGGCAAGGTGAATTTATTGGGCGGTTATAATCCCACCTCAGCCTCCGAATACTTGGGACTACAGGCATATACCACCACACATGGCTAATTTTTTTTATTTTTTGTAGAGACAATGTCTGCTCAGGCTGGTTCAAACTTCTGGCCTCAAGTGATCCTTTGAACTTGGTCTCCCAAAGCGCTAAAGATTACAAGCATGAGCCACCACGCCCAGCCTTGCATTAGTTTTGACCCACCTCATTTCACACTTAAATTTTAAAAATGAATACATTTTATTTTAAATAAAAATTATATGTACCTTTTTTTATTATGAACTAAGCTTTTTTAAAAATTTTCAGTAACTCTCACAGTGCCTGCCTCATAGTATATACCAAATAAATACATAAAAGTATCCAGACCACATTAGCTTATTCTTTTATTATTTTTCAATGTTTAAACGTCTATTGATATCAGTGATAACTGCTGTCTTCCAGATAAAAATTGAAAAAAAAAATTCTGGAGAAACTCCTAAAGGTAGAACTCTTTTAATGCTCTCATGAGCTTACACTCTAATTTTATTACATCAAACAACCAAATTGATAACTATAAAATTAATTAGAAATATAGGAATTACTGCTTAACATGCACAAAGCACATCTTCTTAACAGGAAACATATATTTCTCTATGTTAAGTACAAAATATATTACTGTCATAATATTTCAAAAATGAGGGAGGAGCTTCAAGATGGCTGACTAGCGGCATCTGGTATTTGCCACCTCCACAAAGAAGAACCCCTTCAGATAGATCACCTATCAAAAAACACTGAAATTCAACAGAGAAGTGACAGAAAACACCTAAGGTAAGGAAGGAGAGAAAAGGAAGGAACCCTGCTTAGCAGGGACCAGCTGAAAGCCTGGAGAGGCTCCCCAATGCTGGGAGAAGGTAAGTGAGTGGCCTCCAGTGGTCTACATTCCCATTATGGACTCCTGCAATCCTAGCCATGAGAGAGCACCTCCACCCTCGCAGCCCCCAGGACTAGTATAGGGAGCTACAAGATATGCAATGGCATTGCTCCAGAGAGGGAGCTCCTAAGCGGTTAAAGCAAGGCACCATTTTGAGAGTCTAGCCCCGAATGGACTGCAGGCTGACTTTGGGCTTAATAGCCCCTACATCTCCACATTCCTGGAGACTTACTGACATCCCCAAGTGTAGCCAGGCACTGCTGCTGGCTGCTGCCACCAATGCTGAAGCAACTCCACCCCCTCAGGAGCAGGGCTGCTGCACATTTCAAAACACCCTGTGGAAGGGCTACCCTGCTTATCTCCACTACCTGGAGCGAAAGTGCATGCTCTCCAGTCACCTATAGCTACTGCCACTGAAAGCAACCCCATCCTCCCCAGGAGCAGGGCAGCAGCACAGTCACTACTGCCCCCACCCAAGCATTCCACCAGTGGTCTGGATATCATCCTATGCCTGCCTACCACAGCCAGCTCCCACATGCACCACTAGAGGGGTCTGAGGACAGGCCTGCCCTGGCTCTACACTCCCACTCAGTGCCTGAGCAAATGGTCTGGAAGCCTGGGGATGACCCTGCCCCATCCACCACTGTTGGTACCTCAGCACTCCTCCCAGGAGCCTGAGGACAGGCCCACTAAACCTGCAGCTACTACCACAGCTAACATCTGCCTGCATGTGCCACCTACGGGCCTGGGGACTAGTGTGCCCAGCCTGTTGCAGCCACTGTCAACACCAATGCAGACTTCTTGGAAACCAGAGGATTGTCCTGCCACTGCTACTGCCATTTCCCATGCCATACCTGCTGTCCAGGGGCCTGAAGACCCAGCCATCCAGACCAGTGGTCTACCACTGCCACTGCCAGCACCCAAGCAGGCCAGTCACCTGGAGGCCCAAGATTCATCATGCTTGGACTCACTAACACCAGTGCCAGCATATACTGCACTGAAGCCCAAGGACAGGCACACTCAGCCTGCTGCTGCCACCAGTGAAGTCCAAGGACTGGCCTTCTTGATGACCCCATCCCCAGCAAAACTTCACTACAGCCTCCACTAACAACTATACCCTAAGCCACTGAGGAAATCACAAACACCACTGATGCTGTTTACAGCTGAAGAAATCAAACAGAAACTATACTATTGCAAGCACTCAAAATCAAAGCAAAAGTGCCCTACCCAAACAATACCACAGATACATCTTCAGGAAAAATTCCTCCCCTATAAAAGAGAATTCAAAAAAATTAGAAGAAGTGGTTGTTATACCAGATGCGTGGATATAAACATGAGGACACAAGAAACATGCAAAAGCAAGGAAATATGACACTTTCAAAGGAACACAATAATTATCCAACAACAGATTCCAATAAAATGTATGAAATCCCATATAAAGAATTCAAAATAAGGAAATTAAAGACATTCATTGAGATGCAAGATAACTCAGAAAAAAAAAGAAATCAGAAAAACAATTCAAAGTATCAATAAGAAATTTACAAAACAGACAGATATAATAAAAAAGAACCAAACATAAATTCTGGAACTGAAGAATCTAGTTATTCAACAATAATTAGAGAAAGCAGAAGAAAGAATTTCAGAACTTGAGGACAGATTTTTGGAAGTAAACCAGTCAAACAAAACTTTTTTAAAAGAATAAAAAAGATTGACAAAAGACTACATGACATATGGAATACCATAAAGTGACTAAATATTCTAATTTTCAGTGTGCCAGAAAGCAAACAGAAAATTACAAAGAGAGAAAACCTATTTAACAAAATAATAGCTGAAAACTTCCCAAGTCTGGCAAGAGATTTAATATCTAGATAAAAAAATCTCAGAGATTCCCAAACAGATCCATTCAATAAGGCCTTCTCCATGGCACATTACAGTCAAACTGTCAAAAGTCAAAGACAAAGAGAGAATTCTAAAATCAGCAAGAGAAAAGCACCTAGTTACTTATAAGGAAACCCTCATCACACTAACAGCAGATCAGATTTTTCAGCAAAAACGTCACAGGCCAGGAAAAAATGGAATGATATATTCAAAGTGTTGAAAGAGAACAGCTCCCAGCCAAGGATGCCATACCCAGCAAATTTATCCTTCATAAATAAAGGACAAATCATCTTTCTAAGACAAGCAAAAGCTGAGGGAATTCATCACCACTAGACCAGACCTACAAGAAATGGTTAAGGGAGTTCTACATATGGAAGCAAAAGGACAATATCTACCATCATGAAGATACATAAAAGCATAAAACCACTGGTTGAGTAAACACAAATGAGGATCATAAAGGACCCAAATGTTAACACTACAGAAAAACACCAAACCACAGTGATAAACAATAATAGAAACAAAAAAAGGTATACAAAACAACCAGAAGTCAATTAATAAAATGACAGGAATAAGCCCTCATATATCAATAATAACCTTGAGGGTAAATGAATTAAACTTTCCACTTAAAAGATATAAATTGACTGACAGGATTTTTTAAAAACATGACCAAACTATATGCTGCCTACAAGTAGCTCAACTCACCCCTAAAGACATACATGGACTGAAAGTAAAGGAATGGAAAAATATATTCCATGCAAATGGAAATAAAAATGAGCAGGCATAGCTATATCAACATCAAATAAAACAAAGTTTAAGTCAAAAAACAGTAAAAACAGACAAAAAAGGTCACTATATCATGATAAAATGATCAAATCCACAAGAGAATATAATAATTCTACATATATCTGCACCCAACTTGGAGAACCCAGATTCATGAAGCAAATATTACCAAATCTAAAGACAGATAGATTCCAATACAATAATAGTGGGGGATTTCAACATCTTACTCTCAGCATTACACAGATCATCTAGACAAAAAATTAACAAAGAAACACTGTATTTAAGCTGTACTTTAGACCAAATGAAACTAATACACATTTAAAAAATATATTATAGCTACAAAATGCACATTCTTCTCATTAGCACATAGCATATTCTCAAGAATAGATAATATGTTAGGCAAAAAAATGACTCAACAAGTTTTTAAAAATTAAAATCATATCAAGTATCTTTTCAGACCACAACGGAATAAAACTAGAAATCAATAACAAGAGGAACTTTGAAACCTGCACAAGCACATGGAAATTAAACAACATGCTCTGAAATGACAATTGGGTCAAGAAAGAAATTAAGGAGGTAATAAAAAAAGTCTTGAAACAGATAAAAATTGAAGCACAACATATTAAAACCTATGGAATACAGCAAAAGCAGTGCTAAGAGGGAAGTTTATAGCAACAGATACTTACATCCAAAAAGTAGAAAGATTTCAAATAAACAACCTAACAATGCTCCTCAAGGAACTAGAAAAACAAGAACAAACTCAATCCAAAATTAGAAGAAGAAAAGTGATAATAATGATCAGAGCAGAACTCAATGAAATAGAGACAAAAAAAACAGCAAAGGATCAATGAAATGAAAAGTTTGTTTTTTGAAAACAAGATTGATAAACCCCTATGTAGACTAATCAAGGAGAAGACCCAAATAAACAAAATCAGAAAGTTGTACTTTAGACCAAATGAACCTAATACACGTTTACAAAATATACTAATATTTTGTATATTATTATATACAAAATATATATATGAGAAATGAGAAAGGATACATTACAACTGATACTACAGAAACACAACAGATCACCAGAGACTATTATGAACGACTATACGCTAACAAACTGAAAAACATAGAGAAAATAGGTAAATTCCTGGACACATACAACCTGCCAATACTGACTGACAAAAAAATAGAGGCCAGGCGCAGTGGCTCATGTAATTCCAACACTTTGGGAGGCCAAGGCAGGAGGATTGCTTGAGAACAGGAGTTGGAAACCAGCCTGGGCAACATAGCAAGGCCCCGTCAGGAAGGAAAGGAAAAGAAAGGAAAGGAGGGAGAGAGGGAGGAAAAAGGAAAAGGCAAGGCAAGGCAGAAAAGGAAAGGAAAGGAAAAAAGAAAGGAAGAAAGAAAGAAAGAGAGAGAGAGAAAGAAAAGAAAGAAAGGAAGGAAGGAAGGAAGGAAGGAAGGAAGAAAAGAAAAGAAAAAGAAAGGAAGGAAGGAAGGAAGGAAGAAAAGAAAAGAAAAAGAAAGGAAGGAAGGAAGAAAGAAAGAAAGAAAAAAAAGAAAGAAAGAAAGAGAAAGAGAGAGAGAGAAAGGAAGGAAGGAAGGAAATAGTGAACCTGAACGACTAATAATAAGTAGCAAGACTGAATCAGCAATAAAATCTTCCAACAGAAAAAAATCCAGGACTGGATGCCTTCACTGCCAAATTTTACCAAAGTTACAACGAAGAACTAATACCAATTCCACACAAACTATTCCAAAAATTGAAGAGGAGATAATTCTCTCTAACTCATTCCAGAGGTCAGCATCACGCTCATATCAAAACCACACAGAGAGGCAACAAGAAATAAATAAAAGGAAAGAAAAGAAAACTATAGCTCATTATCCCTGATTAGCATGGATCCAAAGATCCTCAACAAAATCCTAGCAAACCAACTCCAACAGTATATCAAAAAGATAATATACCATGAGCAAGCAGAATTTATCCCAGGGATGCAAGGATCTTACATTTGTACAAATCAATAAACGTGATACATCACATCAACAGAATGAAAGACAGAAAACAGATGATCATCTCAACAGATGCAGAAAAAGCATTTAATAAAATTCAATATCCCTTCATGATAAAAACTATCAACAAATTAGTCATAGAAGGAGCATACCTCAACATAATAAAAGCCATATATAAAAACCCAGAGCTAACATCACACCAAATGAGGAGGAGCTGAAAGTCTTTCCTCTAAGAACTAGAATGGGAAAAAGATGCCCACGTTCACCACTCCTATCCAATAAAATGCTGGAAGTCCTATCCAGGGCAATAAAGCAAGAGAAAAACATAAAAGGTACCAAATTGGAAAAGAGGAAGTAAAATTATTCCTCTTTGCAGATGACATGCTCTTACATCTGCAAAAACTTGGAAGATTCATAAAAAAATTCTTAGATCTGATAAATAAATTCAGCAAATTTGTAGGACACAAAGTCAACATACAAAAATTAGTAGTGTTTCTACACATCAATGATGAACTAGCTGAGAAAGAAATCAAGAAGGCAATCCCATTTACAATAGCTACAAAAAATAAAATACCTAGGAATAAATGTAACCAAAAAGGTGAAAGACCTCTACAAGGAAAACTATAAACGTCTGATGAAATAAATTGAAGAGGTCACACAAACAAATCGAAAAACATCCCATGCTCATGGGTTGGAAGAATTAATATCATTAAAATGACCACCATACTACCCAAAGCAATCTACAGAGTCAATGCAATCACTATCAAAATACCAAAGTCACTTTGTACAGAAATAGAAAAAAAATCCTACAGTTCATATGGAACCAAAAAAGAGCTCAAACAACCAAAGCAATCCTGAGTCAAAAGAAGGCATCACACTACCTGAAAACAGACACATAAACCAAAGGAACAGAGTGTAAACCCCAGAAATAAACCAACTTATTAATAACTAACTGATTTTTCACAAAGGCATCTTGGTCAGAGAACATGCATTGGAGAAAGAATACCCTCTTCAATCCTCTTCAATAAATGGTGCGGGGAAAATTGGATATCCATAAGCAGAAAAATGAAACTGGACTCTTATCTCTCACCATAAATAAAAATAAACTCAAGATGGATTAAAGACTTAAACATAAGACCTGAAACGATAAAACTACTAGAAGAAAACATACGAGAAGCATTTCAAGACATCGATCTAGACAAAGATTTTTATAGCTAAGACCTCAAAAGCAAAGATAACAAACATAAACATAGACAAATAGTACTATATTAAACTAAAAAGCTTCTTCACAGCAAAGGAAGCATTCAACAGAATGTAGAGACAACTTGTTGAATGGGAGAAAATATTTGCAGACTATTCATTTGACAAGGTACTAATATCTGGAATACACAAGGAACTCAACTGAACAGTAAAAAAGCAAATAACCCCATTTAAAAGTGGGCAAAGGACATGAATAGACATTTCTCTAAAGAAGACATACAAATGGCCAACAGGTATATGCACAAATGGTCAACATCACTAATCATCAGGGAACTGTAAATCAAAACCACAAATACTATCTTACTCCAGTTAGAATGACTATTACTGAAAAGACAAAAAATAATAGATGCTGGAGAGGATGCAGAGAAGAGGAAACATTTATACACGGTTGTGGGAATATGAGTGAGTACAGCCACAATGGAAATACTATATTTCTCAAGAAACTAATAGTAGAGTCATTACCATACAATCCAAGAATCCCACTAATAGGTAACTATCCACAGAAAAAGAAATCAGTATAACAAAAAGATACTTGCACCCCATGTTTACTGCAGCACTATTCACAATAGCAAAGATATAGAATCAACCTAAGTGTCCATCAACAGATGAATGGCTAAAAAAGAATAAAATCATGTCTTCCACAGCAACATGGATGGAACTGGAGGTCATTATGTTAAGTGAAATTAGACAGAGAAAGACAAATTTTGCATCTTGCCACTCACATGTCAGAGGTAAAAATGTTGATCTCATGGAGGTAGAGAGTGAAATAATAGAGACGAGAGGCTAGGAGGGGTATATGAGTGGCAGAGAGGAATGAAGAAAGGCTGATGAATGGGTACAAGCATGCATTTAAATAGAAGGAATAAGTTCTAATGTTTGACAGCATAATAGTGTGACTATACTTAACAACATGTATGGTATATTTCAAAATAGCTAGAAGAGAGGACTTGAAATATTCCCAACATAGAGAAATGATAAATACTAGAGGTGATAGATACCCGAATTACCTTGACTTGATCATTACACATTCTATGCATGTAACAAAATACCACACATACCCCATAAATATGTACAAATATTACGTGTCAATTTAAAAAATGTATTTAACCTTCACCAATGTAGTTGAGAGGAGGAACTGTTTACACTGAATCTAAATTGAATTTTAAGCATCATTTAAATTAATTCATATAAAATTCACTCAGTCACTAGTGACTAATAAAGTGAACTCTAATAACTCAGGAAGAAATGTTTAGTTTCATATTCAAATTGTAAATTAAACCAGAGCAGTATTATTCAAATTTTTTTCAGGCATCAGGGTACCCAGAGCTTATAATGCATTTTGCAGACCACCCAAAATACTGATTAAGCTTCAAAATAAATAAATAACTTTTTGCTAAATCGGACCACTTTTTTTTTTTTTTAAACAGCATCTCGCTCCATCACCCAGGCTGGAGTGCAGTGGTACAATCACAACTCACAGCAGCTCTACCTCCTGAGCTCAAGCGATCCTGCCACCTCAGCCTCTCGAGTAGCTGGGACTGCAGGTGAACGCCACCAGGCCTGGCTAATTTTTGTATTTTTTGTATTTTTTGTCAGAGATAGGATTTTGCCATGTTGTCTAGGTCGGTCTCTAACTCTTAGGCTCAGGGAATCCACCCACTTTGGCCTCCCAAAGTGCTGGAATTACAGGCATGAGCCACTGCGCTCAGCTCAGACCACTTCTCACACCAGATTCTGTTATTTATACCTGAGAAAACGTATGGGTGGTAGCATGGGATGAAGGGAGATTAAACCATTATTTGATTTTAGTAGCGAAAATCTTTAGTTGGATTACACCTCAGAAGAATAGTTTGGGAAGCACTAAACTAGAGAATTATAAGCACAGCCACATTTACATGTGCAATTTAAATTAGATCTTTTAATGCCTTTTTAAAGTTTAAAAATACCAACAGCACCAAATAACCTCCTCAAATCTAAGCATCTATCATTTGCTTTCATCTTCTGCCTTCAGAAAATACAGATTTGGCTCAATTGAATAGCAAGCTAAGGTCACCAGGGCTCTCAAGATAACAGAACTCTTGAACTGACACACCACATTCTTTCTTACTGATTTCATCTAGTTAGGCCTCCGTGTGATTACACTGAGCATTGCACGCTCTCATTTAAGATCTCACTTGCCTCCATCTTCATCCTTCATTTCCCTAACTTCTCAAATCCTCACTGATCTTTGATTTTCTGGCTCTTATCTTGGAAGGTTATTTGTTTTGTTTGGTAATTGTTTGTATCTCCCCTCCCCACACATGAAGGGATCAGTGTACCTACTCTATTTCTTTTATCAAATAAACACAGCGCTGAGCAAAGAAAGCAACAAATATTTAACCAGCTTTTAACTTATCCACTGACATCTGTGAGATTTCTGAGGTTCTATTTCAATGCTCCTTGATATTGAATAGTTGCTTCAACTTAAAAAGTACTATTTTTCACCTTAGAAATATTTCTTTTGGCCAGGCGCAGTGGCTTACGCCTGTAATCCCAGCACTTTGGGAGGCTGAGGCGGGCAGATCACCTGAGGTCAGGAGTTCGAGACTGGCCAATATGGAGAAACCCCATCTCTACTAAAAATACAAAATTAGCTGGGCGTGGTGGCACATGCCTGTAATCACAGCTACTCAGGAGGCTGAGGCAGGAGAATCGCTTGAACCCGGGAGGCAGAGGCTGCAGTGAGCCAAGATTGTGCCACTGCACTCCAGGCTGGGCAACAAGAGTGAAACTCCATCTCAAAAAAAAAAAAAAAAAAAGAAAAGAAAAGAAATCTTTCTTTTGCCCTGTTTACCTTCCAGTTTATTTTTAACTCTTCACAAGGCTGTTGTGTCAGGGCCCTTGTGTCAGGGCCCTCAGAGTAGTGCTCTGGGTTATGAAGAAAATGTACAGAGACAGAAAGCCAGTCTAACGGTGTGAGCAAAGCAAGAATTTGACACTAAAAGTGACTACAGAGGCAGCAAAAAGGAGCACAGCCAGCAGGCCCAGTTCTTTCAAGAAAGAATACTTATCTCAGGAAAACTTGGCGCTGCTCTTCCATTTTATTTTTTCCTTTTTCTGTAAAATATGCTAAAAGATACCTACCTACATATCTGCTTTATATTGTCAATTTTCATGTAAAATCAGTTTGTACCTATTTTTTACTTTTATAAATTGATTGTACCACAAAGTTTTTAAAAATTCTAAATCTCTGAAAAACATACCTCTGTATTTCAATTATAAACCCAATTTTTATAACAAGAAGACTCAAAAAGAAAAAAAAATCACATCTTTCAGCTTACCATATATTGGGGAAAATGTGAAGTAGTTCAGGTGACAAATATTATAGGCTTCAATTCTAACATCTTTCCAGATTCCCTGGGTAGGAAAGGAAGGCCCCCAGTCCCAACTAAAGGAACATTGCTCCTGCAATTTCAAGGAGAAAAAGAAGATATATTCTGATTATGGTGAAATTTAAACATTATGAAAAACATTTTCTTTAAAAATGTTACATATGTGTATATAAGTTTGCTATGGCAGCCATAACAAAGTATCACAAACTAAGTGGTTTAAACAATGGAAATGTATTTTCTCACAGTGAAGTCCAAGATCAAGCTATCAGCAGGTTTGGTTCCTCCTGAAGCCGATCTCCTCTGTTTGCACTGTGTCCTCACATGGTCTTTTTCTGTGCTAGGCATCCCTGGTGTCTCTCTCCATTGTCCAAATGTCCCCTTCTTAAAAGGACACTAGTTGTATTGGAATAGGGCCCACACTAACTGCCTCATTTTATCTTAATCACCCCTTAAAGACCTTCTCCAAATATGATTACATTCTGAGATACCAGAGGTTAGGACTTCAACATATGAATTTGGGGGGACCACAAGTTAGTGCAAAACTGTGTGTGCCCCCCAACCACCATACACAGCCTCTGAGGTGGCCCACAATGATCCCCCCTTTGAAGTGACCTAGTGAATCACTTCTAACCACCAGCATATAGCAAAAATGATGTGATTTTATTAATTAGGTTATAAGAGACTAAGCCTTGAATTTTGGGTACTCTCTCATGCCCTCTCTTGGCCAAGAGGGAAGCCAGCCTCTGTGTCATGGGGCAGCTCTGCGGAGAGACCCATATGGGCAATCTGAGGTCTGCCAATAACTACAAGTGAGCTCAGAAACAGACTCTTCAGCCTTGAGTCAACTTGAGCCAAGCCTTGAGACAACTGCAGCCATGAGACCTTAAGCCAGAGGCACCCAGCTGAGCCACACTCAACTCAGATTCCTAACTAACAGAAGCTATCATAATAAATGTTTTGTTTATATTATTTTTTAGAAATCAGAAAACCTATAGTCCACATATTTTCTTTTTTTAACTTTTAAGTTCAGGGGTACAAGTGCAGGTTTGTTATATAGGTAAACTTGTGTCATGGGGGTTTGTCATAGAGATTATTTCATCATCCAGCTATTAAGCCTAGTACCCATTAGTTATTTTTCCTGATCTTCTCTCTCCTCCCACCCTCCACCTTCTGGCAGGCCCCAGGGTGTGTTGTTCCCCTCTATGTGTCCATGTGTTCTCATCAATAAATGTTGTTTTAAGCTGATAAGTTTTGGCATAATTTGTTACATCACAATAGATAACTGATACAATATCCAATATATCCAATATATCTATGTTGCACGTAACCTATGAAACAGATAAATTTGGCAGAAATGTTCTAAGAACATAAAATCTATGAAGAGTTGTACATTTATTCTTCAAATGCTTACTACATTGAAGCAACTCAATAGTTCCTCTTTAAATTTCTCTATAATATCTCTGAACCTAACCATTGTATTTAAATCTAATAGTTACAAAGAATATTGTGCTTACATGTAATAATTAAAAAGAATGAGGAGGCCGGGCGCAGTGGCTCACGCATGTAATATCAACACTTTGGGAGGCCGAGGCGGGTGGATCATCTGAGGTTGGGAGTTCAAGGCCAGCCTGACCAACATGGAGAAACCCCGTCTCTACTAAAAATACAAAATTAGTTGGGTGTGGTGGTATATGCCTGTAATCCCAGCTACTCAAGAGGCTCAGGCAGGAGAATCGCTTGAACCCGGGAGGCGGAGGTTATAGTGAGTTGAGATCGCACCACTGCACTCCAGCCTGGGCAACAAGAGTGAAACTCAGTCTCAAAAAAAAAAAAAAAAAAAAAAAAAAGAATGAGGAAACATATTGAAAGACAAACACTTATAAATAGGTTTTAAAAAGCTCTGGCTAAACTTGCCAACCTCAGGTATGAATTCAGAAGTCCTTGTTTCTGAACGTGAAGCCCAAAAGCAATCAGTTCGATCTTTAGCCCCTGAAACAGGTGGCCAAGGCAGACATTTTATCCAATCTTATTTGACCTGGGTACCTGTCTCTCCCTTGATGACACTCAACTTCCATATTAAGTTACAGAGTTCAAATTCAAAAATAAGAAATAATTCTGTAAAATAAATCCCTTTCACACAGAATGTTTTCTAATTTCTACTTCTTAAAAGAAAAAAATATTTTCAGAACAGTTAATTAAAATGTGTAAAGCTATAAGTTCAGCTTTTAAAAAGGAATAAGTTTGGGTCATACATTTTATGGGGGGAAAAAAAGTAACAAGCACCAGAGGAAATACTAAAATCCTTCTAGATGGAGTCATTTGTGAAATAGAACCTGAAGATTTGGCCAAACTGTTGTCATTTGGGTATTATTTCCTTAGCTCTGTACTCACCTAAGATAGAGACAAATTTGTTTTTACTATGGAGAAAAACAAAGAACTAAAGTTACTTTATAGCATCCACATCTGTCTAAATTTACCACTTAAGCACCAGATTCTCATATTCAGAATGAAAACCATCTTGGGGACATTTATGGGAGAATTTTAGTATCTATTTGTAATTTTTTCATTGGAGATAGGGAAAAGAAGGAGAGCAAAATAATCAACATCTTATGAGGGAGACTATTTTCCCCATTAAGAGCTACAAATCACTCTTAACCTCTTCAAGAAGTATTTATTAAGTGCCTTCTATGTTTCAGGCTGGGAGTACTTCAATATACACAACAGACACAGCTCTTCTGCTTATAATGCTCACAGTCAAGCACGAAATTCAAGCATTGAATAAATAATTACAAGTATAATGAGTTTTACAATGGAAATAGGCAGGGAACATACAGTGAGAGGTTGAGGAGGATGGGTATCAAGATGAGTTTTCCTGAAAAAAAAAAAAAAGACCCTGAAGGGTGAGTACCGTTTATCCACTGTGAGCAGGCAGGAACTTTTTTTTTTTTTTTTTGAGATGTCTCACTCTGTCACCCAGGCTGGAGTATAGTGACACAATCTTGGCTCACTGCAGCCTCAACCTCCAGGCTCCTCCCACCTCAGCCTCCTGAGTGGCAGGGACTACAGGCTAATTTTTGTATTTTTTTTTAGACTTGGGGTTTTGTCATGTTGTCCAAGCTGATCTTAAGCTCCTGAACTCAAGTGATCCACCTGCCTTGGCCTGCCAAAGTGCTGGGATTACAGTCATGAGTCACTGTGCCGGCCCAGAAGCATTCCTTTCAGAAGGAACAGCATGTGCAAAGGTCTGGAGGTGCAGGACAGTCTGATGCATTCCAGAAGCTGAAGAGAGAACAATGGGAAGAGGCAGGGAGATGACTGGAGAAGTGAGCATGGGCCAGACAGAGCTAAGACCCATGGACACTGGCCTAAAGGCAATGAGAAGCTGTTGAAGAGTTTGAAGAAAAGCAGTGCTGTGATCATTTTTTTCTGAAAAGACCATTCTAGCTGCTCTGTAAATGATTAACTAGAGGAAGGCAAGTGAAGTTTCAGGGATGCCAGTTAGGCAACCAGGGCAATATTTCATGCAAGGCATGACTGAACTCAAGACACAGTGGCAGAAATGAAATGTGAACAGACTGAAGAGCTATTGAAGAGGTACTATTCACATCATCAAGAGGACTAAGCAATAGATTGGAAGAGAGAAAAAGGAGAGAAAGGTGTCAAGAAAAACTCAAGTTTCTGGCTTGAGCACCTGTTGTGGATAGTATTCCATTCAGCAAGAGACAGAACCCTGGGAGAAGGACTTAAATCACAAGTGCGGTGTGGCGCATACTGAGCTTTAGGTCCCTGTGAATCAGACAAGTGATGATGCTAAATAAGCATCTGAATGTAAGGTCTGGAATTGAAGACAAGTTGGACGGAAGACACAATATTGGGAGACAATGGCAAATAGATTTGTTATGGAAGAAATGAAAAATGAGATAGCCTAGAGAGGGTATAAAATGAGAAAAGAGTCTAGAACAGAGAAAGGCCCTATAATATAACTTTTAGGAGAACAAGGATGTGGATAAAGAGACTTACAAGGAACGGCCAGAGATGTAAACGGAAAACAAGGAAGATGGCATCAAACACTGGTAAGAGGGTAGCAGAAGTGATGAGTCCCACTATCCATTCTGGACAGAAAAGGAAGCAGAGACAATAGGGGACTTAGGTTGCTACAGGGAAAGTGGAGGTTCAAAGAACTGGTGAAAGAGAATATCAGGGGAACCAGCCCCCAATATTTCAACATAGGTTCTTTTCTATTTTCCCTAAGTGTCAGCCAGTCTGAGAAATAAACAGAAAGAGTACAAAGAGAGAAATTTTACAGCTGGGCCTCTGGGGATGACATCACATATTGGTAGGACCGTGATGACGACCCCAAGCCACAAAACCAGCAAGTTTTTATTAGGGATTTTAACAGGGGAGGGGGTGTACAAACAGGGAGTAAGTCACAAAGATCACATGCTTCAAAGGGCAATAAAGATCACAAGGCAAGGCAAAATTAGAATTACTGATGACAGTCTATGTCCCGCTGTGCAAACATTGTCTTGATAAGCATCTTAACAGGAAACAGGGTTCGAGAGCAGAGAATCAGTCTGACTAGAATTTACCAGGCTGGAATTTCCCAATCCTAGTAAGCCTGAGGGTACTGCAGGAGACCAGGGTGTATTTCAGTCCTTATCTCAACCGCATAAGACAGACACTCCCAGGGTGGCCGTCTACAGACCTACCCCCAGGAATGCATTCCTTCCCCAGGGTTACTCCTTGCTGGGAAAAGAATTCAGCGATATTTCTCCTACTTGCACATCCGTTTATAGGCTTTCTGCAAGAAGATAAATATGGCTCTATTCTGCCTGACCCCACAGGCAGTCAGATGTTATGGTTATCTTCCCTTCTTCCCTGAAAATCGCCGTTATTCTGTTCTTTTTCAGGGTGCACTGATCATATTGTTCAAACACACATTTTACAATCAGATTTCATATTGTTCAAACACACATGTTCTACAATCAATTTGTACAATAGTGGTCCTGAGGTGATGTACAGTCTCAGTTTATGAAGATAACAGGATTAAGAGATTAAAGTAAAGACCCCACTAACTTCATATAACCTAAGCTGAGCATCTTGTTCATTACCTGTAATTATAGTAATAAGCCTCCAAAATAGATATCACCACTCTACTTTTTGAATGGTTGTATAGCACTTTACAACATGCAAAGTGCATTTACATTGTTATTTCACTATATCTTCATATCAGGGATTAGCTCCATGTACAAATGACGGGCATACCTCAAGTTATTCTATGTTCACAAAGCCAGAATTCAGACCCAAGACTCTTCACTTGGTCTCCAACTCAGGTGTCTTCCCACTGGACCATGTCAATCTAGTCAGAAATACCTAGATGCAACTTGCAATTGTTCTGGAAGCCTACCCAGAGGTTAGTGTCCAAAACATTGTGATAGCAGAAAACTGGATCTGATTCCTGATGTTAGTGACAAAGGGCTATGTTCTATCTAGATAACTTGAGAGTATGTTTTAAATGCCACAAATTGAATAGAGGGTGGAGCAAAATAGCATATGGATATATGTATAACATTTATATTATCTTTATTGATGACTTGAAAAGTAACTTTTCACATTAGGATCCAGGATAGTTTCAGTTTTGATAAAGGTTAAAAATGGAAGGGGAAGCCAGCACAGTAGCTCACGCCTGTAATCCCAGCACTTTGGGAGGCCAAGGTGGGTGGATCACCTGAGGTCAGGAGTTCATGAGCAGCCTGGCCAACATGGTGAAACCCCATCTCTACTAAAACTACAAAAATTAGCCGGGCATGGTGGCAGGCGCCTGTAGTCCTAGCTACTTGGGAGGCTGAGGCAAAAGAATGGCGTGAACCCAGGAGGCGGAGCTTGCAGTGAGCTGAGATTGTGCCACTGCACTCCAGCCTGGGCAACAGAGCAAGACTCAGTCTCAAAAAAAAAAAAATACAAAAATTAGCCGGGCATGGTGGCAGGCGCCTGTAATCCCAGCTACTCGGGAGGCTGAGGCAGGAGAATCACTTGAACCCGGGAGGCAGAGGTTGCAGTGAGCCGAGGTCATGCCACTGCACTCCAGCCTGGGCAACAGAGTCAGACTTCATCTCAAAAAAAAAAAAGGAAGGGGAGAGGGAAAAAGTACAACCTCTAGCATTTAAACCACTGTGTCATTGGAAGCCAAAGGCAAAAGAATCAAAAGATAAATCTTATCCAGACTTATAAGCAGACAAATATTCCATGGAATACTTGACTACTGAAAATTGTCAAAGCAATACTCTAAGGCTGTTATTACAGTAATTTGAACAAATGGTCAATGGGTCATTGACACAAGTTTAGGTAGGTTGAATCAAACAGGAGGAGGTATAATTTTAATCCTAGTACTTATATTAAGGAAACATAATTTAATAGTAAATCAATCCAGCTGAAAAAGAGCCATTTAATTTAATCAGAACATATTAGCTAATGTAACAGTTCTACCTAAAGAGTATTGGGAAAATATGTTTAGTATCTTCACAATGAGCCCAATCATTACATTTGTTGTTAAAACTAAATTTCATGGCTCACGCCTGTAATCCCAACACTTTGGGAGGCCGAGGCGGGTGGATCACCTGAGGTCAGGAGTTCAAGAGCAGCCTGGCCAACATGGCGAAACTCCGTCTCTACTAAAAATTAAAAAATTAGCCAAGTGTGGCAGTGCATGCGTGGAATCCCAGCTACTCAGGGGGCTGAGGCAAGAGAATTGTTTTAACACGGGAGGCGGAGGTTGCAGTGAGCCGAGATCTCGCTACTGCACTCTAGCTTGAGCAACAGAGCAAGACTCCATCTCAAATACATAAATAAATAAATAAATAAATAAATAAATTCAATCCATCAAAAAATTAAAAATAGAATTACCATATGATCCAACCATACTATTTCTGGGAATATATCCAAAAGAACTGAAAGAAGGGTCATGTAAAGATATTTGTACACCCATGTTCATAGCAGCATTATTCACAATAGTCAAAAGGTGGAAGCAACCTAAACGTCCGTCAACAGATGAATGGATAAACAAAATGTGGTATATGCATAGAATGGTATGTTATTCAGCCTTAAAATGTAAAGAAATTCTCTCACATGCTACAACATGGATGAATCATGAGGAAATTATGCTAAGTGAAATAAGTCAGTCACAAAAAGACAAATACTGTATGATTCCACTTATATAACATTTCTAGGGGAATCAAACACATAGAAAAGAGTAGAATGGGCCAAGCATGGTGGCTCACACCTGTAATCCCGGCACTTTGGGAGGCCAAAGTGGGCAGATTGCTTGAGCCTTAGAGTTAGAGACCAGCCTGGGCAACATGGCAAAATCCTGTCTCTACAAAAAAAATACAAAAATTATCTGGGCATGGTGGTGTTCGCCTGTAGTCCTAGCTACTCAAGAGACCTAGGTGGGAGCATCGCTTGAGCCCAGAAGGTGGAGGCTGCGGTGAGTTGTGATCGCACCACTGTACTCCAGCCTGGGCGACAGAGTGTGACCCAGTCTCAAAAAAAAAAAAAAAAAAAAAGAGAAAGAAAAGAAAAGAGTAGAATGCTGGTTGCAAGGGGCTGGGGAGAAGGAAATGGAGAGCTATTGTTTAAACAATAATGGGTATAATATAATATAATGGGTAATGGGTAGAGTTTCAGTTTTGCAAGGTGAGAAAGCTCTGTGGTTACTTAATGTAAATATACTTAACACTACTAAACTGTACACTTAAAAATTATTAAAGTGATAAATTTTATGTACAGTTTATACAATTAAAATTTTTAAAATATGAAGTAAAATGAAATAAACATTAAAAAACCAAATGTCACATAGAATACTGATTCAATCATGTAGTAAAATAGATCCAAGTCCTCTTAGACTGGAATCATACTCTAAGAAAAATAATTACTTTTGTGGACTTTGTTATCTTTTTGTTAGATTTTATGAGAACCTGACAGTAAGATGCAAGAACATATCATCAAATATACTAATATTTGCAGAGGGCTTCCTAGAAACAAGAATCACTAATACATTTTCACAATCTGGTGAAAAGTTTGATAAACTTAAATGTTAAAAAAATAATTTGTAAAGTTCCATTATCAGCCACATATTTTTCCTTTCTTTTTCTGTTACCTAAGTTCTGAACACGCTTCAGGAAGAAAACTTAGAAAAAGATAAAGATTCTCCACAATATTTCAAATAATCTTTTGGTTCTTATTTCAAATTTTCAAACCCCACTAAGGGATCAGGAAAGAGATTCCTAACTTCTGAAATGCCATGGGAGTCTTCAAATAAGCATTTCATATGCCAGCACACCCCGTCCTCAAAAATAAAACCCGACCTGTTTGAGAGACCATTACCTTCCGAACAAAGTTGACATGGCATTCACCCTTCTGCACAAGTGGAGGGCAGTCTGGGGGAACCTGGTAGCGAGTGTGAGCTTTGCTCTGCTGTGCTGCATACAACACCGCTGACTGGAAACGCAGCTCAATGGAGTTCACGTCCCTGACCACGTTGGTAATATCAAAGCTCTAAGTTAAAGGGAACAATCAGACAAACCCATGATGTGGAAGTAGTCTTGTGTGTAAAATTTTAGATAAAGGCATTTTGTATGAAAGACACATAATATAATGCCGATCTAGGTTTAGCCTCCTTGCAGGAGGGAACACTTCTCTGAAACACTGTAGTATCTATCACTTAGTTGCCCACTTTTAGTTAAAACTAAGCATATTTTCCTACCCAATCCAAGTTTCTAGGCTTCTCCTTCTATTTTTCCTGGCAAAATGATGGTCCTAGGGAAATGGATAGAGCAAAAAATAACTTTAGCTCTGGAATGTCTGCTCTGTCTACTTATATGTGGCCTTGAACTGCCAAGGGTTTCCTAGACACTTCATGACAACCTGCCTCTCCGGTATGAACAGCATGCATTTCTAAGTAATGAGTTATTTTTGTTTTGAAAAGTCTACCTTTGAAAGGAAAGGAAGATCAGCATATAATCTCTTAATATAACTATTCCAGAAAGGAAATGACATTTTATTTTAAAATCATTTGTCCAATGAAACTGTATCAGCAGAGGAGGGATTGGCATGTTTTGAACACTTCCTATGTGCCAAGAACTTGCCAACATTTTATACAATTAGCTTACTAAATCCCCACACTAACCCCATGGGGTTTGTAAGGTTTCCATTATTCCACAAATGTGGCAACTGAGAAATCAAGTAACTCATCCAGTGCTTTAATGAGCTCATATTTGTCACATGGCCAATTATGCATTTACTTTTCTCTACTCACAAAAGCAATTAACATAAACACACATAAATTTTTTTTAACCTAATGTCATTATATACTTACATATCTATTGAACATATTGTCTGTTTCCCCAATAGTGACTTCATTGAACAGGATTTTTGAAACCGTATCCACTCCCTCAAGAATCAAATTTACTTTTTGCCATTTGCTAAAAAAAAGAAAAGATTTTTAAAACAAGATGTGTAAAGCATTAACTTAGATAAGTCTCTTTTTTATTATTTAAGGCCTAAAGAAATAAATATTCCACAAAAAATATATGTTCTTAAAAGGCAGTTTCCAGTGACATTTTCAGAAGTACTGCTTTAAAACATACTTACGTCCTTTGAGTGATCCAGCTTATCTTTCTCTATAATGTATCAATAAATCACCATAAAACCAAGAGCACAACTTATAATTTCCAAATATATTGACTTTTTCTAGTTAATACTTCAGAAAGCTATTATGAGAACCAAGTTAGGCCAGGAGCAGTGGCTCACGCCTGTAATCCCAGCACTTTGGGAAGCCTAGGCAGGCAGATCACCTGAGGTCAGGAGTTCGAGACCATCCTGGCCAACATGGCGAAACCCTGTCTCTACTAAAATTACAAAAAACTAGCCAGGCGTGGTGGCGGGTGCCTGTAATCCAAGCTACTAGGGAGGCTGAGGCAGGAGAAACACTTGAACCCAGGAGGCGGAGGTTGCAGTGAGTGGATATCCCACCACTGCACTTGCAAGATTCCGTCTCAAAAAAAAAAAAAAAAATGAGAACCAAGTTAAATAATAGACATAAAATGTTCTCACAAACTACATTTACTGACCCTGTCTAAGAGAACACGTTAGAAAACTATCATCTATAAGTGAATATTATGCACCCAGCACTCTGCTAAGCCTTACAGGAAACTATAACAGTGCCTGTACTTAAGGAGTCTGCAATCTGGTTGGCATTTGGTGGCTGGCTGGCAATATTGTTGAACAACTACAAGTGCTATCAGAGTTTATCTCATAAGAAAAGATTTCAAAATGGAAACAAGAACTTAATGAAGAGAAGAATAAATAAAATGTGTTGTATTCATACAATAAAATACTATTCAACAATAAAAAGGAATGAAGTACTGATACATGCTACAACATGGATGAACTTTGAAAACATTATTATGCTAAGTGAAAGAGGCGGTCACAAAGGCCCACATATTGTATGATTCCATTTATATGAGGTATCCAGAACAAGGAAATCCAGAGGGACAGAAAGTAAATTAGTGGTTCCTAGGGCTGGGGTAAGAATTCAGGGGCAGGAGGAGTGGGCAATGGGAAATGACTGCTAATGGGTGTAACTTTTTGTGGGGGGATGAGGAAAATGTTCTAAAATTGATTGTGGTGATGGTTTTGTAACTGTAAGTATACTAAAAACCATTGAATTATATACCTTAAATGACTGAATTGTACAATATGTTAATTATATATCAATAAAGTATTTTTTTTAAAACTAGGTAGAAATGACTGGGTGGAGGCATTTCTACTCCCCTTATACCCTTTGCTCTTTGCAGGAACCCCTTACCCCTGCAAAGAGCAAAACCAAAACAAGGAAGTGCTGACAGCATGAATTACTTTTAGGTAATCGACTCATATGTGTAATTTGGGCTGGGGAGCTAAGGAGGAAAAAGCTGGACAAATCCAAGGGGCAGAGAGGTGCGGGCAGTGTTACAGGGACAGACATCTTTCAGCTGTATTTTCACAGACAAGTGAGAAGTTTATACTTGATTTGCCAAGTAAAATAGACACTTGCTATTCTTGAACGAATACCTATCTTGGCACAATCAATATTCTGTGATGATTAATCTAATGTTTCTAAATTGAAAAGATTGGAGAATAAAAGAACAAAGCAAGAAATTTGATTAGGCAGCTTTGGCCTCTTTCCTGGCACTCTTCTAGGCAAAGATGGAAAGATGGAAATGAGATGGAAGGGGCCAAACCAAGAGAAATGTTAAACAAAAATTTGCAAGACCCACCCAGAACAGACTGAACACAGGAAGATGAAGAAAAGATGTAATAAGCCCAAAGCACCTTAGACATAGACTGGAAAATGGTGTTACATCAAGAAAAACAATGAAGCTGTTAGAATATAAAGTTAGTTTTAAGGGGGAAAATCAATTGGATATGTTGAGTTCAAGGTGAAATAGAACCATTACGAAAGATATTCTAAATATTATCTGTAAATAAAAGCCTGGAGCACAGCAGTAACTCCATGATATTGATAACAATATTCTGGCCTTTTCCCCCCTTTAAAAGACTAGTAAATAATTACCAAAAAAAAAAAATCACATAAAAGGGACAGAAGGATTTTTTTTTTCATTTAGCAGTAGTGGTGGTACCTTTGGGTAACATTCTACCTCATATGGAAATATTTGCTTATAATAACAGAACATTACTGAAAACAGTATCTGTGCTTCACCTCCTGGCTTCACCACATAGTATAGGTCAAGGTCATAGTCTCAATGGCTGGTTAGCACTACATAGGGCATAACCACTGGAAAAATGACTCCATAAGACACAATTTGGTGACTGTTGATTAGTAGCACCATCCTCATATACAAAACAAAACATAAATAATATATTCACTTTTATAGTACAAGGCTTTCATCTTACTTAACTCTCAGATATGTAACCTAAACAAACAAAACAAAACAAAACATACAAAACAAAAAAAAAACAAACAAAACACAACATTTTTGCCCAGATAGAAAAAGAAGAAAAGTTCAAATAATAATAAAAATACACCCACAAACATACATACCTAATTTCAAAGGGGATTTTAAATTCTTTGCTATAGGTCCAGTTATCCAAAGAGACCCATCTGTAGTTAAGGTCATTAAATCTGTAGTAAGAATCCTGTTGATACAAGGTAAAAATTATGGTAGATGGTTAAATATGCACAAATAAATTAATAAAACAAACATAAAATAAATTATTAACAACAGCTATTTATCACCTAAAAATTAACGAACTTTTAGCCTAGTAGTACAAAGAGGGGACAGATCGTTAATACTGAAAAATGTGAAGGGAAAATTCCAACAAATTACCTGAAATGAAATAATCCTCTGAGATATAAATAATACAGCTTCATTATCAAAGAAAATTGGTGGGCATTAAGATTGGCTTCCCCTTGGAGACAGGGTTTCACCATGTTGGCCAAGCTGGTCTCAAACTCCTGACCTCAAGTGATCCACCTACCTCAGCCTCCCAAAGTGCTAGGATTACAGGCATGAGCCATCATGTCCGGCCTACAGTTTATCTTGTGTACTAACCTGTTTCACTCTCTAAATGAGCAAAGTGGGAGATCACTGTCACGGCTGAAGTTACATGGCCAAGACAAACTATGGTCTGGGAGTCCCAGGTTCTCCTGTGTGGGCACTTTCCTGGAAGATGCTAAATGATAGGAAAATCTGGGTTTCATGTTTCTGTGTGGTCCTCACCTCACTTGACTTCTGCTCTTTCTGTTTGCTCTGGGCTTCCGTGCTCTCATTGATATAGTTCTCAGTTTTCCATTGGTCTGTATCCCATTCTGCCTTGGACATCTTTACTTCTTGCTGCTCACTGATGAATCAGGAGGCCTGTCCTGGAGATGAGCTTGGTATAGGCCAATTGCACATGGGTCTCAGAGCACTCCATCTTCAAGGTCCAGATAACATGAGAAATGAGTCTTCTCACATCATTATTGGGGATGAGGGGCCGTAGCTGCTGGTTTAGCTGAATTTCAAACTGATCACCTGGGGACGAGAGCAATGGGTAATTGAAGCTTTTGGGCTCGGGAGACAGGCCAGTGCCCATGTTGTTGTATTCCCATTGTGTTTCACAGTCTTCTCTAAGTTGAACGCAGTCTCAGCAGAATCTCCCTCAGGAGGATGGTTGTAGGTTGTGTTTTCAGAGATGGTGCCTTCTGGCATAGTAGTGTTTTCCATAAAAATGTTTTGTTCAAAGGCATTTCTTGCAGTGGTGCTTTTAAAACATTCTGATGGAGAAATACTTCCGGAAAAGGATTTTCCTGAAGACTCAGGTCTCCTAAAGATGAAAAAGCCCCTTGTGAAGGGGCATTTATGAGGCTTTTCACTGCAGAGAATGGAGGCCTCTTTGCAAGCAAAGTCTACTGAGAGAACTTTTCTGGAATGTACGATTGGTTTTAACTCAACTTTGCATTTTCTAAAACCAAAATGGGTAAGTCTTTCAATCTGTTTCTGACCACAGGTAGGGCTTTTGCAGGGGTGGAGATAGAAGGCACGCCCATGGAGAAGGGTTTCAGCAAAGAGAAGACTGCTGCCTTATGCTCTTGGTTGAACGAAGGCTTGGTATAGATGGCGTTTCCTGCTAACTTCTCATGCCCCTGCTCTATGTGAGGCTGTTCCAGCTCCCTTGGGGCTGGACTCCTGAGCCTTTTTTCTTTGGCAGCATTCTCCACAAATGCCCAGGCACCCTGTTCCTTCCTGTTGCTCTGCTTTCCCACCTCTTTGAAGTGACTTTTCTGGATGCTCCTTGGGCCCATGAGGATTCTGTTCACTCTCTGCAGGCTTTTGCCTACACTTTGAATCTTAGCCAGGCTGTTTTCCTGTGGTTGGACAGTTTCTAATTTCATGAGTTTTTGGATGCAGATTGAAGAGAGGGACTCTTTGTATGGTTTTTCGGAATACCCATCTTTCACATTTGAAAAAAACAGGTAACTATAAGGTTAGCTGTTGGCAGAGCTAGCAGAGGTTTTATTTTGGACCAAAAAAAAAAAGCAATTGAATTGTTTTGTAGCTGAAGGCATAGGCATGGGGGGTCCCCAGGTAGTAAACTACCCTGTGGGTGGGTTGAGGGCTAGGGCTGGGCCTCAGGTGGGTCTCACGTTCCCTGTGCTCCCTTCTGCTCTCTGGGAGAGTCGCAGGAGGGGCAGGCTGGGAGGGGCTGCCGCAGCTGTTCACTTGGGCAGGACGTCAGAGGACTAGGACACCAGCCTCCCATCATGGGTCTCGATCTTCTTCACAACCACTGCCCTGGTGGTGCTGGTGCGGCTGAAGGAGCTGGAGCCCACACCAGAGCCAAAGCTGGGGCTTGGGAGGCCCCCACAGGCCGAGCTCAGATCACCTGCATAACCACTGGTGGTCTTTGTATGGATACTCATGTTCTGCATCCCAGAGTCCAGCTGGCTCTCCTCGCCCTCCAGCAGCTTCCTGTAGGTGGCTATCTCGATGTCCAGGGCCAGCTTGATGTTCATCAGTTCCTGGTACTCAAGCAGTTGCCATGCCATGTCCTGCTTGGCCTGCTGCAGGGCGGCCTCCAGCTTGGACAGCTTGGCGTTGGCATCCTTAACAGCCAGCCCCCTGTGCTGCAGACATCTGTGATGGTGCCCTCCAGGGAAGCCCTCTGGCCTTTGAGGCCCTCAGTCTCAGCCTGGAGCTGGCTGATGTTCCGGTTCATCTCAGAAATCTCAGTCTTTGTACACTGCAGGTCATCCTCGTGCTTCCCAGCCAGCATCTGCAGCTCCTCATCCTTGATCTGGTACATGCTCTCAGCCTTGGCCTGGCTGCAGTTGGCGATCTCCTCGTATGGTGCCTTGACCTCAGCGATGATGCTGTTCATGCCCAGGGAGCGGCTGTTGTCCATGGGCAGCACCACAGATGTGTCCGAGATCTGGGACTGCAGCTCCTGGATCTCCTCTTCATACAGCTGCTTGAGGAAATTGATCTCGTCAGTCAGCCCTTCCAGGTGAGACTCCAGCTCTACCTTGTTCATGTAACCTTCATCCACATCCTCTTGATGAGGACAAATTCATTCTCCACCTCTGTACACTTATTGATCTCATCCTCATACTTGTTCTTGAAGTCCTCCACCAGCCCGGGCATGTTGCCAAGCTCCGCCTCCAGCTTCAGCTTCTCCTGGCCCAGAGTCTTCAGCTGCTGCCTAAGGTTGTTGATGTAGCTCTGGAACATGTTGTCCATGTTGCTCTGAGCCATCTTCTGCTGCTGCAGGAGGCTCCACTTAGTCTCCAGCATCTTGTTCTACTGCTCCAGGAACCATACCTTGTCTATGAAGGAGGCAAACTTGTTGTTGAGGGTCTTGATCTGCTGCTTCTCCTGGGTGCGCACAGCCTGGATGTTGGGGTCCACCTCCAGGTTAAGGGGGCTCAGCAGGCTCTGGTTGACTGTGATGGTGGTGATGCCACCCACGCTGCTGCCCTCACCATAGCCTCCGCCCAGACAACCTTGGAAGCTGCTGCTGCCCACTAGGGAGAAGCCTGAGGAGCTTATCTGGACACTGGGCCCACTTGTGTAGGAGTGGCTGCTGAAGGCCCGGGGCCCAGAGGTGGACACCTTGTAGGACTTCTGGGTCACCCTGATGGACATGGTGGAGGCAGGAGTGGGGGCAGGAAGGCCGAACCAGATAGAGATCCCAGAAGGAGTGGAGAAGCTGCTTCTTGGTCTTTTCAGTTAACTTTACCACATATCGTCTCATGACCGGAGGAATTTACAAGAGGGTATAACTTAGATTTATCCACATTTCTCATGACCTTCCCTGTGCCACCTGGAGGGCTGTAAGCAGGGTTTGCTTAGTGTAGCAAGTCGGCAACCTTGCTGTGGCACCTAGATAAGGGTTCAGGAATGCAGCTGCAGAGTATTCGGGGTAAGGGTCAGCTGCACTGCGGGGGCGGTTCCTGGGGCAGCTCGTCCCTAACAGTAACAACATTGATTCTACATCTTATAGATTTTTCTATGAGAAATAAGGCAAGACGTAATTTAGTGCGTCATTGATGTCTAGCTGCTCACTCCCAAAGCCTGACAAGTTGATGCCATTGCTGTCTGAGGCCGCCTCCAGCTCAGTAGTCAGCTCAGTGCTCGTGTGCTTCTTCCGGGCTTGTAATACCTTCATGAACGCTCCTTCTGGATTCCCTACAGATAGATGCTTCTTCAACTGTCAGGTAAGACACAATAAGTCTTTCTGAGTTTCTCTTATAGGGTTTAGCTTGTTAATTTCCTTATACTTTGTCCTCAAACTCAACTATCTTGTTCTTCCTTGCGCCTAGTTACCATAAACAGCCTACCCGCTTCCCGTCAGCTCTAATCAATAACTCACATCTGTTCCCTTGGTTACCTGCACCCCATGTTCCCCTGAAACTGCACATCTCACACGCTCCACCTCTGTCCCCCTCCCCTTCTATATTTAAAAAAATATGTACAAGTAGCCAATTGGGTCAGCTCAAACTGTGCAGTCCAACCCCAGCCCAAGGGGGAGTAGCACAGAGATAGGGACTGCGTTGAGGATAAAAACCCCCTGGTCTCCTTTGTTCTCTGTGCTCTTGCGATCTTGATTGACGCAAGTGGCACCCTTCTGCAGAAGTAAATTGCCTTGCTGAAAGAATTAAAAAAAAAAAAAAGATTGGCTTCCCCTTTTAAAACCAAACACAAAACCACCAGTATCAGCAGAGAATGAAAGACTGAATCTGTGGTGTGTAGCCAGCAGTCTCTCATTGCCCTGTGGTTCTCACTGTGCTGTTTGCGCCACTATCCCAGCCAGCCTCCAGGGGGAATACTTCTCTACTGCCCAAAAGTCAGCACAACTCCCTTCCGCTCATTGGATTCACTTAGCATTTCCAGTTATTTTTCACTTAGCTAAGTGAGCATGAAAAGGATCTCTACAGAGAATACACAGGCAGCAGAGATACTTCAAAACTTATTAACATCAGGTTTCTTATATTATCCTACCTCAGGTCAGCAAACTGCCACCCACAGGCCACATTCAGCTCACTACATGTCTCTGTGTGGCTAGCAAGCTAAGTAAGAATGGACATGTGCCCATAAATAAAGTTTTACTAGAGCACAGCCATGCCCTTTCCTTTGCAATTTACATATGGCTGCTTTGGTGCTATAGTGGCAGAGTTGAGTAGACATGATGGAGACCATCTGGCCCTCGAGGTCTAAAATATTTAGTATTTAGCTATTTACTGAACGTGTTTGCTAACCCCTGCCCAAGATGACTGGCCTCCTAGAT
The DNA here is from genome assembly GCF_000001405.40 of Homo sapiens. NCBI lineage: Eukaryota > Metazoa > Chordata > Mammalia > Primates > Hominidae > Homo > Homo sapiens. The sequence continues at coordinate 102,731,814 of NC_000004.12, forward strand.
GTTCATAGATGTTGCTCCATCTGAGTGTCTAGACCCAAGTCTGCCTCTTCATAAATCCTTAAGTCTTTCTTCTCCTACCCCCTTTCCACTCTTTTTACACTTTTTTTTTTTGAGATGGAGTTTCACTCTTGTTGCCCAGGCTGGAGTGTAATGGCGCAATCCCAGCTCACTGCAACTTCAGCCTCCCAGGTTCAAGCGATTCTCCTGCCTCAGCTTCCCAAGTAGCTGGGATTACAGGCATGCACCACCACACCTGGCTAATTTTTTGTGTGTTTTTAGTAGACATGGGTTTTCACCATGTTGGTCAGGCTGGTCTCGAACTCCTGACCTCAGGTGATCTGCCTGTCTCAGCCTCCCAAAGTGCTGGGATTACAGACATGAGCCACCGCATCTGGACTCTTTCCACTCTTTATCTCCCAGAGGAATACTCAAGACAGGAGGCAGAACAGAAAGTGGCAAACAAATCTTTTCAGTTCATCTATCCATGAACAATATATAGAAGGGAATTGTGCAGGCATGGAGGGGCTTCCCCTCCTTTGTCAGGGACAGATCCAAGTTATTTCCTTAGGGACCGTAACTCCAAGTCAAGAAGGAAAAGCCAACTCTGTCTAAGTTCCACACAGGTAAGAGCCAGATGAACACGTTAGGCTGGCAATGGCCAGTTAGGCAGTTGCCCAGGGCAAATCTGTAAGAAGCACTACAACATCAGTGGGAGTGTATCAAGATCAAGATAGGTATCTGCCAGAAACTGATCCAAACTGGAAGAAATATTTTGATAAGCTACTAGAGGAGAGAGTGACTGATGAGATTTAAAACAACACGTAATCACCAAACTGGCTTTTAAGGTCTGGTTAATGGTAAGGTTTTGTTCTGTTAAATGCCGTGTGCCAAGCCCAGCCAACTTATCTCCCACACAGGACTCGGCCTCTCCAATGAACAAACATGGAACACATATTTACAGACACAGGGTTGAAGAGGCACCTAATTATTAGCATGACCATGTCATTCCCCCAAGACCTATTTATAACTCTACACTGTGGACTTAGTCCAATACAGTTAAAAATATCATGAGAAGGAAGGTGTGAGAGCAATTCAGCCACAACACATCAACACACTAAGCCCGGGGGCTGGCTGATGATCTGGTTGACGGGGCACAAGTCCCCTTCCTTTCTCCCAGCTCCCTGAAGGAATCTGCAAGTTGGTTCAAGAGGGCAATCTTCCCAGATATATTTTTTCGACACAAACATAATTTATAGGTTAAAATTTTATCTTAAAGAGGCCAATCTGAAAAACCTAAATAATGTATGATTTCAACTATATGTCATTCTGGATGTTAAATAAAAATTACAGGAGGCCGTTGTTGACTGAGCTCCTATACTAGGCCTCAGCAGACCAGATCAAACCAAAACAGTCACTCATGCTAAGTACCACTTAATCAAACTGAAACTTTAACGAAGGAGGTAGATCCACAAACAGGGCAGTTTTTCCTGAAAACTTGAGATTCCTGTTCACCTGAGTAAGGAAGTCCTCTCTGCATTTTTTTTTTTTTTTTTTGAAACAGGTCTTGCTCTGCTCTGTCACCCAGGCTGGAGTGCAGTGGCACAACCATGGTTCACTACAGCCTCAACCTCCGGGGCTCAAGCAACCCTCCCAGCTCAGCCTCCTGAGGAGCTGGGGCTACAGATGTATGCCACCACTCCCAGCTAATTTTTTATTTTTATTTTTTTGTAGAGATGGAGATCTTACTATGTTGCCAAGGCTGGTCTCAAAATCCTTAGCTCTAGCAATCCTCCTACCTTGGCCTCCCAAAATGCTGAGATTACAGGCGTAAGCCACCACACTGGCCGGTTCTCTCTGCTTTTACCCTTTCTAGAAAAGTAACCTGAAGTAATCTGATGTTAATCAATCAGTTTTTTTCCTACTGTTCTGTTTCTTTGTTCCTTACAAAACCCACTATTCTTCCATGGCCCCATGAAAGTGCTCACTGTATTTTGTAGAATGGATGCTTTCCTGATTCATGAATCACAAATAAAAAACAATTTGATCTTTAACTACATTTGTTGTAATTTTGTCTTTTGACATGGAAAAGAAAAAACTATGGAGACAGTGAAAGGATCAGTGGTTACCATAGGTTAAGCAGAGGAGAAGAATGAATAAACAGAGCACAGAGAATGTTTATGGCACGGAAATTATTCTTTACAATATTGCAATGGTGAATACAAGTCATTATACATTTGTCCAAACCCACAGCATGTACAACCAAGAATGAACCCTAATGTAAAGTGTGGACTTTGACTGATAAAGATGTGTCAATGTCTGTTCATTGATTCTAACAAATGTACCACTCTGGTGGGGAATGTTGAAGAATGGGATGCTGTGCATGCAAGGAGGTAGGAGGTTATGTGAGAACCCTCTGTACTTTCTGTTCAATTTTGCTGTAAACCTACAAAGTCTACTCTTCCGGGGGAGAAGGGCAGCAGCGTGAGAGTTGGCTCTGAAGAGTGGTGAGTCAGAAGAGACCTCAGGCAGCAAGCGACTTGGGCCATGGCCTCTGACCTAGACTTCTCACCTCTGGAGGTGCCTGAGCCCACTTTCCTGGAGAACCTGCTATGGTACGGACTCTTCCTGGGAGCCATCTTCCAGCTCATCTGTGTGCTGGCCATCATCATACCCATTCCCAAGTTCCACGAGGTGGAGGCTGAACCATCTGAGCTCAGAAGTGCTGAGGTGACGAGGAAGCCCAAGGCTACTGTTCCTTCTGTGAACAAGAGGCCCAAGAAAGAGACCAAGAAGAAGCGGTAGAAGAGGAGGCCCGAGGAGCCAGACAGGCAGGGAGAGGGCCTTGGGGACAGCCCTCCTGGGAATCTATATCCTGTTCCCCCTCTCCATCCCAGGTTCAGGGTCTGAGGAGGCTGTGACACCCTCTGACCTCAGAGATCTAGACAGTCATGACAGTCCCCAGGCTCCAGCTGTGCAGTCCACCACTTCCTCTTCCTTCTGCTTCTGTGATGGTTTAGAGTCAAGGGGACTGAAACACACTGTGACTGTATTAGGAGGTTTGTTTAGAAGTTGGGTCAGCTCACAGAGTCACATTTTCTTACTTAGTCATGTGTCCAGCCTTGAGTCACCCCCTCCTTGTGAGTTTACATTACATTTTGGAGTCATTATCTAATGCTGACAAGCCCACCCTCTCCCATTATTTGTGCACTACAGATCTCCTGCTAATCAGTCACCTTTTTTGCTGCTGTGTAGACAGAGCCAGGCCTCACCTGTTTGTTTAGGCCAAAACGCCATGGCCATGCAATGTTAGTGATCCCACTAGCTGCGACAGCCAGGCCCAGAAAATGCCTGACATGAGAGCCAGCAGACAGCCCAGGCCAGGGTAGGCAGTGCCTGCTTCTGCTCTATCAGGTGCAAGGGATTTGGCTGAAGGCATGCATATTTCCTGGACACAAACTTCCTGAGCTTCTGAAATGGGAGGCTCATCAATTTCAGACCAACCTCTTTTCAACCCTTCAACCCATCATAGCACGTTCAAGGTGTGCCTTTTACTTCCACCTGTACATCCCCCATTCCTTCAATTCTTTCATTCCCTAACCAGAGAGAGTTCCTGGGGGAAATGTGGCGAATAAACTGCATGCATGCTGAAAAAAAAAAAAAAGAAAGAAAAGTCTACTAAAAATTTTTCTCTTACTAAGAGAAAATACCAAAAAAAAAAAAAAAAAGTTATAGAGGCTTAAATTACATTTAAAATAACTATTCCAAAGGCCAATCAACCAACCTAATTTGGTTCCAGGTTGGTCTGACCCTATTTGATCATACTGAAATTCTGAGCCTTATTTATAGCAAACAGCAGCTCAGGGTTACCTCTCATGACTAAGGACCCATGTCAGCCTGAGTTGTTAAGCAAACCCATGAACCCTAAAACAAATAAAAGTATCATTTGTCAACCATTTACTATACATCAGCCTCTAAAGTAGGCACTCATACACTCTTATCTTCATAATAAACACGTACAGTAAATACCATTTAATAGAGGAAGAAACTAAAGCTCCAAAAAGTGAAGTAGCTTTCCTGAGGTGCCACAACTAAGCAGAAGTATGTACACTGAGGAAAGAAACCAATCTAGTCTAACACCAAGGTCTGAATTTTTTGGACTATACTACAATGCCTCATGCTACATATACTTACACGTTTATACCAGCTGGTAACTGCAACAACAATAATAATAGTTAAAAGTTACTGCCTGTGACCCTAGTGGGGTAGGTACTATTATCATACCCATTTACCAACAAAGACTCTAAAGCTCAACTCAAATGGCTATTAAGTGGTGGAGGACTGACTCAGAACCAGGAAAGATGGCTCCAGGGTCCATATACTTAGTCATTACCTAGTACTACCATTAACATCACAACACCACCAATAGTTACAATGTCAGTGCTTATAAAGCAGCAGCCATGAAATAAACATGCCGTGTGTGCCTCGGCTAGTGATTTATAATTGATACTTACCATATTTACTATGTTTACTGTACATCAACAAACCATGTGTCATCAGAGCATGCAAATGACAATATCATCAGTCTCATTTTCTCAGTAAGCTTCTGGACTCCATCATTATACCTGATTATAGATACAGAGACTACTTAACCAGGTATAGCTTTTCCACTCCCCAGTTCTGCTTCAGACCAATGTCAGACTTTACCCCAGATACAATTACTTCGAATAGAATTAAATGGAGAAAGTTTTTTCAACTATCTTGTTTACAGGCGTTGTTTTCTTAGACACTTGGGCAAAAATAAATAAATAGATGTTAAGAAAACACTTATCAAAAACAAGCAAAATGTGGATTAGGATACATAATTATCTGGCAAACTGAGATAAAACGGCAGATAGGAGACAGGACTAACATGCAGCTCCCACTTGGATGAACAGAACAGCATGTGGAGACTCACACTGTGAATTTTTGCTCCAAGAACCACCACAGGAACATACCGGGAAAACCAAAAGAATTCAAGACCCTTTGAAACAAGTGGTTTGCCACTGCAAATTCTGTGAAACAGCCAAAAACTGTGAGTTCCCAAAGTGTGAGAGGGAAAAATGTCTGCCTCCAAACACACATCCCCTCTGGGAACCTGAAAATTCAGATCACGGGAGAAGGATTTAACCTTACCTAGAGCTGAAATGGATTTCAGGAGCCAAGCAAAATATAATAGTACCGAGAAAAGAAGCACCGGAAAGAGCGAGTCCCCAGCTTGAGTCCAGGGAAGCCATTCCTGGCCTATCTCACAGAGGTCTTTGGGGAAGGGAAGGCACCCAGCAGAACTGGAGGGGAGTCACAGGGTGAAGGAAGCTCCCGGCTGAACTTTGTAATATTTTCGACAAGCATGAATTTTCCTGAGCAGAATCCAGGAGCTTGGGGGTGGTGAACAGGAAGAACAGATATGAGCACAGCCAAAGGTGTGAGCAGGTGGGGAGGGGTGAGGCCTGAGAGCCATGTTTGCTTTCTCAGCAGGGAGGCTTATAGCCTGGGGCAAGATCTCAGTCCTGCTCACCGGCTGCCTGGATAGGAACTGATATAAAGTCAGTGCTGTTGGGGGGGCACAGTAGGAGTGAGACTGGCCTTGCTGGCTTCATGGAAGATGGGTAAGGCCTGTGGTGTTTTTTTTGTTTGTTTGTTTTTTTTTTGAAATGGAGTCTCGCTCTGTCACCCAGACTGGAGTGCAGTGGCACGATCTCTGCTCACTGCAAGCTCCGCCTCCCGGGTTCACACCATTCTCCTGCCTCAGCCTCCTGAGTAGCTGGGACCACAGGCGCCCGCCACCACGCCTGGCTAATTTTTTGTATTTTTAGTAGAGACAGGGTTTCATCGTGTTAGCCAGGATGGTCTCGATCTCCTGACCTCGTGATCCGCCCGCCTCGGCCTCCCAAACTGCTGGGATGACAGGCATGAGCGACTGCGCCCGGCCGGGTAAGGCCTGTCAGTGCTGGCTTTTCCCTAGCGAACTGTATGATGCAGCAGAGGCAATCATAATCCCCCTGGCAACATAATTCCATTAGCCTGAGAACCCCATAGTGGCCATGGCAGGCCCCACCCAAAAAGAGTCTGAGCTCAGACCCTAACCCTGTCCTCACCTGATGGATTTTCTCTACCAGACCTGGTCGCCAAAGACAAATGACATAAACCCTTGGGACCTCTATGGTCCTGCCCATCACCTGAGAAACCCAAGTACTCATCCTGGCCAATGTAGGGCAATATTATATCCCCCCTTCTGCTACTGCAGCTAGTGCTTTCTTGACAGGGCCACCTCCTGGCTGGAGACCAATCAACTCAAACTGATAAAAGAACAACCCTGCTCTAAAGAAGAAAACAACTAATTCCACTGCCTAAAGAAGAAAACAACTAATTCCACTGCCTGCAATATCCTGGTTAACCAGAAGTACTGAGTCTGTTCACATGACAACTTCACTGCTAGCATAACCAGCATTTGAGAAAGCCAGTGCACTAAATGAAGCTACAACCAAGGACTCCCACTTTACTCCCCTGCCACCTCCACTGGAGCAGGTGCTGGTATCCATGGCTAGGAGACCTGAACGTGGATCACATCACAGGACTCTTGGCAGACAGTCCCCAGCATCAGCCTGCAGGCCAGTAGCTCCGCTGGGTGGCTAGACTCACAAGGGCAATAACAATCACTGCAGTCTGGCTCTCAGAAATCCCCGTCCCTAGGGGAAGGGGGAGAGCATCTCATCAAGGGAATACCCCATGGGACAAAACAATCTAAACAGTAACCCTTGAGTTCCAAATCTTTCCACTGAAACAGTCTACCCAAATGAGAAGGAACCAGTTAAAGTAATTCTGGTAATATGACAAAACAAGGTTCTATAACACCCCCAAAAGATCACACTAGCTCTCCAGCAATGGATCGAACCAAGAAGAAATCTCTGAACTGCCAAATAAACAATTCAGAAGGTTGATTATCGGGTTACTCAAGGAGGCACCAGAGAAAGGTGAAAACCAACTTAAAGAAATTTAAAAAACAATAAAGGATATGAATGAAAAGGTCTCCAGAGAAACAGATATCATAAAGAAAAAACAATCACAACTTCTGAAAATGAAAGACATACTTAGAGAAATGCAAAATACACTGGAAAGTTTCAACAATAGAATCGAACAAGGGAAGAAAAAAGATAAATGAAACAAAAACTGGCTCGGTGAAAAGATAAATGAAATTGATAGACCACTAGTGAGATTAATCAAGAAGAGAGAAGATACAAATAAGCTCAATTAGAAATGAAATGGGAGATATTACAATTGATACCACAGAAATACAAAAGATCATTCATGGCTACTATGAACATCTTTATGTGCACAAACTAGGAAACCTAGAGGAAATGGATAAATTCCTGCAAATATACAATCTTCTCAGATTGAAACAGGAAGAAATAGAAACTCTCAACAGACCAATAACAAGTAGTGGTGTTGAAAGAGTAATTTAAAAATTGCTGACCAAAAAAAAGTCCAGGACCAGATGGATTCACAGCTGAATTCTATCAGACATTCAAAGAAAGATTGGTACCAATCCTACTGAAAATACTCCAAAAAATAGAGAAAGAGGGAATCCTCCCTAAATAATTATATGAAGCCAGTACTATCACCTACCAAAACCAGAAAAGGACATAACATACAAAAACTACAGACCAATATCCCTGATGAGCATAGCTGCAAAGAGCCTCAACAAAACACTAGCTAACCAAATCCAACAGGATACCAAAAAGATAATACACCATGATCAAGTGGGTTTCATACCAGGGATGCAGGTACATATGCAAGTCAATAAATGTGATACACCACATAAAAAAGAATTAAAAACAAAAATCATATTATCAACTCAGCAGATGCAGAAAAAGCATTTGACAGAGTCTAGCATCCTTTATGATTAAAATCCTCAGCAAAATTGGCATAGAAGGGACATACCTTCAGGAAATAAAAGTCATCTGCAACAGATCCACAGCCAACATTGTACTGAACAGGGAAAAGTTGAAAGTATTCCCCCTGAGAACTGGAACAAGACAAGGATGCCCACTTTCACAACTTCTCTTTGACATAGGACTGGAAGACATGGCCAGAGCAATCAGACAAGAGAAAGAAATAAAGGGCATCCAAATCAGTAAAGAGGAAGTAAAACCGTTGCTGTTCACTGATGATATGATCATATACATAGGAAACCCTAAAGACTCATCCAAAGAGTTCTTAACCTGATAAATAAATTCAGCAAAGTTTTGGGATACCAAATCAACGTACACAAATCAGTAGCACTCCTATACACCAACAGCGACCAAGCTGATAATCAAATCAAGAACTCAACCCCTTTTACAATAGCTGCAAAAAATAAAATAAAATACTTAGGAATATACCTAACCAAGGACATGAAAGACCTCTACAAGGAAAACCATGAAACACTGCTAAAAGAAGTCATAGATAACACTAACAAATGGAAACACATCCCATGCTCATGAATGGATAAAATCAATATTGTGAAAATGACCATACTGCCAAAAGCAATCTACAAATTCAACTCAATTCCCATCAAAATACCATCATCATTCTTCACAGAACTAGCAAAAGCAAACCTAAAATTCATATAAAACTCAAAAGGAGCCTGCATAGCCAAAGCAAGACTATGCAAAAAGAACAAATCCTGAGATATCACATTACCTGACTTCAAACTATACTATAAGGATATAGTCACAAAAACAGCATGCTACAAGTACAAAAACAGGAACATAGACCAGTGGAACAGAATAGAGAGCCCAGAAATAAAGTCAAATACTTACAGCCAACTGATCTTTGACAAATGAAAGAAAAAAATAAAGTGAGGAAAGGACACCCTATTCAACAAATGATGCTGGGATAATTGGCAAGACACATGTAGAAGAATGAAACTGGATCCTCATCTCTCACCTTATATAAATAAATATCAACTTGATAGATCAAAGTCTTAAATCTAAGACCTGAAACCATTAAAAAAAAATCTAGAAGATAACATCAGAAAAACTCTTCTAGACATTGGTTTAGGCAAAGACTTCCTAAGAACCCAAAAGCAAATGCAACAAAAACGAAGATAAATAGATGGGACCTAACTAACCTAAAAAGCTTCTGCACAGAAAAAGAAATAATCAGCAGAGTAAACAGACAACACACAGAGTGGGAGAAAATCTTCACAAACTATGCAGCCGACAAAGGACTAATATCCAGAATCTACAAGGAACTCAAACAAATTAGCAAGAAAAATCAAATAATCCCATCAAAAAGTGGGCTAAGGACATGAATAGACAATTCTCAAAAGAAGATATACAAATAGCAGAAAAAATTTAAAAATGTTTAACATCACTATCAGGGAAATGGAAATCAAAACCACAATGAGATACTCCTTTACTCCTGCAAGAATGGCCATAATTAAAAAAACAAAAAATAATAGATGTTGGCATGGATATGGTGAAAAAGGACCAATTTTACACTGCTGGATGGAATGTAAACTAGTACAACTAAGGAAAACAGTATGGAGATTCCTTAAAGAACTAAACGTAGAACTACCATTGATCCAGCAATCCCACTACTGGGTACCTACTCAGAGGAAAAGAAGTGATAATATGAAAAAGACACTTGGATACACATGTTTATAGCACCACAATTCGCAATTGCAAAAATATGAAACCAGCCTAAATGCCCATCAACCAACAAGTAGATTTTTTAAATGTGGTATATGTTATACATAATATGGAATACTACTCAGCCACAAAAAGGAACAAAATAAAGTAGAGTTGGAGACCACTATTCTAAGTGAAGTAACTCAGGAATGGAAAGCCAAGCATTGTATGTTCTCACTTATAAGTGGGACCTAAGCTATGAGGATGCAAAAGGCTTAAGAATGATATAGTGGACTCTGGAGACTTGCAGGGAAGGATGGGAAGGTGAGGGATAAAAGACTACACATTGGGTGCACTGTATACTGCTTGGGTGATGGGTGCAACAAAATCTCAGAAATCACCACTGAAGAACTTCATGTTACCAAACAGCACCTCAGGAGGTCATGGTTTTTTTCCTGGTAAAGTGACCCAAACCTTCATTCCTGAAGGGTCTGGGCCATTTGTAGTCCTGCCCAGATTGGGCTGTTGTAATTTCCCATTGACCTTAATCTCAGGGCATGGTAATACTATGAGACACCCCAAGGGATCTCCTGTATTCCACGCATACTCTTCCTTATCTCCATTGTGGAGCAGTAGACTGATTTTGTCTTGATAGTCTGGGTCAATCACCCTAGCCAACACTGTAACTCCCTTCTTAGCCCACTGACTTAAACTTAGGAGGAGCCCGAAGTGTCCAGGTGGCAATCTTAACTTCTAGTTTAATGGAATCATTGTGTCTCCTGGTGGCAGCGTTTCTCCCTCTGGAACTAAGACTTCTAGACCAGCAGAACGTAATGTCGCAGGAACAGGAAGCAAAAATTTTGCTAGTGGATCACTAGGGGTGATGGTGAGTGGTACCACTTCCACTTCCATCCCTTGCTTCCTGGACCTATGAATCTTGGCTATGGGAGAAACAGTACCATATATTGAATGCTGATTCAGAGCATACATGGTCTTCTGGAGAACTTTGCCGCAGCCCTGAAAAGTATTGTCACCCAGTTGGCATTGTAATTGTGACTACAGAAGGCCATTCCACCATTCTATCAATCCAGCTGCTTCAGGATGATAAGGAACATGGTAAGACCAGTGAATTCCATGAGCACGAGCCCACTGCCACACTTCTTTAGCTGTAAAGTGAGGGCCTTGGTCAGAGGCAATGCTGTGTGGATTACCATGATGGTGGATAAGGCATTATGTCAGTCCATGAATGGTAGTCTTGGCAGAAGCATTGCGTGCAGGATAGGCAAACCCATATCCAGAGTAAGTGTCCATTCCAGTGAGAACAAACCTCTGCCCTTTCCACGATAGAAGCAGTTCAATATAATCAACCTGCCACCAGGTAGCTGGCTGATCACCCCCAGGAATGGTGCCATATCGTGGGCTCAGTGTCGGTCTCTGCTGCTGGCAAATTGGACACTCAGCAGTGCCGTGGCCAGGTCAGCCTTGCTGAGTGGAAATCCATGTTGCTGAGTCCATGTGTAACCCCCATCCCTGCCACCATGGCCACTTTGTTCATGGGCCCATTGGGCAATGACAGGGATGGCTGGGGAAAGAGGCTGAGTGTTGTCCACAGAACGAGTCATCCTATTCACTTGATTATTAAAATCCTCCTCTGCCAAGGCCACCTGTTGGTGAGTACTCACATGGGATACAAATATCTTCATAGTTTTTGACCATTCAGAGAGGTCCACCCACGTACCTCTTCCCCAAATTTCTTTGTCACAATTTTCCAATCATGCTTCTTCCAAGTCACTGACCACCCAGCCAAACCATTGGCTACAGCCCATGAATCAGTATATAACTGCACATCTGGCCATTTTTCTTTCCATGTAAAGTGCACAACCAGGTGCACTGCTTGAAGTCCCACCCACTGAGAAGATTTCCCTTCACTGCTATCCTTCAGGGATGTCCTAGAAAGGGGCTGTAGTGCTGCAGCTATCCACTTTCGGGTGGTGCCTGCATATCGTGCAGAACCATCTATAAACCAGGCCCTAGTCTTCTCTTCCTCTGTCAACTGATAATAGGGAACTCCCCATGAGGCCATTAGTGCAGGCTGGGGGAGAGACGGCAGGGTGGCAGAAGTGAGCCACTTCTGCCTTTGAGCCACTTCCTCATGTAACTTAACTGTGCCTTCAGGACCTGCTCGAGCCCAATCATGTATATACCACTTCCATTTGATGAGGGAATGCTGCTGTACACAACCTACTTTATGGCTAGATGGGTCAGAAAGCACCCACTTCATGATAGGCAGTTCAGGTCACACAGTGACTTGATGACCCGTAGTCAAAGGTTTGGTTTCCACCAAAGCCCAGTAACAGGCCAAGAGCTGTCTCTCAAAAGGAGAGTAGTTATCTGCAGAAGATGGCAGGGCTTTGCTCCAAAATCCTAGCAGCCTCTGCCATGATTCAGCTATGAGGGCCTCCCAGAGGCTCCAAACACCATCTCTATCTGCCACTGATACCTCAAGCACAATTGGATCTGCTGGGTCATATGGTCCAAGTGGCAGAGCAGCTTGCACAGCAGCCTGGACCTGTTGCAGAACCTTCTCCTGTTCTGGATCCCACTCAAAACTGGCAGCCTTTTGAGTCACTTGCTAAATGTGTCAGAGTAACACAACCAAATGTGGAATGTGTTGCCTCCAAAATCCAAATAGGCCCACAGGACGTTGTGCCTCTTTCTTGGTTGTAGAAGGGGCCAAATGCAGCAACTTATCCTTCACCTTAGAAGGAATATCTCAATAGGCCCCATACCACTGGACCCCTAGAAATTTTACTGAGGTAGAAGTTCCCTGAATTTTGGTTGGATGCACATGTCTCACCAATAAGTCCAGTGTGTTTGGTACTTCTTGCTCACTGGATCCAATCAGCATAATGTCATCAATGTAATGGACCAGTGTGATACCTTGTGGAAGCGAAAGAGATCAAAGTCTCTTCGAACAAGATTATGACATAAAACCAGAGAGTTGATATGTCCCTGAGGTAGGACAGCAAAGGTATATTGCTGGCCTTGCTAGCTGAAGGCAAATTGCTTCTGGTGGGCCTTATGGACAGGAATGGGGAAAAAGACATTTGCCAAATCAATGGCTGCATACCAGGTACCAGGAGATGTGTTAATTTGCTCAAGCAATGAAACCACATGTGGTACAGCAGCTGCAATTGGAGTCACCACTTGGTTAAGTTTACAACAATCCACTGTCATTCTCCAAGATCCTTCTGTCTTCTGCACAGGTCAAATAGGAGACTTGAACAGGGATGTGATGGGAATCACCACCCTTGAGACTTTCAGGTCCTTGATGGTGGCACTAATCTCCACAATCCCTCCATGGATGTGATATTGTTTTTGATTTGCTATTTTTCTAGGTAGGGGTAGCTCTAATGGTTTCCATTTGGCCTTTCCCATCATAATAACTCTCACCCTACAAGTCAGGGAGCCAGTGTGGGGGTTTGGCTACCTGCTACGTATGTCTATGGCAATTATGCATTCTGGCACTGGGAAATGACCACAGGGTGGGTCCCTGGATTTCCTTCCAAGGAAGGAAGTCAGACCTGTAAGTCAGACCTGAGCTAAAACTCCATTAATTACCTGATCTCCATAAGCCTCTACTTCAACTGGAGGACCACAATGACATTTTGGGTCCCTTGGTATCAATGTCAGCTCAGAGCCAGTGTCCAGTAGTCCCCAAAATGTCTGATCATTTCCCTTTCTTCAATGCAGTTACCCTGGTAATAGACTGGGGGTCTCCTTGGGGAAGGATGGGAGAAATATTAACAGCATAAATAGTCACTAGCATAGTGGGGTCCTTTTCAAGGGGACCCAGCCTCCCCTTCATTCAAGGGTTTCTGGGCCTATAAATTTTGTGGTGGAGTGACTGTTGTTCCCACCGTTAGATCTGACATACAGAGAAGAGCAATTACAGGACTCTTCAGAGATGCAGTTGCCGCCATCACAAATCCATTTCGCAAAGCGTTGGTCAAGGGTGTATCTTCTGGACCCTCCCAGCTGGGATGGGTAGGTCCAAAGTGACCAATCCACTCCAGCATCCAATCTCCCTAAACTTTTGGATCCCTTCCTCTACATTAAACTGAGAGAGATCAGGCATTTCCAGCTTGCTCACAGTGGGCCATCTTTTATCCATATTTCAGCTAACCAAGCAAATAAACTATTAGAACCATTAAAACCTTTTTTAACTCCCTGAGCTGCAACATCAAAAGCAGAATCTCTACTTAGTGGGTTCAAATCAATAAGTCCAGCCTGATCCAACTCTATATTCCTTCCGCCATTATCTCACACCCTTAATATCCATTCCTATGACTCTTCTCCAGATTTCTGCTTATATAAATTAGAAAACTCAAGCAGTTCTTTTCTAGTGTAGCACATCTCCTCAAGGGTCACTCTGAACCTCACCTCTAGGGGTCTGCTGGGACTTTAGTCTAGGTATAGGTCTAGAAGCAAACAGGGGTGTTGGGGGTGGCTCCTGAGGAGAATCAACGTTATTTTGCCTGGCAACTGCCTCAGAGGAGGCCATCACTGTTGCCTCCAGGCAGCGCATGGTTTATCTCCTCAGACAAAGGTGGAAAGGCTGATGGCAGCATGTGTTGGGGAGGGGATGTTGCCACTACTGGGGATGAAGAAGCTGTTTCTTCTGGCAAAAAAGGTTCATCAGAGTTAACAAGCTCAGTGTCCCCAGCTTCATTAGGCCCTCCACCACACATCCCCATTCCAAGTTGCAGGGTCCCATTCTTTTCCAGTCAATCCCCTCACTTTAACAGTAGACACCTGGAAAGGCTGTGCATGCACCTTTCGTTGCAGGTCAGCCACTCACATGATAAGAGCTTGTGTCTATTTTTCCACAATTTCAGCTCTTTCTCTATAGGAGATAAGACTCTTACACAGGGTAATCTAGCAGGTGTGAGGCTCAGTACTACTTCTGAAGCTGAAAATGAATCCCTGAGCTCATCATTTTTCTTTCATCACTTTGTCCAGTGAACGTAGGAGCAACCAACCAGCTTTATTATGTTCCTTGGTTCTCCACATATGGTCAAAGGTATTATGTTTCAAGTCACTAAACTCCTTGCCTCTCACGAGCAGTGAATCAGGAGTATCAGATGCATTTATTTTGCATAACTCTCTAAACAGTTCATGCCAAGGACTATGGGTGTTCTCCATACTATTAGAAATAGAATTCTTAGGCCGGGCACTGTGGCTCACGACTGTCATCCCAGCACTTTGGCAGGCCAAGGCGGGAGGGTCATGAGGTCAGGAGATCGAGACCATCCTGGCTAACATGGTGAAACCCCGTCTCTACTAAAAATACAAAAAATTAGCTGGGCGTGGTGGCGGTCGCCTGTAGTCCCAGATACTTGGGAGGCTGAGGTGGCAGAATGCCGTGAACCCAGGAGTCAGAGCTTGCAGTGAGCAGAGATCGCGCCACTGCACTCCAGCGTGGGTGACAGAGCGAGACTCCATCTCAAAAAAAAAAAAAAAAGAAAGAAAAAGAACCTTTAGCATTTTTTGGTCTAATCACATTAAGCAGCCAACTCCAGAAACCCCAAAACCAATAAAAGAACTCCATCCTTAATATTCTGTTCCTCTAGAACCACTTCTGGTACCAAAATCTGTATTAGTCAGGGTTCTCTAGAGGGACAGAACTAATGGGATATATATATATATAAAGGGGAGTTTACTAAGGAGTATTAACTCACATGATCACAAGGTCCCATAACACGCCATCTGCAAGCTGAGAAGCAAGGAAGCCAGTCTGATTCCTAAAGGTGAAGAACTTGGAGTCTGATGTTTGAGGGTAGGAAGCATCCATCATGGGAGAAAGATAGAGGCTGGGAGGATAAGCCACTATAGTCTTTTCATGTTCTTCTGCCTGCTTTTTATTCTGGCTTTGCTGGCAGCTGATTAGATTGTGCCCATCCAGATTAAAGGCAGGTCTGCCTTTCCCAGTCCACTGAGTCAAATGTTAATCTCCTTTGACAACACCCTCACAGACACACCCAGGATTAGTACTTCGTATCTTTCAATCCAATCAAGTTGACACTCAGTATTAACCATCACAATGTTTCATTCAGAAGCTATAGTCTCCAAACTTCAGTTTCTCCTCTGTCAAATAGGATCTTCAGCTATGATTCTTACTTCAAAGGGTACACAGGTACAAGAGATCCCCAGCCCACGAGTCTGGCAACATGTTTTGGTCAGCCTTAACATTATCTTTTTCTAAAATCCTTAAATTAGTAAATATTGCTTCCCATCTAACATAGCTCTAAGTGAAAAAAGTTGCAGTTTAAGGAGAGTCCTAATTTTCTGACCAAAGAGACTAAAACTTAAAAGGGAAAACAAGACAAACTATTTGCTTGGCCCACTACAAGTCCCAGGCATTATGCAAGGTTTTCAAGGAGACACAGAGACAAGTGACACCTGACTGAAGTGTAGCGGTGGGGTTCCCAGGACTGGACCTCATGAAAGGTTAGAATAAATGCCTGCAGACAGATTCCTAGCTGATAGGAAGAGTCAGAGGAGATCACACTTGCTCAGGGAGTGAGGCTGGGCAGCTACATGGTTCCACTGCCTCTGAGATGAAGCCAGGAGGTGACTGGAGCTGACATGTGGAAGAGGCAGTTGGTGAAACCTTTTCTGCATGGGTTTGATCCCCAGCTTAATCCTAATACCTGTGAGTCTTTGTGAAGCTCAAAAAACATCTCTGTACACCTGTTTTCTCAGTTCTTGAATGGAGATAGTAATCATACCTACATGCCTCACAGGATCAGTACAAGGAGTGCATGAGACAATTATGAAGAGTGCTTAGAACAGTTCTTGGTACATAGTGTGCACTCAAAAATGATAGCTATCTTTTCTATTACATGTACTGATCTGAAATGATGTCTAAGATATATTAAGTTAAAGAAAAAGGTCAATATAAAACTATATATATATATAGAATGCAATCATCTGTGGGGGGAAAATACATGTATCTATATATGATATCTGTCTGTATATGTTTATAACATCTATGGAAGAATACACAAGAAACCGGTTAATCATGGTTGTTTCTATAGAAGGGAACTGGACCTAGAAGACAGGGATGCTTTTCATAACATAGCCTACCTTTAAAACTGTTTACTATTGGCCAGGCAAGGTGGCTCATGCCTGTAATCCCAACACTTTGGGGGGCCGAGGTGGGCGGATCACAAGGTCAGGAGTTCGAGACCAGCCTGGCCAACATGATGAAACACCATCTCTAATAAAAATACAAAAATTAGCCAGGTGTGGTGGCAGGCGCCTGTAATCCCGGCTACTCGGGAGGCTGAGGCAGGAGAATCACTTGAACCCAGGAAGCAGAGGTTGCAGTGAGGCGAGATCGTGCCATTGCACTCCAGCCTGGGTGACAAAGCAAGACTCCATCTAAAAAGAAAAAAAAAAACCCATTTGCTATTTATATCCTTTACCTGTTTCTAAATGTCATTAAGATTAATTTATCTCTTTTTTTAAAAAAAAGAAAACAATGAGCTAGGTTGATAGCGGTAGAAATGTTAAGGAATGGTTATAAGACAGTATAGATGGGACTTAAAAGATCCAGTACCTAACAACAGACGTGAGAAAAAAAAACAAAAAACTGTAACCAAGATTCTAGGCTTAGTTTCCTGAGAAAATACTTATGCTTTTATTATAAATAGGTAAAATAAGAGAAAGTAAGGGTTGGGAGAATTGAGAGAAGAAATATTTGGATATATGGAGTTTCATATGCCATGAAGACATTCAGGTAGGAGAGTTGAACAGAATTTCTAGCTGGAAATCAAGTGAGATGTGGTGGTTAGACACAAGCATTTCAGCAATTGTGGCACAGAAGTGATGGCTGAAACAAAGAGAATTCCAAGAGACGGAGAATACAGAAAGAAGTGATATATGAATTAACCCTGAGAAAATGTTTACATTTTTTGAGAGCTTTTAGCAAATGGGGTGCTTTTAGTGGCATATTTTGAACAAAAGTATATTGTACTCATGTCTCTATTTTCATCAGACACATTTAAATTAAAATAACTGTTCCATTTGTTTACTATTTACTGTTTCTGCCAATAGGCAGCGTGCAATGGTGAAAAGAACATCGGGGTTTGAATCCTTGCTCCACCATCCATTATATGCATCATCTTAGGCAATAACTTTGCTGAGCCTCAGTCACTGTGAATTATTATACCTTTTCCAGAGGGTTGTTGCTGAAATTATATGAACAAGTGCACATGAAAGGGCCAAGAAAAGTGCATCACACGTGGAAGACATAAAATAAATGTTACATGAAAATGAATTGTATAGGCTGACTACATGCATTAATACTTATACATGATAAGGACCAGCCAACGCTTACCTAAAAATTTAGCTCTCAGGTGGTCCTTTGATTTTCAGTTCGGGGCCACGCAAAGCAAATCCTCCCATACCCTAAATACACCTCATGTGGCATCAAACAAGAAAGTATATGTCCAGGTTTAAGGATCAGGATTTTTTAAACTATCTGTTTTTTTTAAATGAGGGCTTAAAAACCTTGGACTTCTCTCTTCCCAGAAATTGAGCAACATTATTAATTGATGACTATTTCTGTTTAAATTAAATTTCAAATGCAGAGTCATTAGCTATTTTATCTCCTTAATGTCACACCTGATAGAAGCAGTCAAACTTTTTTTTTTAATTTTACTTTAAGTCAGTCAAACTTTTAGAAGAAGACATACATATCTTTAAAGGGTCATTTCCTAAAAAGCTTTTGAGATCATTTCACATCATAAAATGATCACGTAAAGCCAAATATTTCCTTAGTTTTTTTTTTATTTAAAAAACATTTTTTATCATTCTCAGTATTCAAACAAATATTTCATCCTTACAAGTCTTAAGATCTCTGTGGAAGGTTAGTATAACAACCAGAAAACCTTCTGTTTTGAGAAAAAATGTATGTTTAGTCATTTTGGATTATAATAATGGGACTCTCTTCTCTGAAACACATCAAAAATATTTCACAAGTCATAATGGTTCTGTGGTTATGTTGAAGAAAAAGGAACTCCCTATCTTTTAAAGACCCATACTGAAATGTTTGTGGATGAAATAATGTGATAACTGGGATTACTTTATAATACTAAGGGCGCCAGGAGCAGCGGTTCACACCTGTAATCCCTACACTTTGGGAGGCCGAGGTGGGAATATCGCTTGAGCCTGGGAGTTTGAGACCAGCCTGTGCAACATAGGGAGACTCTGTCTCTACAAAAAAGAAACAAATTAGCTGGGTATGGTGGTGTGTACCTGTAGTCCTAGCTACTTGGGAGGCTGAGGTGGGAGGATAGCTTGAGTCCAGGAGGTTAAGCCTGCAGTGAGCCATGACCACGCCACTGCACTTCAGCCTGGGTGACAGAGTAATACCCTATCTCAAAAAACAAAAAAAATGATAACAAAACAAAATAATAAGGGATGGCATAGTGGATAGAGAAGAAACAAAATTAGCCACGAATTGATCATGTTGAAGCCAGGTGATGGATACATGAAATTTCATTTTGCAAGTATCTCTATTTTACTATTTGTTTGAAATTCACCCAAAGTTTAACAAAATTCACATAGAAACTGCTTATTTGCTACTTAAAGAATACAAAAGTAGAATGTACACTGATGCACATATATTGTTAGAATGTACTTATGAGTGATAACCTGCAGATTGGAGACTCCATAGACAGACTCATGGCTCCTTAGAAAGAATGATTGTGGGTGGAGCAGACCCAAGGAGGAAAAGCAGAGTCCAGGCTTAGACTGCAGCTTCTCGCTTACCTGTGCAGTCTAATTTTGAGCGGCCTCTTTGTAGTTAAGAGACAGGAGCTCCCATTCTCTCTCTACTAACCCAAAAGTCTTGTGTGTACTCCTTGCCTTGGCTCAGCTCCAAACACATTTCTACACCGATAACAAGAAATATGCTGTAAATGATGTTTCCTTCTCAATCCCTGCCGCCTCTGAATTTGCTGACCTTAGTAACATCATCAATAAATTACTAAAGGACAAAAATGAGTTCCACAAACATATGGAGTTTTATTTCCTTATTAAGGGCCAGTTTCTGCGAATGTCCTTGGTCAAACACATGGAACTGGAGAACATGTCATCAGAAGTAGTTGTGGAAATAGAATATGTGAAGTACACAGCACCCCAGCCAGAGCAATGCATGTTCCATGATGACTGGATCCTTTCAGTTAAAGGGGCAAAGGAATGGATCTTGACTGGTTCTTATGATAAGACCTCTCAAATCCGGTCCTTGGAAAGAAAGTCAATAATGACAATTGTTGGACATAGGGATGTCTTAAAAGATGTGGCCTGGGCCAAAAAAAAAGATAGTTTGTCTTGCTTATTTGTGAGTGCCTCTATGGATCCAACTATTCTCTTATGGGAGTGGAATAGAGAGAAACAAAGTGAAAGCCCGACCGTGCTGCAGAGGTCATGCTGGAAGTGCAGAGTCTATAGCTGTTGATAGCTCAGGAACTAAATTTTGTAGTGGCTCCTGGGATAAGATGCTAAAGATCTGGTCTACAGTCCCTACAGAAGAAGAAGATGAAATGGAGGAATCCACAAATCGACAGAGAACACAGAGCAGCTATGACTCCCATAGTGACCCTCTCTGGTCACAAGGAAGCAATTTCCTCAGTTCTGTGGTCAGATGCTGAAGAAATCTGCAGTGCATCTTGGGACCATACAATTAGAGTGTAGGATGTTGAGTCTGACAGTCTGAAGGCAAGCTTTGACAGGAAATAAAGTGCTTAATTGTATTTCCCATTCTCCAACTTTGTAAACGTTTAGCATCTGGAAGCACAGATAGGCATACCAGACTGTGGGATCCCCGAACTAAAGACCATTCTTTGGTGTCACTGTCCCTAACTTCAAATACAGGTTGCGTGACATTAGTAAAATGGTCTCCTACCCATGAACAGCAACTGATTTCAGGATCTTTAGATAACATTGTCAAGTTGTGGGATACAAGAAGTTGTATGATCTGGCTGCTCATGAAGACAAAGTTCTGAGTGTAGACTGGATAGGGACACAGGGCTACTTTTCAGTGGACAAGCAGACAATAAATTGTATTCCTACAGATATTCACCTACCACTTTCCATGTGGGGGCATGAAAGTGAATGATAAATTGATCATAGAGATTCTTTATACAAATGAACTTGGTAGAAAATCATGAAATTATACTGATGCAGATGCAGAAAGCAGCCGTTTGAAATTTATATAATGTTTTCACTCTTCATAACAGCTAACATTTAACTATCTTTTTCTTATTTTGTATTTATAATAGTTTGTGTTTATAAAATAAAAAGAATGATTGTGACTAGCTTGTTAATCACATGTATAGCTACTATGATGTACTCTTACAGTTTATAGTTAATTAACTTACACATCTAAAATATATCTTTCTCTGGCCATTTGTCCCAATTGCATGTGAAGAATATAAGGTAATAATAAAATTTACGGAAAAAGTACTAAGTATCTGTTGCCTACCACTTTTTAGTATATGTGTATATTTATATACTTATAATTTTTATTTTCAAGTGTAGATTTTGAATAAGAACACATCTTTATAATGGGGTGTATGAAGCTATTTGCAATAATCCTGGATCTATATTTACAGACACAGACAAATATATTCATGATATGTTTTAAATGTTAAAGTAGCTAATAAAACCACCTTAGGGGATGATTTCATTTTTATGTTATATTTGTCTCTATATACTTAGAAAAAAATGTGGAAAGATAAACACTTTTTTACAGTGGTCTTTTTCTGCTTTATATTATGTGTTTTATTGGTTTTTCTTCCTTCTTTATATTTTCTGTATTTCTTTTATCCAATGAACACTACATAAATACGTATTTTTAAAAGAATTTTAATCATGTAACCTTTCTAAAGATTAAAAGAGAAGGAATAACAATATTATATCAGTATATGCGAATTTAGTGCATGATAAAAGTAATATATCAGCGGACAAAAGAGAAATTCTTCAAATCATGAGTTATAGGCAACCAATTAACTATTTGGAAGAAACCTCAAATGAATCAAAATTTTAAATATAGGAACTATAAAGATAGCTGAGAGGAATTATTTTTAAGCAAACTACCAAAGACAGAAACAATCATAAAAGGAAAACAAAAGATTTCAACATACACAGCTTTAAAACATCCATATGACAAAATACTTCATTAATAAATGGGACATTTGGGGATTTAGTTTTAATTTGAATTTTTGAAAATATATAACAAAGGGGCCTTATAAATCTATATTAAAGAGGCCACCCATGGTGGCTCACACCTGTAATCCCAGCACTTTGACAGGCCGAGGTGGGCGGATTGCCTGAGCTCAGGAGATCGAGACCAGCTTGAGCAACACGGTGAGACCATGAGAATCGCTTGAACCTGGGAGGCAGAGAATGCAGTGAGGAAGATGATGCCACTTCACTCCAACCTGGGCGACAGAGTGAGACTCTGTCTCAAAAAAAAAAAAAAAGAAAAAAAAAATCACCATTAAAGATAAATAGCCAAAAGAAGATGAATTAGAAATGCCCATGTCACCAATAAACTTATGAAATAAACGTATAAAGGTATTTGACCTTACTAGAAAATAAATTGATTTTGTTTTGTTTCTTAAATAATATTCAAATCTAGCACCTAAGATAAGCACTCTGATAAAATAATGGTGGCAGTGTACAACTGGTACAATGTTTATGAAAAGCAACTTAGAAGCACGTACTAAATGACTAATAAAAGTACATATCCTATGAATCAGCTATTTAACTTTTAAATATTTGTCTAAGAAAATAAAGATGTACAGTAAAATTTAGTTAAAAGGATCCTCATCAGAAAAATAGAAAAAAATGGAGTCCAATCTAACTATCCAACAATAAGTAACAGATTATAACTGATGGTAATTGTATATAACATAATTTTTAAAAAGCCACTAAACATGGTTTATAGAAACCTGTTTAATGCAGGTAAGAGCATCACAATACATTAAATGTGAAAGAGTTGTTATTTATTTTATTTTATTTATTTATTTTTTTTTTTGAGATGTAGTCTTGCTCTGTCACCCAGGCTGGAGTGCAGTGGCGTGATCTTGGCTCATTGCAAGCTCCACCTCCCGGGTTCATGCCATTCTTCTGCCTCAGCCTCCCGAGTAGCTGGGACTACAGGTGCTGGCCACCACGCCGGACTAATTTTTTGTATTTTTAGTAGAGACGGGGTTTCACCGTATTAGCCAGGATGGTCTCGATCTCCCGACCTCGTGATCTGCCGCCTTGGCCTCCCAAAGTGCTGGAATTACAGGCGTGAGCCACTGTGCCTGCCCAAGAGTTGTTAAGCTGTATATTTAATACTTATAAAAGTGTATGCATTAAAAAAATTAGAATGGATGCACTGAATTTTTACTTTAATAGTGGTTATCCTGCTCAATGAAATAAAAGAGAACACAAACAAATGCAAGAACATTCCATGCTCATGGATAGGAAGAATTAATATCATGAAAATGGCCATACTGCCCAAGGTGATTTATAGATTCAACGCCATCCCCATCAAGCTACCAATGACTTTCTTCACAGAATTGGAAAAAACTACTTTAAAGTTCATATGGAACCCAAAAAAAGCCCACATTGCCAAGACACTCCTAAGCCAAAAGAACAAAGCTGGAGGCATCACGTTACCTGACTTCAAACTATACTACAAGGCTACAGTAACCAAAACAGCATGGTACTGGTACCAAAATAGAGATATAGACCAATGGAACAGAACAGAGCCCTCAGAAATAATACCACACATCTACAACCATCTGATCTTTGACAAAGCTGACAAAAACAAGAAATAGGGAAAGGATTCCCTATTTAATAAATGGTGCTGGGAAAACTGGCTAGCCAAATGTAGAAAGCTGAAACTGGATTCCTTCCTTATACCTTATACAAAAATTAATTCAAGATGGATTAAAGACTTAAATGTTAGACCTAAAACCATAAAAACCCTAGAAGAAAACCTAGGCAATACCATTCAGGACATAGGCATGGGCAAGGACTTCATGACTAAAACACCAAAAGCAATGGCAACAAAAGCCAAACTTGACAAATGGGATCTAATTAAACTAGAGAGCTTCTGCACAGCAAAAGAAACTACCATCAGAGTGAACAGGCAACCTACAGAATAGGAGAAAATTTTTACAATCTATCCATCTGACAAAGGGCTAATTAATCCACAATCTACAAAGAACTTCAACAAATTTACAAGAAAAAATCAAACAACCCCATCAAAAAGTGGGCAAAGGATATGAACAGACACTTCTCAAAAGAAGACATTTATGCAGCCAAAAGACACATGAAAAAATGCTCATCATCACTGGCCATCAGAGAAATGCAAATCAAAACCACAATGAGATACCATCTCACACCAGTTAGAATGGTGATCATTAAAAAGTCAGTAAACAACAGGTGCTGGAGAGGATGTGGAGAAATAGGAACACTTTTACACTGTTGGTGGGACTATAAACTATTTCAACCATTGTGGAAGACAGTGTGGCAATTCCTCAAGGATTTAGAACTAGAAATACCATTTGACCCAGCCATCCCATCACTGGGTATATACCCAAAGTATTATAAATCATGCTACTATAAAGACACATGCACATGTATGTTTACTGCAGCACTATTCACAATAGCAAAGACTTGTAACCAACCCAAATGTCCAACAATGATAGACTGGATTAAGAAAATGTGGCACATATACACCATGGAATACCTTGCAGCCATAAAAAAGGATGAGTTCATGTCCTTTGTAGGGACATGGATGAAGCTGCAAACCATCATTCTGAGCAAACTATCACAAGGACAGAAAACCAAACACCACATGCTCTCATTCATAGTGGGAATTGAACAATGAGAACACTTGGGCACAGGATGGGGAACATCACACACTGGGACCTGTCATGAGGTTGGGGGCTGGGGGAGGGATAGCATTAGGAGATATACCTAATGTAAATGAGGTTAACGGGTCAACGGGTGCAGCACACCAACATGGCACATGTATACATATGTAACAAACCTGCACGTTGTGCACATGTACCCTAGAACTTAAAGTATAACAAAAAAAGGGAAAAAATAAAAAATAAAAATAAATAAATATATAAAACTGTTGGGGGCATTAGTCACATGAACAGCTGTCAAAAAAAATAGTGGTTATCTCTGGGAGTGATGTTTCCAACCTTCTTCTTACTTATCTATATATTTTAATGTTGGCATACAGAGACTATCTAAAAAAAAAAAAAAAAAAAAAAAAGAAGCAGTTGCTTCAAAACTTACACCAGTGAGAAATTCCACAGAAAAGCTGAGAACATTCCTAACAAGGGTCCCTTTATGTATGCACTTAACATAACATATGGAAATTATTTAGTTTTCTGCCTCACTAAAGTGGCCTCCCACAAAATAGGAACTATAGTCTCACTCTCAATTTCTTTTTTTATTCCTAATGCCTATTACACTGTGTGGCATAATAGCAGGCTGAGGGCCAGGCACGGTGGCTCATGCCTGTAATTCCAGCACTTTGGAAGGCCGAGGCAGGTGGATGGCCTGAGGTTGGGAGTTCAAGACCAGCCTGACCAACATGGAGAAAGCTTGTCTCTACTAAAAGTACAAAATTAGCCAGGCATGGTGGCACATGCCTGTAATCCCAGCTACCTGGGAGACTGAGGCAGGAGAATCTCTTGAACCCAGGAGGCAGAGGTTGCGGTGAGCCGAGATAGTACCATTGCATTCCAGCCTGGGCAACAAGAGCGAAACTCCGTCTCAAAAAAAAAAAAATAGCAGGCTGAAGGAATAACTTTTCACAGAGAACCCAAAAGACTCTCTAAGAAACCAAAGGTTTAGATTCTGTACAGAAAACCCAGAGAATCACCTAGGAAATAGCCAAGACTAGCCACAGAATCTCTCACTAAATACAAATTTCATTTAACCAGCTCAGATAAAAAAAATCCTGGTATTTTCCTGCACCTCCCCCTTCTGTCTCCCAATCCATTAACAAATCCAACTGAAGAAATCCTCTTGTTTCTACATGTAAAACGTGTTCTCACAACCATTCTCACCATTTCACTGCCACCATGCTTGTCCAAGCCAGAAGTCATCTCTTGCCCATACATAGACCAGCAATAGTCCCCTGGTTGGTCTCCAGGCTTCCACTCTCCTGCACTGTAGCCTTCACACAACAGAGTGACCTTTAAAAAGGCAAATCTAATCATGCTACTCTAAGCTCAAAGCCTCCAATAACTTCCCATCACATGTAGAATAAAAGCCAAAGTGTTTCCTATGGCTCACAGCCTTTCATGATGTGCCCTAGACTTTGAACTCCTCTCCTACCCTCTGGTTCCCAGGTCTCCAGCCACACTGGCCTGCTGACTATTCCTGAAACTTGTCAAGCTCGTGCCTGCCTCAGGGCCTCTATCCTCCCCACTCCTGTGTTTTTCCTCTTTGCTGGAAATGCACTTCTCCTTAAAAGTGACCTTTTCAAACAGGTCTTTTTGTTTAGAAGTCACCTTATCAAAATACCTATCTTGAACCACTTTTTAAAAAATAGCAATGCTTTCCAACCAGCCTTCACTGTCTCTTCCTTTAACCTGCTCAATTTTTCTTCAGTGTGCCACCTGCCTTACATTATTTATTAATTTGGTATATATGTCTATCTCCTCCATTAGAATGTCCATTAGGGAAAGGACTTTGTTTTCTTTACCACTCGATTTCAAGTACTTAGAATAGTGCCTGCCACATTAGAGGTACAAAATAAATATGAGATAATTAACTAGGTGAATAGATAAATAAATGAATGATATCACCAAGATATGTTTCAAGTTCTTACACAAACACAATATTTGGCCCAGTGTCTACTATAAACGGTAGAATATTTCCTCAAGTCAACACCAAAAAGGGATGTTATAATAAAGCAGGTCGGACAACAGTCTCACATTACTGAATAACGATACTGATCTGATGTTGATGATTGCTTCTTTACTTTTTTTCTTTTTTTTTTTTTTTTGAGAGAGGGTGTCACTCTGTTGCCCAGGTTGGAGTACAGATCACGGCTCACTGCAGCCTCAACCTCCTGGGCTCAAACGATCCTCCCACCTCAGCCTCCCTCGTAGCTAGGACCACAGGTGTACGCCACCACGCCCAGTTAATTTTTTAATTTTTTGTAGAGACAGGGTCTCGCCAGTTGCCCAGACTGGTCTAAACTCCACCTACCTCTGCCTCCCAAGTGCTGGGATTATAGGCATGAGCCACTGTGCCCAGCCTGATGATTATTTTCAACAGGCCTTGTGTTTCCTAAGCCCCAAAAGCCTTCCCATTTCTCATTCCACTGCCATTTGAGACCCATGGCCACCTGATTGAAACCTCAAGGTTTTGCTAAGAATTTATGAAGAGAGTTAAGAAATCTCTTCAAATTGTTCCTATGAGGAAGTTATTTCATACTATGAGCAAATTCATTTTCATTAAGTATCTGTTGTAACCAAACGTTGTTTCTTAGCTTCTTAGCTCTGTAATATGGCACAATAATCTGACTTACTGAAGCCACTCATTATTTCCCATTGGCTTAATTCTTTCTTTCTTTTTTTTTTTTTTTAGAGATAGAATCTCTCTATGTTGGCCATGCTGGTCTTGAACTCTTGGCCTCAAGAAATTTTCCCACCTCGGCCTCATAGACTCTTTCTATGTTGGCCATGCTGGTCTTGAACTCCTGGACTCAAGGGATCCTCCTACCTTGGCCTCCCAAAGCTCTCACGTACCAGCACCCATTGGCTTAATTATTTCAGTAAAATCAGGCAAGGAGGAACCCTACAAAATAAACACAGGCATTCTCAAAGCAGATATAAGTGAAAACTCAGAGTATACTGTGGTCAGCTGTGTTCTCTATCACAAGTAGTTTGTCAACTTAAAATAAAGTACTAAAGTTTGGGAATGATCTACTCTAAAAATACATCGGACAATGGTCAATGTCATTTACAACATTCACCTCCTTTCTGATACACATCTCAGGAAAAAAAAAAAAAAAACTACTAAGTACCAGGTCAGAAATTTGGCACAACCCTAGATGACCACCTTGTCATGCAAATAAACTTAGAATGGTGCTCCTGAAAGTCAGCCACAGTGCTTCAAAAACACATGATTTTTTAAAACACCAAACTAAGCATACCACATAGTATAGAGACCAGGCTATGGAGTTGAGACCACCTGGGTTAGAATTCCATTTCTTTCCATTTAGTTGCTGTCACCTTCCTAATTTCTCTGTGTTCCATAATTCCATATTATCCATAAAATTCAGATATGAACACTTACTATACAGAGTTGTTATGAGGATTGGACAATGTATGCATCCCACAAGTAGATCAATTACAAGTACATTTTGCCCCAAGTAAAGACAACACGTGGGAACGCTGTGCAAGAGGGAACAGCAAAAGCAGTTGGAGGATGGAAGTCAGTTTGCAAACCTATGCGCACAGGCAGCCAAACACGAAAACGTTCCCCACAAGTAGTCTGTAAATTGGAGACTCCATTGGGATACACACACACACACACACACACGCCCTGAGAGGAAATAGCACCTTTCTTCATCACCAAGTTAGCCTTAAAAATTATTTACCCGTTGTTAGCCACACTAGCACTGACAAACCCAACTTTACTCTTGTAGGTCATTCTCCACAACGTCTGTGCTGCGTCAATCCCAAATCTGACTCCCTGACGCTTAACAGCGAAAATAAAAAACCGAGACATTACTCAATAGAGTTAACCCTTACTTAACAAAACGCTGTTGTCCCCTGTGGCGTGCAGACAGTAGAGACAGTAATTCCCGACCTTATGCTTGTCAGTGACGGCATGCCCTTTGTATACACGCTTCAGTAGAGAACGACTGCAGTAAGTAAACTGCTAGTAGCAACACTGTTCCCCTATCTAAACTTCCCCTTTCCAGAGTTACTGATGTCCCAACATGGGTCGGTCGCTCAGTCTCCGTCAAGCCCGTACCCCATAGCTTGGGCATTTCCCCCCGCAGATCACAAGATGCAAAGGGGAAGTTACTACCAAACCGACGAGAATGGCCCAGAGCTGGGGGCTGCCAGGCGGTTCCTGGGCCCCTCTCAGCACCAGAAGAAGGCGGGCGCAGGCTCGCCGCGGGTCGGCCGCACGCCATACCTGGATCAGGCCCTGCTGGAACAAGGCGCTGTGCACGCAGCCAGGGACCGCCCCGGGCAGCTCCAGCGAGCCGTTCCCATTGCAGATGCTCCAGTTGCCACGCAAGCTGTAACTGAGCTCCGCGGCGGTGGTGCCTGCACCGCACAGCGCGAGCAGCAGGAGCAGGTGGAGGCGCATCTTGAGATCCCGCGCCACCGAGATGTGGAGAGATCGAAAGGCAGCGCTGCAAGGGACCGGCGGTGAAGCCACTCACCCCCTCGGAAGTAGCCGAGGCTTTAGGTCCCCGCCCCGGCCCCGCCCCTAGGTCAGCTGAGCGCTCTCCGGGCGCAGCCGCGGGCGGGAGGGGAACGAGGAGGCTGCGCCTGCACCCGCTGAAAGCCGGGCGTCGCGGGTGCGGGAGCTGCAGCCCCCGAGAATAGCTACAGGCTGGGGGGCATTGCGGTCTGAGCCTTCCCTCGGCGCTTCTTCCCGCCGCCTCAGTACATACAACTGGAGGCAAGAATCTTGCACGGTAATTGGGACAGAAAGATCCCTGGGCGCGCAGTGGCACAAAGCCTCGGGAGATCAGAGACCGACTGTACGTGGAGACCATAGCTGGAGAGTCCCCTCACTCCTTCAGAGAACCCAAACTGGGAGACAACCCACCACTTCCCTTCCGCCAAATTTACACAGACCCTCGTCTACCTGGTAGCGTAACACTCACCCCGCTGCAGCTCAACTCGCGGGTCTCAGAGCCTACCCCGCCCTTCAAAGAGTAAACAAGTACTAGCAGTATCTCCATCAGAAGGTTGTTCTGAGGGCTAACCAAGAAAATGCGACTATAGCATGCAGCATGGAGCCTGGCCCAGAGAAGGCATTCACGTTAGCTATTGTTACTAGCGGCCTGCGTCCTTATGTTTCATAAAGCCCCACGGAGGTTTCTGAGGTTCTGGAACCTGCACTAGGCGCGCAGCTGAGTTTAAAATCCTCTGCACTCACTAGCTGTGGGACCTGGGCAAGCCGCAAAATCTCCATCTCCGTTTCTTGAAGTTTTCAAGGTGTTATAAGTATAAAATGAGTAAACATATGTGATCGTCCCTAACAATGCCAGAGTACCCAAGAAATACCACTGACTTATTTCGGGTCTTGTAGTCAAATGGTCTACCTGAGTCCCATTTTTGCAATAGGATGTAACAGTAATCCTAGAAGTTAAGACGGAATTTTACATTGCATAAAATAGACTGCCTTTCTCCTGTGTTGACGCTATCTGCCGTATATTTATGCTTCGGAAGAAGTCCTTGAAAAGAAATTTTCTCTCATCAAATCTGAGCTTTGTTTCGCCTTACAATGGCCTTGGAATTGCCTGATTCTGCAGACACCGGGCAATATCTTACTTTGCAAAGTCAGCATTATTTACAAGCCCTGAATATCTTGGCTTAAAGGACAGTATGGATTATCCAACCCAAGCCGCTGGCTTTACAGATGAGGGAACTGAGTTCAAAGAGATCGGGGCCAGGCGCGGTGGCTCACGTCTGTAATCCCAGCACTTCTGGGAGGCCGAGGCGGGTGGATCACTTGAGGTCAGGAGTTCGAGGCCAGCCTGGCCAACATGGTGAAACCCTGTCTCTATTAAAAATACAAAAATTAGCTGGGCGCGTGGTGGCACGTGCCTGTAGTCGCAGGTGCTCGGGAAACTGAGGCAGGAGAACCGCTTGAACCCAGGAAGCAGAGGTTGCAGTAAGCCGAGATGGCACTACTGCACTCCAGCCTGGGCTATAGAGAAAGACTCTAAAAAAAAAAAAAAAAAAAAGATCAGGTGACTTGCCTGTCACATAGTGGCAGACAGGATTAGAACCCTCCTCTTCAAGGTCCTACTGTCAGAGCCCAATGATGCTATAGGGGAAACGCTCTCACTGCTTCAAAGCCTTCCTCACTCACTCCAGAAGCATTTTTACCTTTGATAGAAACAAAGCTCTCAATTCAAATTATATGCCATAATTCACGGCATTAAATGGCTAGCCATGGTCTGTGCAACACTGATAACACAAGGTTTATGGCAACAAGAGCGGCAAAGGAATTTTTTCATAATTCCCAGAGATTTCATTAAGCCAAATCAGAGGAAAATTCATCCTTGATGATACATATGGATATATTCTGTTTATTAAGAAATATAATTTTTAGAAAAACAATAATAGAAGATTCTCATTCCTCCTTTCATTCCAGGATGCAAGCATAACATCATTTAGGTTACTTCACTTTGACAACAGAGAACATCAAAGAATAATCAAAGCCCTAATAAGTACTCTTCCTAAAATTGCAATTGGCACAGATGACATGATGTTTTCATTTTGTTATAGGATAATTTTTGTCCATGATTTTCTGGTAAATAAACCTTATTTAGAGATAACATAAAACTTCTCAACTTATGTAATTTAAAGTCATGATACCAAATGCAATGTTTAAAATAGTTATGGGTATCTTTAACTTACACTGTATAAACAGATTTCATTTTGATCATTTCATTTGATGCTTCCCAAAACTTGAATTATTTAGAACAAGTGATCGTTCCCTGGTTTAAAAAGATAAATAATGCCCACGGTGATTAAATGATGTGTAGGGTCAGTATCCTGTCACAACAGACC
Organism: Homo sapiens; assembly: GCF_000001405.40. Lineage (NCBI taxonomy): Eukaryota > Metazoa > Chordata > Mammalia > Primates > Hominidae > Homo > Homo sapiens. The sequence continues at coordinate 102,763,339 of NC_000004.12, forward strand.
AATGGAAGTAGTTAGGCCCTTTGCTATATGACAACATTTCCTTCATATCTAAATATATAAAATTGGTAAACTCATTAGAACACCATGGTATATACCAAGGCCAATGATATTCCAATCCCATGATATATTACAGAAGTTATAATAAGGGAAAGAAAATGAAAGAGTAATCAGATGTGGAGTGGACATTTGCCTTTAGACTCATAGTGTCTGATTAAACCCCAGGACTGGGGATAATAGCCCATAAGTATCCTGCCCAAAGGTTTGACATACTTCCCCAGAGTTTGAAGCCCCAAATGTTAGAACAAAGAGAGAAGGTAGTGGAAACTATGTACACCACTAGAATTTGGTGTGTCAAGGATGCATATGCATGAGTTTCCTATAAACCAAGAGGACACCGTAGGAAGTAACCAGGCTTGAGCCAGTATAATGGGATTCTACCCAAGAGAGTCCAAGAAGTCAACTAGAGGACACATGGCCTATGTCAGCAAACTGTGTATATATATACATATACTGTATATATACATATATACATATACGTATATATATACATATACTGTATATATACATACATACATATACTGTATATATACATATATACATACATATACAAATATATATTTTAAATATATATAATTTATATAATAATATAAATATATAAAAATATATAATATAATTATATTATATAATATAATTATATAATTAGGAATATAATATATTATATTCCTAAATAATGCATGGGTCAAAACAATAATAGATTTCCAATTTCTGGCCTGGCATGTAAGGACCTTGGAAGTCATCACTCTATCCTAAAAAGCAAGTAAAAAGCTGCACAAATTGAAAATAGACAACTCTTCTTAGATGAGTCAAAGAAGTGAGGTCACAGGGCAGACTGCTGCCCCAAAATTAGAGATGTAGACAGGTAGATACAGGCAATTACAACTTAACTGAGTAGACCACACACACTACCCCACAACCGTTGTCCCATAGCTGAAATCTCAGTGGGAACCAGTACAGAGTAGGAAGACCTGGACTATAATTGACAAATTACTGGAGGACCAATATGCACAAATTTGAGAGTTAAAAACTCCAAGGGGGCCCAGTCTTAGGGGAGCAGCTGTGCTTTTGTAAGTTTGCCTCCAGGAGCTCCACAAAGCTCTCATAGTGAAGATTGAAGAAAAATCCTCTCGTGTTTCCTGCAAGGGAGGAGGAAAGTAACTATTCTGAATGTGCCAGAGATTCTGTGCTTCTTAACAAGACCCACTCTCAAAAGAAACAATTTTACCAGAGCTGAACCAACTGGGGTTTTATCAGAGTCTCGCCAGCCTGGGAGAAGGAAAATACCCAACTCCAGCCCCCCATAGACATTCTGCCCCATCTAAGGGGGTGAAACATAGCTGAGAAGCACTGTGAAGTTCACAGTCCAGGGGACTGGGCTCACTAGATGACTGAGACCTAATCAGAGGAAAATAGACCATTTTCCCTCTCCCAACACCTTCCCAACACATCACTGAAGGCCTATTTATGGCAATTCCTTTCACCCAGGATGTCATGTATGGCTTTCAACAAAAATTTACAAAGCCAAAGATACAACTTGGAAAGACAAAGCAAATGCCAAAACCAAACTCACATATGGGAGGAATGTCAGAATTATCAGTCCAGGAATTTAAAATAACTATGATTAATATGCTGAGAGCTCTAATGGAAAATTTACACAACATACAAAAACAGATGGGTAACGTAAGCAGAGACATGGAAATTCTAAAAAATAATAAAAAATGCTAGAGATGAAAAGCACCATAACAGAAATGAAGAATGGCGTATTAGTAGATGGAACACGGCTGAGAAAAGAATCTCTGAGCTTGAGGGTATGTCAACAGAAACTTTCAAAACCAAAAAGCAGAGAAAAATGTATGCAAGAAATGAACAGAATATCCAAGAACTGGGGGACAACTACAAAAGATATTGTCAATGAAAAGAGTCAAACTCTATAAATATTTGAAGAGATTTATTCTGAGCCAAATATGAATGACCAATGGCCTGAGACACAGCCCCAGGAGATCCTGAGAGCATGTGCCCAAGGTTGCCCAAGGCTACACAGCTTGGTTTTATTTATTTTAGGGAGACATAAGACATCAATCAATACATGTAAGATGTACATTGGTTTGGTCCAGAAAGGTAAGAAAATTTGAAGTGGGGGCTTCCAGGTCATAGATGGATTCAAGAATTTTGTTCATCAGCAATCGGTTGAAGGAGTTAAGTTATTGTCTAAAAATCTATAATTAATAAAGGGTAATGTCTGGGTTAAGATAAGAGGTTGTGGAGACCAAGGTTCTCATTATGCAGACAGAATCAATAGAAGGGACTGTTTCTTATCTGACTTAAAGAGTTTTCTATGAGTCTTAAGTTCTCTGTTTTAATGTTAATGCTGGCAGGTATGCCTGAATTCCAAAGGAAGAGGGGTATAATGAGGCATGTCTGACCCCCACTTCCATCAGGGCCTGAACTAGCTTTTCAGGTTAACTTTGGAATGCCCTTGGCTGAGGGGAGGGTCCATCAGTCAATTGCATGGCTAAGAATTTTATTTTTGGTTTACAATATAATATACATGAATAGAGACTACTAGAAGGAGAAGACAGAAAGGAACAGAAGACACATTTGAAGTAATAATGACTGAGAATTTCCCCAAAATTAATGTCAGACACAAAGTCACAGATCCAGGAAGTTCCAGGTACATCAGCAGGATAAGTGCCCAAAAAACTACACCTGGGCATATCATATTCAAATCAAAGATTTAAAAAAATCTTGAAAGAGGCCAGAGGGAAAAAAGCAACTTACCTATAGAGGAGCAAAGATAAGAATTATATCCAACTTCTCCTCAGAAGCCATGCAAACAAGATGAGAGTAGAGTAAGATATTTAAAGACTTGCAAGGAAAAAGTGCACCAACCTACAATTCTGTGCTCTGCAGAATTATTTCTCAAAAGTGAAGGAGAATTAAAGACTTTCTCAGACAAACAAAAATTTAAATAATTTATTGCCAGTAGATCTGCCTTGAGAAGAATGTTAAAAGAAGTTCTTCCAAGAGAAGAAAAATAATATAGAAAATTAGAAAATCAGATCCACATGAAGAAAAGAAGAGCATTAGAGAAGGAATAAGTGAAGGTCAAACAAAAACTCTTATTTTTGCCAAGGCATGCTGGTTCATGCCTGTAACCCCAACACTTCGGGAGGCCAAAGCAGGAGGATCATTTGAAGCCAGGAGTTTGAGACCAACCTAGGCAACAAAACAAGACCCTGTCTCTACAAAAAAAAAAAGAAAGAAAGAAAGAAAAGAAAAAGGAACTTTTATTCTTCTTATCATTTATTGACCTAACCTATAACAGCATGCTCAAAATAGTAATAGCAACAATGTGTTTAATTATCAAATCTATGTATAAGTGAAATGAATGATAGCAATAACACAAGGGGTATGAGACAAAAATTAGGAATATTTTATTATTATAAAGTAATGAAGCAGTACAGTGCTATTTAAAAGCAGATTTATGCTGGGCGCGGTGGCTCGTGCCTGTAATCCCAGCACTTTGGGAGGCTGAGGCAGGTGGATCACCTGAGGTCAGGAGTTCAAGACCATCCTGGCCAACATGGTGTTTAGTCTCTACTAAACATACAAAATTAGTAAAGCGTGGCAGCATGTGCCTGTAATCCCAGCTGCACAGGAGGCTGAGGCAGGAGAATTGCTTAAACTCGGGAGGCGGAGGTTGCAGTGAGCTGAGATAGCGCCATTGCACTCCAGCCTGGGCAAAAAGAACGAAATTCCGTCTCAATAAATAAATAAATAAATGCTGATTTACAGCCAGGTGCAGTGGCCCATGTATAAATAAACAAACAAATAAATAAATAAAAGCGGATTTAGGGCCAGGTGCAGTGGCCCATGCCTGTAATCCCAACATTTTGGGAAGCTGAGCTGGGAGGACTACTTGAGCCTAGGAGTTCAAGACCATCTTGGGCAACAACGTGAGACCCCATCTCTACAAAAAATAGAAATTAAAAAAATTAGCTAGGCATGGTGGTGCGTGCTTGTGGTCCCAGCTACTGGGGAGGCTGAGGAGGGAGGATAGCCCAGGAGATTGAGGCTGTAGTGAGCCATGATTGTGCCATTGCACTCTGGCCTGGATGACAGAGTGACACCCTGTCTCAAAACAAAAAATTAAAATTAAAATTAATTAATTAAAAAGTAGACTTGACCATACTGCCCAAAGCAATCTGCAAATTCAATGCTATTCCTATCAGATTACCAACTTCATTTTTCACAGAATAAGAAAAAATGATTCTAAAACTCATATGAGGCCAGGCACAATGGCTCACACCTGTAATCCCAGCACTTTGGGAGACTGAGGCAGGCAGATCTCCTGAGGTCAGGAGTTCGAGACCAGCCTGACCAACATGGAGAAACCCTGTCTCTACTAAAAATACAAAATTAGCCAGGTGTGGTGGCACATGCCTGTAATCCCAGTTACTCAGGAGGCTGTGGCAGGAGAATTGCTTGAACCCAGGAGGCAGAGGTTGCGGTGAGCCGAGATCACGCCATTGCACTCCAGCCTGGGCAACAAGAGTGAAACTATGTCTCAAAAAATAAAATAAGGCCAGGCGTGGTGGCTCACACCTGTAATCCCAGCACTTTGGGAGGCCGAGGTGGGCGGATCACAAGGTCAGGAGATCGAGACCATCCTGGCTAATTCGGTGAAACCCTGTCTCTACTGAAAATACAAAACAAAAAAGAAGTAGCTGGGCGTGGTGGCACGCTCCTGTAGTCCCAGCTACTTGGGAGGCTGAGGCAGGAGAATGGCATGAACCCGGGAGGTGGAGCTTGCAGTGAGCCAAGATCATGCCACTGCCACTGCACTCCAGCCTGGGCAATGGAGCAAGACTCCGTCTCGAAAAATAAATAAATAAATAATAAAATAAAATAAAACCCAAAAAAGTACCTGAATAGCCAAGGCAATCCTAACCCAAAAGAACAAAGCCAGAGGTATAACAGTACCTGACTTCAAGCTATACTAAAAGGCTACAATAAACAAAACAGCAGGGTACTGGTACAAAAATAGACACATAGACCAATGGAACAGAATAGAGACCCCTGAAAGCCACACACCTACAAACAACTGATCTTTAACAAAATTGACAAAGCTAAATAACGAGGAGAGGACACCCAATTCAATAAATGTTGCTAGGAAAATTGGCTAACTATATGCAGATGAATGAAACTGTACCCACACTTCCCATTACATATAAAAATTAACTCGAGATGGATTAAAGACTTAAATGTAAGACCTCAAACTATAAAAATTCTAGAAGAGGCCAGGCGTGGTGGCTCATGCCTATAATCTCAGCACTTTGGAGGCCAGGGCAGGTGGAATGCTTGAGCCCAGGAGTTTGAGACCACCCTGGGCAACATGGTGAGACCTCATGTCTATTAAAAAAAATGCTAGAAGAAGGCCTAGAAAATACTCTTCTAGACATTGATCCTGGCAAATAATCTATATGATGAAGACCCCAAAAGCAAATGCAACAAAATTAAAAAATAGACAAATTAGACTTAATTAAAATGAAGAACTTCAGCAAAAGAAACTCTCAACAGACTAAACAAATAGCCTACAGAATTAGAAAAAAATTTGCAAACTATATCTCTGAAAAGGACTAATATCAGAGTCTATAAGGAATTTAAACAAATCAACAAGAAAACAAAAAACCCCATTAAAAAATGGGCAAAGAACATGGACAGGCACTTCTCAAAAGAAGTTATAAAAGTGGCCAAGAAACATGAAAAAATGCTGAACATAACTAATCACCAGAAAGATGTAAATCAAAGCCACAATGAGATACCATCTCACACCAATCAGAGTGGCTATTATTAAAAAGTCAAAAAAATAACAGATGTTGGTGAGGAGGCAGAGAAAAGGCAATGCTTATACACTGTTGGAGGGATTGCAAATTAGTGCAGCCTCTGTGGAAAGCTGTTTGGAGATGTATCAAAGAACTAAAAACAGAACTACCATTTGACCCAATAATTCCATTACTGAGTATATACCCAAAGGAAAATAAAGTTTTCTACCAAAAAGACACATGCACTCATGTATTCATTCCAGCACTATTCACAATAGCAAAGACATGGAATCAATGCCCATCAACATCAACAGTGGTTACCAACAGTGGATTGGATAAAGAAAATGTGGTACATAAGGCTGGGTGCTATGGCTCACGCCTGTGACCCCAGCACTTTGGGAGGCCGAGGCGGGTTGATCGCTTGAGCTCAGGAGTTTGAGACCAGCCTGGGGAACATGGTAAAACCCAATCTCTACCAAAAAAAAAAATTGTTTTTAATTAGCTGGGCATGCTGGTGTGTGCCTGTAGTCCCAGCTACTTGAGAGGCTGAGGTGGGCAGATCGCTTGAGCCTGGGTGGCAGAAGTTGCAGTGAACCAAGATCATGTCACTACACTCCAGCCTGGGTGACAGAGTAAGACCCTGTCTCAAAAAAAGAAAATGTGACATATACTCCATGGAATACTATGCAGCCATAAAAAAAATGAACTCATGTCCTTTGCAGCACTTGGATACAGTTGGAGGCAGTTACTCTAAGTGAATTCATGCAGAAACAGAAAACCAAATGTTACATGTTCTCACTTATAAGTGGGAGCTAAGTCTTGAGTTCACACAGACATTAAGATGGGAATAATAGACAATGCAGACTCCAAAATGAGGGAAGAAGGGAGGGTATCAACGGTTGAAAAACTTCCTATTGGATACACTGCTCACTATCTGGGTGATGGGATCAATAGAAGCCCAAACCTCAACATCACACAATATACCCTTGTAACAAACCTGCACATATACCTCCTGAATCTAAAATAAAAGTGAAAAAATGTGTTTAAGTGAACTTGGAGTCACTCTAAATGTATACTGCAAACTCTAGGGCAACCAGTGAAAAAAAAATTTAAAGGAATGCAACTGATGTGCTAAGAAATATGATTATATAAAATGTTCAGTTAAAACCACAAAAGGCAGAGGAAGAGTGGAAGACAAAGATAGAACAAAGAACAAGGGCAACAAACAGAAAAGAGTAACAGGGTGATGGTTGCACCAAAATCTCAGAAATCACTGCTAGAGAACTTATCCATGTAACCAAAAATCACCTGTTCCCCAAAAAGTATTGAAATAAAAAGACAGTAACAAATGTGGTTATTGTCAGATGTTATAGATATTAATCCAACTCTATCAATGGTCTAAATACACCAGTTAAAGGACAATTGTCGGAGTAGATGAAAACAATAAGACCCAGCTATATGTTGTCTATAAGTGACCTATTTTCATTATAAAGACACATCTAGATTAAAACTTAAAAGAAGGACAAAGATATACCACACTTACATTAATTTTTTAAAAAGTGAGTAGCTATATTAATTTCAGAGAAAGCACACTTCAGAGCAAAGAAAATTATCAGGATACAGAGGGACATTACATAATGATAAGTGGGTCAGTTCTCCCAAAAGACCTTACAATCCATAATGTGTATGTGCTTAATTAATAACAGAACATCAAAATACATTAATCAAAAACAGAGAGAACTGTAAGAAGAGAAAGATAAATCTACTAATATATTTGGAGACTTCAGCAGCCCTCCATCAGTAATAGAGAGATCTAGCAGGCAAAAAAATCAGTAAGGACAAAGTTGAACTCAACAATACCATCAATCAACTGGGTATAGTTGACAGCTGTAGACCATTTCATCCAACAACAACAGAATACACATTCTTCTGTAGGTCACATAGAACATTCACTGAGATAGACCATACTTTGGGCCATAAATTACACCTTAACAAATTTAAAAGAATATAAATTACAAAATGTGGAATTAAACTAGAAAGCAATAACAGAATGAAAGCTGGAAAACCTCAAAATACTGGATGATTAAACAGCACAATTCCAAATAACACACAAGTCAACAAAGAAATCTCAAGATAAATTAAAACATTTTTAATACATTAATTAAAAAACAATTTTATCAAAATGTGTGGGACCCGCAAAGCAGTGCTTAGAAATTTACAGCATTAAAGTCATGTATTAGGAAAAAAGAAAGATCTAAAATCAGTAATCAAAACATTCACCTTGGGAAGCTAGAAAAGACCAATTAAATCCAAAGTAAGCAGAAGGAAAGGAACGATAAAAATTAAAGCAGAAATAATGAAATTTTTCAAGGAAATCAGGGAGGAGGGGGTAAGAAAAAAATATGAATGCATTTATTACTACTGACTTTTACACTTAAAAATGGTAAAGATGGTAAATTACATATGTATATTTTACCTCAATAAAAATTTTTACAAGAAAATAGGAAATCAATAGAGAAAATCAACAAAACCAAATGCTGGTTTTTTTTAAAAGATCAGTAAAATTGATAAGCCTCTAGCCAGGCTAAGAAAATAAGAGAGAAGACACAAATTATTCATATAACAAATGAAAGAGGGAACATCATTACAGATCCCAATCAGACATTAAAATGATAAAAAAGAAATACTATGAGCAAATTTATGTTCACACATTTGATAGCATAGATGAAATAGCCAATTCCTTGAAAGATACAATCTGCTGAAAAGTTACACAAGAAGAAATAGACGATCTTAATAGGCCTATATCTATTAAAGAAATTGAGTCAATAATCAATAATCTTGCAAAACAGAAAGCACCAGGCCAGATGGTTTGCTAGACAATTCTACCAAACATTTAAGGAAGAAATTATACCAATTCTCTACAATTTCTTCCAGAAGACAGAAGCAGAGGGAATATTTGCTAACTCATTCTATGGGGCCAATATTACCCTCATATTATAAAACAAAGACATTACATGAAAATAAAACTACAGCCGGGCACAGTGGCTCACGCCTGTAATCCCAACACTTTGGAAGGCCGAGGCGGGCAGATCACGAGGTCAGGAGACTGAGACTATCCTGGCTAACACGGTGAAACCCCGTCTCTACTAAAAATACAAAGAAATTAGCCGGGCGTGGTGGCGGGCACCTGTGGTCCCAGCTAGTTGGGAGGCTGAGGCAGGAGAATGGCGTGAACCCGGGAGGCGGAGCTTGCAGTGAGCCGAGATCGCGCCACTGCACTACAGCCTGGGCGAAAGAACGAGACTCCATCTCAAAAAAAAAAAAAAAAAAAGAAAACAAAACAAAACCACAGACTCACCCAGAGCAATATCTCTCATGAACATACATGAAAAATTTCTCAACAAAAAATTAGCAAATTGAATCCAACAATATATAAAAAGAATTATACACTATGACCAAGTGGGATTCATTCTGGGTATACAAGGCTAGTTCAACATCTGAAAATCAACTCATCACACCAACAGGCTAAAGAAGAAAAAAAACACATGATCATATCAATAGATGAAGAAAATAAAGAAAAAGCATTTGACAAAATCCAACAGCCATTCATGACAAAAACTCTCAGCAAACTAGAAATGGAAGTGAACCTCCTCAACTTGATTATAAGAAGTAAAATAAAAAAACTACAACTAACATCATATTTAATGGCGAGAAGCTAGAAAACTTTATTGCTAAGATCACAAACAGGGCAAGATGTGTCCTATCACAACTCCTTTTCACCATCGTACTGGAAACCCTAGCTAATGCACAAAGACTAGGAAAGGAAATACAGTCATGTGCCACTTGACAACTTTTCAGTCAATGACAGATTACATATACAACGGTGGTTCCATAAAATTGCAATGGGGAAGAAAAACTCCTATTGCCTAGTGAGGTTGTAGCGACTGTAATGTCATAGTGCAACACATTACTCATGTTTATGGTGATGCTGGTGTAAACAAACCTACTGTGCTGCCATGCATATAAAAGTATAGCACTCAGTTATATACAGTGCATAATACTTACTAATAAATGACTATGCTATTGGTTTATGTATTTGCTATACTATACTTTTTATCATTATTTTACGGTGTACTACTTCTATTTACTTTTTTTTTTTTTTTTTTTTTTGAGATGGAGTATTGCTTTGTCGCCCAGGCTGGAGTGCAGTGGGGTGATCTTGGCTCACTGCAAGCTCTGCCTCCCGAGTTCACGCCATTCTCCCGCCTCAGCCTCCCAAGTAGCTGGGACTACAGGCGCCCGCCACCACACCCGCCTAATTTTTTGTATTTTTTTTAGTAGAGACAGGGTTTCACCGTGTTAGCCAGGATGGTCTCGATCTCCTGACCTTGTGATCCGCCCGCCTCGGCCTCCAAAAGTGCTGGGATTACAGGCGTGAGCCACCGCGCCCAGCCTCTACTTACTTTTTTAAAGAAAGTTAACTATAAAACAGTCTCAGGCAGGTCCTTCAGGAGGTATTCCAGAAGAAGGCATTGTTATCACAGGAGATGACAGCTCCAGGTGTGTTATTGCACTTGAAGACCTTACAGTGGAACAAGATGTGGAGGTGGGAGACAGTGATATCGATGATCCTGGCCCTATGTAGAACTAGAACTATGCAGAACTAACTATGTAGGTTAATGCTTGTGTTTGTGTCTTAGTTTTAAATAACATCTTTAAAAAGAAAAAATAAAACAAAAATTTAAAAAAATAGAAAATATCGTATAGAATATGAGTTTAAAGAAAATATTTTTGTATAGCTATACAGTGTGTTTGTGTTTTAAGCTAATTGTTATTTACAAGAGAGTTAACAAGTTGAAAAATTAAAACATTTATAAAGTTAAAATGTTACAGTAAGCTAAGGTTAATTTATTATTGAAGAAACAAAAAATATTTTTCATAAATTTAATATACCCTAAGTCTACAGTGTTTATGGGCGACAGGTATCCAAAATATACAAAGAACACTTAAAACTAAGCCATAAGAAAATGAACAAAAAAATCTCAACAGACACCTCACTAAAGAAGATATACAGGTGGCAAATAATTATATAAAAATAAGCATACATCATAAGAGAAATTGCAAATGAAAACAAAATGAGATACCACTACATACCTATTAGAATGGCCATTATCCCAAAGGCTGTCAACAGCAAATGCTGGTGAGGATGTGGAGGAACAGAAACTGTCATTCATTGCTGGTGGGAATGCCAAATGATAAAGCCACTTCGGAAGACAGTTTGGCACTTCTTTACAAAACCTAAGCATACTCTTAGCACATGTGATCATTAGTTTTATGTATCAACTTGACTCGGTCATGGGTTGACCAGATATTTAGTCAAACATTATTCTGGGTGTTTCTGTGAAGGTGTTTTGGGATGAGGGTACTATTTAAGTTGGTAGACCAAGTAAAGCAGATTGCCCTCCGTAATGTGGATAGGCCTCATCCAATCAGTTGAAGACCTGAATAGAGCAAAAGATTGACCCTCTCTGAAGGAAGAGACAACTCTTCTGCCTGACAGGCTTCAGACTGGAATACTGTCTCTTCCTGGTTCTACAGCAGCCTGCCAGCCTTTGGACTCAAACTGGAACATTAGCTCTACAGATTTTGGACTTACCACCTCTGTAATTGTGTGAGCTAATTTCTTATAATAAATCTCTTTATAATGTATATACATCCTACTGGTTCTGTTTCTCTGGAGAATCTTGACTAATATGCCATATGATCCAGTATTTGGATTCCTTGGTATTTACACAAAGGAGCTGAAAATATATATCCATCCAAAAACCTGCACATGGATGTTTATAAGAGCTTTAGCCATAATTGCCAAAATCTGGAAGCAACCAAGATTTCCTTCAGTAGGTGAATGGATAAACCAGGTGTCTGGTACATCCAGACAATGGAATATTATTCAGCACTTAAAAAATGGGCTCAGTCGCTCACACCTGTAATCCCAGCACTTTGGGAGTCTGAGACAGGCAGATCACCTGAGGTCAGGAGTTTGAGACCAATCTGACCAACATAGCGAAACCTCATCTCTACTAAAAATACAAAAATTAGCCAGGTGTGGTGATGCATGCTGTAATCCCAGCTACTTGGAAGGATGAGACAGAAGAATTGCTTGAACCCGGGAGACGAAGGTTGCAGTGAGCCGAGATTGCGCCACTGCACTCCAGACTGGGTGACAGAGCAAGACTCCATCTCAAAAAAAAAAAAAAAAAAAAAAAAAGAGGGCTATCCAGGCGTGGTGGCCCATGCCTGTAGTTGCAGCTACTTTGGAAGCTGAGGCGGGAGAATTGCTTGAACCTGGGAGGCAGAGGTTGCAGTGACCCAAGATTGCACCACTACACTCCGGCTTTAAGTGCATATTACTAAGTGAAAGCAGCCTATCTGAAAGTCTACATACTGTATGATTCCAACTATATGACAATCTGGGAAAGGCAAAACTATGGGAGACAATAAAAACATCAGTAGTTGCCAAAAATTGCAGGGAGGAAGGGATGAACAGGTGGAGCACAGAGGATTTTTAGGGAAGTGAAAATACTCTGTGATACTAGAATGGTGGATACATGTCATTATAATTTGTCCAAATCCATAGAATGTAAAACACCAAGAGAGAAATCTAATGTTAACTATGGACTTTGGGTGATAATGATACATCAATGCAGGTTCATAAATTGTAACACATGTATTACTCTGCTAAGGATGTTGATTAAGAAGCAGGCGGTGGGGGAGCAGAGTCTGCATGTGCTGAGCAGGGTGTGTACTGGAATTATGTACTATCCACTCAGTTTTGCTGGGAATCTAAGATTGCTCTATAAAGTTTTTTTTTAAATGAGCAAATGATTTGGATAAATATTTATCCAAAGAAAACATATACATGGCTACTAAGCACATAAAAAGATGCTCAACATTATTAGTTATTAGGCTCCTTGGTCCATTCAGGCTGCTATAACAAAATACCATAAACTGGATAGCTTATAAACAAAAGAAATTTATTTCTCACAGTTCTGGAGTGTGGGAAGTCTAAGATCAAGGCACCAGCAGATTCAGTGGGTGGTGAGAGCCCACTTTCTGCTTCATCGATGGCACCTTCTTATGGTGTCCTCACATGATGGAGGGGACAAAGGAGCACTTCTCAGGCTTCCTTTATAAGGGCGCTATTACCATTCATAGGGTAGAGCCCTCATAACCTAATCATATCTCAAAGGCTTTCCAACCCCTAATAATACCACCTTAGGTATTAGAATTTCAACATATTAATATTGGGGTCAGGGAGTGGGAGCAGATCATAACATTAGGGAAATGCCAATCAAAACCACAATGACATACCATTTCACACCCACTAGGATGGCTATAATAAAAAATATGGTCAATAACAGGTGTTTGCGAGGATGTAGAAAAACTAGAATTCTTGTACATCACTGGTAGAAATGTAAAATGGTATGGCTTTTGTGCAAAAGAGGTTGGTGGTTCCTCAAAAAATTAAATGTGGAGTTACTATATGACCCAGAACTTTCAATCCTACATATATACCCAAAAGAATTAAACATATAGGCTCACACAACAAGTTGCGCACAGATCTTCACAGCAGTATTATTTATAATAGCCAAAAAGTAGAAACAGCCCAAATGTCTATTAATTGGCTCATGTATAAACAAAATGTGATATATGCATGCAATGGAATATTATTCAGCCATTAAAAGAAATAGAATGCTGATAATGACATCATATTGTATGATTCCATTTATAGGAAATGTACAGAATAAGCAAATCCATAGAAACAGAAAAGAGATAAGTGCTTGCCAGTGGTTGGGTATTGGAGGAATGGGAATGGCTGCTAATTGGTACGGTGTTTATAATGTGATGAAATGTTTTGGAAAGAGATACTGGAGATGATTGCCCAACCTCGTGAATATATTAACATCGACTGAATTGTACCCTTTAAAATGGTAGACTTCATGGTATGTGAATTATATCTTAATTTGAAAAAATTATTTTAAGGTACGAGTAATGTAGATTTCAGGAATCCCTTTATGTCTTAAAATGAATTTATTTTGACACTACACTTTGTTGATAGTTTGACTGAGTAAATAATTCTAGGTTCAAGAGGAATTATTTTTTTTTAAACCTTGAAGACCTTTACCCTACCATATTCTAGCTTTCATTATGGCTGATGAGATGTCTGATTTTTTCCCCCTTTCTTTATTTGCTTATTTTTCTTTCCCTCCTTCCTTCCTTCTTTTCTTTTTTTAAGAAGAACTAGAAATTCTTCCTGGAAACTTTTAGAGTGTCCTCTTTATCTTTGTTTTTCTGAATCTCACAGTTATGATTCTGACAGTGAGTGTTAGGTAGGAAGGGAAATAATTGATCTTTATCAACATGAATATTGCTTCTCTGTTCAACTTATAAAAATATTCTTTTTTAAAATTTATTTTTATTGAAGACTAGTTTATATACATTGAAATTCACACATCTTAAGTGTACAATTTGATGAGTTTTAGCAAATGTACATACTTGTGTAACTACCATTTCATGTGCTTTTTGGTCATTTGTATTTTTTTCTTTTCTAAAATGTTTGCCTAAGTCTCTTTCTCATTTACAGTGGATCCAATTTGTCAATTTTTTCTTTTACAGATTGTGCAAGAGGAAGATGTATGTCACGTCAAAGAATTATTTGCTAGTCCTAAGTCCTGAAATTTCTATTTTTTCCTAAACATTTTATGGTTTTATATTTTACATATAAGTTCATGAGTTAATTTTTGCATAAAGTATGCGTTTTAAGTTGAGCTTCTTTTTTTTGCTTACAAATGTCACTTTGACAAATTTTAAAACTGAGTTATCTTTATTACTGAGTTGTAAGAATTCTTTCCATCCCCTAGATACACATCCTTTGTCAGATGTATGTATTACAAATATTTTCTTTTGGTCCTGGCTTGTTTATTCATTTGCTTAACGGTGTCTCTTATGGTTTTACATTTTGATTAAACCCAATGTGTTAGTTTTTTTGAGGTTGGTACTTTTCGGTCTCATGGAAAAAAATCTTTGCCAACCCCACAGTCATGAAGATATTCTTCTGTTTTTCTCTAGAAGCCTTTTAGTTTTAGCTTTTGAGTTTAGGTCCATGATGCATCTCAAAATTAGTTTTTTGTGTAGCATGAGGTAAGGATTGAGACTAATCTTTTTCCATATGTCCATCTAATTTTTCCAGCACCATTTATTGAAAAGATTTTTCTTTCCTATATAATTTCCTATAGTAGCATTAAGACTAATATGGCTATGTACTTGTTTAGGATGCCCTTGAACTCCTGTAGGTTGGGATGATGACCACTGGTATGCCTCATTATCAAAAGTGTCAAATTCCTGCTGCCTCATGTCATTGGCTACTTGCACATAATAATTTTGTCTATCTTCAGGGTTCTGGTTTTCCTTCTCTTTCTCTTCTTCACAATTTGGGTAATAGTCATCTTTGCAGCCATCAGATTCCTAGCTGTTCATATTCAGAGGTATCTTGATGTGATGGGATACTTTGTTTACCCCCTTCGCAGGCAGGAACTGGAGTGGTTCTTTCACTCTGCCCACCGCTGGCCACTCCTCCGCTCAGGAGGGAGGGTGCGAGCGAGCAAGTGCAGGAACTGAAGCGAACAAACACTGGAACTGGCCAGAGTCCAAGCATGTTATGACCAATACTCTGTCAGATCAGCCGTCCAGGGACAGGGGAGTGCCAACCAGCTCACTGGAGGGTCAAGGTGGCAGCCTCTGACCTCTCAGCACCCAGGTTCTTGTCCAGCATCCAGGAAGAATCAAGTCACATGAACTGTTTGAGAGGTTGATGAATGCAGAAGACTTTATTGAGCAGTGGTTGGCTCTCAGCAGAAAAGGAGACTGAAAAGCGGTCGGGAAAATGATCTCTCTCTCCCTGAAGCCCGGCTGCCCCTCTCTGAAGCAGCCCTGTCTGAAGTTAGCCACATCTATCCATAGTCTCCAACGTTCAGTTGCTTCTCTGCTCGCTGCTCAGCCACTTGTGTTGCTCTGCCAGCTGAAGTCTTCTATGGGCACAGGATAGGAGCATGGCAGGCCAAAAAGGTAACATTTGGGCAGAAAAACGGGGTCAGCTGTTTTCACTTGGGGCCGCAGTTTCAGGCATATGGGTGGGGTTTAGCTGGGAGCCCAGCCCTTCTGTATCATTGACAGCCAAGTTTCAGATAAAAAAAGCTGCTTCCTTCCCTCACCCTCTAACTCTTTAAAACTTTATTACTTCCTCAAATGCATTAGAAATTTGTGTCTGTATTTTTCAAGGTCATACACAAAGGTATTACTAAAATTACCATATGATTTTCATTGAGAACTCAATCTTTTGGCAGCTAAGCATTAATCAGGTTAGCCAAGTTGTTCCTTCCAAGGAGGGTTCCGGGAGGGTACAGGTCACAGCCATAGAACAGGAAAGAAGCAGGCCAAAGCCGATATGTGATCCAGGCTGCTTTCTCCTTCTCTTGTTCCGTCATCATTTTCAGGTAACTTCATCTTGACATTCTGCAAAACATAATTCTGGTCGACTACATGAGTGGCATGATGCTAATGTGACTTATGAGCAAGAAGTGGCAAATACCCTACATGCCCAAGTAAGTACATAGTGAGAAATAATTCCATAGAGATTCAGAGGCCTACCATATTGTTGAAATTTTGAAGAATACAACAATCCAATACATGTGTTATAAGGTAAAGACGGGTGGTAGAATATTGCGCCATCTATGATAAATAAAGAGGCATAGGCCAAGCATGGTGGCTCACACCTGTAATCCCAGCACTTTGGGAGGCCAAGGCTGGAGGAGTAGGAGTTTAAGACTTAAACTCACTTGAGCGTAGGAGTTTAAGACTAGCCTGGACAACATGGCAAAACTCTGTCTCCACAAAAAATACAAAAATTTGCCAGGCATGGTAGTGTGCACCTGTAGTCCCAGCTACTTGGGAGGCTGAGGTGGAAGGATTGCTTAAGCCTGGGAAGTGTAGTTTGCAGTGAGCAGTGAGCTGTGATTGCACTTGCACTCCAGCCTGGGTGACAAAGCAAGACCCTGTCTTAAAAAAAAAAAGAAGGAAAGGGAAGAAGAGGAGGGGAGGGGAGGGGAGGGAAGAGGAGAGGGGAGGGAAAGAAAGAAAAAGAAAGAGGCATAATGGTTTCTGGGTTTCTTTGGATTTTGGAGAAAGCAAATACTATATACTTTGAGTGGGGACCAGAACTACAAGCAGGTCAAGACAATCATGCAAGCTGTTCAAACACTTGTGTCATGACATCAGCAGATCTGCTACTGCTGGAGATAATCCTGACCCTGAAACTGCTGACTAGGCTAGGTTAGGAGGTATAGAGTTCCACCCAATTAGAAGTTATGACTAATAAGTGTAACAAGTGGAGTCACTTTGGGTTACTCATTCTATTGAGCAAACAGGTGAAAAATGGAGTTAATGCACTGGCTAGGGTAATGAACTCTGAGCTAGAGTTACTACTACCTAATTAAAGCAGGGAGGATATGTCTGGAACCGAAGGGAGTCAGTGGAGCATCTCTTACCATTTCCATGCCCAGTGTTAATTGTCGTCGGGAAATTACAGACTCAGATGAAGTTCCATGCCACAGCAAATGGGATCGGGCTTTTCCAGTAACTGCCCAAATGTTCTTCCCCTCTTTCTCAGCCTCACTTCCCTTTTCTTACACTCTTACTATTCTGAGATGGAACCTCGCCCCCCAAAATATTAACAATTAAGCTTTGTTTGAGTCTCTATTTTCCAGAGGACTCAGGCAAAGGCCCCTTCCAACTTCTAGTCTTTAGTCATTCAATCATTCTAGGGCTGTCCAGTAAAAATTAGACAGCCTGAGGCTGAGCTGTTCAATAGAAACAATATGAGTGTCATATAAAATTTTTAAATTTCTAGTAGTCACATTTTAAAAAGTAAACAGGTGAAATTAATTTTACTTAAACCAATATACCTAATATGTTGTCATTTCAACACATATTTAATATAATAATGAAATAGTTTTTTTATATTAAGGTTTCAAAGTCTATTGTGAATTTTATACTTACAGTATATCTCAATTTGAATGTTAACTTATCATTGGAAATACTTGATTTATATTAGATTTCATAAATTTTACAATAAAAAAGATTCACATTCCCAAGTTGTTCCAAAATATTGGGAGACAATTCTCCATGGGTCTCTCATATTTCCGAACATCTTGTGAGCAGAGGCACTGGTTGTCTTTGTTCTGAACTATCTTTAAAGGATGTCTGTATATCAAATAGCCTTGGAAGACTGACATAGTGTCTCCCTCTGAAGCATGAGGTAGGTATGCTTATTGTCCAGATCATAAAGTTAATGTGCAGCTGTGCTTGCAGGACAGTTCTCCAGGTAGCGTTATGCCACCCAGTTCCTCCTCCTTTCTGGCTTGTAGTCCTCAAAAAGTGACTGTAGAATGTACTGGGAATGCAACACTCTAAGATGAGGAGGGACTGTGTAGGCTCTATTATAGTCTCTCTTCCCTAGCCCTCAGAACAGGATGTCCTTCAAAGCTCTGGCCCTGTGTGTTATGACCCCAAAGTATATAACCCAAGGTGGGCTGCCTTTCAGGGTCCCTCAGCTGTGGTGCAAGTAGGGCACACATTGTTGAGACTCTATTTGCCCTAGGTAAATAGAGCTTTCAAGGACTGGCTCACAATGGATCCTGGGCTTCTTTTGTCTCTTGCTGCCTATCTGCAATTAATAAATCATTTCATGTAACTAGTGGCATATGAGTGTGTTATTTCTTAACTCAGGTAAGTTGGTAACCAGTGTACAGTGAAGCTGCTTTGCATTGTTTACCACCATTGTAAAATATTTAGGTTCCCTGAACTAAGGATTCCTTACCTATAAGACAATCAGCTGTGTATACAGATGTCATTTGACCCTCTTTGTATTGCTCTGTAGGAATCAGGCAGAAATTGGTTCAAAGAAATACTGATTCTCTGACTATTGCTATTGCTGTGATTAATAATACTCCTTTGTCTTGAACCCAGGGGTTCTGTGCCTTTTTACCAGTATCTATAAAACTGTGGAAGGTTGATTTATCTTATAAGCAGGGTACAATCTCAGACCACTTACAGTTCTTGACACAAAAATACTTGAAAGTTTTCCAGTAACCTAAATTGAGTACCAGAAAAAAAAAATCACTTTCCTTTAACAGTCACATCCATATTAAAAAAAAAACTGCCTCATATTTTTTAGAAAATAATTGATTTGACTTTGAAAGCAAAAGCATATCAATTTCAAAACTATGTGTTCAAGTAAAGTACATTCACTAAATCTTACGTTGACTCAGTGGTATTGATATTGAATTCAAAAAGAGTATTTCATAAATTGAAAAGCAACTTGAAATTTCTCTCAATATCAATAGTGTTCAAATTTTTCTTGTAGTTCTTACTGTTAATTTATATAATACTTTTGATTTAATTAAAATCTCCTGCATACTGATTTGTTAGAAAATGTAAACTCTTTTAAAAATGCGTAAAATCATTATTATTGGTTTGTATTACCAAAAGTTTAAATTTCAATATAAATCCTTGTACTTGTCTAAATAGGTCACGAGCTTTTGATTTTCTTGGAGTTTCAAATTTAGTTTGTTCACATGCACTGTGATATTGATAAGAAAGCATAAATCACACGGCTGTATTTTTCTCTTTGATTATGGAATATTTGTACAACTTTGTAATGTTTATAGAACTCTTCCATAACTCAACCAATGAATATTGAGAAAGAACACAAGATAGCTAAATTCATTCTCTTCTATTTCTTTCAATTGTTTCATAAACTGGCAATGACTCACAGAATTTGCATGGATACACGGAATAATTTCAATAACTATATCCATTACCTCTTCATAGAGTTTGCTTCAGAAAATTGAGCCCAGATATTTTTAATATCTATCATACAGTGGAATGAAGCAATAAGAAATCATGAGTCACTTATTTCAAAATGCCAATAAATTTAGATTTTGACCTAACTTAGCTAGAGCTTTGTCTCTGATGATATAAATTAACTTTTTTTCCTTTAAATTATTTTCCAACAACTGTAAAAATAAAAAAAAAAAAAGAATTGGCTGGGTGCGGTGACTCATGCCTGTAATCCCAGCACTTTGGGAGGCAGAGGCAGGCAGATCACTTGAGGTCAGCAGTTCGAGACCAGCCTGGCCAACATGGTGAAACTCCACCTCTACTAAAAATACAAAACTTAGCTGGGCATGGTGGTGCGTGCCTGTAGTCCCAGCTACTAGGGAGGCTGAGGCGGGAGAATTGCTTGAACCTGGGAGGCAGAGGCTGTAGTAAGCCAAGATCCCGCCACTGCACTTCAGCCTAGGTGACAGAGTGAGACTCCGTCTCAAAAACAAACAAACAAATAAACAAACCGCATCATGAGTTTGATTCTTAGGCCATGAATTGATATTTCTCTGTAAATTTGGAAGTTCTTTGAGACACAACATACCCAAATATGGGCAGTATTTCTTATATTACCTGATTTGTCTATAGCTAAAGAAACCTATTTGCAACATTTTAAATTTTGAATCAATTGATTTTTGATAGTTAAAAAGATACTGCATTCTACAGACACTTGTTTGATAATTTAATTGAAAATCTTTTACTTTTTAAAAATATTGTTTTTAGCCATTTCTTCATAATTTTCTAACATTTCCATAAATGATATAATAGTTTATTTTACAATCTCTCCATCTAAAAAAATTGTTAGAGGGTGTGTGTGTGTGTGTGTGTGTGTGTAAGAATCCAAGACCTTTTATAACTGGCCATATTTACAAACTTGGATCCTGTCAGATATCATTTAAATTTTTTTGTTGTACTTTTAATTCTGAATTCAGGCAATTAATTTGATCAATTCTTTTTGACTGCTGAGAGGAAAGTTCTTATGATATTTACTATGTTTTTGCTAAAAATGTCTCTCATGACTGTGTATTTTATAATCTTAATATTGTTATACAACAGATAAAAAGTCTTTTCATTTTGCTCTGCCCTAATAAATTGCAATTGCCATTCATTGTGAATTTTGTAACATACCCTCTTCCAGACCGTTTATTCATTCCAGTCATAGTAGTACCTTTGACATCTCCACTGAATCCAATTTAAATGTAAAAATTTGTTCTTCCTCTTCTTTTTTTTTTTTTTTATGAGACGGAGTTTCACTCTTGTCGCCCAGGCTGGAGTGGAGTGGCGATGTCAGCTCACTGTAACCTCCACCTCCTGGGTTCAAGTGATTCTCTGGCCTCAGCCTCCTGAGTAGCTGGGATTACAGACACCTAACACCACACCCGGCTCATTTTTTGTATTTTTAGTAGAGATGGGGTTTTGCCATGTTGGGCAGGCTAGTCTTGAACTCCTGATCTCAGGTGATCCGCCTGCCACGGCCTCCCAAAGTGCTGGAATTACAGACGTGAGCCACCACACCCAGCCTCCACCACCTCCTCCTCCTCCACCTCCTCCCCCCACCCCAACCTCCTCCTCCTCCTCCTCCTTCTTCTTCTTCGTATTATTATTATTTTTTGGAGACAGAGTCTCAGTCTGTTGTCCAGGCTGGAGTGCAGTGGCATGCTCTTGGCTCACTGCAACCTCTGCCTCCCAGGTTCAAGCAATTCTCCTGCCTCAGCCTCCCTAGTAGCTGGGACTACAGGCACGTGCCACCACGCCTGGCTATTTTTTTTTATTTTTAGTAGATGTTGGCCAGGCTGCTCTCGAACTCCTGACCTTAGGTGGTTTGCCCGCCTTGGCCTCCCAAGGTGTTGGGATTATAGGAGTGAGCCACCATGCCTGGCCTATTTTTTAAGCTAGAGAAAATAATTTGATGATATAATTAAAATAAGTATTTAAATTTTATTACCAATTAAAATTTATATCTTTGTAACTTTCACTGTCTGCAAAAATATTTAAATAAATCAGTGCATAGGAACAAAACATCCAAATTGAAAAACCTGTAACTGACAATATTGATGATATATTTATATGTAATACTAGAGTTGACCTACATGCTCAACATACACTGTATAACAATGTCTTATATGATGCAATGGTTAAAGTGAAATGTTGCCCTAACCAAACTGTAAAGTTGGGTTTCATGGAAAACATGCTACTTTTCTTCAGTTTTTAATTTTAAAATGTGACACTAGCCACATTTCAAGTGCTCAGTAGCCATATAAGGCTAGTGACCCTCATACTGGAAAGCACAGCTGTAGGCAACAGAGATTCAGCAGTAAACAAAGCAAGAGAAAAATCCCTCTCCCCTTGGGCCTCAAGTTTTCTGTCTACTTATATTTTATTTACTTAAAAAACAACATAGAGCTGTATTTTGAATTTTTATTGAGTCTGAAAATCTTTGTACTTTGATTGGATAATTTAATCCAGTTACATTTATTTATTATGTTTATTTATTGGCAGGGTCTCACCCTGTCGCCTAGGCTGGAGTGCAGTAGTGCAGTAGTGCAATCATGACTCACTGCAGCCTCAACCTCCCCAGGCTCAGGTGATGCTCCCACTTCAGCCCAAGTAGCTGGGACCACAGGTGCATGCTACCATGCCTGGCTAATATTTCTGTATTTTTTTGTAGAGATGGGGTTTCTCTATGTTGCCCAGGCTTGTCTCAAACTCCCAGGCTTAAGCAATCCTCCAGCCTCGGACTTCCAAAGTGCTGGGATTACAGGTGTGAACAACCGCACCTGGCCCCAATTACTTTTTGAATAATTACTTATACAATTTGGAATTTTACCTACCATATTGTGCCTTCTACTTGTCCTGCCATCTCTAGATCTCTCTCATTTGCCTTTTTTTCTCCTTTGTCTATTGATTTCTTCTCTTCTAATTTAGAAATTATGCACCTTTTCTATTTTTTGTGTTTACCCTACATTTTAAAAGGCTTTTTATTTTGAGATAATTTCGGACTTATAGAAGAATCCACAAAATTAGTACAGAAATTTCCCCTATACACACTGACCAGATTCCCCTAATATCAACATATTACATATTCATAGAATAATCAAATGTAATTAACCAACACTGAAATAATATTATTAAATAATCTACCACTCATAGGGTGGAATGCATCCAGAGCATTTAGGCTGCACAGGAAGTTGCAGAGGGACTGGTAGATCTGTGTAGAGCACTGGGCCACAGGTGAGCTATGCACAGGTTGTGCAGAGGCTGGTAAAGAGTGACTTCAGATGTGTGAGTCTCCAGGCCACAAACGTCAGTGCAGGCCATGCAAGAGCTTTGGTTTCCTTGTGAAGAGGGGTGCAAAAAGGTTATCAGCAGGCCAAAGCTGCAAGGTCACAGACAGATTGTGTTTTGGGCCTGTGGATATTTACTGGTTGTCTTCATACTCACACTAGCCAACCCTCAGCCCATAACAGGAATAGCAGGAGAACCTCTTCCTCTGTAGTATTCCTCCAATGCCCTTTACTTAGAAAGATTAACATCGTGCCCACGTTAAAGGAGGGACTCTGAAAAAAATTCAGTTGCCTATCACAGAAGATATACAGTAACAGATGTTCCTTGACTTATGATGGGGTTACATTTCAATGAACTCATTGTAAATACAAAATATCATAAGTCAAAAATGCATTTAATACACTTAAGCTACCAAACATCATAGCTTAGCCTAGCCTACTTTAAATGTGCTCTGAACACTTAACATTAGACTTGTTTTGGATTATTTTATCTTACTGTAGGCTATTTTATAGTAAAGTGTTGACTGCCTCATGTAATTTATCGAATACTACATTGAAAATGGAAAACAGGGCCGGGTGCTGTGGCTCATACCTGTAATCCTAGCACTTTTGGAGACTGAGGCAGGAGACTTGTTTGAGCCCAGGAGTTCAAGACCAGCCTAGGCAACATTGGGAGACACTGTCTCTACAAAAAATATAAAAACAAAAATTAGTTGGGTGCAGTGCATGTGCTTGTGGTCCCGGCTACTCGGGAGGGTGAGGTGGGAAGACTGCTTGAGCCCAGGAGGTGAAGTCTGCAGTGAGCCATGATCGCACCACTGCACTCCGGCCTGGGTGACAGAGTGTTTCAAACAAGAAAAAAAAAAAGAAAAGGAAAAAACAGAAAAATTGTATGGCTACTCAAAAGTATGGCTTTTACTGAATGCGTATCATTTTGCATCATCATGAAGTCAAAAAATTGTAAGTCGAACCATTGTAAGTCAAACACCATCTGTAGTATCCCTTTATCTATGGTTTCATTTTCTACAGTTTTTCTTACCCATGATTCACCATGGTGTGAAAATATTACGTCTCTACTCTTGTGCTTTGGGAACATTATTAAGTAAAAAAAGTTATTTGAACACAGCACTGTAATACTGTGATAGTCCATGTGATTACCAAGATGGCTACTAAGTGACTAACAGAAATCTGAGCAGGAAGGAGTGGGATGGCATGAGATTTCATCATGTTACTGAGAACACAGTGCAATTTAAAACATGAATTGTTTATTTCTGGAATTATTCATTTATGTCATCATGCTTATGTCATTCACTTCATTTAGGCATTTTATCTCATATAATCACAAGAAGGGTTAGTACAGTACAATAAGATGTATTGAGAGTTCACATTCATCTTATTACAGTATATTGTTATAATTGCTGTATTTTATTATTAATCTCTGTGGCTAACTTATAAACTTTATCATATATATATATAGGAAAAAACATAGTGTATAGTGGGTTTAGTTCTATCTGTGGTTTCAATTATCTACTAGGGGTCTTGCAATGTATCTCCCAAGGATAATGAGGAACTACTTTATTGAAAGGCGCATTTGGAGCCTGGAAGCAGTAAATTGAATTCGAATTCAAGCTCCAATTAGCCATGTGTTAGACCAAGTTATTTTTCCATGGTTCTTAAGCTGTTACTTTCATCTTCATCTTCGTGCTACATTCAGAATGATTTTCTCATATCTTTCATTCCTCTAATTCTTTACTTAGCTGTGTCAACTAGGCTATTAAACCTATCCTTAAGTTTTAATTAGTTTGTTTTCTAAATTCTGGAAGTACTGCTTTTGGTTATTTTTCAAATCTGATTGATCATTTTAATAGCCTCTTGCTCTTTATTCATATTTTAAACTTATTTTATTTCACCCATAATGATAGAGAGGTAAGATTCTGGAATCTGATTATCTAGATTTAAATCCCAACCTCTACCATTAGATGAGTAACTTTGGGCAAATAATAACCTCTTTTCCTCAGTTGCTTCATCTATAAAATAGAAATAATATAAGCATTTAAATAAGTACACAAGTTTGTTATCAGAATTAAGAGTTAATATTATGTAAAGAATTGGCCGGGTGCAGTGGCTCCTGCCTGTAATCCCAGCACTTTGGGAGGCCGAGGGGGGCGGGTCACCTGAGGTCAGGAGTTTGAGACCAGCCTGGCTAACATGGTGAAACCCCATTTCTACTAAAAATACAAAAAATTAGCCAGGCGTGGTGGCAAGCACCTGTAATCCCAGCTACTTGGGAGGCTGAGGCAGGAGAATCGCTTGAACCTGGGAGGCAGAGGTTGCAGTGAGCCGAGATCATACCATTGCACTCCAGCCTGGGCAACAGCAGCGAAACTCCGTCTCAAAAAATAAATAAAATATCTGTGTGTGTGTGTGTGTGTGTGCGCGCGCACGTGCGTGTCTGAAGAATTTAGAAAAGTGCTTGACACTTAAAAGTATTACATAAATGTTGGTTATTACTATCTTTTGTCACTGATATTTTAAGGTGAAATTCACATATTAACTATTGTAAAATGCACAATTCAGTGTAATTTCATGTGTTCACAATGTTGTATAGCCATAACTTCTAGTTCCAAGACATTTTCACCACCCACAAGAGACTACATACCCATCAAGCAGTCATTCCCCATTTCCCTATCTTCCTAGTAGCTGAATCTGCTTTCTGTCTCTATAGAACTATTCTGGATATTCATATAAATGAAATTATACAATATGTGACCTTTTATGTTTTGCTCCTTTCTTTTAGCAAAATGTTTTTAAGGCCCATCCACATTATAGCATGCATCAATACTACAATCTTTCATGTGGCTGAATAATATACCATCGTACGGAAATACCACAATTTGTTTCATTGTTTCCATCTTTTGGCTATTGTGAATAGTGAGTGCTGCTATGAACATTCATTTACAAGTATTTGTTTGAATACCTGTTTTCAGTTGTTTTGGGTACGTAACCAGGAATGAAATTGCTGAGTCATACAATAATTCTATGTTCAACTTTTTGGGGAACTGCCAAACTGCTTTCCACAGAAGCTGCACCATCTTACATTCCCACCAGCATTGTACCAGGTTTCCAGTTTCACAAAATCCTCACCAGCACATTTTCTATTTTAAAATTTTACAGCTATTCTATGGGGTAAAAAGTGATACATCATTGTGGTTTGGACTTGCATTTCTCTAATAACTAGTATGTTGAACATCTTTTCATTTACTTACTGGCCATCTGTTTATCTTATTTGGGAAAATGTTTAAATCTTTTGCCTGTTTTTAAATAGGGTCATCTTCTTGTTGAGTTTTAAAAATTCTTTATTCTGAATACTAGAGCCTAATCATAGATGATTTGAAAATTTGTGTCCATTCTGTAGGTTATCCTTTCATTTTTATAATGTCTTTTGACACACGTTTATAATCTTAATGAAGTCCAATTTATCTTTTTCCTTTGGTTGTTTGTGCTTTTGGTGTCATCTCTAAGTATTGCCAAATCTAAGAACACAAAGATACACTCTCATTTTCTTCTAAGAGTTTTATGGTTTTAGTAGCTCTTACATTTGTGACTTTGATCCATTTTAATTTTTGCATAAGATGTGAGGTAGGGGTCCAAATTCATTCTTTTGCATGTAGATATCTGGTTGTCTCTACACCATATTGTTAAAGAGACTATTGTTTCCCATTGAATGGTCTTGTCATCTTTGTCAAACATCAACTGACCGTAAATGTATGACAATTTCTGGCCTCTCAATTCTATTCCATGAGTCTATGTGTTCCTGTGTATGCTATTTTGATTACTGTAGCTTTGTATTAACTTTTGAAATAGGGAAGTATGAGTTCCTTACTTTCATTCTTTTTAAAGATTGTTTAGCTCCTTGCAGTCCTTTGCAATTCCGTATGAATTTTTACACTTTATCATTTCTGCAAAACAGTCATTGGGATTTTGATAGGGGTTGCATTGAATGTGTAGATTGCTTTGAGAATCACTGTCATTTCAGCATATTAAATCTTCAAATCCATGAACACAGGATGTCTTTTCATTTATTCAGGACTTCTCTTTCAGAAGTTTGATAGTTTTCAGTGTACATGTTTTTGCATTTCCCTTATTAATTTTTTCTTTTTTTGAAATAGAGTCTCACTCTGTCACCCAGGCTGGAGTGCAGTGGCATGATGTCGGCTGACTGCAACCTCTGCCTCCCAGGTTTAAGCAATTCTCCTGGCTCAGCCTCCCGAGTAGCTGGGACTACAGGTGCACGTCACCACACCCAGCTATTTTATTTTTTTTGTATTTTTAGTGGAGATGGGGTTTCACCAAGTTGGCCAGGCTGGTCTCAAACTGCTGACCTCGTGATCTGCACGCCTCGACCTCCGAAAGTGCTGGGATTATAGGTGTGAGCCACTGCACTGGGCCCCTATTCTTTTTGATGCTATTGTATATGGAACTTTCTTAACATCATTTATGGATTGCTTAGAATTAATAATTATTTACAGAAATACAACTGATTTCTCTGTGCCAATCTTGTATCCTGCAAATTTGCCTAATTCTATGAGCGCTAAGTGGTTTTTATGATTTAGGATTTTCCATATACAAGATGTCACTTATTTAGTCTTCCTTTACAATTTGACTAATATTTTTAAAATATTGATATTTAATGTTTTGATTCTTGCAAATTGGTTGGCAACTCATGGTGCTACATTACCTTGTACTTTTTCTTGCTGGTTTTAAAATGTGAGCTATTATGCAATTCCTACAGTGTTTGCTTCTGCCAGTAGCTGGTTGTTTTACTAATTTGGAATCACTCTAAAAATTAAATCCTCTGCTTGAATTTCCTGGGACCACCTAAGCCTGCAAATCTTCACAAAGCCCAAACTGTTATTACAAATTCTCGCAATATTCTCCTGTCACAGAGCACCAAGTTTCAAGATAGGTAGAGTCCTAGTTGTACTAGGAATGGGTTTCTCGTATTTGACACCACTTTTGGGTGCATCCTGGGCTTTGCCAGAGTCATGAAAATTAAAGGTCAGCTGGGCATGATGGTTCACGCCTGTAACCCCAGCACTTTGGGAGGCCGTGGCGAATGGTCTTGAGCCCAGGAGTTCAAGAACAGTCTGGGCAACATGGCGAGTAGCCCCAACTACTCAGGAGGCTGAGGTGGGAGG
This sequence comes from Homo sapiens, assembly GCF_000001405.40. NCBI lineage: Eukaryota > Metazoa > Chordata > Mammalia > Primates > Hominidae > Homo > Homo sapiens. The sequence goes on from NC_000004.12 coordinate 102,791,704, forward strand.
ATTGCTTGAGTCCAGGAGGTCGAGGGGTGTATCACTGCACTCCAGCCTGGGTGATACAGCAAGACCCTGTCTTGTAGAAAAAATGAAAAAAGTTCACTTGGGGTAGGTACTTCAAGTGTTTTCAAAATGCAATGCAAGCTGGTTCTGGGTATGTTCTGTTTTCTTCTGGGTTCTTGGTTTCAGTTTGGTTTTGGTGAGAGTACTCCTTCCTTTCTTGATAGAACATTGACACATCGAAAAAAAAAAAAAAAGTTTTCCCCCAGCAAGTGGTTGCTTTTTCAAAGGATTTATCAGGGTAATCATCCAGGCTGACAGAATCTGAACTGCATTATTTTACTTACAATAAAGAAGGTCTGATTAACAAATTTTTAATAGTATATTAGTTTTCTTTGTTCTTTTGGAGTTAGAAATGAAGCAAGCAAAAGATTAAACATTTTCCCTAAGAAGATATACAAATGACGAGTAAGTACATGTACCTTTGACAGACTACCATTTGGCCCAGTCATTTGTGTTAAATATTTGATCACCTAAAATGTTGCAAGTAGTCATCTCGTCATTGATAAATAAGAGAAAAAAAATCTGTCCTCATAGAACTGGGGTGGCGCTGAGGGTGAGACAATTATTACCTATAAGATAGATAATACTGAATATGCCATGATGTACTCTATAGAGGTGATGCTGTGTTGGTGTATTTATAGAATAGTCAAGAAAAACCACTCTGATAAGGTATTTGAATAGAGACCTAGTTAGGGAAAAGGAAGCTGTATGGTATGTGGGGTAAGATCATCCTAGGCAAAGGTAAGAACAAGAGTAAACATCTTCACACATCTTTGCAAGTCTCAGCAGTCCCATGTGACTGAGCTGAGAGAGTTGGAATGGTGGTGAGACAAGCAAGGAATTGGGGATTAAGCTGAGGCAAAGGTAGGGAAGAAAGTTATCTACAGCCTTGTAGATTACTTTTAATACCTTGTGTTTTTACTCCGAATGAGATGGGAAACCATTAGGTTTGGAGGAAAGCCATGCCATCTGATAAGGTTTAAAGGGGTTGTGTGTGGGACAGACAGATTGCTGCAACGTGGGGAGATCACTCAGGAGGCTACTCCAATAATCCAAATAAGAAATGATATAGCTTTAGATCATAGTGCTAACAGTCAACATGATAAATGGGCAGATTCTAAAGGCTGCTGTTAAGTCTGATTGAAGGTGGAGTGTGAAAAGTCAAAGATGGTGCCTAGGTTTTAGGCCATTGCAATTTAATGTTGACATTTACTGAGCATGGGGTAATAGTATATGTATATGTGTATGTCTTTATAGACATATGTCCAGTTTTAGACATTTTAAAAGACGCCCTTTAGCTTGTCATGTGGATAATGAATAGAAGCTATATGGGAGCTCAGGAGAAATAGCTTGAAGGTTAGTAAATGACGGTGGTTAACTGGGCTCCTAAGATAGTATGACATGAAAGTTCATTGTTTAGCCTTGACTACAAATTTGATACGGTAAATGAGAAATCAAGTTCTATAGAGGATCAGACAGTAGTACGTAAAAATGTAAATTTCATAATATTTTTTACAATACAGAAAAGAGGGCTCTTAAAAAATCTCATTCATAAATAGCATACAGTTTGGGAAGATCTAGATACTGATAATGGGACTTTAATGGAAGCATCCCAAGTAAAAGAACAATTGTCAGAAACATCTTGTATACCTGAATCATATAAAATTTTTCAAACCTGAGGCCAGAAATGAGCAAGTAGTTATAAGGTAGCAACAAATAATGCAACACAGTAATAATTTCTAGGGACTTAAGACATTCGGCGAACTTCAATATATTTAAGTCTTTTTGTTAAAATGGTTCCTCAAGTTTTTTTGGCAGGGGGTGGCACTGTCATGTTTTGAAGCCATTTCCAAATACCTTTAACCGTTGATTTTTCCATTACAATGGGACAGCACGAGAAATCTTAATAGTCACCTTAGGGTACCTTTAATATCTGTCAAACACTGCAAACACCCTTAACATAGCATCATTTCCACTTGGAAAAATTGCCTAGTGTCAGGCCACAGAATGGGATCTGGGTTCAAATTTGTTCAGCTAGCCAACACAATACTTAGGTAGATCTTTGCACCTGATTACTTTTAAATACTTGACGATTGGTTGAATTCCATGCCAGTATGGTTATTCAAATTAGCCAACTGTAGGACGTTAATGTATTTTAATATTCCAAGTGTAAATGTGGAAATCAATGTACTGTATTACAATTCAAAGTACTAGGAAATTGTCAGGTATCAGAAACGTAATACTTAAACACATTCTCTAAAGCCAAAAACAGCTATAAAAAAATAGCTGTAGAGTCAAAGGATTACTGGTTGTAGTCTGTTACAAGGGAATGCTACGAACAGACTTCTGAAAACGGTTCTCAATCTTCACTATTCATCAGAATCACTTGGAGGGTGTTTTAATATAGGTGACTGGGCTCCATGCCAGTTTGACTCAGGACTGGGATGGGGCCTGACAACTTATATTACAAAGAATTTCCTAAATGATGCTGAGATTGTTATCTCAAGAAACATTTTGAGAACCACCTTATTCATAAACTGTATAAAATTAAAAATCGAGCTCACACACATTAAGCTCAAGTGTGGATTTCATGTTAGCTGGAATTACCGAGTAAGACCAAAGTGTCTTTAAACACAGACTTTAATGGTAACAATTCCTTTAAGCTCAATTAACTTCAGCTATTACAAGTCTTATGCAGATGTCACTATTAGACAATATTTAGTGACTTGCACTGGGTTCCTCATAAAAGACAAATTCACTTAAAAGTGTAATCAACAATCATTAACAGTTTTGTTATGCCAACACAAAACATGGCTGAGTTACCCCCCTCCCCGCCCAAATTACTAACACAGCATGATCAGTACCTTAAGTATACTTCAACTAAGCCATTTCAACAAACAAAAAAAAACAAACAAAAAAAAAAGTGAGTGTTTCACTACCCCTGAGACCACTAGTTAACTGTGGTTCATACTTTAAAATGTGAGTACACCCACACAAGAAAGCAAATTAATCAGTTTTAAAAAATCTGATTATCACATTGCAAACTCGCCCAGGAAAAACAAACTGAGTCATTTAAAATGTAAATTTACCATTAACAGGCCAACTGGACCCTAATTCGGTTTATGCATTAAAAGATTTAGGAAATACAAAGACATAGTCAAAACTGATTCTAATACTCAGTTGGGTCCTATACATGGCACTAGTAATGTCAAATTACTGGGTGGAGTGGGGCAAAGAGGGCAAATTCTTAGATTCTTTTAAGATTTCATTGTACATATCTCATGTCCAGTGTCCATACATTCAAAAATGTTGGTTTTCCAGGTACTTTACTGTTCTTTTAAACCTGGAGAAGCCTCTATGGCTTATTCCCTTAGAAGCAACAAATGAAATGATGTATAAAGCATCAAGTCAAAGATACAGAGAACTGGACACATCCACTAATTGTTATGACAATCAAAGAAGTCATCTCCGTAAATACCTAAGGGTTGTCTAAGGCTATAAAGGTCAATTTGAAAGCCAGTTAGGGATCCACCGTGTTTCATAAAAGTGTCTTACACTCATGTTTGGCTTTCAAGAAGTGATATGCCTACTAAAGCTGTTATTTTGAGACTATATGCATCTCAGAAGTAATTTTGAAAATAGAGCCAAAGAGCAGTTTTTCTTACCTTGTGGAGCAGAATGTTAACTAATTTCTCATTCATAATTTGAATCCAAAAAAGTTATGCAGTATGACATCTACCCTGAAGGAGCCGTTTTAAGCAAAACACAAAATGAAAAAATTCACTCATTGGAAAAACTGCGTAGCTGGTTTTTTCCCCAATGAAATGATTACAGAATTAACAAAGCCAGAACATCTTCAGAAGGCATGCATTTCACTTCCAGTTTAGAGAAGAACCTTAAGTCAATAAATCATGTCCAAACTACATATTAAAATGTTTATAAAAAGTAAGTTTTAACATTTATTTCTAGCTTTCCACATGTGTGTGCAGACAAGGAATAAGATTGCACGTAAGTGTAAGCAGTGCAAAAATGTGGAAGTGGAGGAGTCACAGATGTGCTAGAACTTTAAGAAATAAAGCAGTGAACAAAATCAAAATAAACAGGAAAAATGTAAAACTATGGGATCAGAATTAGGAAAGGTGAAGAATGGTAATGCCCTTGTTACTACAGAAGTTAAATCAGTGGCACAGATAGCACTTGTCAAACAAAAAACAATCCAATAGCATTGACTTTTATTCATTCATGTTAAGTCACCTGAAATGATATCTGTTGCATTTAAATGCTCATTAATGTAAATGGCTGAACAAATCCATTTCAATGGATACTCAATATCCCACATAGATAAGTCACTTCAACACAGCCTCATGACAACTCCCACACCAAAACAGTACTTTATTTTGCAAATTTTGACCCATTATTACTCCCATGTTGTTTTTTTTCAGCTGTCAAGTGTACAAGGTGAAGAGAAATTTCAGTTAGACAGGGGCTGCACCTGGAAAATAAATTTCTTAAACTCCATAAACACATTTCAAAACTGCTGGGTCCCAAAAGTCCATCTATGAACTCTAGGGCTGCCAGTATCATGTGCAGCACATTAAAGCTACACTATCCAAATAGCTTATTAATTCTGCATAAATCAGGTCAAGCAATGTGTCAACCTGTAACAGACTGTGCACTTTAACTGAACATGGCAAAATATTCACTCTTTCGAACTTTACATCATCATTTGATGTCAAACAATGAAGCAAATCCCAACAGTATATACAAAAAACAGCTTTGCATTTACAAAAGATTGTTTCCCATACTGATTAATCCAGGCAGCTAACTCATTGGTTTATGCAACTTTATTGAAGAAAAATAAATCAATTACTAGCAGAGCTATTAGTTGATCACTCATCCATTGACAACTTGCATCATTTATTCAGTGCTATATTAAACAGTGTATTGGAAGATAGATTAACTAATAGCTCCAAGCCTCCTAACAATTTAAATGAAAATTACAAAATGTTTGAGACCCTATTTTGGAATACAAAGGGTGTTTGACTTCCAATTTCCATTCTCTGTAGAACAAGAACAGGTCATTCCTTTATTGACATGCATAAAATACATCACATTTTCTGTTCTGCTGATGCTATAAATTCAATACCAATTCTCCAGCCACATCAGTTATGAGCATAAAGCATATCATGTAACCTCAAATCTCTAACAGTGGAAGGCTTAAACAAGAATGGATGCTGCTAGAATAATGCTGTATCCTTTGATGTGACAACTGAGCATCCATCTCCCTCCCCCTCAGATGATTTCTTCAGCATGTTAGAGCAGTGAGGAATGGTTTTAGTCTCATAACCAAGTTAGAGTGAAGACATTGGCCACATAATACACATGCTCCATTTTTTTTTTTAAAAATTCTGAGTCTTGGGCAACTGTTCTCTTGTAACTACTTTACAGTTTCTAAAAGCAGTTATTGTCCAAAGCTGGAAGAACTTAAGTCTTCTCAGATGAGCATGTGAATGAATGGAGGGAGGTAAACAAAAAATAAAATTAAAAAAGATGAGGTCTGATAGGGGAGCAGCCGGATAAGAAAATCAAAAAAGGAACAGTAATTTAAAGTTTATTCCAGCTATAATGCAGGTTATTCTGACTTTAAGGTAGCATCACATGGCATACTTCTGAGTCCATTCCCGAGATATTCTGTTGTACCTGTAAATAAAGATGTTATTTTTAAAAGTTAAAATAAAGAATTCCTAATACTTTAAATGGAAGGGAAAGATTTCCATTTTATCATCTCCAGACTCATCATGAAGTCATCTCTAATGACTATGATTAGAATAAAAGCCAACAAGGGAGAAATAGCACTGGTACTCAAAGCAATGTGGGAAATGAGAGCCTGATGCTCTGAAAGTAGTATTTTAAAAACAACTAAGAAAGCAGCACTGAAAATTGGGAGGCTAACAAAAATCAAAAGACCCTTTCTTTCTCTACCACCGAGCTCATGCTCTAATTTTAACGTGAAGAAATTTTTACAGTTCATTATGGACAAATGTTAAAATAGTATACACATTCTATCTATCCACAGAAATTTCCACCAAGGCCAGAACTAGGCTTTTACTAGAACAATTTTATCTGAATCCTAGAGTTTGGGAAATTACTTGGTCCTGGATATTACAAGAAAAAATGGCTTTGGGACTTAGGTAGAGGCAGAAGGGGAAGATGACACTGGGCAGAATGACAAAGGGCAGTAATTTTCAAAAGGGGTGTGTGTGTGAGTGGTTGTGTTCATCAGAATCACGTGTTACTTTTAATAAGTGTGGTAACTGAGGCTAATAAGCACCACTGAGACCTGTTGAGTACAACAAGGGCATCTTCGTTTAAAAAGATCAACAGGTAATTCACACACAAGCAAGGTTATTACTCAGGAAGACTACTAACATTGATAAATACTATCAGCTTCCCCCTGGATTATACTCATGCCATAGACTACTTACAACAACAAAAAACAGTGATAACCTTAAGAAATGAATATATATATATATATATGCACAGGAGAATTTTTATATTGTTTAAATATTAACTAGCTTTATTTCAAACCAAGAACCAAATATGGTCCAACAACTTTCCTAAACTTTTTAAAAAGTTCTTTCTACCAATTCATTGTCATCTCCTAAGGATACTCTCTCAAAAAGCCAGCACTTTAAAACAAAGGCTTTATTTAGCATACAGGGAGCCACAAAGTACAGCTGACGCTAATGCATGCTTGTCAGTAATGAACATTTAGTTTAGATGCTTAGGCTTAAAAGTGTTTTTCCCTTACATTACTATCTCCCGGCAAAATTTGAACTAAACCACCACATTCTGTATAGGATTGGTACAAAGTCTCAAGCTAAAATTTAAACACCATGATAGTTTGAAAAAAAAAAAAGATACTACATAAATTCCCATTTCTTACTAGTGCTATTGTAACTGCTTTGCCATGCAGTACTTTCAAGCAATAACGGCTACCAGATATTTACTTTCACGTTAAACAGAGACCAAGCAGTTAAATGTACAGTTTTCAGAAGACTGCCATATTTGTTACCTTTTGTTAGTTAATACAGTGCCTTAACGCATGCAGCACTCAAGTGCTGGCAGTACCATAATAAGCGCACCATAGAGTGCAGATCCTCTTACCCTACAACATAGCGTATTTCTCTGTCCACTCTCTTGCTAACCTATTGTACCTAATTGAACAAGTACACTTAGCATTAATTATAACATATGAAAGTTATAATGGTTAAGTTGAACATAAATATAATTCAAATATTTGAGAAATTTAGACCAAATTTTTACAATAGTACTAACATTTTTGGAAAAACATGCTTGGGGTAAAGAAAAATTTGCTTTCTTCCCCAAAAGTTGAGAATAAAGTGATACTGTTTAACACGCTAGGAAAAAAAAAACAACAATAAAACATTTTAGAGGGGAGCATTCACTGTCACATAAGCTAAAGCCTAGTTAAGTTTTTTTAAATAACCACATTTCAATAGCTTTCTCCATATTTTAACTATTATCTTACTAAATATCAAGTCTTCTTGGCACTGTCACAAGCAAAGTATAAGCCTAACTCATTAAGTAAAACCACTTTTATAATAACTTTTTAACATACTTACTTATCTCTGTCTGTTTTATAGATCCGTGCAATCTCTGGCACTAGGGGGTCATCTGGGTTTGGATCACATAGCAGTGAACAAATGGATAAAAGAACTGCAAGAAAACAAAAACATCTGTTACCCAGTTTCAGGAGTTTGGATAAATAAATTTTTCTAAACCGTGTATTACAAAACTCAATCCTCAAAAGACTTTTATTAGTTTGTATCTTTATCTCAATGAGACACAGTTTTACAGAGATTTTGTTTCACAGAAGACAAGCTCCTGGTAAGTAAGAAGTGCTAAAAACAGGGTTTTGTGGCATGAAATTCACTGCAGACTAGCCATAAAAATAGTTTCTAAGATAGGCAACTGATGCCATATTAATATATATATTTTAAATAGGCATAAATGATATTAGAACTTGAGTTTCTTGGTACTCAGTGGCTGGGGGGGGGGGGACTTTAGCAAGAATATGCAGGTAACACTCATGCCATATTCATAGCCATTAGGCATGATGAAAAATCCATTCTTAGCCGTTGTCTTGGCAATTTCTGAGAAAAACCCTCAAGTGCTCCACTAAATGTCTCCTTGAACTTGTAAGCAAGAAACCATATTCCCAAGAGTACTAGTTAAATACAATGCCAAAATCTCTTTAGTACTAAGTGAGTCATCAGCTCTAGTTTTTACCTTAACCAGTTCAACATACTGATGTATAAGATGTCAAGCATTAAGGAACATAGATCGCATTCACTTTGAGTGCCTGCTATGTGCCAGTCACCATATATGGTGGTGCTGTTATAAAATGTTAAGATATAAATGCTTGAAATGGTTCTGACCGATTTTTTTTTAAAAAAAGCAATAGTATAAAAAAGACAACACTGTCACATATTTATTGACTACAGCAAATTTAATTTCAAACCCCAAATACAGCAGAATATAAAATTACCTAATATAGGAGACTTGGCTATACAATAACTCACAGAAAAAAGGTAGCTTCAGTTGTGACTGCTAGTTTAATAAGTTAGCAAAGTATGGCTGCCAAAAAAGTAAGTTGCTTTAACGACAAAACAATACCAATTCAATCTGCCCTTACAAAAACAGTTTTCAGTGTTACTGTACACTCCCAGCAGTAGTAGAAAAACTTGGAAACTGATATTTAGGTATGTAGCATGATTTGAAAAGAAATTAGAAAGCATCCAAGAAGGTGAAAAACAGGTGTAAAATTTTAAAAACACTCGAATTATGGCAGCATCTGCCTAAGTTGTTTCTTTTTCTCCCTTAAGTGATTCTACTCAATAAAGTTTGGGAAATGCTACTGCTACAGTCTCTCTCCATGAGATTCAAGTGCAGTATATACACATATGAAACTTTTATACAATGCCTTGCCTTTTGAAAAAGCTTTTTTGTACTTACTGAACTCATAAAATCAAAAAACAATTAATGGTGAAATAGTGTTAATTATTACAACTTCACCTGGGATATTCATGCGGAGACCGGAAAACTTGTTACATATAACGTAACAGATACCTATTAAGAGACCAGAATTGATCTACAGATCTTTCGAAGATTATATAATTTTAGACTGTCATTAGGTAGAAACAACCTATCATGGTTACATAAAACATGACTGAAGATTTGTCTAAAAATTAACCCAGGAAAGCAAAATCAGAATTTTCCTAGAGTGGAAACCTCAGGATTCAAAAGCTCTATTAAGTTTAGGTATATCATACCATTCTTGGTAAAAAGGCCGCAAGTTAGTGTGAGATGTCCAAGTGGTTTGGGATTGAAAAATACAGAAGTCTATTAAAATAAATTTTGCTATTATAAGATGAGATGAAGGTAACTCATTAGGCAAATAATGCCTACTCACCACAATTTGAATTTTAACAACTTCTCACAAAGTATCTTTAATCAACACCACTAAAAGAACAAAAATTATAAAAGTAACTTTATTGCTTCCCCATCTCTTACCAAAAAGCTGCCATAATAAAAATACTCAGATAAGTAGATCTAAGAATGAAGCTTTATTAGACAATGAGAACAGCTTATTTCACTAGAAATATTTACCTTTAGAAATTGTTAAAGCAGGCGACCACTGTGATCTTAGAATATCGAGACAAATGCTGCCATTACTGTTAATATTTGGATGATAAATTCTTGTTGTAAATGCAACCTAAAACAAAAACTTTTAAGTATTTTATTCAAATAAAAACAAACATCTTTTAAAGCAAAACTTAAAATAATCAAGCCACAATGTTAAAAATGTCATCTATTAGCATAGAAGTTCTAAATATTATAGAAACTGATTTTTACAATCTGACCACAACCCCCTGCCTCCTCTTTTTACAACAGAAACCTAAACTTTTGGATAAAAATTTCATTACTCATATGATGTAAAGTTCTAAAGGTTACTGTGGCCCTACCATATCATGAATCAAAGGGCAATTTAAAGGTATTTAACACATTCATTTATAAAAGCCCTAACTTTTGGATGTAACCAAAATTTGTAGACCATCTCATTTAAAGTTTCATTAAGTTACACAGGTACACCTGAGTCTGCATTTCCACCGTACATAAAACATAAACTTGAATCACAAAAATGGAAACCATCACATTGCACCTATAACATTACTAGAGATTGTTATAGTGACATGTTTATGACCTTTGTATATTACCTTTTCTAGTTATTCATACAGGTTGAATTTATGTTAATGACTGAAAAGTGAAGGATAATATGCTTTTAATACCTATAAACCAGTGCACTAAGCAACTCTAAGTTTTCACAAATTTACACTTACGTATACAAAACTATAAGCATAATAAGCATATGCTGTAACAATACGTGCAAATATAAATTGAAGTTGGACATTTGATGCTTACAAGACAACAAAAGCCCAAAAATCAGAATCTGTGTAACAATAATACAGATGAGGGCGGAAGCTTCCACATGGTCTGAATCTTGCAACATTAAAGAAAAGGCAAACCTTATTCCTATTTACAAAGCTCAAACTGAGGTCTAGCTCTTTAAACCAAAGGTTAAGAGTCAGCATCTATACATGAGTGCAATTCAACATATATATACAGCCTACACAGAACCCTATCTTCCAAGAATGCTCTATTCCTTTGAAATAAAGCATAAATCTATACTAACAGATTTTGAGGGAAAATACTTGCCTTAGGTGGTTTGAAGGGGTAGTCTGTAGGAAAATGAATTGTCAAAAAGAATACACCGCCTTGATATGGGCTGTCATTCTGTAAAAAGAAAAGTATGCTTAACTCAAATTTAAAATATTATTGCTAAATATTCCGTAACATTTGTTTCCAAGCATTTCTCTAATAATGAACCCAAATCACCTATTTACACTGCAATAAATAATCTATTCCATGAAAATTCAGTCTATAGTAATAGAAAAAAACTTAAAACTTATACAGTAATAAACCCTAATTTATCTAGTCATTTTACACGTCACCAAAATGTTTTTTTAAAAAGTTATCCAGAAACGCAAGTATTCTAGATCTCAATTCTCAAAAGTACAACACAGCAATAAAGCCTACATAATCATGTTTCAGAATAATCTGTAAACAAAATTTTACACATGTAGATTATTTCTTCCAATAGCCAGATGTGTACAAATGGCTTCACAACAGTCCATTCTGCCCACTGGCAAACCAAATGTTAGCTATTCCAGGTAACACACACACACCACCTTCAAGAGGAGAACAGAGAAAAGCCTAAGCTTCTCATTTTAATCAATACCAGAAAATACATGCATTGCCCCTATTTTATGCATGAGAAAAATGAGGCTTAAAGAACTTAGTCTAGTGTACAAATGGTAAATGATAGAACCAAGATTCAAACACAAGTCTTTTGAAGACCACTTAATGATCAAAGATACTGACCTACTCAGGAATTTAAAGTTAAAATGTGGAATGCCTAACTGCTTCTGGGTATGCAAAGAACCAATCCGAAGACATGTTTTACAACTTACATGAACTGGGTTTTTACCAACACTGACTCCCCTCTATTAGAAAGGCTTTGTATATACAGCTATATATGAGCCTTTCACTATGCCCATTCTGGATGTCAGGCACATAAAAAACAGGCCTGACACTAACACAGCTCATCTAATTCCTACCCTTCTGTAAAATAAATAAACATTAATTCAATTAATCTAACCCCTTGCTATATACTGTATGTGTGTTAAGGGATCCAAAGAACAATTTTTTTTATCTTGATGAGCTTACACTGATAGACATGTAAAGTAACTGCAATGAAATGTTATAGGTATCATGAAATATGAACAAGGGACACGAGTTCAAAGAAGAAAGGTCAATTTATTAATGAAGAATCAGGTTCAAAGAAATATACAACTAGTAAATGGAAGAGCTTTTATTTATTTGAGACGGAGTCTCACTCTGTCGCTCAGGCTTAAGCGCAGTGGCACGATCTCAGCTCACTGCGACCTCTGCCTCCTGGGTTCAAGCAACTCTCCTGCCTCAGCCTCCCAAGTAGCTGGGATTACACATATGCACCACCACACCCAGCTAATTTTTGTATTTTTAGTAGAGACTGAGTTTCACCATGTTGGCCAGGCTAGTCTTGCGGCCTCCTGACCTTGTGATCCACCCATCTCGGCCTCCCAAAATGTGCTGATTATAGGTGTGAGCTACTGTACCCAGCCAGAGCTTATTTAAAGTGAGTCCTTCTCCATCTCCCAAGTCTTCCCCCTTTTTTTTTGTAGGGGTGGAGGGCGGGGGGAATGGGAACGGGAAGGGGGACAAACAAGACGCAGAATATCATCTTGCTGTTTGTTGCCCAAGCTCGAGTAAAATGGTGCAACCTCAGCTCACTGCAAGCGCCGCCTCCCCAGGTTCAAGAGATTCTCCTGCTTCAGCTGCCTCAGTAGCTTGGATTACAGGTGTGCACCAACGTGCCCAGCTAATTTTTTATTTTTAGTAGAGATGGGGCTTCACCATGTTGGCTGAACTCTTAACTCCTGACCCCAGGTGATCCGCCTGCCTCAGCCTCCCAAAGTGCTGGGATTACAGGTATCAGCCACCGTGCCCAGTCCTTTTTCATATTTTCTACAAAATATGGAACTAGAAAAACACTCAGGTCACTTAGAATGTGACCTGAGTTTATTAGATTAACATGTCTTTATTAAATAGTTATATTAATTTTGAATAGATGCTTCAAATAGCATATACTTTCACCTGATCCAATACTATACAAGATATGTTTTTTCTGTGTAAAATTAACAATTTAAAGGTAATCCCAAACACTAAAGTTGTTTTTGTTTTTTTTGAGACAGGGTCTTGCTCTGTCGCCCAGACTGGAGTGCAGTGGCACGATCTTGGCTCACTGCAACCCTCTGCCTCCTGGGATCAAGTGATTCTCCCACCTCACCCTCCCGAGTAGCTGGAACTACAGGAGTGAACCACCACAGTTGGCTAATTTTTTTTGTCTTTTTAGTAGAGACGGAGTTTTTGTTGTCTTTTTAGTTGAGAGGCTGGTCTCAAACTGCTGAGTTCCAGTGATCCACCCACCTTGGCCTCCCAAAGTGTTGGGATTACAGTCGTGAGCCACCATGCCCGGCCCCAAACATTGAAGTTTTAATAACCTAATTCCAGAAGTTCTTTGTAAGCTTTCATTTCAATTTTCATAAAATCAAATGCTGTCTATGACTGCTTCTGAATAAAGGCAATCTGCTGATGGGATTTAGGCAAAGCCAAATTTCGTTTCGTTTGTTCGAAAAAAGAACTTTATAAAGAAGGCAAAATATTTCAATGTTACAATTTAACACTAAAGTTCTGCCATGCCAAAAGAGGAAGAACTACGAGGTTCAGAGATAATGAAACTAGGCAATATAAAAAATTGAGACCCTATGATATTTAAATTCTATTATGAATCAGCAGCAAACTACACCAAAAAGAAACAAAATCCCCAAAGAATAAGGAACACTGTGATCAGCAAATCGACTCAAATCGTACAAGTCCAGAATTTATGTTAGATTTTTTCAGAAACCTTCTACTTCTTTTGCTCTCATCAGTGCAAAGTTGCTCCCTCACAGTGCCTCAGCTCTTCTGTGGCAATAAAACGTTGGTATTCTTTTTTTTTTTTTTTTAAAGTGGTGCTGTCGCCCAGGCTGGAGTGCAGTGGTGTGATCTCGGCTCACTGCAACCTCCACCTCCCAGGTTCAAGTAAATTCTCGGGCCTCAGCCTCCAAAGAAGCTGGAATTACAGGCATGTGCCACTACACCCAGCTAAAAATGCTGGTATTCTTATAGGTTGATTTTCTACTCTTAACTGCTGACCCATAAAAATTTGAGTTGCAAAATATATCTCTGGTCAGTTATTCATTCCAGGGCATATATTCAAATGCCTACTGATATTTCTACTTGGATATCTCTACTTGGATATCTCATGTCATGCGTCCAAAACTGAAACTTGTCTCAATCCCTTTTTTCCTGTTTATTAATAGCAAGCCATAACTGAAAGCCATAAACCAGGATCTCATCATCAACTTCTTCCTCTCTTATCTCAGAATCAAGATAGTTATCAAGTAAGATCTTTAAAATTTCTTGAATTAGCTTCTCCTTTATGCCCACTGTCACTACCATCTTAGTTCATGATGTTATCTTCAGCCTAGATTATGGCAATAGCTTACTAATGATTATCCCTCCATCCTAATGATAAAGTGGTCTTTTAAAAATGTTACTCCCCTGCTTGAAATCTATGATAGTTTTTAAGATAATTCCAACTCCTAAGTACATACGGTGCTTTATGATCTGGGTGCCCATCTAGTTTCATCTTCTGTCTCTTCTATAGAACATGTTCTCTACTGCACATAAAATATTATATGGATAACATATCTTTTTCTCTTCCCTACTTGGAATATTCTTCCTTATAATATAGCCCTTCCTTTGTCTTATCTGCTCCCTACCCTTCTTTTATACCTCTTTAAGCACATAGTTACCATTATCCACCCATATATCTAACATTTACTTATATTTCTCTTTTATTAGACTACAAAGCTCCTCAACGAGTAAGGTTAAAGGTGGAAAAAGTCTTCAGGTATCAGTAACCTACGTGGGAAATGACATAATAATACACTTGAAAAAAAAGTTGAAAAAATAATCCTTATGGACCAAATAAAATAGTACCTATGGACCAATTATTTTAATTCAGATAGTTTTTCTGGTTGACTATGCTCAGGCTGCCAAAGGTTACATTTTTCAGATACTTTCACATTTTTCACAGGTACTCTCTTCTACATCTCTGTCATAGATTAGGTGGGAGTTAGTGTTGTTCTCTAAATCCACTTTTTCTGGATTTCCAATAAAAAAAAATTTAAGCAAGTAAATATCAGAGGCAATAGGTAAGGAAGTCAATTTCTTCTAATTACATCAATTCTTGTTGGAAACTAACCTTAATACAGTACCCCACGCCCCCCTCCCCAAAAAAACCCACGCACACAAAAAACTAGCAATGCTGTCATTTCTTTCGAAGGTTTAGTTTTTAGTCAATAGTTGTGCTTCCGAAGTAGCTTACCTTCAGAAAGAATAAGCCAGTACATATGATTATTAAAGCCAAGCAATTTTGCTGCATAACTAATGATCTAAAGGATTTCCCAACAACTCACTAAAATCAAAGTTACTCTATTGAAACTCAAAATTAGATGGTATATTCCCTACAGTCAGGAATCTTCAGTTCTGTGGCACTGGCACCACTTTAAGGGACCTAAGTAGTAGTCCAAAGCAAAAGTGACGTTGTTAACTGTCCAGTTCTCCCACTAAATCTGTAATTTATGGGTTGCTTTAGGTCACAACTGCTTGCTACATAGAGCAACCATACTCACAAAATAAGCTACTATTTATCTTATACAGTGATGCTTTGTCACAAAGAAGTATTGAGAAGCCAAAAGAACAAAATGAGTTGTTTCATTGGTGCACTCCACAGTAAGCATATAGTTAACTATTTAAAGCTGGCATCTAAATTATGTGCTTACTTATGTACAAGACAATACCCGTACTTTGGGTGGATTTTTATAATCTTTGACTCCTTCTTGAAATTTACCCAACCAACAGTGAGAACTAACCTTTTTAACTGAAAACATATTTCAGTGAGTACTGCTACCAAAGCAAAACCCAGCAGTTGTGGTTAATCAGGTTAATATTTAAATGGTTCTGAAAATCACATGCTTCTGTTTGTAAAAGCAGAAAACTGCTAGTCATTATATTAAAAGGTTGCTGAAAAAGTTCAGCAAGGAATAGCCATCACCTGAAATATATATTTAAAAAATGAAAAAAGGTAAATGTTTTCTCAAAATAACAGCAAATTAAGTAAACTGCTAAAAAATCTGTCAGAATAAGCAACACCATTCTCTAAAAAAATTACTACCATACACTCATCATTCATGTTTCCTTTTGATTGTCTATAGGTATGTTCCTTGCCTTTTGGGAAAAACTAGTGTGTTGTTCAAAATAACAAAGTCTAAACTGTCAAGCAGAAAAACCAACTAGTTTTAAAGAGTTAGTTTATTCTGCACACCATCCAATTAGAAGTTTTAATTACCAACGCTTCTGTGCTTTCTTAGTATTGACAATTTTTATAATGAAACTATCAACTACCCTCTGAATCAAAGATGAGCTTTATTTTAAGGCATTTTATAGCATTCTTTGAAAACTGGTAATCCAAAATGGGAAAATTCTAGAGGTTGCAAAAGCAACTGCTTTACAAAACACTAGGCAGATAATATGGAATTGACCTAGTAGGCACTGTGGTAAACACATATCCCATCTAAAAAAGGGAGGCAGCTGTCATTCCATCCCAAGCCATTACTGCTTATGGAATGTGGGCCTACTCAGAAGGCTTTTATTTGAAGACTGCCAACTTTCAAAAATATCGTGTGGGCCAAACTGGGTAACTCAACATTTAACTGCGTGTATTAAAATTAAACAATATTGCTACCAAATTAGATAAAAGTAAGTACTTTTAATAACTACAAAGCCAGGATTGTGCATTTCGTTATTACAGGACTATTTTTACTGTTTTAAATGTTACTTTGTTTTAAAATGATCCAGGACGTTTCAAAGTATTAAACTTAATATTTGCACCCCTGCCATGTCTTACTTTGATTTAGTTTTTCTACCTTTAGGGCACTAACATTTTAATTACTCTAAATTAATCCTCCCTGCTTCAATTTCCCATTAATTTATCCTACTCAGCACTTCATTCACCAATCACTTATTTTCCATCTTGTCACACTTCAGCACTTGTTTTAGGTATCTGTCTCCTCTAATACAGTGTAAGTTCCCTATAAGATCGACAGGGATGTTTATTATGTTCAATTTGTATCCTTATTACCTGGCACACAGTATGTACTCACATTTGAGACAGAAAAATGACTAAAGTTAGAATCAGAATTACTAAATAAATACTTGTTGATTCGACTCATCTACTAACTCTAAGAGCATTTTTTCCTTTAGAATTCTAAATATTACTTACTGACCATTATCTCACCTAGTACATTATTGCTCTTTATGTTGCTTATAAAACCACCAAAAAGGGAAGACAGTTTTCAGGAAGATACACATGTAACTTAGAAAACAAATCCTTAAGCGCCTTAGCAAGTTAAAAAAAAAAAAAAAGTTAAATATTTGTGTAAGATACAGTCTTACCCCAGGATGTTTTAGTGCGCTCTAATTCTCTGAAATTCTTAGATGGTATCCATAATTCTGAATATTCAATTATCCAGCATATAGTTGCTTATCTACCCAGGATAGAAAGGAATTTTGCTATATTCAAAATATCACTTTCTGCCTAAATATATTCAAATTTTGCATAAACTGAAGTTCTATAAAGAATCAAATATCAAAATACAATTAAGCTAGATTATTGGCAGCTGCAGTAACAGAATAAGATCTCTGAGTAACACAACGCATGGCATATCAGAGCCAGTAACTTTGTCTCTATAAATAACAGGAAGTTCCATGACAATGCTTTACACAGTGCTATGTAGAAAAACTGAACTGAGATACAGAGATGTTTGGTAGGTCATAGAGATGGCTATACTCTAGAACGTGAACACAGGGATAGACACAAAGTACACGTAACAAATGACTAACTCATTATGTTTTTTCTTTCAAATGCAGTACAACTATGGAATATCCAAAATAGAATTAACTATATGATAAAATAAACCTACAGACCAAGTTAAAAATTACAACCAAATCAATGCTGGATTTTCACTTAAAACTAAATTTAAAAATTCTTAATACTTACAGGTCCCATAATTGTGGCTTGCCAATGAAACACTAGAAAAAGAAAAAAAACTCTGGTTATCTAAAAATGCACAAGCTTAAAAAAAAATTAGGCATAAAAATCAACTTGCAAGTTACTTACTATCATCCCCAACTGGACCTGCAGAACATTGTGCTGGAGGGTCACGGGCCAAATCACTAAGTTCCTACACCAAGACAGAAAATGGGTGAGTCACATAAGCTTAATTTAAGAAAACAAGCAAATGAGTCCACTGCTTTCAGTTACTTTCACCCTATTTTTAAAGGCACACTCCATCACAATTCACATAAATAATATATTCCATTAGGAGAGAGAACATGCCTGAACATATGCTGAGACAATCATCTTAGCTAGAGTTCGTAAAAATATATATGCAAACACATTGATACAAAATTTTTTATTTACATAAAAGCCAATCTCTTACAAACCGAAATAGCTATAATTAGATATTCTCATAGTTTAAGAGCTTAGACCAGAGAGAGCTCAACATTCACGTTATTTGTTGAACTTCCAAGACCACTTTCAGAGGCCCTCAACTGTCTTAAATTCTTTGTTCTTCCTGAACCATCCTTCCTCCCCAATCCACTAACTCTATTTTCTACCTGAAAACAAACCAAAAAAACTCTCATGGGGCTAAGTACCTTTTTTGTTTTCTAATCTCCTTATTCTCTCAACTCAACCTTTTTTTTTTTTTTTAAACTCAGCATCCATTTTTAACTATTGAAATTTTTTTTTTTTTTGAGACGGAGTCTCCAGGCTGCAGTGCAGTGGCGCAATCTGGGGTCACTGCAAGCTCCACCTCCCAGGTTCACGCCATTCTCCTGCCTCAGGTGCCCGCCACCATGCCAGGCTAATTTTTTGTATTTTTTAGTAGAGACGGGATTTCACTGTGTTAACCAGGATGGGTCTCGATCTCCTGACCTCGTGATTGAAATTCTGACCCTGAAGAGCGTACTTCTGTAAGTAGAAAGACGTTTGCTCTTAACATATAGTCTGCACAATTCAATATGAACGTTTTATTTCCAACAAGTATGTAGTTCACTGTTCCATGACTTGTGCATAACAATATGAATTATCTACTATGAAAATATAGTTTATTAGAATATTTTTAAGATGGTACAGCTCCATCTTACCAATGATATAACCAATGTCTAATAATCACAAGTTAAAAAAAAAAGACAATAAATAGAACCAATGTTAATACATTACTGCCTTCAACATTTTCAAACTAACAGTTTCTCTTAAGTTTAGTCTATGGCATAAGTCAGTACACCCATTAAGTCTAGGGACTACTATATCTTCTATATCCCCTTTCTCATATAAACACGGAAATAACACAGAAGGGTAAGGTTTGGGATTCCATTTGAACAGCAGAAGACCACTAGGTACGTGGCTCATGCCTGTAATCCTAACACCCTGGGAGGCAAAGACAGGGATCGCTTGAGCCCAGGAGTTTGACTGAGACCAGCCTGAACAACAAAGGGAGACCCCCGTCTCTTCGAAAATGTTAGCTAGGCATGGTGGTGCATGCCTGGGGTCCTAGCTACTCAGAAGACTGAGGTGGGAGGATCACTTGAGCCCAACAAGTCAAGGCTGCAGTGAGCTGTGATCATGCCACTGCACTCCAGTCTGGGCAACAGAGCTGTCTTGAGACAGAAAAAAAACACAAAATCCTGTCTCAGAAACAAAAAAACAAGACCAAAAAAGCTAGACTGGGCACAGTGGCTCACGCCCGTAATCCCAGCACTTTGGGAGGCTGAGAAGGGTGGATCACCTAAGGTCAGGAGTTCAAGACCAGTGCTGCTAACATGGTAAAACCCCATCTCTACTAACATCACAAAAATTAGCCACGCATAGTGCACACGCCTGTAATCCCAGCTACTCGGGAGGATGATACAGGAGAATCACTTGAACCTGGGAGGGAGAGGCTGCAGATCGCGCCACTGCACTCCAGCCTGGGGAAAAGAGTGAGACTGTCTCAAAAACAACAAAAAAAAAACCCCAGAAAAGCTGAACGTACTCATATACAAAAGACCAAGTACTAGAAAGCAAAAGAAAGGATGCCTAAATAAAAAAGATACAACAGAGAAGCAGAGGCGAGAGGACAGCTTGAGCGCAGGAGTTCGAGACCAGCTTGGATAACATAGTGAGACCCCATTCTCCATAAAAAGAAAAAAAAATTACGATAAAGCCAGTATCAACTGTCTACCACAATATCAATGCATCCGTGTATAACTAAAAACATTAATCTTCTTTTGGTCTACTAGAACAACTTATTCCCTATAACTACAGGAATTTAAAAATGGAAACAGATTTTCAAAGTGGGTAACTTTTTTTCCTCAACTGTGATCTTTTGCCTTCCTGTGCAAAATCAAGGACACAAAATGCAGAACTTTCAGTATAAGCTCTCTCAGAAGGGTGCAGGGAATGGGAAGAAGAGCTACAAATCTTAATTTAACAAGGCATAGTGGCATGTGCCTGTAGTCCCAGCTACTCGGAAGGCTGAGGCAGGATTAAGCCCAGGTGTTTCAGGTTTTTGTGTGTTAAATGATCATGCTGGTGGAGAGCCACTGCACTCTAGCTTGGACAACAATGTTTAATGCCTATTTTATACTGGCTTCAGATGATTATTTTCATTCACTACATCAAATTTAAACACAGTGACAAATTTATGTAAGGGTCCCACTATGGCACTGACTTGGTTGGGGGAAATAAATGAGTCCTCTAAATTTTGTTCATTTTGTTAAATCCACTGGAAATCTTTAAAATAGGCTCTCAACAAACTGAGGGGCCAGAACAAAAAACAACCCAGCTTCCAAGTCTTTTAGAAAATTAGAATCATTGAATAGATAGCTTGAAAAATCAGATAATGTTGACATCTTTCCCTGCAAAACTGAGGAACTGAACAAATCAAACAATGTATGCACCAACAGTACACAAGCCTGTAACTGTGCTTTAAATATTTCAATTTGTGGGAAAGCTCTTTCAATGGAGCTGCTATTTTTATTGGGTAAGTTTGTATTCTGTAGCAGCATGGAATAAAATTGAAATTTCGAGAAACACTGAAAAAGAAAAGAGACTACATAAAGTGTTTTTGTCTTATTAAAAAAGAATTGAGACTTTGTCCCATTTAACAGGATTTGCTCTAAGCTTTTAAGACACCTTAGCTCCCAGAGGGCATTTTGCCATTTAAAAAATTATAGTATTATAGACTACAGTCAATGGGGGTTATTAATTTAAACCTTATTAACCTCAAAAGTGCTACTTTCAACAAGATTAAGTAAGACTATTAGAGATATTAGCAAAACAGCACTGAGAAACAGGGCTAGGAAACTAGAGTACACAAATACGGACTAAGAATAATTGTACTACCTTTAAAAATGTTAAGATGATCAACACAAAGTTTTAACTGCTCTAATAGTATCTTTTTTAAAAAATGAAGTTTTGATTAAAGTTGTTTAGTTAAAAGTCCACCAATCCTCTCCCCTTTTAAAAAAGTGATGGGAATCTCACTATGTTGCCCAAGCCGGACTACAGTGGCTATTCACAGGCGGAATCACAATCATAAGGCACTATAGCCCAGAACTCCTGGGCTCAAGGGATCCTCTTGCCTCAGCCTCTTAAGCAGCTGGAGTTGCAGGTACGCATCACTATGTACAGCAATTTGTTGAACAATAAATGTACATTTTTAATTGTAAAATTAAACAATGAATTTTGTTGATTGACTCCATGTGGGAAGAAAAGGTGACGCTAAGATTTTTGGCCTGAGCAAAGCATGAGATTGGCATTAAGTAAAATGGTCAACTTACAGGTGAAGCTTGTGGGCAGATGTAGAGATAAAGTAAGTAAAATAGGATAATGTAAGTAAAGACTCAATTTGAAAAGTATATATACAAGTTGAGAACAGGCTGGGAACAAATACAAAGTATCATTAATAAACAAATGATGTTTATAGCCATTCAACTTGGTGAGAGCACTCCTGGAACAGAAGGTCCTAGGAGTTAACACTGGACTAATTTAACGCTAAGAAAGGGAACCTTGGCCAGTAACCTGAAAAGTTAAAAAGAAATAAAGAATGTGAAGAAAGGCTTTGTCACAATAAACAACACTGCAGGAAAATTAAGAGGCAAATATTTGCCTCTTATATTCAAAATACACTTCAGAAAATGGCCAGTTGTTCGGGAATGGTCAGTCTAGATTAATGCCATAAAACAAACAACAAAAATAGAGTAGACAAGGAGAATTGTCCTGATATGCTGTGCCAATTCACTTTGGAAACTCATCACAACTACTTACAAGGTTGCCAGAGATCCCAAGATTCACAATTTTAAGACTGTATATCACACACCCTTTATATGCTTGTCTGTATAGATATACCCTCATGTCTTCCACATATTCAGAAATGGAAGAAAATTCATTCCAAATACTATTGATTCTGATCAGTGGGAATTACAGAAATTCATATCGCAGTTCAACAATCTGTAAAAGAAACTACATGGCTTTTGGCCTTCAAAAAATTGTAACAGAAAATATTAACTGAACCAAATCAGTATTTCAGAAGCTTTTTTTTTTTTGCAACTTAAATTATCCACTATTAAGAAAATGACTTTTTTTTTTGAGATGGAGTCTCCCTCTGTCATCCAGGCTGGAGTGCAGTGGTGTGATCTTGGTTCACTGCAACCTCCTCCTCCCAGGTTCAAGTGACTCTCCTGCCTCAGCCTCCTGAGTAGCTGGAATTACAGGCACATGCCACCACACCTGGCTATTCTTTTTTTTTTTTTTTTTTTTGTAGTTTTACTAGAGATGGGGTTTCACCATGGCCAGGCTGATCTCGAAATCCTGACCTCAAGTGATCCGCCTGCCTCGGCCTCCCAAAGTGCTAGGAATACAGGTGTGAACCACTGCACCAGGCCTGCAGTCTTACTTTTAATCTTACACAGGCCTACTTTTTCTCATGGTTCTCTTCTCATCTCTGAAATAGGAATCACTACCTGGCACATAATGGACTGGTACTTAACAAGCAGACCATGTGTAGACCACCCATCCTGAACCAAGATTCCTGGGCAAGGCTCTTAATTCATCTGTTACTGAACAAAAGCAAAACTGCTCCACACATGGGCCACATAATATAGCCACTTGTTTATTTAAATTTTTGACCTATGTGATAAATCCTGATGCTCAGTTGTCTAAAAATGTCTTTGTAAGCATCTGAATATACCTAATACTGAAATAAGAGTTTAAAAAGCTGACAACACAATCCAAGTTTTACATTTATTTACTCATAATTAACTCAATAAACATACTAGATTTTACATTTAATATATGTTAAAATGTCTGAACAAAAATATTTAGCGTAATTTTCTTTTTTTTGGAGATGGAGTTTCACTCTTGTCGCCCATGGTGGAGTACAATGGCACAATCTTGGCTCACTGCAACCTCTGCCTCCTGGGTTCAAGTGATTCTCCTGCCTCAGCCTTCCGAGTAACTGGAACTAGAGATGTGCGCCACCACACCCGGCTAATTTTTTGTATTTTTAGTAGAGACGGGGTTTCACCATGTTGGCCACACTGGTCTCAAACTCCTGACCTCAGGTGATCACCTTGGCCTCCCAAAGTGCTGGGATTACAGGCGTGAGCCACCGTGCCTGGCCAGAATAAATATTAAGATAAAATATTTTAATTTTAAAATAAAAATCAATGTAATCATGGTTGTTCTAAACACAATACCCAATAATGTTGGAATACTTCATTATAAATAAAACTAAAGGTCAGAAAACTATGAAGTTGACCTAGAATATAAACACCATACTACTTCAACATTACACATTTCAATTACAAAGAAAGTAAGAAAGTATTTCTTATAGAATAAATGAGTTTTCGGCACACTGATATTTATCCATCACTAAGCCTTTAAATGCTAGCATTATCATCCTTTTAGAGTGAAGGTATAATTTCAGCTAGTTAACACTGGGTTTCAGCTCTTCACTCCTGTAATTTCAGGTTCTTGTTACTCTCCTAACATTTCTAAATGCCTTACTTTCGAAGTTCTCCATCACCAAGACATCTCTTTAGTAATAATCAAAGAGATAAAATCAGCCCAATACACTTACCTACTTTAAATTCAATATAGAAAAATGACCTAAGTATTTTAACAATCAAAACAAAGGTCTTTTTTAAAGATAAAAATGCTGTTCTTATTTCACCACTTTCTTTCTTGCCATTTAAATAGTATCTAATATTACTATTTAAAGTACCACTTAGTACCCAATAGTAACAAAACCATGCACAAGCACTTACCTTTGAGCTACCAAATAATTTTTGTAACATTATATGCCCACAGAATGAGCAAGACAGTATCGTAGGAAAAAAAAGTGAGAAAAGAGTAAGTCATAGCAGATGCTCTTTGTAGCTAGCAGACATTTTGTCTACTCAATAAACCATCTTACTCATGAATTCCTTTTCCCTTACTCCAAATCATGTGACTGTAGTCCTGGGTCAGCCATCATTAACCAATTATTTGGACATGACTAACCACAGAATTTTGTTCCCTCAGCTGGGACCCAACTATTAGTCCATTGTCCATCCCAACCTAAGAGTTTCCAAATCAAAGGGACATTCTTCCTTCTATAATCAAGAGCTATAAGAATGTGACCCATAGCTGTTGACAGGCACGTGTCATGGACTTACATGGTAAAGTCAAAAGCTAAAGAGACCATATTCAACAGCAGCAATAACAAAGAGCTGACTTTCCATACAGATGTGCAATTTTGGTTCCTGAGGTTGTAGCTTGCTCTGGTTCCTACACCTATTCCATTCATTGTTAACTATCCCAGTTTCCTTCTAATAAATCCCTTATTTAATCTGGATTATATTAAGGAGTTAAAAAATATATACAGCAGTAGTGAGAGACCAAATCTGAATACCAATTATGTAGATTTTATGCCACTTCAAACACAATTTAGTTTTTGAGTTTTGCTGAAAAACATGTAAGAAATCTAAATGAAGCTAAGTCTTAAAATTGAATTAGGAGTAACAAGGTTAACTTTCACACTGGAGGTTAATTTAAATCCATTTCTAAAATGAAAATGTAATGTTAATTTCACCATCAAAACATTCATTCATTCATAGGAACATTGCCTTTTTGGTGCCATGCATGTTAGGTATAAAAACACCAAGATAATTAAGATAGAAATGCCTCCTCAGACTCAGCTAACAGAAAGCAGGTGCAAGACAAAACAAAAATTATACTTTAACAACCTACATGCTTAAAATAAAGGGACTCAAATGCTCTGAGAATCCTGAAAAACCAACCACTAACTTTTCCTGGGTTTAGAGGAGTGCCATTTGAGCTGGCTCTTGATGGAAAAATAAGCAGGCATTTACCAAGAACAAGGAGTGAGAGAAGCATTCTAGGTAGAGAAACTCAAAGTCAGGAGTGTCAAAGAACACAGGGCATAAAAATTTGCCAGAACAAATACTGCAGAGTTTGGTATACCAGACAGAGTACACCAGGAGAGTGGCAGATTTAGCTAAAAAGGCAGGTTATGACTTGATCTTTTAAAAGAGCCCTTGAATTTAGTCAGACTATTCCAAAGGCAATGGGAAATCACTGATGGTTTCGAAATAGAAGACAAATGAGTTTTGATTTTTAAATATACTAGCAGTCGTACACCACAAGTGTTTAACTGTACTCTTATAACCACTTTACGGAAATAGAGCTCATCTTCTCTGTTTTACAGTTGAGTCCCTTAAGAGAGGGGAAAGAAATGATTACATTCAAGCATAGAACATGTTCAGCTTTAGGATAGGTGAACTAAGTGTACCTACTAACAACTTAAAAATTTGGACTAGGGGTAAGTTTCAAAAAGGTTCCTTTCTCAACAGGGTGTCCTTGCAAAGATAATTTAATGTTTGGCAAACTGAGGGAAAAAAATTCTCAACTGCACCAAACTATTACTCAATGCTCCAGAATGAACACGATATGGAAAACTAATGTTTTCCTTAGTATTTATTTCCGCATAACCATCCACCGTTAGTCTGTATCTCATTATTCGTACGTAGTGTGAATCCAGTACTATTTTTCAAGTTACATGGCCTGAGAAAATGATTCTATCCCACAGCAAGACTATTTACTGGACTGGAAATCAATTTCCAACGACACCCATACTCAGCATTTTTAAAAGTAATTTTGTCTACGATAGTCACCTAACAAAATGTTTTTAGAGCCTAAAGTTTCACAGGCTTCAGGGACAAAAACACTAAAAAATTACACAATTGAAATTTTCAGCTTATTCCTTCCTAGCAGTCTAGAGGAAGAGGAACAGTGCCAAGAACCAGAAGGAACAGCTCTCACACGGCACCTGTAAAATTTTTTTATACTGTGCTGACTACCCCTCACCTAAGGGGAACAGCATTACTCAACTATTAAGGCCACTGAAACAGGAAAATGTTTGGTTGGGGACACTGACTTACTTTAGGAATTGCTCAAGGTTCCACTCACGTTGAAGGGACACTAAGATCAAGCACATACAATCAGGGTACAACACTAAGAAACTGTACTAGCTATAAAAAGAACAAAAGGTTGGACATTTCTTTTCCACAGAGTGCTCTTTTAGGAAACTTTCTCCTTTTAGTGTCATCTTCCTCTGAGCTGCTTCTCCTCAAACTTTCTGCACACTTGGCTAGTGTGAGAATCCAGACCTTCTCACTGGAAAAAATACTTGTATTTAAAAGCCTTAAAAAACCTATAGGAAAAGAAGTCAAGGAGACCCCTCTGCCTTCTTTCTAAGCTAGGTAAATGAGACCCTCTCAAAGCTCTCACATGGTCTAGTTCGCCTCATTAGTTAAAACACTACAAAGAAATTTGAGACAGCAACAGACTTTACACAACTGAGTTGTTTGCCTATTTCCTGAAGACCTGGTGGGCACCATGGTAGAAAATAGGGCAGGATTTTTTTCACCAAAAAAATCTCTCTAAAAGGCAACCAACAGGTACAGCTTAAGCCACTGGTGAGTGTTCTCATCTGGAAGTACATGATTTAAGCAGTAATGGGTTTGGTCACTATTTTTTTTTTTATTCTGAAACATTCCTTACATGAGATTTTTAATACAAAGCCTGCAAATGGTTTATCTTGAGGAAGACCTTTACTGTAGTCACTATGGGATATGGGATTTAACAGTTGATTGTTGGAGATGTTAAACTATGCTTTCTGCTTCTCTATTCTCTATCTTCCTCATTCAATGATAAGTGGTACTAGCAGTGGTGACCAACCACAGGCTACAAAGAACAGTAGGCCAAGGTATTGAAAACATTAAAGACCTGAAAGGATGCTAGGAGAAACATAAGAATGTCCCCTCCCTTGCTGGGCGTGGTGGCTCACGCTTGTAATCCTAGCACTTTGGGAAGCCAAGGCAGGCGGATCACCTGAGGTCAGGAATTCAAGACCAGCCTGGCCAACATCGTGAAATCCCATCTCTACTAAAATATAAAAATTAGCCGGGCATGATGGCGGGTGCCTGTAATCCCAGCTACTCGAGAGGCTGAGACAGGAGAATTGCTTGAACCCAGGAGACGGTGGTTGCAGTAAGCCGCAGTTGCGCCACTGCACTCTAGCCTGGGCAGCTGACCAAGACTCCGCCTCAAAAAAAAAAAAAAAAATTCCCTCCTTTCAAAGAGCTTATAAATTGGAAATACTAAAAATATTTATTCACAAATATTTATGAATATTATGAATATTCATGAAGCTACAGAGCAGCCATGTTCCAGGAGCCCAATAAGTATCTGAACATTCGGTTAACTTTCTTTCAATGACAGCCAGTATCTGTTCATCAGATCAACATAACCAAAAGGTAGCATTTATGAAAACAAGGTTTTAAGTGTCAACCCTATTAAAGCGTAACGCCATAAATAACTTATTCTAGGTTTCATCCCCCCAAGGCTTGTCAAAATTCAAAAGCCTATATAGTGGCAAGGCCAAGTTCATGGATTCTACCTTTAAGACAGTAAAATTATCACCACGATGTTCCACAAATCATTTGTTATCCCAATCTCTACCATCTATTTTGCACGTCATCACACAAAGGTCATACAGAGGACAGAACGCAGTAGTATAGATACATTTCCTCTCAGCACTTTCCGGAAAACTAAAAGCTTATGCCATTACTAAAGGTTAATTTCTTGTATTCTATTTGAGAGTCTATTTCTTTCAGAACTAAAGACAAGATTTACATGACTCAAAAGACAAGATTTGTATGACTGTGAATCAGCATTATAAAAACAGCCCTTGCCTCAAAAACCTATACTGAGCAACACAAAACACTGCTTTGGGGACTGGAAGAGATGATAAAATGAGGTGGGAAACAAAGGGAGTAAGTGCCTTAAGAAATTTTAAGAATCATCCTCAAGAAGACTTTACAACCAACCTAGAAAAATACAAAGGTGCGAACCAACAATAGAGGTCGAAGTGCAGTGCAATTAGCTGTCCATCAGGCAGACAGTAACTACTGTAACTGTTCATATAAAGATCTGGTTTACTATAAAGTTTTATTAACTTTAATGTTATGAAATGTCTGTATAAAATATGTAGATGCGAATATCAAGGCAGGGAACAACAAACTTCAGAAACATGGTTATTTCAAGAGAAGGATGCTTGGCAAAAAGATATGAACAATTTCACAAAACTCCAAATAGTCCCTTTAAAACACATTTTAATTTGAAATTTCTTCTGAGAAATCCTTTTTTATCTTAAGGTTTAACAGTAGGCACTGCACAGTATCTCACTGCATCACTGACAAGGTATTAACTTCCTGTTTAGTCGTAATTATAGGTGAAACAAGCATGCGTGTTCATTACACAAGGTACTAAGAATGGATTGAATATTACTAATTTTCTTTCGATCACCACTGAAGGTAAAGTCACTTAACATTATTCAAAGCCATTCTTTTGTAAGCATTATTTAAAAATGGGCAAAGAAACCCAAATTTAGATTTGAAGCTCTGCTCCATGAAAGCAAGAAGGGTGTTTTATGGACATTAAAACAAACAAAACAAACAAACAAACAAAAAAAACAAAGATTAACAGCCAAACAGCTGCCCAGTAGTAGAAAACATTCAATTACACATTAGCCATGAAATTACAGCAAGGTTAGGATTAATGTAAGTATTTCATACTGAAAAAGGTACAAGAAATCATGATTCACAATTGACAAACATTTAAATACGACAAATTCAGCTATGAAAAGTTGAAGGTCTCTTTTACAATAGATTATGTTGAAAGTATCATTAGGAGATAAAAATCAGATGTTTCAACAAAGTATAAAAATACTTCCCTAAACTTTTCCCTTCCCTACATAACAAGGTTGAGGATACAATTCTGAATAAATCTTATCTAATAAGAGAAACTGGGCAGTAAGATATTTGGTGAATGCATTCATTTTTAATTATGAAATAACACTGCTATGGTAGCAAGCTCAAGACCACAACATTTCCAAGAATGGAGAGTTTTATTTCATTAATTTCAAAATACTGGTTTTGGCAAGGGGAATTAAGTCATTATAATAAAAGACAAATCACATTGTAATAATACTAGTACAAAAAATACAGTATAGAAAATTTATTTTAAATACCTCCCCTACTAGATCTAATATTCTTGAAAGGTAAATTACAAAGTGACAAACAACTATTCATGTGTTTACATGCTTATTTTCACCACTGAACGCAGAGATTACCATAGATAAGGACCATCTTCCTCATTTATTCCCTGGGACTAGAATACTACGTCTAATGCAGATTAGGACCTTTACTCCCTTGTATCTGTGGTTCTTAATCAGAGAGGAGCTTCAGAATCACCTAGAAAATTTTCAAAATTATGTGTTTCCAGGGAAAATGATTTAGTAAGTCTAAGACCCCCATGCAGCTGTATTTTTTTTTTTAAATTCTAAACAATCTGACATTTAAAAATAAGTAAACAAGTATAACTGGATTGTAACACAAAGGATAAATGCTCGAGGTATATACCCCATTTACCCTGATGTGATTATGCATTGCATACCTGTATCAAAATATTTCATGCAACCCATAAATATATACACCAACTATGTACCCACAAAATTTTTTTAAAAACTCCAAATGTTCTGGAATATAAATGTAATTCATGTCACACCCAACAATATATAATATTCAGTAAGCTCTTCTATACGCTAACAGATACAAGAAAACTGCTATTTAAAAAAAGAATGCAAAAACCAACCTAGGTTTGAGATTTTAATCTGAAACATTTTTTTATCTCAGTGTTACGAACCTAGTTTCTTTTTTAATAGATAGATTATAGCAACATGCTGTGGAGAATCCTCAAAGATTGCCTGTCTTGGATAAAAAGGGTCACCTAAACTCAGGGGCAAAGTTTGACAGAGCAATCTAGTGACACAGTAGTTCATCCCAGTGATGGAGCATTCAACTTTTTATTTGTATAAATAACAAAAACTAGAATCAACACTGCAGATGAGCATGATGAAAGAAAAGTATGCAGTGTCAGTAATGCATCCTTTTTCAAATTAAACAAATACTGAGGTCCTATTATTATCAGCATCCTTCAGTCACAACTATCCTACACAGAAAGTGAGCTGGCTATCAACAAGCTTTGAGGACCATATATGAAACACATGCAAGACAGTTTACCCAGCCTATATACTAGTTGGGGACAATAAATATATTTTGTTCACTCTAAGACATCCTAAGCAGTTAACTGGCACATGTTAGTTTTCAGTGCTTGAAGAGACTACCCCAAAAGAATTAAATCCACTTCTACTTTCAAAATATTATTAGCCAAAATCTTAACTCACAAATTAGCTATAACCTAAGAGTAAAGCTAACTCCCAATTACTTAGATGTATAAGTGGGAGAGCAAAGCAGCTTATTTCAGGTAACAAACTAAAATCACATACATTATAAAACAGGAATTGAAGGGCCAGGCCACGTGGTGGCTCACGCCTGTAATCCCAGCACTTTGGGAGGCTGAGGCGGGTGGATCACGAGGTCAGGAGATCAAGACCATCCTGGTTAACACGGTGAAACCCTGCCTCTACTAAAAAAACAAAAAAATTAGCCGGGGGTGGTGGTGGGCGCCTGTAGTCCCAGCTACTCAGGAGGCTGAGGCAGGAGAATGGCGTGAACCCAGAAGGCAGAGCTTGCAGTGAGCTGAGATCGCGCCACTGCACTCCAGCCTGGGTAACACAGTGAGACTCCGTCTCCAACAACAACAAAAAAAGGAATTGAAATGGTTCAAAAAAGAGCTTGAGCTTTTGGTGCCTATCTGATTTGAATCCCAGTCACTTACTAGTTGTGTGACTAGACGACTATTTCTCTGAGCCTGTTACTTCATCTATAAAATTCTCACATCTATCCCACATGGTTGTCTTGAGGATTAAATGAGTTAGGGTTTAGATGAGACTGCATTGTCTTAACTACTGTAATAGATAATACTATATGCAAAAGTAAACCGTTCTGAATGACAAAAAAAAACTAAAGGATGATATCAAACTGTAGTTGTTAAGAGCACATACTCTGGACCAGGCTGCCTAGGTTCTAATCCCAACTGTCACAACATGAACCTGGGTCATCTTCTTAACCTCTATGCCTAAGTTTTTCAATTTCGAGATGGAGATAATCTTGAAATTATCTCAGTGGAAGTGGTGGTAGGAGGGAAACGAAGATCAAATGAGAGTTTTTTAACCCTTTACCCATGGTTTCCCTGCTAGCCGCTTGCTTATAATCATATATAAACACTAAAGTCATACTTCCAGAAATAAAAACCCTTACGAAAACTTAACAGGGTGTATACAATGAAAACATGAGCTATTCTTTTAGGCTTGGTTCACATATTTATCTTCAAACGTCCCTAAAACACATATATTGTAGTCCCTGTTTAATGGGAGTGGTAAAATTGTCTACAGCTCTCAATACCAATCAACTTGGAGTGCCACTTTTAACTCCTGTTGTTTAATAGCCCTATTTAAGACCATATTACAGCTCGTTCAAATAAAGAATACAGGAAAAAAGTTGATTGGTCTAACAGTCAAAAAACTTACTCCAAGAACACAGCTGAAGCAAAGTATAAATTCAAAAGCTCGATCAAATGGACTAAAGGTTAAAACTATTCCAATAATCATTTCAGTAAAATATTAACGAGGAATACAGATATATCATAATACTTGAAATGTGGGACCTTCAGACAAGAATAAATTCGAAATAGGTACGTAACACAAGCATACCATACTGACATCAATGGCTACTTGACCCCATATTTCTAGAAGAGGTGCCTAAACCGAAGAGCATTCCAGTTCAGAGCTGTCCACTCACTAAAATTGTTGGATGTGGAATGTTTGAAAGTTGCCTCATGTGATTTTAACATTAACAGCTGAAAAACCAAACCACATGCACACGTCAAAGTTTCTGTAAGTTGAATCAATAATGTTCACATAAACACTGGTTTTTCCAATATGCCAAGTTTTTATGTTGTGTCTATATTACATAAATCTTCAAAATATTTACAAAAGGAGACAACCTGGTTAACTAAGAGTACTAAACTAGAAATCAAAGTTCTTAAACAAAAACGATTTTTAAAAATTATAAATTGTGATATTAAAATAGCAGTAATAACTAGGAGTGTCATGTGCCAAGAGCCTGTTCAAATTTGCACATTAATCCATTTAATCGTCAAAACAAATCTAGGAACTTAAAATTTGTTTTGTTCACTGCTGCCACCCCAATGTCTAAAACAGTGCCTGGTACATATTAGGCACACAGTCATTTATTGTTCATATTACAACAGATACCCTTCTTATAGAGGCACATAAACTTGCCCAGAGCTAGAATTCTAACTGGAGCATTTCTGCTCCAATGTTTACACTCTTAACCACTGTTATATTGTCTCTCTAAAGCTTTTAAATCATTTAAGTGGTGTCACAGCAGCTGGGTATGACCTGTAAGAGAAAAAAAATCAGAGGCCTTCCTTTAACGTGTTCTGTTCCACATGCACAAAAAGCTATGGATCTGGTACTATTCCACATTTTAGTGGCCTGAACTAATTCCAACAGAAAAGATTTTTATTTGTACTGAATGTTATGCTCTTTGTGTAAACCACACTGTAACATACAACTAGGCTTCTCCAATATGTTCCTGGCCTTTAAAGTGGTCACAAAAAGAGGTAATTATTTCAAAATAATTTTTACTTTAATCCTTAACTCCTAAAAAGCGTTTCTTCCTCTTTTCTTTCATTTCACAAAGATTTAAATTTGTATTTCGCATAACCCAAAATGACGATGTTATGAAGGCCCAAAACAAAATTCACGATTTCATATCAATACATACTAAGAGTGAAGATTTAAACCTTCCTCTTTCATGAAACACCAATCTTGCCAAATAAACTCCAGTCATAATTAAATACAGGCAAATGTAGTATCAGGTCTATTTTAGTAAAGGCAAATTCTTGCCATTCCTCTCAGAACTCTTTTTAAAAAAGTAATCTATTAAAACCAAAGTTTCTAACACTCACCGACACTCCACAATTTTTCTAGTAAGGCTGAATTTATTCCATGACATTTTTTTCAAGTTAGCTGTAAACACTCCACCCTCTTCGATTGTGCAACAACCAAACACATCACACAAATACAAGTCACAAAAAAGGGAAATACAGTTTAAGAGTTTGAATTTAGGTAAGTTTTGAGCAGAGGATCTTAGAGCAGTGCACAACGCGATATAAAAGTTAACATTTAACAAATCATATTAATTCACATTATTACGAAAGGAGATGCCGGAAAGAGCCTGAACCAGTTAAAGCAGCCGCCATCTTAAAATGCGGGATAGAAGTTAGAGCAAGAAAATGAGACTAAACCACCGGAGGTGGAGGTTCCGCTCACTCCCAGAGCTCCGAAAAATCCTAGTTTTTTTTCAACTTAAATCGATAATATACTATCAAACCACATTTCAAGTAACGAAACAAGGGTGTTATTAAATAGAATGAGGCAAAAATAGGTACATTAGCTTTCCCTTACTGCCATCGCACCCCTTATCCACCCCCACTCTCCAGCCAAAAGGAAAAGGGAGCTTCCAGAATGCCTTTTACATCAGTTCCCGGTGTCCCTCGGATAAATAGCTTCGGGTGAAAAGCTGCAACTACAAAATACAGGAAGTGGCAACACTGTGTCATTCCATCTCCTCCCAAACCCACTTATTCGGTGTAACCTGCCCAGAGTCGACTAAGAGTTTCTACTAGACTCACTGACTGACCTTCAATACGCAAGACTTCTTCTACCCGACCCTCAGTCAAGTTCGGGACTCGCCAGATTTTTTTTCTCTCCTCCGAGTTTTCTTTCTTACCCCTAGAAGGCCTAGATAACCTTGATCTCACAACTAAACTAAGTTTTCAAGCACCAAGAATAGGAAGCGCCATGACATCTGCTGGAGCGTCTCTCCGCAATTCGGACCCCCAAAAAAACTCCTTCTTAAGCAGCAAAAAAATAAAATAATAAAGGCGCCTTAAGTCACTCTCCTCCACCCCTAATTTGCACCGATTCCACTGAAGCACTCAGGATAACACCTCACTTGCCACAAGTGTTCTCCGTTTCCTAGCTTTAAACTTCATTTCTTCAAGAAGTATATCTGCGTTCTCCATCCCCCCATGGAAGAAGTGATCCAAGAGGTATTTTCAGAATTATGCTTCCTTCCCACCCCCACGCTTTCCTCTTGGCCCGAGCCTTCCTTTTCTCCTACCACCCCATGCCCTTGTCCCCGCGGGTTACCTTATTAATCCGTTTCAGCGCCATAGTGTGTGCTTGTCGTCTGGCTCCTCACTCTCTCGGTGTATGCTCAAAGGTCCGGCCAAAACTCTTGATTATCCCGGCGGCGGGGCAGGATTGTCTCGTCTCACACCAGCTCTGCCAGACACAGGCGCCTTTTGCAAAAACGGAGCAGATCAGCACTCGCACAGGCCCCGAAGAGCCCCTGATGAATCCAGGTCCCTTAAGACAGCCGCGATCCGGGGTGGGTGGGGTGGCGTGGCAAAGCCACCAACAGC
Organism: Homo sapiens; assembly: GCF_000001405.40. Taxonomy (NCBI): domain Eukaryota; kingdom Metazoa; phylum Chordata; class Mammalia; order Primates; family Hominidae; genus Homo; species Homo sapiens. The sequence goes on from NC_000004.12 coordinate 102,826,760, forward strand.
CTCTGTACCGTGCTTTCGGCCCGAAGTGGGGGCGAGGGTGACGGGAAGAGCGGAGGTGGTGGCTACAAGTTTAACTTCCCGGCCTCTAGAAAGGAAGAGACCCGGGTGGGAGAGGAAGAGGCGTAGGAGAAAGGGGTGGGTGCGGGGCAGGGTCCGGAGCCCAGCAGAGGAGGAGCCGGGGCCTAGTCGGCGCTATACCGGCGTCACTAGGGCAAAGAAAGGCAAGGGGGGAGGGGGAAGCATAAGACTCCGGACGGACGCCGGGCTGCTTTCGGTTTCTGTCCAAAGGTGCGGCCGGGAAAAGGAAGGAAATAAAGGAAGGGAGACTTGATGTGTATTGCTATCCTCGCAGCGAGCTATTCTGTGTCACCCCTGACGCCACCGTACACTCACTCCGCCTTCCAGCGCGCTCCCGCGCGCGCCCGCCCAGCCACCTCCACCACGCGCCCGCGCTGTCCCTGAGGCTCCGGCTTAGGCGCGAGGACGCGCCCATTCCCCCTCCTCCTCCAGCAGGAGAGGCCGCGGCTTCCCCAACCTTCCCACCCTAACCCACCGCACCCAATAGGCTGGCCGCTCAAGCCGCCCAGGTCCCGCACTGCCCCTCTTACCCGGCCGGCCACTGGGCCGGCCTCCCTTCCCTGCCCTAGCCGTCCACACCCACGCGTACAGAGGGGCCGGGGCCTCCCTCAAGCTGCGGCCTCGGCCTCCTCCCCGCGCGGCAGCTGGTGCCTCCCCGGCCCTACGGGGCTCACGCGCACGACACAGCCACAAGATGTCCGCTCTGACGGAACTACTGCCAGCTGCCACGCTCCGCCCCTCCCCCTCCTCCTGCCTCTTCACCGCCGCGGATCAGTCCGCCAACGCCGCCGTCCCGAGCACAAGACCGATGTGAGGCCGAAGCCAGACGGCTTGCTTCCCACGTCCGGGGCCGAGTGAATACGTGTCAAGCCCTTTTCCTTCTTCTCGGAACAGCACCTTCTTACTAAACAGATCGGAGATTGGACCAGGAGGGCGGGGGAGGGAGGAGGATCATGAGCTGGGGGGAGGGTGAACGAGTGGCGGAAACCCTTAGGCTCAGAGAAGCATCGAGAACCGGAAGGAGACCATGGGAGGAAGGTAAAGGAAGCAGCCGCTGCGCGATCCAGCCCCACGCCCCTCCCCACAGCGTCCCCCAGTTTCCTCACTTGGTATCGAGGAGACGACTCTCGCGAGAACTTCGTGGCTGGCTAACCGAAGCGGTAGCTCTGCAATGACTTAAGAGCAGTTTTGTGCGCTTTTCCTGACGGGGTTCCGCCTCCAAAATGCATAAGTTCTCGCGAGACGCAGTAAGGCACCGGCTCGAACTGGGGCGGGCCACTGCCAGGAAAGCAACGCCCCTGAATGCTTATGCCGGTGGTTGGTAGAGGAAATGGAATTCCCCAGACTGGTAAGAGCGCGCGCAGACACAGCCTTGTCTCACGCGCCCAATCAGGAGCGTGTGGTGGGAGGTGCCAAGGATTAATTACCAGATACCTTTAGTCTAGCTCGGGCCGGGATTTTGAGGTTTCCGGTGGAGCAGGTGAGCAGTATTTACTCGCCTGCCCTCCTGGGCTGGTTATGCTGTGGGAGGAGGCGCCCCTCGAGATGGGAATAGTAGTTTTAAATAGACCCAGGTTGGCCGCTCATCAGCGCTCCCACGTGCTGAAGTCTAGTGCACGTCTGACCCTAAGGGAGCAATACTGAGAACAGCAGGGAGCAGGCTGAGTCAAGCTCAATTGAGTGGATGGGGCTAGGACAGAGAGAGTTAGGGGCAGGGTTTTCACTGGTCTCCGTAATCAGTCGCTGCCGTCCGCCAAGGTGTAGATGTGGGAACAAGCTTAAATTCTCAAACTTTAGCTTCTGTTGCTGTGTTTCAGTTCTTGAGCCAGAAAGTGTTGAGACTAATTAGTTAATTAGGTAGAGTTTAGAGTCAGAAAAACAATACAATACTTCCTGAAATATCCAAGTTGGGAGGTGGGATTTACCTCAGTAGGATTGGCCTGTTTTAGTCAAGGGTTTAAAGTATGGAGACGGCAGTTATGCTCTCTAGTGTATCCTTCAGGCAAAAGAAAGACCTTAATTTTTATGAGGAATTTAAAAGTGGGTAAGCACTGACCAGCTTAAGGTTTTTTAACATTCCTTAATGACCCCAGTTACCGAAGTGGAGATCTTCAATTACTTGGAAAAATAAACTTGTTTTAAAAATACACTTAATTTGAAAACTGTTGCAGAAAGTTTTACCTAATAAAAACTTAACACGTCAACAATGATGAATATAAGTAGTCTAATGTATACTGTTCAAGTGACCATGTAGTGTCACTAGTGAAGCAGTGCTTCTCAAACTAGTGTCCATAGGAACCACCTGGGGTTTTGTTGAAAATGCGACTTTGATTTGGTAGGGCAGTGGTGGAGCCTGAGAGCCTACATTTCTAACTAGCTCCCAGGTGATACAGATTTTTCTCGTCTGAACCACCCCGTGAGTAGCAAAGCACTGAAGTGCTTACCTCATGGCCTAACTGCTCATGAGGCTCACCTCAGTAACACCTCTGGCCCCTCCCTCCTCCCTGAATAATCTGTGTTCTCTCTCATAGCTAGCCAGATATACTAAAAGCACAGGACTAGGCATGAAGATGGAGGGAGGAACCCAGATTAGTTATTGCTTCCCATTTGCTTGATATTGGCCTGGTTAGTTATCTTCTAACCCCGTTTCTTCACCGCTAAAGTAAGTAATAATGACTGTCCTTTCTCACAGGGTGATTGTGTGGTTAAAGTGTCATAATATATGTGAAAGGACACTGGAGACTCTACAGTGCTGTATAAATGTCAGTTATTAAAGTAACCAGTCAGACATTAACTGGCCATAGTGTGAAACAAATGTATAGTAGTAATAGTGGCCACGCCTGTAATCCCAGCACTTTGGGAGGCTGAGACGGGTGGATCATATGAGATCAGGAGTTCGAGACCAGCCTGGCCAAAACAGTGAAACCCCATCTCTACTAAAAATACAAAAAATTAGCTGGGCGTAGTGGCGGGCGCCTGTAATCCCAGCTGCTTGGGAGGCTGAGGCCGGAGAATCGCTTGAGCCTGGAAGGCGGAGGTTGCGGTGGGCCAAGATCACTGCGACAGAGTGAGACCCTGTCTCAAAAAAAAACAAGAACAAAAAACAAAACTAATATATATGGAGTTCTAGATTATCCATGCTTATAAAGGCAAGTGATTGTGTAATCACAAACTCATTATTGTTAGGCAGTGAAGTAAATTCATTGGTTGATTGGGCTTTCTGTTTACAAGTTTGTATTTGCATAAGTGGACTTACATTTCTGCTTATATTTTGCCATGGTTAAAATCAAAAGAAACATAGCCTAGAAGCATTTTGATGCCTTAGGATAAAGCAGGCTAAGATTAAGTTAAATTTTAAAACATTATTCATGTACCTGTTGTTACAGAGAGCCCACTTTACAGTTGCAAATAAAGTTAAAACATTTTCATTCATTTAACTTACTTGAATTACAATGGTAGAGATGTCCTCATTTGAAACAAGAAAGGAAAATAATCATGTTTTTTATATTGCAGTCGGAAATAATGCTAACAAGAAAAAAATTATGGCTGTAAATACTGAAAGAAAAATTTACATTTAGAAATTAATAAAGGTACAAAAATGTTGAAAATTTAATTAACTAAAAATAATCCCTTCCTTAATAAATACTATTTTGAAGTCCTAAAAACTTTGTAAATATAGTAGATCAGATTATCTTGCATGAATTGACATAAAACATGAGAAAATAGAAAGGATCAAGAAAATTAAAGCTGGGCTGGTGGCTTACGCCTGTAATCCCAGCACTTTGTGAGGCCAAGGTGGAACGATCACTTGAGCCCAGGAGTTTGAGACCAGCCTGGATAACATAGGGTGACCCAGTCTCTACAAAAATAATAAAACAATTAGCTGAGCATGGTGGTACACGCCTATGGTCCCAGCTACTTGGGAGGCTGAGGTGGGAGGATTGCCTCAGCCTGGGAGGTTGAGGCTGCAGTGAGCTGTGATTGTGCCACTATACTCAAGCCTGTGATGGAGCAAGACCCTGTCTCAGAGAAAATTACTAGTAAATGGGCAATTAATCTACCAATCTGAATAATGGTGGTGTGCCAGGGTCTTATTACATGAATTTTTCAGTGAGGCCACGTTATTATAATAACTTGAGAGTAAGGGGTTAATTAGAATGTATTGATGAATAAACATAATTAACAGATTTTATATATATGTACTTAATATTGTATCTATGTTTTCATGTATCTTTAATTTTGTTACAGAATATTATAACTTGCCAAAGACACTGGCTCTAGTACAGTGTATACCATTTTATTAGTTTAATTAAATTGTAAATGCTACGGTCCAGATTTTATATTCAGAATGCTCATTTACATATTCTGCCTGGACCAAGTAATTTGGAGCCCAGGTCAACCAAATGTTATTTTACATTGTTTGCACAAAAATCAAATTGATTTCTATACTTAACAATTCAGAATCTCATTAAGTCAAATTAATATGGTTTAAGAAAGTGTACTTTATTTCATGCTAAGATGTCATTTTGGCCTTAATAAGGCTTTTGGCATGTAATGAAGCATGCACAAATCTTTGAGATAAAAATAGAGCATTTTTCCACACAAAAACATATATATACACAAATGTTCAGAGTAGGGCTATTCTACTTTTTAGTAGAAACAACTCAAATGTCCATCAGCTGATGAATGGATAAAGAAGATGTGATATATGTGTATAATGGAATATTATTATTATTATAAGGAACAAAGTACTAATACATGTTACAAAATGTATCTTGAAGCCTTAAAACATTCTGTCAAGTGAAAGAGCCAGACACAAAAGGCCACATACTGTTTGATTCTGTTTATGTGAAATGACCACAATAGTGCATTCTGTCTTCCAAAAAGCTGGTTTACTTACAAACACAGGTTAAAAAAATATATATTTGTAATACTGCTTTTGGTGTAGGGTGAGGCACGATAAAGAGACTTTCATTCGGTTTGTCAATCAGTGATACTTAGGTCTGAATAGGCAAGTGGGAGTCTTTCAGGTTTAGGACAAAGAATGTTAATGTAGTAGAGATCTGTTGATAGAGTCACTCCTAGTTTTCTATTTATTTAAAAAACATCGAATTACTATTAGGTGCTAGACACTGAAGATACATAAAAGACACAGATGTCATCTATAAGAAAGTCTCTTGAGGAGACCAGTAAGCATCAGACAACATCATAGAGTGGGTTCAGTGACATAAATGTGTGCACAGAGCACTATTAATGTACTGAACTCAGCTGGCGGTGGTCAGGGAAAGTTTCTCTGAGGAAGAGAGTTGTATTAAAACAAATGAAAAAAAGGGAGCAAGGCAAAGTTGGAAAAAAATTGTGAGGGAGGCTCCTAGGAAGAGGAAACAGCATGCAAAGTCTCAGAGATGACTTGATAAGTTTTTAAAACTAGAAAAACTTTGGCTGCAGTATTGCGAGGTTGAGGTGGCGGGGGGAGCGGCAAGGAGAGAATGAGAAGACAGAAAAGATGAGGAGACAAGATAGATTTGAAAGACATGACTGGAGATCTTGAGGGCCTTTTATTTTGAAGGGGATGGGATAGAATGGAGAAATTGAATTTTTAACAAAAATGGCCTGATCAGATTTGATGGCAAAAAGGTAACTGTGATAGCAATGTTGAAGCATGTGCCCAAAGTATGTATTGGGATGGAGACTAGAGGCAAGAAAAACAGGATGTTAATGAAATAATCCTGAAGAAATGTGAGAAAGATCTGAAATAGTTGCACTAATAAGAGAGAGTACAGGAAGTAAACTTAGTTTATTTACTGGGTCAAGCTTGCCTAAAAAATATTTGGGGGCGGGGGGAATTCTCCCTCCAGTTACCTTTATTAGAATGTTACAATAAAATCAAGCCAGGCACAGTGGCTTATGCCTGTAATTCCAGCACTTTGGGAGGCCAAAGCAGGAGGATTGCTTGAGTCCAAGAGTTTGAGATCAGCCTGTGCAACATGATGAAACTGTGTCTCTACAAAAAAATTAGGCATAGTGGCATGTGCCTGTGGTCCCAGCTGCTCTGGAAGCTGAGGTGGGAGGATCCCTTGAGCCCAGAAGGTCAAGGTTGCAGTGAGCCATGTTGCAGCAGTGCACTCTAGCCTAGGTGACAGAGTGAGACCCTGTCTCTCAAAAAAAAAAAAAAATGTTTATAGAAAAACAAAATATGATATTCTAATAAAATAACTTGAAACAATAGTATGAACTTCCTATGTTTTTAGCTCTTAAAGAACTACGAAACTAAAGTTTACATAACATTGGAAACATGTGCTACATGTTTTTTTTTTTTGCAAATCAAATCTCCTCTTGAAACTCAAATGTAGGACTAACTGCCACAATTTCATTTCTTTTAAATTTGGCCATGTCTGTACTAACTGCTGTGATCCATGTCTCAGTTCTCTTACCACTTTACTAGAACCTTTGGGAGACTTTTGTTCATTCTTTGACTGATATCATTTGGCTTTCAAGTGGCCAGGAAAAAGAATTCATTATCTATTTCTGTTCCATCTGCCTCAGACAAAATACTATTATGTGTTGCCAACAAGATCATAAACCTAAATAAAACAGAGGTTCTAAAATCACATGGCAGTACTTAGTATAAGTGGGTATCAAGGTGACTGAGACTGTGCTTACAGTAATTATAGATTACTAAAATCACAAAATGGAAAAAAGTTCATGTAGAGAATTCAAAGAATTTAGTTTGATGTAGATAGAGATTATAACAATCCTTTTGTCACATACCTAAAGTGGAATTTGTTGAGTTTGACCTTGTGACTTTTGAGTCAAGAAATGCTAGGCAGGTAGAACAGATAAATTAATAAACCTGATTCTGAAATGGAAGTAAAAGGGCTTTAAAGATGTTAGAAGCATTTTAAGATTCATTCTCATTCTGGATCTCAGGACATAATTTCTTATAGAAAAGTAGTTGTGCCTGCAGATCAATCCACAAAAGGCTTTAAAACCCACCCTCCCTGTATATATTACACCTATGAGAAAATGCTCCATAGAATTCCAAATTGATAACAGGAGGACCGACCTACCCCTCTGCCCGCCAGAATTCCCGTGGCTCAGGGCAAGTACTGAAGCCGAATAGGAAGAATTGACTGAGGGTAAATCATGTTGAGTGGTTGGTTGAAAGCTTTGAAAAGTTGGAGAATGGTGGTTAAGAAATCTGTACATTCAGACTTCTTGAATGTCACTGTATGTTTTGGGTTAGTGCTGGGATACTTTTCTTTTTTAGTGCCAGATCCATTAATTTACATTCCTCTCCACTGCCATTATCAATTGCTTCCTAACAGAAACCAGTAAGCTTTCTTTTTCCCCCTTTTCTACAGAGAAGAGCAGTTTCACAAGATTCAACTTTTCTTATACTTTTGTTCCTAAAACAGATACACACTCTGTTAAGTTTTCATAAGGGTTTTTATTTCTGCAAGTATGACTTTAGTGTTTATATATGATTATAAGCAGGCAGCTAGCAGGGAAACCATGGGTAAAGGATTAAAAAACTCTCATTTGATCCTGGTTTCCCTCCTACCACCACTTCAGCCCCCAATCCCTGCCTAACAAATTAGACCCAATAGAAAAAGTCACAAGATTGAGGGCCGGGTGTGGTGGTACATAGCTGTAATCCCAGCACTTTGGGAGGTCAAGGCAGGGTGGATTGCTTAAACCCAGGAGTTAGAGACCATCTTGGGCAACATGGCAAAACCCTGTCTGTACAGAAAATAAAAAATCAGCATGGCGTGGTGGTATGCACCAGTAGTCCCACATACTAGGGAGGCTGAGGTGGGAGGATTACTTGGGCCCAGGAGGTCAAGGCTGCAGTGAGCTGTGATCAGGCCACTGCCCTCCAGCCTGGATGACAGAGTGAGACCCTGTCTGGAAAAAAAAAAAAGATTCAACTTTTTTTTTTTTTGTCTTTTGTTTGTTTTGAGACAGGGTCTCTCTGTTACCCAAGTTGGAGTGCAGTGGCACCATCTTGGCTCACTGAAGCCTCTGCCTCCAGGGCTCAAGGAGTCCTCCCACCTCAGCCTCCTGAGTAGCTGGGACTACAGGCATATGCCACTAGGCCCAGCTAATTTTTGAACTTGCCCACACAGATTCTTTCCCCTTTTCCATCCATCTCCAATCCCCACTCTCTCAGGATACCCTGATGGCTCTGTGGGTATCCTTAGTGTTCACTTATCACAGTCTACAGAACCACCAGTCTAATGAATATAAAATATTTTAAATTATAATGAAGAAGCCTCATTATGAGTAATAGTAACATGTGAAGCAAATACAATCAGCCCTCCAGATCTGTGAGTTCCACATCCATGGATTCAACCAACCACGGATCCAAAATACACATTTTTAATTGCATATTTTCTGAACATACATACTTTTTTCTTGTTACTGTTCCCTAGACAATACAGTATATTTACAGTGTTTACATTGTACTAAGTATTATAAGCAATCTAAGGAGGATGTGTATAAGTTATATGCAAATATTATGGCATTTTATATCATGGATTTAAGCATCCTTGGATTTTGGTATCTGAGAGTGGTTCTGGAAACAATCCCTCATGGATACTGGAGGATGACTATAATATGAAGTATATTAGAGATAAACATATAAAGACAGGCACTCAGAGGAGTGGCTTACCAGCAGACATGTAATAAAAACATGAGAATTTCAGTTGCCTGACATCTCTGTAAGCCAGAGATATGTGCTTTTTGGCTGCCCAAAGAAACTATTTCAGTTTAACCCTGAAAGAAAGGAACTATGTTGTCTAGCATAAAGCAGTTACCTCTTCCTCATCTCTACCAGTTAGACCACAGCTACATTGTTATGTTTTTAACAGCTTTATTGAAATATAATTGACATACAATAAATTATACATACCTAAATAAACAGTTTGATAAGCTAACATATATATATACCCATGAAGCTCACCAAAATCAAGATAATGAACTTCACCACAAGTTTCCTTATGCTCTTTTATAAATCCTTTCTCTTGTTCTTCCCCCACCCCTCTGTCTTCTTAACCCACAGGACACCTCTGATCTATTTTCTGTCACGGTAAATTAGTTTGCATTTTCTAGAGCTGTATTGAAGTTGAATCACAATACAACTTCTTGTCTGCCTTTTTTCACTTAGCATAATTATTTTGAGACTTACCTATATTGTTGTCTCTCAGTAGTTCATTATCTTTTATTGCTAAATAATATTCCATTGTATGTATTTGCCACAATTTATCCATTCACCAGTCAGTGGACATTTGGTTTGTTTCCATTTTTTTTTTTTTTTTTTTTTTTGTGACTGAGTCTCACTCTGTCACCCAGGCTGGAGTGCAGTGGCGCAATCTTGGCTTACTGTAACCTCTGCCTCCTGGGTTCAAATGATTCTCCTGTCTCAGCCTCCTGAGTAGCTGGGACTATAGGCACTCGCCACCACGCCGGCTAATTTTTTTATTTTTTAGTAGAGACGGGGTTTCACCATGTTGGCCAGGCTGGTCTCGAACTCCTGACCTCAGGTGATCCACTCAGCTCAGCCTCCCAAAGTGCTGGGATTATAAGAGTGAGGCACTCCGCCTAGCCTCTTCCAATTTTTGTCTTATTACAAATAGGGCTACTATGAACATTCTTTACAGTGTTTATATGGACATATGTTTTCATTTCTCTTGAGTAAGTAGCTTAGGAGTGGAATAGCTAGATTATATGGTAGATATGTGTTTAACTTTTTAAGAAACTGCCAAACTTTCCCAAGTGTTTTTTACCACTTTATGGTCCCACAAGCTATGTATGAGTGTTCCAATTTCTCCTGACTGGTTAGGATTAGTCTTTTCAATTTTAGCCATTGTAATAGGTGTGTAGTGGTATTTCATTGTCATTTTAATTTGCATTTTCCTAGTGACCAATGATATTGGCATTTTTTCATGTGCTTCTTTGTCATCCACATATCTTCTTTGCTGAAATGCCTGTCTGTATTTTTCCCCATTGTTCATTGTATTCCTTTTGTCAGTATTTATTTATAGGTGACACATATGGGAGTGGCCTTAAATGTTTTTTAACTAATAAAGTCATAACAAGGTAACATATACCTGGAGGAATATGAAAAAGCATGACAAACTTTACTTTGCGAGATAGCAAAATTTAAGATTTCACTATATAAATCTGAGTACTAGGTCAATTTTTTTTGTGGGTTTTTGGGTGAAACCTGCTAGACAGATTCTAAAAGAGCAGTCACACTATGTCTATTTTTTAAATTATTAGCTAGCAGAACCACCTCAACTCATATTGACTAGTCCCTAAGTCACTTCCACAATTAAGAGTATAGGCAGTAGTGTGATAGAACTGGCTTGTAACAGCTTACAAGGGTCAATTTAAAAATTGTAGGAATTTTGCAGGCTGATTGTTAAACACAGCCATTATTAAAAATTATAGAAACTGACAATTATATTAAAATCTGTTAAATAAAGCTCAATAATAAATACTCAAAACTCACTTCCTAGTTATTTTACTATAGACATACCTAATTTTATTGAACTTCATGGATATGGTATATTTTACAAGTTGTAAGTTTGTGGCAGCCCATATTGTGCAAGTTTGTGGTGCCATTTTTCCAACAGCATGTGCCTACTTTGTTAGTATGTTTTAGCAATAAAGTATTTTTTAATTAAAGTATGTACACAGGCCAGGTGCAATGGCTCATGCCTGTAATCCCAGCATTTTGGGAGGCTGAGGTGGGAGGATCGCTTGGGCCCAGGAGTTTGAGACAAGCTTAGGCAACACAGTGATCCTGTCTCTACAAAAAATTTTTCGGCTGGGCGCAGTGGCTCACGCCTGTAATCCCAGCACTTTGGGAGGCCAAGGCGGGCGGATCACGAGGTCAGGAGATCGAGACCATCCTGGCTAACATGGTGAAAACCCATCTCTACTAAAAATACAAAAAAATTAGCCAGGCGTGGTGGCAGGCACCTGTAGTCCCAGCTACTCGGGAGAGGCTGAGGCAGAAGAATGGTGTGAACCCGGGAGGCGGAGCTTGCAGTGAGCCGAGATTGCGCCACTGCACTCAAGCCTGGGTGGCAGAGTGAGACTCTGTCTCAAAAAATATATACATATTTTTCTAAAATTTTCTAAAATAGCTGTAGTCTCAGCTATTTGGGAGGCTGAGGTGGGAGGATTGCTGAAACCTGGGAGGTTGAGGCTGCTGTGAGCCATGGTCTTGCTGCTGCACTCCTACCTGGTGACAGAGCAAGACTCTGTCTCAAAAAAAACTGTGTACACTTGTTTTAGACATAATGCTATTGCACATTTAAATAGTGTAAACATAACTTTCATATGCACTAGGAAATGGAAAAATTCACGCGAACTAAACCCACAGTATCTCTGAGGTATGCTATACCTTTTACTGTGTTCCGTGTTTTTGTGGTTATGTCTATTGTATCTGCATGGTGGAAGTATTACAGTTTGATAGTGTGCACCTCTTCCCAGCTCTGTGTTCAGTGATGTTCTTTGGAACATGACACAGTACCACATAGGAGTACTTTCCCCAGGGAAATTTGAAAACACCACAGATCAGATCTCTGCCTGCTGCTCCCTACTTCAGGCTAGTTGTTAAACTTTACCAGCACACTTGTGATGACATGACCCTTCAAGTTGACTGACTTCTGTCAGTAATGAATAATCGAGGCATCAGTTAGATGGAGAGTTTACCTTTGTGAAACACTTAACTCTCAAAAAGAAATATTTTTGTTACAGAATAAAGCTTGTAACACCTAGTTTTCTTGGTGTTCAATGTTTTCCTTACTTCCAAATTCTCTAAGGTAGAGAAAGGTAAAGTCTGACTACTGGATAAGGGGGGATACTAATACAGTAGTTCTGTGGTCTCAAGTAAAAGCGTAAAATATTACATTTGAAGTAGAACTAGAAAGGATGCTAAACAAAACTGTGCTGGGCAAAAAAAAAAAAAAAAAAAAAAAAGAGGAAAAGGAAAGGCAAATAGCTCTATCTAACCAAAATTCTATTCATGTGAGGGAGCAAAAGATGATACAAGAGGAGAGTTTCTTCTGACCCCCAAATCAGCTTTTTAATGGATGAAGCTCTTTTTGTCCAGAGTTACTGAAGCTTCTGGATGTTGTTAGGAATTTAAGTTCCCAGACAGATTCAGTAAAATACTATAGCAGTCCAGAGAAAACCAAATAAACTTGCAGGGAGAGGGAGGGAAGGGAAATTCTAAGTATAAAAGATAAATCTACAGCTAAGGTTGAATGGCTGTTACAATTAAATTTTTTTAAAACTAGGAGAAACTGACTAAGGATTTCAAATGGAATAGAAACTGTCTTACACTTTAGGGTCTAAATGAAAGGCATATACATTTAAAATGTAAAAGAAAGAAATATATCATATGACTTTCTTCTTCTTTCTTACTTTTTTGAGACAGGGTCTCACTCTGTCACCTAGGCTGGAATGCAATGGCGCCATCATGGCTCACTACAGCCTCAACCTCACAGGCTCAAGTGATCCTCCCACCTCAGCCACCACCACCAAAGAGCTAGGACTACAGCCGCTTGCCGCCACACCCAGCTAATTTTTTTTATCTTTTGTAGAAACAGGGTTTCACCATATTGCCCAGGCTTGTCTTGAACTCCTGGGATCAAGCAACCTGCCCGCCTCGGCTTCCCAAAGTGCCATGATTACAGTGTGAGCTACTGCACCCGGCCTCATATGATTTTGAATAAGGCATTTGCTTTATGCTTTACAAGGTACTAGTAGTAAAAACTGTTTAGAGTGATGTACATAAAGAACAGTTCAGACACAAATGTAAGACCTGAAGCTATAAAACTACTAGAAGAAAACAGGTAAACCACTTCAGGACATTGGGTCTAGGCAAAGATTTTATGGCTAAGACCTCAAAAGCACAAACAGCAAAGACAAAAATAGCCAAATTGGACTATATTAAACTAAAAAGCTCAGCAAAGGAAACAGCAGAGTGAAGAGATAACCTGTTGTATGGAAGAAAATATTTACAAACTATTAATCCAACAAGGGACTAATGTTGAGAGTATACAAGGAACTTAAAAGTAAAACAAAAATAACCCCATTAAAAGTGGTCAAGCGATGTGAATAGACATTTCTCAGAAGAAGACACAAATGCCCAATAAGTATATGAAAAATGTGTAATATCACTAATCATCAGAAAGATGCAAATGAAAACCACAGTAAGGTATCACCTATGACAGAGTGGTTATTACGAAAATAACAGATGCTGGTAAGGATGCAGAAGAAATTCTTTTATACTGTCAGTGGGATTGTAAATTAATACAGCCTCTATGGAAACACAGTATTTCTCAAAAAACTAAAAGAACTGCCATATGATCTGTCAATCCCACTAATGGGTATTTATTCAAAGGAAAAGAAATCAGTTCAATGCAGCACTATTCACAGTGGCAAAGAACAGAATCAACTTACGTGTCCGTCAACAGATGAATGGATAAAGAAAATGTGTTACCTATGCACAATGAATACTATTGGCCACAAAAAAGAATGAAATCATTTCCTCTGCAGAAACATGGAAGGTACTGGAGATTATTGTGTTAAGTGAAATAAGCCAGGCACAGAATGACAAATATCACATGTTCTCTCATTCATGTGGAAGCTAAACATGTTGATCTCATGGAGGCAGAGAGTAGAATGATGGTTACCAGAAGCTGGGAAAGGTGTCTGGGTGGGAGGGGGGATGAAGAGACGTTGGTGAATGGGTACAAACATACAGTGAGATATGGAACAAAGGAATGTTTAATAGCAGAGTAGGGTAACTATAGCTAGTAACAGTGAATGCTTTTTGTATTTTAAAGTAGCTAGGAGAGAAGACTTGAAATGTTCCCAGCACTTAGAAATGAGAAATATTCGAGGTGATGGATACCCCAGTCAAGGTAACAAAATAGCCCATATACCTCATAAATATGTAAACTATTATATATCGATTTTTTTAAAAGTATAGCAGTTTGTTACAAAAATTAGCTGGGCACGGTGGCAGGCGCCTGTAGTCCCAGCTACTCAGGAGGCTGAGGCAGGAGAATCGCTTGAACCCAGGAGGCAGAGGTTGCTGCAGTGAGCTGAGATCATGCCACTGCACTCCAGTCTGGGTGACAGAACAAGACTCTTTTAAAAAAAAAAAAAAGTATAGCAATTTGGTATTAAACTGGAAGGACCAAAGGACCTAACAAATAATCTTTAAACCAGTCAATGCCCTATGTAACTTGTTTACCAATAAATTGGACAGAACAGATGGAACTTTAGTGGATACAGGTGGTTTATTTTTAAATGAGGAGGGAATACAAATTCCCCAGGAGATAACCTCTTTCTCTAAGAACATAAAGTTTTATGTAGGAGACAGAACATTCTCATATGAAAAATACCTAAGAATATATGAAACTAATATATGTAATAGGAAGCTATTACATATATTAATGGTAACTTAGTTGTTCAGTTTTTAGTTACTGCTGAACATCTTGACTATTTAAATAAATCACTATTTTTTCCCTAACCTTGTCCAGATTTCTAAAACTCAGTTACTCTCCTAACCAGTCTACTTAAGTGAATATATTTTTCCAGTCATCAAGACTAAGATTCAGTATAATGGAGTCATCTTTGTCTTTCACCCTTCCCTTTCCTTATGAGTGTCCATTTCTACTTATTTAGGCCTTCAATGCATATTACACCTTAAATTGTATAACAGTTTATACATTTTAAAAGATTTTCATCATTATGTAATCCCTCTGAGTTAAGCAGAAGTGATTAACATTTCATCACTCAAGTATTTATTGAGGGCCTACAAGGTCACTACAAGGTGAGTGACATATAAATAAGGATGCAGAATCAGGCAGGTCAAATGACTTGCCCAAGGTGACAGGATCAGTGATTATTACCAGTCTTATGATTCTAATATCAGCATTCTTTTCATTACACTATGATGCCTCTCAACTCATATTTGGTCCATTACTATAAATTCATAGTGGGCTTCTCTGCCTCTACTTTTCCTTCTCCAGACTATCTTGCACATCACCATTAAATTAAACACAGCTTTCATTATAATGTAGCACAATAAAGAACTTTTCAATGGTTTCCTATTGTATAGAGGAGAAAAACTTTATCTCTACTTTTTACAGGATATCTCTATTAAACTGTGATCCTCATATTCTTTTGAACATACTTTTACTTTTCTAAGAGTATGCCTTTGCTTTTAGCAGTTTAACCTTCTTTGAGTTTCAAGTCCCTAAGTAATAGTTATTACCGTAGATCTAGATATTTATGTACCAAGCATTATCTATAGACTACATATATGCACAACTACCTTGTGTATTTTGACTGAGGGAGTAAAGTTTTGATACTAAAAAAAAAAAAAAAAGAGTCCTCTTTGCTGGGTGAGGTGCCTCATGCCTGTAATCCCATTGCTTTGGGATGCCAAAGCAGGAGAATCACTTGAGACCAGGAGTTTGAGACCAGCCTGGGCAACATAGTGGGAACCTGTTTCTACCAAAACAAAAAACAAACAAACGCTGGGCATGGTGGTGCATGCCTGTAATCTCAGCTACTCAAGGAGGCTGAGGTAGGAGAATCAATTGAGGCCAGGAGTTCAAAGTTGCAGTGAGCTATGATGAGGCCAGTGCACTCTAGCCTGAGTGACAGAAAGCCTGTCTTAAAAAAAAAAAAACCTCGAGTTTCACTTCTGATAATTAAGAACTCAGTGGTTTTGATCATACTTCTGCTGTGAACAATTAAAAAAGCTAGACCAAAACCAAACAAACACCCCTGTTTAAAGGCACTTGTTAGTGACAAGTTGTATTTTCCACTATCACAACAAAGAAAAAGGCAAAATATGTGGCAGGCGTCTTTAGATTTGGAGACAACAAAACATAGTACAATTGGGTAAGCTGTTCTTAGAGGCTTAACTGTAACTGTAAGACTACCAGTTTTGGCCAGGCGTGGTGGCTCACGCCTGTAATCCCAGCACTTCGGGAGGCTGAGGTGGGTGGATCACCTGAGGTCAGGAGTTCAAGACCAGCCTGGCCAACGTGGTGAAACCCCGTCTCTACTAAAAATACAAAAATTAGCTGGAAGTGGTGGTGCATGCTTGTAATCCCAGCTACTCAGGAGGCTGAGGCAGGAGAATCGCTTGAACCTGGGAGGCAGAGGTTGCAATGAGCCGAGATCTTGCCACTGCACTCCAGCGTGGGCAACAGAATAAGACTCCGTCTCAAAATTACCAGTTTTGAGTGGGGTAGGGCCCAGACTTAGGCTTTATGATCCTGTAGACCCAATGATATTAGAAGTTAATGTAGGAGAGATGTTATATGAAGCCTCTGGCAAGTTTCAGTGCAAGAATTACAACATAGACCCTTAAGGTTTAGGAGTAAGGCCATATCTTCCTTAGCCATGATTTTGTTTCATTTTTTTTTTTTTATTTGAAAAGTACCTCTTGACTTGCTACTGGTACCTGGAAGAGATGTAACACCTGACCATGGGACATCAAGTGACTGTGTGAATCAAACTGCCCATCATGAATTGTTGTTATTTGACTCATCAAACTGTACAACTGGATGAACACAGGAGCAGTGCACTACATATGGGACTGGAACCATGAATGAGCAGGTGACTCAGACTCCTATAGTACCTGCCTCTACTCCTTCAGCACTTCTCCCTCAACCCACATAAACTGTCATCATAATGAGTTCCCTCTGACCAGTTAATGGAAGAGAAAAAAGTATGGATGTTATGGATATCCTAACATATTTCTGGCCATTGGACCCCTAGAAACCTGTGGCAAGTCCTGGAAGTTTTTCAAGGTTCATCTTGCACCTTCTAGCATGCATATGTCGTACCAAAGCATGTAGAATGCTGCCTACTTCTGCTCTTCAGTTTCATTTAATATAATTTCATTACTCTGATAAATCAGTGTGATGTTCTATGGAATAACAAAAGACCATCAAGGTCCCTTCATACCATATAGAGAACAGGAGAGTTGATGTAGCCTGAGACAAGACAGTAAGGACTTACTGTTATCCCTCCTATTTAAACGTAGTCTGTTTCTGATTCTCCTTAGAATGGGGGTGGGGGGACATTTCCAGATCAATATCAGATCAGTATCATGTCAACATGGGTATTAATTTCTTCCGAAGAAGATACCACACCTAGAACAGCAACCATAATTGGCATCCCTACCTAATTAAAGTTTGCAGTCCACTGTCATTCTTCACTAGCCATCTGGTTTTTATATTGTCATTCTCTATGATGCATCTGGTGGCCACAGGAAATTTAAATGGGAATGTGGTATGAATCACCATGGCAGCATGGTGGCACTAATCTCTGCAATTCTTTTGGTTTTTCTATTTTGCTTTTTTATGTTTTGTAGAAATGCAGTCTTGCCATGTTATATAGGCTGGTCTCAAACTCCTGGTGTCAAGCAATCCTCCTGCCTTGGTCCCCCTAAGTGCTGGGGTTACAGGCATGAGCCACTGTGCCTGGCCAATCTCTGCAATTTCCTCAGGGATATAGCCCTGCTTTTCCTTTACTATCTTAATGAGGAGTGGTAGAAAGCAGACCTAAGCTGCTGTGTAGCACTTTCTACCATAATAGCAATCCCTCCATTGATCAGGAAACCAAAATAAAGATTGTTGTTAAAAGATACATATTACCACTACACATCTGGGACTGGAGAAATAGCCACAGTATGGGTCCTTCTGGATCTACTGTTAGCCACAGCCAGGCCAAGATTCCATCACTTGACTTCCTTAGGTTCCCTATTCTGACCAGTTGTCCAGGGTAGAGTTTTGGGTTTCTAGTATTAGTACAAGTTAAGAGACAGTGCCTTAAGAATTCTAGCCAGCCTGGGCCGGGCGGTGGGTCACGCCTGTAATCTCAGCACTTTGGGAGGCCGAGGTGGGTGGATCACGAGGTCAGCAGATCGAGACCATCCTGGATAACATGGTGAAACCCTGTCTCTACTAAAAATACAAAAAAATTTACCTAGGCATGGTGGTGGGCGCCTGTAGTCCCAGCTACTTGGGAGGCTGAGGCAGGAGAATGGCGTGAACCTGGGAGGCGGGGCTTGCAGTGAGCCGAGATCGCGCCACTGCACTCCAGCCTGGGCGACAGAGCAAGACTCCATCTCAAAAAAAAAAAAAAAAAAAGAATTCTACCCAGCCTGGCCAATATGACGAAACCCCATCTCTACCAAAAACACAGAAACTAGCTGGGAGTGATGGTGCATGCCTGCAGTCCCAGCTATTTGGGAGGTAGAGGTTGCAGTGAGCTGAGATTATGCCACTGCACTCCAGCCTGGGTGACAACAGAGCAAGACCTTGTCTCAAAAACAAAACAAAACAAAACAAAGAATTTTGGATATTTTCCTTTCTCTAGTGAATGGTCACTGGTCCCTATGGAAAAGGCTTAGGGCAATGATTCCCCCAACATATCTGCTCACTGGAAGTATCTGGGGAACTTGAAAAAATACTGATGCCTGGGTCTTCCCTGAGATTACTATTTAATTAGTTTGGGTTGTGGCCTGGGCTTTAGAATCCTAAGGTGTTCTAATGTACAGACAAGTTTGAGAACCCCACTGGATTAGGGAACAATTCGTTGTATACAGCTGTGATTGCATTGCCCCTTTCGTCAAAGGATCCAGTCTCTTTCCATCAGTGAAGGAGTACCAAGTCTGGGAGCTAGATGAGATGCTTCAAATTTTACTACAAAACCACAAGAATTTTTCCACCTATATATGTCAAGCAGCACCTTGGTAGGTTACTTTATTATATTTCCAGGGACCTCATGATCATTTAGCCATTATCACTTTTCCCTGTGGGTCAAACTACTCTGGTTAACGTTCTCTCCTTTGACTTATTTTGGTAATTGTGCCTACTTTGTCTCTGATATTTATTTATTTATATTTTTATGTTTTTTGAGACAGAGTCTTGCTCTGTTGCCCAGGCTGAGTGCAGTGGTGTGATCTCGGCTCACTGCAACCTCCACTTCCCAGGCTCAAGCCATTCTCTTGCCTCAGTCTCCTGAGTAGCTGAGACCACAGGCATGCACCATCACACCCAGCTAATTTTTGTATTTTTACTAGAGATGGGGTTTCACCCTGTTGGCCAGGCTGGTCTCGGACTCCTGGCCTCAAGTGATCTGCCTGCGTTGGCCTCCCAAAGTGCTGTGATTACAGACGTGAGCCACTGTGTCTGTCTTGTCTCTGATATTTATATGCCATTATGTGGCCTCTACTGCCTTAGGATTCTAATGTTCCCACTAAGATCAGCTAACTCAGTTCCACTACAGTGTTTACCACCATCATCTCTCGCAAACAAAGACAGCCACTTCAGAGCTCCTAGGAAATAGTGGTGCTCCCATCATCATTGCATTCCTTAATGACATGGTGAAAATTAACAATGGCTAAGGAGCCTTTGTGTTTTCTCCTCTACAATATGCCCAGGAATTTCTGGCATTTTGGCCATCTTATTTATAGGCTATTACTGAATTTAAGCCTCATCCTACCAAATTATTAATGCCAAAATATTAACTCTTGATTCTTAGGTGAGTGCACCCATGCCAATAAATTTGCCATGATCTAACCTTAAATGTATTCTCATATATGCTGTCCAAGTTTCTGCTGATTAAAATGGCAAGGCCTTTAGTTCTCCTACATAGGTTTTCTCTCTCCAGAGAAGGCCTCAATTCTCTGACTAGGCTATGTTGGGATATAACTGGAGGCACTAATAGGTAGTAGGGTAAATTCTTTATTTTATTATTTTTGGAGACAGGGAGGGTCTTGCTTTGTTCAGACTGGAGTGCAGTGGTGTGATCATGGCTCATTGCAACTTTGAACTCCTGGGCTCAAGTGATCCTCCCACCTCAACCTTCTGAGTAGCTGGGACTACAGGCGCAAACCACCATGCATGGCTAATTAAATTTTTTTTTTTTTTTAGAGACAGAGCCTTGCTGTGTTGCCTAGGCTAGTCTTGAACTCCTGGGCTCAAGCAGTCCTCCCACCTCAGCCTCCCAAAGGGCTGGGATTACAGGCATGAGCTACCATGCCTAGCCCCAGCCGGTAAATTCTGAGGAGAGCATGTATCAGCTTGTGAAGGAGCTTGCCCAAGTGCAATCACTGAAAGCCTCTATGCATAGGAGCCTGGTTTCCTCAGAAAGAGATTTAGGGGAAGATTGATGTTCAGAGTTTTCAGCTTCATTTTTCTCTGCTCAAATGTCCCTATCGTATGTCTTAGGACTCCTCTCCCCACCAATGTTCCAGCATTAGAATAGGAAAGGGGAAGAATTAAGCATGTAATTGATACTACAAATCTACCATATCTGCCCAGTGATTACAGAAGATAATCAACTCCTTCAGACCTGTAATAGAGTTCTCATGCTCCACATACAGTCATTTTCTTTTTGTTGTTGTTTATGATAGTGTCTCACTCCGTCGCCCAGGCTGGAGTGCAGTTGTGCAATCAAGGCTCACTGCAACCTCCACCTCCCAGGTTCAAGCGATTCTCATGCCTCAGCCTCCCAAGTAGCTAGGACTACAGGTGTGCGCCACCACACCCAGCTAATTTTTGTATTTTTTCATAGAGATGGGGTTTTACCATGTTAGTCAGGCTGGTCTTGAACTCCTGGCCTCAAGTGATCTACCCACCTCAGCCTCCCAAAGTGCTGGGATTACAGGTGTGAGCCACCGCACCTGGTCACCACATACAGTCTTAATTGTAGTTTTTATGTTTTTCTTTTTCTTATGTATTTTTCTTTTCTTTTCTTTTCGTTAGAGATAGGGTCCCACTCTATCACCCAGGCTGGAGTGCAGTGGCATGATCATAGCTTACGGCAGCCTCAAACTCCTGGGCTTAGACAACCCTCCTGCCTCAGCCTCCTGAGTTGCTGGGATAACAGGTGTGTGCCACCATGCGCAGCTAATTAAAAAAAAATTTTTTTAGAGATGGGGTCTTGCAGTGTTGCCCAGGCTGGCCTCAAACTCCTGGCTTCAAGAGATCCTCCCACCGTAGCCTCCCAAATAGGGGACTACAGGTATTAGCCACCATGCCCCTTAACCCACGTATGCCTAGCGTTCCATTATTGGAACGCTAAGCATGTGGGAATTATTTATAGCCTACTGCTCAAGGTCATCGCCAAGGTCTGATTTTTCACTCATGCAAAAATTCAAAAAATTGCAACCTCTGGCATAAACGGGTTAAGTACTTTCTGTTTCGGACCATAAGAAAAGCCAGATGGATCTATAATCTTTATAATTACTATGGTTATCATGGTGATACACTCCTCACCTGCTTCACTTGATTTCATGTTGTTACTGGTAATCCTAATACAACTGCAAACTGGCTGGGCACAGTGACTCCTTCCTGTAATCCCAGCACTTTGGGAGGCAAAGGCAGGAGGATCATTGGAGCTCAGGAGTTCAAGACCAGCCTGGACAATATAGTGAGACTCTGTCTCTACAAAAAAAGAAAAATAGGCCGGGCATGGTGGCTCACACCTGTAATCCTAGCACTTTGGGAGGCCGAGGTGGGTGGGTCACCTGAGGTCAGGAGTTCAAGACCAGCCTCGCCAACGTGGTGAAACTCTATCTCTACTAAAAATACAAAAATTAGCTGGGCGTGGTGGTGGGTGCCTGTTATCCCAGTTACTGGGGAGGCTGAGACAGGAGAATCGCATGAACCTGGGAGGCGGAGGATGCAGTGAGCCGAGATCACACCATTGCACTCAAGCCTGGGTGACAAGAGCGAAACTCCATCTCATAAATGAATAAAAAATAAATAAATAGGCTGGGTATGGTAGTGCACGCCTATAGTCCCAGCTATTTAGGAGGCTGAGGCAGGAGGATTGTTTGAGCCTAGGAGGTTGAGGCTGCAGTGAGCTATGGTCGCACCACTGCACTCCATTCTGGGCAATAGAGTGAGACCTTGTCTCAAAAAAAAGTAAACTAAATATTGTAAGCCATGGATTACCTGTAGTCTGTAGTCTCTTTCCTTATAGGAACGAGGTTATTCCTCTGATTGATTTTATGTGTGCCTGTGTGTGTGTGTGTGTGTGTGTGTGTGTGTGTGTGTGTGTGTGTCCAACCCAATCTCAAAATCTTACTTAAGGGTCCATTTCCTGTAATAACTTCTGTTGCAAATCACCATATCTTTAGAGTCTTAAGAAGAAATAGAGGACAGATTAAAAATAATTTAAGAAGGCTTGGCATGGTGGCTCATGCATGTAATCCCAGCACTTTGAGAAGCTGAGGCAAGAGGATGGCTTGAGCCCAGGAGTTTGAGACTAGCCGGGACAACATGGCAAAACCCCACTTCTACAAAAAAAAAACTAGCTGGGTGTGGTGGCACACACCTGTAGTCCCAGGTACTTGGGAGGCTAAGGTAGGAGGATCGCCTGAGCCCAGGAGGTTGAGGCTGCAGTGAGCCCTGGTTGTGCCACTACACTGCAACTTGGGTGACAGAGTGAGACCCCTGTCTCAAAAAAAAAAAAAAAAAAAAAGGAAATATACTGGTAAAATGTATTACATTAATAATTCTGTTTATCAAGGCACCATTACAAAAAGACTAACCACAATGTAAGAAAAGATACTGGCCACACATATATTTGACCAAGAACTCATATCCAGAATATATAAATGATTCCTAAAAATCAGTAAGAAAAAGAATGACAACCCAACAGAAATATGGGCAAGTGACTTTAACAGGCACTACAGAAAAGATCTCCAAAATGTCTCTGAAGGCCATTTTTGTGAAAAACAAAAACATCTCCAAATGTTAAGTACCATAAAATGGTGCTCAACTTCAATGGTCATCAAGTAAAAGGTTAATGTCAAAATGAGATACCACTACATTCGCATCAGAATGACCAAATTAAAAAGATTGACAATACCACGTGTTGACCACAGTGTGGAGAAAGTGAAACTTTGTCACACTGTTGTGGAGCAGTGACAGGGGACGGGGGACAGGGATTGGGTAAAGTTTCCATAAACTTGGAAAACTGTCATTCTTTACAAAATTTGAAAATACATCAATGACTAAGCAACTTTAATCCTAAGTATATACTCAACAGAAATGTCTTCACTTGCATGTGAAGAGACATACAGAAGAATGCACCATAATTGGTTAATAGCTTTAAAGTGGAAACAGCCCACTGAAATATCAACAATAAAATGGATAAATATATTTTATCCATTTAATAGAATATAGAAGTGAATATGAACAAACGATAAACACCACAGATCATTTTCAGAAATATAATGGTGAAAATATACATTACATAATTTCATTCATGTAAGACTCAAAACTAGGCAAAAATGATGTATGGTTAGAAATCAGAAGAGTGGTTACATTTGGGGAACAGTGACAGGATAGTTACTGGGAGCTCTCATAAGAAGGTTTCTATTTCCTGGGTGCTGGATACAGGGACACTCTGTGATAAATCACTCATTTTTGCATATATGCTATATTTCAATTTTTTAAAAGGGTGGTCCTTAAAAGATTATGATTTAGGGTTTACCACCTTGCCCCTCTCCATCAATTCAAATATTTCTTCCAGTTCAGATCCCACACCTTACATGAAGCCTTTCCCAACCATTTCAGCCAGAAGGAATTTCTCTTTCTTCCTGGTTTTTATGCCATGTTCTCTGGGAGGTAGTGTAATATAGTGGAAATAGTATAGGCTAAGGAACTTGGACTTTAATCTGTGTGGCAATAAAGAGCAGAAGAGTGACTCGGTCAGACTTGTATCTACCTACCACAAATTTAACCAATTTTACTTATATTTCTCTGTGAACAAATATGAAAATTTATACACATATATTAAATATAAATATATAGCTTTTATACCACGGAATACTACTCAGCCATAAAAAGAAATGAAATAATGGCATTCACAGCAACTTGGATGGAGTTGGAGACCATTATTCTAAGTGAAGTAACTCAGGAATGGAAAACCAAACATCATTATGTTCTCACTTATAAGTGGGAGCTAAGCTATGAAGATGCAAAGGCTTAAGAATGATACAGTGGACTTGGGAACTTTGTTGGGGGCGGGTGAGAGGGGGGTGAGGGATAAAAGACTACGCATTGGCTACAGTGTACATTGCTCAGGTGACAGGTGCACCAGAATCTCAGAAATCATCACTAAAGAACTTATCCATGTAACCAAAACCCACCTGTTCCCCACAAACTATTGAAATAAAAATTTAAAAATACATAAAATGTGTAATTTGTGAGATTGTTACAATATTTGCCCTCAATAAATCATGCCTACTTTGTTCATGCATCTTTGCAATGTGCTTTTGCCACTTTTCCCATCAAAGGCTTTATTTCCTTACCCCTTGAATCTAGCTATCTTTGTGACTTGCTTTGACCACAGAATGCAAATAGATGTGACTTTGTACAACTTCTTAGACTAGGTCTAGAGAAGCTTCACAGCTTTTTTCACCGTTTGGAACACTGCACTGAGACCACTATGTTATAAATCTGGGAGTGAAAGACAGTGTAAAGGCAGCCACAGGAGTGAACACAGGGGAGACTAACAGAACTTTCTGGCCAAATCACAGTGTGGTGAGAGAGAATAAATCATGTTGTTTTAAGCCACTGTTTTGGAATGCATGTGTAATGCAGAAGTAGATAATTTGTAGGAAACAGAGTCCCTTTTCCATTACCTAGCTCACCTATTTACTCTGTTGTGGCAGAGAATACAATTATTTCCCAATGTCCTTTCTCCTCTTCTTCCTTTAATATTAGAACCCCCATTTTTTTTTGTTTTGTTTTGTTTTTTGTTTTTTTTTTTTGAGACGGAGTCTTGCTCTGTCTCCCAGGCTGGAGTGCAATGGTGTGATCTCAGCTCACTGCAACCTCTGCTGCCTGGGTTCAAGCAAT
Organism: Homo sapiens; assembly: GCF_000001405.40. NCBI lineage: Eukaryota > Metazoa > Chordata > Mammalia > Primates > Hominidae > Homo > Homo sapiens. Next base: position 102,851,773 of record NC_000004.12, read on the forward strand.
TCTCCTGTCTCAGCCTCCCAAGTAGCTGGGACTACAGGTGCACGCCACCACACCTGGCTAATTTTTTTGTATTTTTAGTAGAGACGGGGTTTCACAGTATTGGTCAGGCTGGTCTCGAACTCCTGACCCTCAGGTGATCCACCCACCTCAGCCTCCCAAAGTGCTGGGATTACAGGCGTGAGCCACCGTGCCCGGCAGAACCCCCATATGTTAGCTGGGTACATTGCTACATGGATAGTGACTATAATTTCCTAACTCTCTTGAAAGTTTGGCCATGTAACTATTGGCCCATGGGTCGTAAGTGGAAATGGTGGCTCCAACTTCTATGATACGCCCTTAGAAAGAAGAGGTATACTCTTTTACTATTTCCTGTTCTCAAATGTATCATGGCAGGAGCTGGAACTACCACCTTAGGCCATGAAATAGAAGCCACATATTCACATATTGAGTAGATCAGATTAAAAAGCTAAAAGTAGCTTGAGTACCTAATATCCAGAGCTGCTCTATCAGTCCTGAACCGATTATCCTTGGACTATGAGAGAAAAAGAAATTTACATCTTATGTCATTACTGTTTTGACCTGAGAGCAAGCAAACCTATAATCCCAAGTAATATGTGTTTTTCACATTCCCTCGTATATATATGTTCATGTATATATATACATTTACAAATATAAATATCCATATGTGCACACACAAATATGTAAACATCTCTATAGGTATTGGTGTATTTTGTTTTACAGATTGAGATCCTGCACTTTTCTCCATCTTTTTCTCATTTAGCAATATCTGGAAATGACAACTCATACAACTTGAATTCATTCCTTTTGATAGCTGTATAATATTTTATAGGATGCAGGAGTTGTAATTCATTCTGCTGTTTTCCTACTGATTAGCTTTCATTTTGTTACCCTTTTTTCCACTATGAATATTTTTGTGAATAGAACCTTATGTATTTCTATAGAACAGATTCCCAAGAATGGTACAGCAAGGACAAAAGATATCTGTAGCTTAAAAAATTTTAATACAGGTTGTCAGACTGTTTTACGAATAAGTTGAAAAATTTCACATTTATGCCAGCTATCTATAACAATACCCTTTTACTTGGACCCCTCACCAGCCATAGTTGCTATTGGTCATTTAACATTTTTCCCAGTCTGAAAAGATGTTTCACCTCACTTGTGACAAGAGAAATGCATAGTAAAATTTTACTGAGATTAAACATTTCTGCTTATTAGTCCCAAATCCAACAGTTTGAATAACATACTCTAATAACAATGCTGTGGGGGCACTCTCATCTGTTTATACAGCACCTATGGAGAGAAATTTGGCAATATCTGTCAAAATTACACACAAACACACACATTTTTTTTTTTTTTTTTTTTTTTTTGAGACGGAGTTTCGCTCTGTCGCCCAGGCTGGAGTGCAGTGGCGGGATCTCGGCTCACTGCAAGCTCCGCCTCCCGGGTTCACGCCATTCTCCTGCCTCAGCCTCCCGAGTAGCTGGGACTACAGGCGCCCGCCACTACACACACATCTTTAACTTAGCAATCTCTTTTCTGTGAATTTATCCAGCAGATATCTTGAACATGTGAGACAAAATTATGTACATTATTATTCAATGATACTGTTTTTAAAAGCTGAAGACTGAAAACAATGTCCATGTCCATCATAAGGTCTAGTAAAATAAGTTCTGGCATTCATGTAGTGGAATACTAAGCAGCCATTAAAAGATAAGGAATCTCATTATGGAGTTACATAAATAATTCTAAGATATATTGTAAACTAATATATGTAGGACAGTGTATATATTGTTATCTTTATTTTTAAAATGGAGAATAATATAAATTTGTATTTTTCTGTAAAATATCTGGGAAGGTATGCAAAAAACTAATAAAAGTATTAATGGGATAGGTGGTGGTGTTATGAGAAATTGGTGAACAGGAGATCATGGGAGACTGAAACGCAAAACATCTGTCTCTCTCTACACATACAGTATCTGAATGAACTATCTATTCAAAAAGGAAAGAAAAATAGCTCCTATAGAGTGAATTCAATTTCGCCTACTGTGAGTTTTATGATCCTCACTTTCATCAACTGAATAAAAGGGATAAGATCCACTTCAAAGTACTTTCTGAACACTAAATTAGAGGTGTGCTTAGCTCAGTGTCTGTCCATATTAGGCACTCAGTAAATGTTAGTTGAATTAAAAAAAAATTGTCAGTCTGTTAGACTAACTGGCATCTTATTATTTTAATTTTCATTTTCCTGATTTCTCCTGATTCTGAGCCTCTTTTCATATTTGGATTTATTATTCTCTGAATTCATATTATTTGCCCATCCATTCTTCTGTTGAATTGCTTGTTCCCTTGATGTGAATTTCTGAGTTCCCTGATTAAACCTCCTTGCAAATATTTTTCTAAATTTGTTGTGTATCTATTAATTTCGTTTAGATTTTTTTTGCAAACAAATGTTATTTTTATATTGACAAATGTGTATATTTTTTAAGGATAATGTATATTCTGCTGTTCTTACATGAAGTATTCTATAAATGTCAACTAGATCCAGTAGATTAATGATACTACAGTTCAATTTTTACTGATTTTCTGCCTGCTGGATGAATTATTGAAAGAGAGATATTGAAGTCTCTGTGATACTGGATTTGTCTATTTCTCTTCGTGGTTCTATCAGTTTTTGCCTTACACATTTTAATGCTGTTAGGTGCATATATGTTAAAGATTGTTTTATCTTTTTGGAGAATTTACCTCTATACTTACGTAATGCTTCTCTCTATCCCTGACAGTTTTCCTTTTTCTGAAATCTGCTTTGTCTGACAATATAGCAACTCCAGCTTTCTTTTTATTAGTTTTAGCATGGCAGATCTTTCTTTATTTACTTTTCACCTATCTATGTCTTTATATTTAAAGTGAGTTTCTTACATATGGTTCCTGAAAAAATGAAAAACTAGTAAAGGCTGTTGTCTTCCTCCCTCCAAATCAACCCTGAGTAACAACAGAAACAAGAAGGAAGCAAAAGCTTGAGGAATAAGATCAAAAACTTAAGAGGAAACCATAGTTAGTGTTAGGAGTAAGTTCTGAAATACTGTTTTGCCATGCCCCACTTTGCTTTGGGACAATCAGTGCCAAACTACTGATTGCTACAGAAATCACCAGCAACAGATCAGGCTTCCTGTAGGATTAGATAAAGGGTCTGTTGAAGTGAGTTGCCAATGAAAAAGTGGGGCTGACCAGATACTATAGAATATTGGGGCATTCACCCCTCCACTCCTTCCCTGCTGCCAGAATTTTGATAAATTATAACAGCCTTCTGCTGCTGGATTGTGGATTTCAACACAGATCCTTACTAGAGAAACAGTAGCAAAGAGAGAGCATCAGTTCTGTGGTTGCCTACAGCTCTTGCTTTCTGCTCCTTAAACTTGTGGGAAGGGATAAAAACGAGGGTCTGCCATTTTGCTCTACCTTTCTATCCATTATTAGAAGGGGTAGTAGATAACACTAGGAGAACATGGCTTGTGAACCAAAATATCTAGACACCTGAGGAGTATGATCACTATCAAACACAACAAATTCTACAACATGTACCAACAGAAGTAGAATAATAGGATATACCAATACTTTTAATAACTCAATTATTCATTCAACACAATTTGTAAAGATACAGGGTCTCACTCTGTTGCCCAAGCTGGAGCAATCATAGTTCACTTCATGCAGCCTTGAACTCTTGGGCTCAAGCAATCCTCCTGCCTCAGCCTTCTTGCTAGCTGGGATTACAGGTGTGTGCCACCACACCCACCTAATTTTTAGAATATTGTTTATAGAGACGAGGTCTTGCAACGTTTCCCAGGCTGCTTCAAACACCTGGCCTCAAGCAATCATCCTGCCTTGGCCTCCTGAAGTGCTGTGATTACAAGCATGAGCCGTTGTGCCCAGTTCATTCAGCAGTTTTTTACTGAACACCTACCAAGTGTCAGGTACTAAGGATTCATCAGTCAACAAGATAGGTAAATAATTTTGTTCATGTGGGACATGGCAAGGGGGACAGAGACAAAAAGATACAAATTAACTAAATAATAAACAATTTTGGAAGGTAATATTTACTACCAAAACAATGCAGAGTAGGTAGATTGGGACTGATGAAAGGGTTGCCATTTTAAAATGAAACCCATCCTAAAATAGGAGCCACAAAGATGCAGGGTTGCGGTGAGGCTGGTAATATGTGAAGAGTGAACAAGAAACCATAAAGCCATATGAGATTATTAGGTGTGGAAAAATATGAGCTAAAATAAGGATCATAGCTGGGCATGGTGGCTCATGCCTGTACTCCCAGCATTGTGAAAGGCCTAGGCAGGCAAATCACTTAAGGCCAGGAGTTCAAGACCAGCCTCGCTAACATGGCAAAACTCTGTCTCTACTAAAAATACAAAAATTAGCCAGGCATGGTGGCGCAAGCCTGTGATCCCAGCTACTCGGAAGGCTGAGGCACCAAAAATTTCTTGCAACTGGGAGGCAGAGGCTGCAGTGAGCTGAGATTGCGCCACTGCACTCCCGTCTGGGCAACAGAGCAAGACGGTCTCAAAAATAATAATGAATAAAAAATTAAAAAATAAAGAACATCATAGATAAATAGCAGGTGGATTGGATCTTATGATGCTTTTGAGATACAGAATTTTAATATTTTTGTGCAGTTAAAATCTCTAGAACTTTTCCTTTGTGCTTTCTAGTGCTTTCATGCTTTGAAAAAACCTTTTTATCCAGAGATATTTTTAGGTTGATAATTAAAATATTTAAAATCATAATATTCGTATATGGAAAGAAATTCAAACAAAATAAGATACTAGAAAGTAAAAGGCCTCATCTACTGTCTCTCCTCCTTTCCTCAGAAGTTATCATTTTTCTAGGTATCCTTCTAGAAATGTTCTATGTATAATCAAATACATGTAATTTTTAAAATTTATAAATAGGATACTATACATACTTTCTACAATTTGCTTTTTTCATTCACACATATGGCCCTACTCCAGAGATTGAGGTTTTAAATATCAGGAAGAATTTTATTTAGAAGGCAAAACTACAGAGACAAAAGATAATTGGTTACCCAGGGGTATAAGGTAGGTAGGGGTAAATAGGTGGAGCATAGGGCACTTATAGGGTAATAAAATGATTATGTATGCTACTATTATGGTGGACACATGACACTATGCAGTTGTCAAAATTGATAGAACTATACAGCACAGAGTGACCCCTAATGTTAACTATGGATTTTAGTTAATAATGTAGCAGTACTGGTTCATCAGTTGTGACAAATGTACCACACTAATGCAGGATATTAATAGGAGAAATGGTGTGTGTTGGGTTAGAGGGTGACATATGGGAATCTGTATTTTCTGCCCTGTTCTTCTGTAAATTTAAAGCTATTCTTTAAAAAGTCTTTGAAAAAACTTCATTTAGAAAAACTATTCTTAAAGCTTTGTATAGAATATTTTAAAATTGGAGGCTAGAGGTCACATATCTGGTAGACTGTTGCTATGGCCCAAACATAAAATAATAAAGGACTATACTATGGTAGCAAATAAAATTACTTTGAATAGGTTTGCTAATACCTAAGAAAATTTCACATTAGAAATTGAGTGGAATTTAAAGTTTCTAATATAAAGAAATCATGTGTCAAACATAGTGTTAATCAAAAATAGGAAAAAACAATATGCATAAAAATTATGAGAACAAAAGGAAATGTGGCTGAAAAGATGCTAATAGCCATAACATGTTGAATATGTTGTTTCTTTTTAAAGTTAACATGACACAGAGGAACCAGGAAATGCGTCTACTGCATTTAGTTTTATTTATGTTCTTAAATTGTTTATTTCCAGATTTCTGTAACATGTATATATATTTTTAAATTCAATTTTATTTTGTGTGTGTGTGTGATGGAGTATCACTCCCTCGCCTAGGCTGGAGTGCAGTGCTGCGATCTCAGCTTATTACAACCTCTGCCTCCCGGGTTCAAGCAATTCTTCTGCCTCAGCCTCCTGAGTAGCTAGGATTACAGGCATGCACCACCATGCCTGGCTAATTTTTTTGTATTTAGTAGAGACAGGGTTTCACCATGTTGGCCAGGCTGATCTCGAACTCCTGACCTCGTGATCCACCTGCCTTGGCCTCCCAAAGTGCTGGGGTTACAGGCATGAGCCACCGTGCCCGGCCTGTATTTTCTTAAAAGATCAGCCATTACCAAGTTATTATTGGATGCCTTTAATCTCTTTTGTTAGTGTATCCATATTCCAATAAAAATTTATTTATAAAAACAGGCAGTGGTCTGCTCTATAGGATCTTGCACTAATAAGTTACTTTAATTCTTTAAGGTTGTCTTGAGAATTAAAACACATAATGTACAAATAAAACACCATGATTTGGCATATAGTAAGCACTTGAAAATAGTAGTGGCTATTTTATTAAAATAGTGTGTTATCATACAGCTCAAAATGCTGATAAGATGAATCTGAAATTCAGACTTAAAAGTATTTTTATTATAGTAACAAGGTTATATTTGGGATTTTAAGTTTTGTTCTACCACCAGTGGTAGTTTAAGGCTTCTTGTATAACGGTTCTTTGTGATGTTTTTCTTGTCAGAGACACGTGTGATGAACTCTTGGGACATGTTCCACTACTTGGGGATCCTGGTATTTCCTTGCTCAGTTTTCACAAGAAATAGGTTTGGCATCTCTAGGAGTATCAAATGAAGATGTTCAGAAACGACACAAGGTGTCGTTTAAAGTTTAAAGTCATTTTCGACTTTAAAAAATATTCTATTGATATCCATTAATAATGTAGTAAAAGCTTCCAAGTTACTATAAAGTAATGGTTCTGGAAAGAGCATGTTAATTTAAAAAAATAACTACTTTAGGTATGATTGACATGTAAAGCTGTATATATTGTATATAATACAATTAGTTTGGGGATACATTCTAATCATTTATGATAATAACAACTTAGATCTCATACAAAAACTCGACACTTTAACTCATCTATCCTCTCCCACATTGTTATCGATGTCAAAATTTACATTTTTATATTGTGCATCAATTAACAAATTACTGTAGCTATAGTTATTTTTAATACTTTTAACTCAGAGTTAAAAATGATTTTATGTATCACCATTACATTACAGTATTCTGAATGTAACTCTATACTTCCCTTTACCAGGGAGTTTCATACTTTCACGTTTTCATGTTGCTAATTAGCATCCTTTAGTTTCCACTTGAAGTACTTCAACTTTAGTTTCAGTTTTAGCATTTCTTGTGAGGCAGGTCTAGTGGTGATGAACTCCCTCAGCTTTTGTTTTTGTGGAAAAGTCTTCATCTTTCCTTTTCTGAATGACAGCTTTGTGGGTAAATTATTCTTAGTTGGGAGGCTTTTCTTTTCTTTCAGTATTTTGAGTATATCATCCCATTCTCTTCTGGCTTGCAAGGTTTGCTGAAAAACCTGCTGAAAGTCTTATAGGAGCTCCCTTGTACATGACAAGTTGCTTTCCTCTGCTGCTTTCAAATTCTTTGTCATTAACTTTTGAAAATTTGATCATAATGTGTCTCAGTGAAAAAATTTTCATATCAGACAGGTAATGTGCCAGTGTTTTGGCAAGGTCTGAGAAAGGCACATCTTACACAATGGTATGAAAACCCAATCATCATGCTTATGAACCACAAAAAGATCAATGAAGACATCTTTATGTTCAACCTACATGGAATTCTTTGGGAATTGTGGATCTGGATGTTCATTTTCCTCCCCAGATTTGGGCAGTTTTCTGCTATTATTTCTTTAAATAAGCAATCTGCCTCCTTTCTCTTTCTCTGCTTGCTCTACCACTTCTATAATGCGCATATTGGTTTAGAGTCCTGTAGGCTTACTTTATTATTTTTCCTCTTTGTTCCTTTGACTGGATAATATCAAATGATCTGTCTTCAAGTTCATTGATTCTTCCTTCTGCTTGATTCAATCTGCCACTGAAGCTCACTTTTGAATTTTTCAGTTCAGTTATTGTGTTCTTTAGTTTCAGAATTTGATTTGTTTTTTTTTTTTGATATGGAGTCTCGCTCTGTCACCCAGGCTGGAGTGCAGTGGCGTGATCTCAGCTCACTGCAAGCTCTGCCTCCCGGGTTCACACCATTCTCCTGCCTCAGCCTCCTGAGTAGCTGGGACTACAGGCACCCACCACCACTCCTGGCTAATTTTTTTTGTAATTTTAGTAGAGACGGCGTTTCACCATGTTAGCCAGGATGGTCTCGATCTCCTAACCTCATGATCCACACGCCTCGGCCTCCCAAAGCACTGGGATTACAGGCGTGAGCCACCGCGCCCAGCCAGAATTTGATTGTTTAGTGGTTTCTTTGTTGAAATTCTCATTTGTTCATGTATTGTTTTCCTGATTTCGTTTAGCTCACTGAGATTCAAGGTGAGTGTTCTGAATTCTTTATCAGGTAATTTATAGGTCTCTGTTTCTTTGGGGTCAACTGCTAGAACTTTAATTTGTTCCTTTGGTTGTCATGTTTTCTTGGTGTGTGTGTGTGTGTGTTCAACTGCTAGAACTTTAATTTATTCCTTTGGTTGTCATGTTTTCCTGGTGTGTGTGTGTGTGTGTATGTGTGTGTGTGTGTGTTCTTTTAAGCCTTGTCTTCTAACTTTGCATCTGAAGAAAGAGTCACTTCCTCCAGTCTTTACTGACTAGCTTCAGAAGGGAAAGACGTTCACCAGTCAGCCTGACTAGAGATTCTGAAGGTCTCTCAGACCTTTTCTATGATATGCCCATTCCATTCCTCTTGTTCTGTCTTGGGAGGGGAAGTCTTAGGATTGTGTGCTTTCTTTCAATCTCACAAAGCTAGACTATGTGCTGAGAACCTCCTTTTATTTTCTCTAGTGCAGTGCCTCAGAGTGTTCAAGGTTGTGTGCTTTCTTCCAATCCAGCAGGAGCCAGTTGCTGATATCTGTGTGCTATCTGCTGGGGCCTGCATACACTATCTGCAGGGGAGGTTGGGCTGCTGGCTAGTGGGTGGGTGCATGGAGTGCTGGGTGTGCTTGTCAGTTGAGGGGTTCTGCAGGTGAAGTGTCCTGTAGGGCTCATGGGTGAGCCTATGGTGGAGTCTGCAAGCCAGTTAGGAGACTCCACATCTAGCTCTGAAGAATCATGTGTTGGTTGCTATAAGCCTCTGCTTCTTTTCCCTTCTCCTAGATATTCCTAGACTATTCATCTGTGAAGAGTCCCTCAGTATTCTGGATAGGGAAAAACAGAAGTGAGCCTTTTGGGCGGCAACACGCAAGGCTAGGGAAGCTGGGCACTCACTTGACTCTTACTTTCCTTCCTGGGAGAACTCATGGGCCAAAAGGGCCTCTCTTGGCACTGAACTCTGCTGCCTTGGAGGAGAAGGATGTAGGTAAAGTGAAACTGTTTTTCTTACCCTCTTCAATGTGTCTATTCTTGAGTTTTTCATTCTACTGGGGTGCTGGAACCTCTTAGCAGGTCTCCCAGGCTCCCAAAATGGTATTTGGTATTTCTGCAGGGGTTTGAGGGCTGGAACCTACTAATCCACCAACTTGCTGATGTCAGTCAGGGTGCCTTTAATCTGAATAGTATTATTTCACACAGAATGCTATCTCTGAGTTTAGTAGCTCAGAGGCAAAATATAAACAGTTAAATATATAAAGTAACATTATTAAATCTCACATTTATTCTGTGCACAACTACAATATCGCAAAGCATTATGCAGGTTCCTTCTTCATGCCTAGTTCATCGGTGCTTGGAGTAGCTAGTTCCATAAACTTCTGAGGTAATAAGAATCTGCCTTGTTATTTTATTATTTAATGACTATATTTATAGATTACAGTAACCATGGAATTTCTAAGGCAAAAAAGATGGCTTCCAAAATAGCAAAAGAAACTTCAAAGATCTATGGAATTAAGCTTTTAATTATGCACATATGCATATACAATTATGTATATCATATATGTGCTTTGTAACCATAATCTTTTGTCTAGTCAATGACTGCAAAAGTGGTATGTCAGTATACACTTACAGAATTATAGAAAAGAGAAGCTTTCTTCAGAGCTCACTCTATTCTATCATGTGTTTGCTTGTTTATTTATTTATTATGGATTGACTGACAGGGTCTCACTCTGTTGCTCAGGCTGGGGTGCAGAGGCATAATCATACCTCACTGTAACCTTAAACTCCTGGCCTGAGGTGATCCTCCCACCTTGGCTATATAGATAATTCTATATACTGTTAGTTTTTAGTACCACAAAGTGTTATGGAAGGTGATTTCAAAATAGTTTCGCCATGTTATTGATTTATAGATCCCAGTTTTGTTTCTTTAGTTTTCCATTTATTTCTAGTTTGCTGGACTTCCTCTTAAAACTGTGGGGTTAAGGCAAGGCAGTTCCAAATGTAGTTCCTCATACACAAAGGGGAAGTAAGAACACCAAACACCAAAATCAAAATGTTCTAATAAAAAAAGTTTATCTCTTTAAAATGTTGAATAGACAGATTTAATAATAATTCTTTTTTTAAAAAAATTGATTAGTTTCTCATATGATAATCATTATTTTAACCCCAACCTATAGTCCACTGTAAGTATCCTTTTAATTTGTTAAAGCATATTAGTTGTTCCATTAATTTCATCTACTTTTCCAATCCATCAATCTGTGATTCCTTTTACCTTTCTCTTATTTTGGGTTTCTTATACCTTGATCAAATGTCCTACTTTTTCTTAGTTTATTCCTCATTTAGGTGGAACACATCCTCTATTAGCTTTCTGAGAAGAGAATGCGTAGATTGTGTATTTTTTAAACCTTTTAGGTTTGAAAATGAGTTTATTGTAGTTTCACAATGGGTTCTTGGTTTGGATTGGTATAGAATTCTAAATTATAGGTAGTTTTTCTTCAGATATTTTAAGAATTGCCCTTTAACTACCAGAGCTACTGTTAAGAAGTCCAGTACATTTAACTTTTGTAGTATGTGTCTCAGTCTGTTTGGGTTGCTGTAAAGGAATACCTGAGGTTGGGTCATTTATTTAAATAAGAGGTTTATTTGGCTCATGGTTCTGCAGGCTGTACAAGAAGCATGATGCCAGTATCTGCTTCTTGTGAAATCTTCAGACTGCTTACACTGAGGGCAGAAGGCAAGAGGAACCCATGAATACACAGTTCACATGGTGAGAGAGAAAGGCCAGAAGTGAGGGGTATGGGTATGCCCAGGCTTCTTTGTTTTTCTTTGTTTTTTTTTTCTTTTTTTGAGACAGAGTCTCACTCTGTGGCCCATGCTGGAGTGCAGTGGCACAATCTTGGCTCATAGCAACCTCCGTCTCCCAGGATCAAGCGATTCTCCTGCCTCAGCCTCCCAAGTAGCTGGGATTACAGGTGTGTGCCACCACACCCAGCTAATTTTTGTATTTTTAGTAGAGATGGGGTTTCACTATGTTGGCCAGTCTGGTCTCGAACTCCTGACGTCAGGTGAGCCACCCACCTTGGCCTCCCAAAGTGCCGGGATTACAGGCGTGAGCCACCGAGCCCGGCCCCAGGCTCTTTTTAACAACTACCTCTCACAGGAGCGAACAGAGTAAGAACTAATTATCACAAGGACTATACCAAACCATTCAGGAGGGAACCACCCCTATGACCCAAACACCTCCCACTAGGCCCTACCAACAACATTGGGGATCAAATTTCTTTTTCTTTTTTGAGACAGTCTCACTCTGTGACCCAGGCTGGTTGCAGTGGTACAATCTCAGCTCACTGCAACCTCCATCTCCCGGGTTCAAGTGATTCTCATGCCTCAGCCACCTGAGTAGCTGGGGTTACAGGTATGTGCTACCACACCTGGCTAATTTTTGTATTTTTAGTAGAGATGGGGTTTCACCATGTTGGCCAGGCTGGTCTTGAACTCCTGGTCTCAAGTGATCTGCCCAGCTCAGCCTCCCAAAGTGCTGGGATTACAGACGTGGGTCACCGTGCCCAGCTGGGATCAAATTTCAATATGAGACTTGGAGGGGTCAAACAAACCACATCTAGAGAAAGAGCTCCAGAAATCTGCATGGGGTTCCTTAAGCATTTTATATTAGTAACAATCTTACATACTCAATAGCCATGTTATTAGTATTGACACATTACATAATTACATTGATCATGTAGATCTAGACCAACCACTGTGAAAAAAACAAGGTGCAGCTAATAATAAAAAAGATGAGTTGATAATGAGGTAAAAAAAATGATGAAGATGAAATATCATACTAACTATGCATGTATATGTGCCAGGTACTGTTTTAATTGCTATCTATGTCTTAATTCAGTGAATATACACAACACAACCTTAAGATGTAGGTATTACCTACATTTTTACAGGTTATATAATTTATCCTAGTAGAATCAGAATTGTAGTCTAAACAGTGTGGCTCCAAGAGTCTACAGTCTTAACTATAATGCTGTATGTAATTCCTTGCAGTAAGTAGACAGTAGTAGTGTTTTGTTATATTGTTATTAAATGCCCTTTCTTGACCAAATAAAAAATTGGCAAACCTATCTTGACTTCCCAATTTATCCAGGAATGGGCTGACAGAGCAGAAAAAGACAGGGTTTCAAAACTAAATCAAAGGATGTTTAGTGGCAGTAAAAATGTACCAGAATGTGAGATTGTGGTCACCAGTAAAATTGCTGAATTTAAGGTCTGAAAGCCAGAGTAAAGGGTCATTCATTGATGGTAAAGACGATAATGATAATAACCATTCATTGAGTATATTACAAAATTAATTGTATCTAGTCATAACCACTGGTATCACCATATCAAAGAGAAGAAAACTGAGGCCCTAATTAATTTTCAGTAAAAAGTTAAGTTTTTCATACAACTTGACAAGAGGACTCTGAAATTCATAGAGTAGTAACAAGGCCAGGCATTCACAATGCAATTTGAAGAAAACAGGTGGGGAAGCTTATCTTGCTAGATATTAACACTTACTTATATAGTTGTAGCAATTATGACAGTATGGTATTGTTATAGAGGTTATACAAATACAGCAATGGAAGAGAATAAGCAACCCAGGATGTGTGGAAACCTGATTTGAGATAAGTGACATTACAAACCACAAAAACAAGTTTAACTCTTCAATAAATGGTGCTAGAACATAGTTGTCTGTATGTAAAATAATAACAAATGAGAGTAGATCCCTTTCTCATGCACAAAAAGTAAGTACTGGGTTGAGTAAAGCCCTAATATGAAGAATATAAGTTTAAAACTTTTAGCAAAAACACAGGTGAATACCTTTGTGATTTAGGGGTAGAAAAAGATTTCTTAAACAAGACTCCCAGAACACAAATTGTAAAGAAAAAGATGAATAAATTTGACTACACCCAAACCAAATTTCAGTATAAAAACAGACATACACGGCCAGGCACGGTGGCTCACGCCTGTAATCCCAGCACTTTGGGAGGCAGAGGCAGGTGGATCATGAGGTCAGGAGTTCAAGACCAGCCTGGCAAATATGGTGAAACCTCGTCTCTACTAAAAATACAAAAATTAGCCGGGAGTGGTGGCGGGCGCCTGTAGTCCCAGCTACATGGAAGGCTGAGGCAGGAGGATCACTTGAACCTGGGAGGCAGAGGTTGTAGTGAGCTGAGATCGCGCCATTGCACTCCAGCCTGGGCAACAGAGACTCTGTCTCAACCAAAAAAAAAAAAAAAAAAGACATACACTAGGAGAAGATAAGCAACAGGAAAAGATAAGCAACCAATGTAACCAACAAGGTAATATTTTCCAGAAAACATGTACCAGTGAAACTGATGAACAAACCAATAGCACAGTGGGCAAAGATGTCAAGAGCAGACTAGTAGGCATTTGGAATTAGACTCCTAGAATTAAGATTAGCCTAAAGAAATCTGGGCTGGAAATAGAGATTTGGGCTATATCTTAACGATCATATTTGAATTTGGGGCACTGGATGACCTAATGGGAAAAAAACATGAAAGAAATAAAAGTCTTGGGCCTAGCTAGGACAGGCAGAAGATGAGTGATCCAAGCTCAAGTGCTTGAAAGTAAATAATGACTCCTTTAACTGTATTTACATATTTATCTTGAGTTTTCTGACCACAGTTTCTTTATGTCTTTTAAAGATGGAGTCTAAAAACACTATCGCATAAGGTGGTCAGATAAGCCTATTACATCTATTTAGAGCAATATTATCTTTAGACCATGTTTCATGTGCAGCCAAGAAGGCAGGGTTGTGGAAATGAAATACAAATATAAATGAAAACAGGATTTAAATTTTAAGTAAAGGGAATTTAAGAAAATATTCCTTTTAAGTGGATAATAAGGATTTTTAAATTGGTGGAGTTAGGAATTATCTCCTATTACACATTCGCATAGCTCATGTAATGCATCAGAATACCTAATATATGATCCACACCTTTTCTCTGAATTTCAAGGCCTCCCAAAAAAGTTTTATCCATATAGACTTGCATTCACTACATTTTTTCTACTTGAAAATAGCAAACCAGCTATTCACATAAACTGCTAAGAGGAAGTAAGCCAACCATAAAAAATTACATACTGTAAAATTACTTATATGTGAGGGTCAAAAACATGCACAGCAATACAGAATAGTAGTAATGGTGGTGGATGTGGTTGGAAGGGTCGCTTTTTAAAAACGCCTCTATTGAACATTCTGTATATTGATGTGGGTGGTGGTTACCTGGAACTGTACATTTGGCATTTGAGCATTTTACTATATCTTTAAATTGAGGTATGTATTTTTTAATTCTTTAAAGAAAAACTGCTTGGAGGTCTTATTCTTAATGCACAACAATCACAAACATTAAATTTATACAGTCCAGAGAATGTAAAGTTGCTTTAAAAAAATTCTTTCCTTTTCTCACTTTAAAATACCAAGGGGAAAAATTAAACTCAACACAGCACGTCTTGCCCTTGTCAAGATGACAGATCCTCTAAGAGAAGAAACGAATAGGTAATGGCCTTTTCCAGATTTTCTTTTCCTAATGTACCCCACTTCCAACCTACCCCTACCTCAACTAGGGTATCTAGTTGTACCCAAGGGTGCTTCTACATTAGATCCACAGAGATTAAAGATAACAGTTAACAGAATAGTCCAGAGGACAAGGATATTCAAGTTCCATCATCTTCAGGATAAAAAAGCTCCAGGGTTTACCTCCAAACTCTCTCTAAAGGAAATCCCATCAACCT
Source organism: Homo sapiens (assembly GCF_000001405.40). Classification (NCBI taxonomy): domain Eukaryota; kingdom Metazoa; phylum Chordata; class Mammalia; order Primates; family Hominidae; genus Homo; species Homo sapiens. The sequence goes on from NC_000004.12 coordinate 102,867,023, forward strand.
TTTAAACATCACTTTGTATACACCATCTTCTATACTGCCCTAGCTCAAAAACATGAACCTGTATCTAAACGTGTTTGTAGAATTTCCATTGTAAGTTTTACTTTAACAATTTTGAACAATTATAATGATAGAAAATTATTTAATCTAGATTTTGGTCAACTCTATTACTGATATTCTTTTTTAGTGAAGGACAATCACAAACACTAAATTTATACAGTCCAGAGAATGAAAGATTGCTTTAAAAAATTCCTTCCTTTTCTCACTGTAAAATAAAAATACCAAGGGGAAAAATGGAAAGTATTTATTATAACTGGCTGTTACACTGTCATACACAATGAAATACTGGACCATTAGCAGTTCGTTATTATATGTTGTTAAGTGTAGAACTGTAAATAATGAGGCATATTATTAAGATATCACACACATTATCCAATCAGCAAGTGCACAACTTCGGACATTTTGACTTCAGCCAAAATATGAAACAAAGTCATAGCAAGAAAGTTATTTCAAGGGAGTGAAATTTTCTCCTCTTACCCTTCAAATCTTTTAGAGATATTAATAAAAACAACTATCCAGCCTGGGCGATATAATGGGACTCCATCTACATACACACAAAAATTTTTAAAATTCGTTGGGTGTGGCAGCACACGCCTGTAAACCCAGCTACTTGGAAGGCTGAGGCAGAAGGATCCCTTAAGCCGGAGTTAGAGTCTGCGGTGAGCTATGATCTGACCACTGCACTACAGCCTGGGCGATAGAGCGAAACCTTGTAACAACAACAACAACAACAAAATTAAAACCTTCAAGATCAAGCTTGCCCAACAGGATGGCTTTGAATGCCACTCAATGCAAATCTGTAAACTTTCTTAAAACTTTATGAAAAAAAATTTTTTTTTAGCTCATTAGCTACCATTAGTGTTAGTGTATTTATGTGTGGCCCAAGACAATTCTTCTTCCAGTGTGGCCTAGGGAAGCCATAAGGACCCCCTGCGCTAGACTTCAGCAGAAGCCTTGTAACATAAAGAAAACCATACATAAGGCTTTAGATTCTTTTTTTTTTTTTTTTTTGTGACGGAGTCTTGCTCTGTCTCCCAGGCTAGAGTGCAGTGGCACATTCTCGGCTCACTGCAACCTCCGCCTCCCTGGTTCAAGCGATTCTCCTGCCTCAGTCTCCCGAGTAGCTGGGACAGGCACCTGCCACCGCGCCCGGCTAATTTTTCTATTTTTAGTAGAGACGGGGTTTCACCATCTTGACCTGGCTGGCCTCGAACTCCTGACCTCGTGATCCACCCGCCTCGGCCTCCCTAAGTGCTGGGATTACAGACGTGAGCCACCGCGCCCGGCCAGCTTTGGATTCTTTTACCACTTTCCCGAAGGAAAAGGAACTGAAAATATCTAAGGAAGGACTACTACGAATCTTCTCTGAGTGGCAAAAACCAGAGGTTTTTGGAGCTAGGGCTGCAGTTAAGTTGCCAAGGGGCAGAGATGTAAACAGTTCCTGGTTTAGTTAAAATATTTTAATTTTTATTTTTTTAAGCCTGGCCTTTGGGTGAAGGAGTAAAATTAGGCACTGGGGTCTGGGTAGGGGGAGGATACTCATGGGCGAGTATGCAACCCTAGGGCCACAGCACCCAAACTGTAGGGGAAGAGGCGGGGCGAGAGGGGACGAAGTAGAGACAGCAAGAGACTCACTTTTGAAAGGCACTTTCGGTTAGAAAGCATTCTCACATGCTTATCTCATCGCACACAGTATCCTTTCTGCTGGTCTCCAGCATCTACAGACGTTAAAGGCCCAAGAGGAGGGCCACCTTCACACGAGATTCCGAGGAGGGCCTCGCTACCCGCCAGTTCCCGCGCCTCGGCAGTCCGCCGCGAGCGTACGTCACTCGCCCGCCGCCAATCGGCGCCCGGCAGGTCACCTCTCCTCCCAGGGCCCGCCGCCCCGCCCGCCGCCCAGGCCGAGGCCGCCAGTGCCCGCCGGCCGCTTCCGCTCCCGGCGCAGGCGCGGCAGCTTGGCCAGAGCGGAGGGGGCTCGGGAGAGGAGTGGACGCCGCTGGCCAGGATGGTGCTGGAGAGCGTGGCCCGTATCGTGAAGGTGCAGCTCCCTGCATATCTGAAGCGGCTCCCAGTCCCTGAAAGCATTACCGGGTTCGCTAGGCTCACAGGTAATCCTCCCCCATCAGCCAGTCCCCATCCTTGCACGTTCGCCAAGCGGGGGAAGGAGGCGTAAAAATCCTAGGGCCAAGGGGCGGGACGGAGCTCGGCGCCTGGCACGTGATCCCCGCGCGCAGAGGAAGGTGGGCGCGCGCCGACGCAGCTGCCTGGGGAACGCCTGTGAGGCAGTCTCCGGGTGCTTGATGCCCCAGGGTCTTTTGTCCTCGGAGTTGTCTCCGGTGTCATTCCGTGGCAAGATACCAGGTTTTTGCAGAGAAGGTGCTGAGTTGGGAACAGGCCAGTCTCTTTCATCTCCTGTCCTGCTCATCGCTCTCTGTAGCGTACTTGTTTATTTTAAAGCGGGCTAAGTCGTCGTTATCTAAGGCCTCATGTAACAGGCAGCCCCAGCTACCGGCTGGGTTGTACCCTCAGCATGTGGGTGGGAGTGTGTGGGAGAGAAATATAGACTTACACGTAACACGTATATGACCGTTTTATTTAGTAACGAAATTAGGAGATAACCTCCATTCCCTCAGGTTAGAATTGACCTATCATAGGTGGCATTTGAGGTCATCTCCGTTTCTACGGTCCCGGGGCCCGCTGCGGTAACTTAAGTTGGAAGAAAGATACCTTACCCAAGAAAGTATTCGAAGGCCGGTATGAGGAGTGAAATCTTAGAAAATGAAATTTAGTGAATATATGTAACGTTCTATACTTAAGGACCCTCACTTAACCCACACAACTCATGAGGATTTCACATCTAAAGGATGAAAATCTCCAGAATGCAGTCAACACTTGGGAGATTGTGTTGAGTTATGAGCATTTCATTGTAAGGGGGATATTTCTAAACGGAACTCAGACCGAGTAGGATGGTGAAGGAATCAGCAAGTATTGAACTCCTATGTCCTAGGTTATCAGGGAGTGCAAACATGAATTAAGATAATTCTGAGGTAAATAGGGTTGCTTCGCCGGGAACGTTCTAAAGATCTGTAGTACCTGACCTAAAATACAGCAATCGCACAGCTGTCTGGTAGAAGAAAAATAAGATTTGTGTAGACTAAAATATAGAACTGATAACAAATTAACCAAATTAGTGAAGGTTATTGGGAGGTGAATTTCAGTCTAAGGAAGATTTTTTTTTAAATTAAAGAATGCTTTCCCCAAACAAATGTGGTGCTTCAGTGATAGCCCCTCTCAAAGATGAAAAAAACAAACAAAAAGACTCTGGTGGTGGGTGGTCGATAGATTTAGAAGGGATAAACTAGATGACAAATTCTCTTCCAAATCTAGAGATTCATTGAATTATGGTCAGACAGACGCTCTGTTGAGTGGATTGTGAGATTTTAATATTTTTTAAATATTAAGAGTTTTAGTAGAAAACATGCAATTGAATAGAAAGCATGGTAACAATAATAAACATTAAAAAGGAACATTAAACATCAGAAGCAATGCAAAAGTAAAATAAAATGAAAAACGTTTCACATCAAGTGTTTATAAACATCAGATCTTTTGATCCTACCAGTTTACTCTGACAGAATTGCAGCAATTCCATAAAATTTTGGCTTTCCCCACTTCTTTTACTTAAGTACTTTACATATTTTAATATAATCCTCATTTTTTCCCTAACAACTAAATACTTATTTTAGTTTTAACATCACAATGGGCCTAACCATTCATTCCCTTACAACTGGAAATTAGAAATGTTTCTATTTTTTAAAATTCATTATGTAATAGTTCATTGGCAAGTAAGCAAATACCAGTTGTCATATTTCTCCCTTTTGGATGTCTTCACTTAAATAGCAATACCAGGCCAAAACGGTATGATCATATTGTGACTTTTGTACCCTTTTGTCATTTTGACATTTGTACCTTCTTACTAATTTGCATAAGTTAACTGTTGAGGAATTTTTAACAGTCAAGAAAGGAAAATGTCCAATGAATTACCTATGTTTTTTCCAGATGGTGGCTGCATTTGTATTAGTTTCGATTCTCTGTAAATCAAGTATAATTGAAGAAAATTAGAAAGTATGAAACTAGATTTAATGGCTAGATTTTAGAAGTATGCTTTCTTTTCTTGAGGATCCCTAGTGTCAACAAATATTTAATTCCTATTAAAGACATTAAGAAAACTCAACCAAAACCTTTTCTCTCTTAAGAATATATAGTAACTTCCTCTTAAAAGTTGTTAAATATTTAATATGAAGACTGATTCTCAGAAATAATGACCATTCTGAGAAGTATTTTAATAACATACATTTAACTTAAGTCCCATTACAGTGTGGCTATAGTTAATAGTTCTCATTTTATTGCTGGTTTATTTAGGAAACATGAACATGCTTGTAATAACTGGTTTATGAAAAACATGAGATAGCCCTTTTTGGATTGGACAAAACAATTGCAGGGTTTATTTTGGAGTACTATAGAAGAAAAATTTCAGTGGCTATTTTCCACTCTCGGTCTCCCATTCTGAATAGATTGTAACAGTTAATGACATTTGGCTTTCTTAAATGAGTTACTTGTAGAATCCATAATGTACACTTTTGTTAAAATAAAAACCTGGAAGACAACTTTTTAGCAATTGTTTAAAATGTCTAGGAGACCAAAAAATATTTCCATTTTCTTCTATGAAAATTAGAGCAAAAAACAATACAGTTCACATTATTATTGCCTACATTTCCTTCCCTATTTAAATCTAGCTGTTTTTTAAAGCTATTGACTCTCTTATGATGACTCTGCATTCTTAGAAACCACATGGAGATCTTTAATGACCATATACTAGTTAAATACAGGCAGTTCTCACCTATCAGAAACAACTTAACTATCTTTGTTTATGTCACATTTTCAAGAGTGAGGCGTTCAAGATAAATTACTGTGATTATCTAATTTATGTTTAACTTAGGTTTTTGTTTTGTTTTGTTTTTTGAGAGGGAGTCTCTTTTGCCCACACTGGAGTGCAGTGTCGGCTCACTGCAACCTCTGCCTCCTGGGTTCAAGCGATGCTTATGCCTCAGCCTCCTAAGTAGCCGGGACTACAGGCATGTGCCACCATGCCTGGCTAATTTTTTGTATTTTTAGTAGAGACGGAGTTTCACCATGTTGGCCAGTCTGGTCTTGAACTCCTGACCTCAGGTAATCCGTCTGCCTCGGCCGCCCAAAGTGCTGGGATTACAGGTGTGAGCCACTGCGCCCAGCCCTACCTTAGGTTTTAAGTGGTAATAGTAAACTCATGCATTGAAAATATTTTATCTTTTCTACAGTTAAGAAATAGAAATAATTTCTGTGTTTAGCTACATATGATAAATGAGAAAATATGTTATAAAATAACTAGCAACCAAGCTGCCAGTATTATTTTTATGGTATCATAAGATGATATGGCTATATTATATGTAGATGTTTGAAAATTTGAAATGGAAAAATTCTGTTCTAGTTCTGTGGAATGTAATTCCTCATTAAGATCGGAGTTTGTCTATGTCATTTTTATGTCATTTTATGTCATTTTTAGCTATTATTAAAAAATGTTTTAATAATAGTATTTATATGTCATAAGGAATAGGTGTCATAGCTAGCCTGTGTCACTATATATAATAAAAGGTTAAACCTAATTTTGTTTCCCAAAGAAGATACTTCATTTTGACAATGTCTAAACTTTCAGAAAATTTATGCTAAAATTGGTAGCTACCGTATTATTCCGTTTTCATACTGCTATAAAGAACTACGCAAGACTGGGTAATTTATAAAGGAAAGAGGTTTAATCCACTCACAGTTCAGCATGGCTGGGGAGGCCTTAGGAAACGTACAATCATGGCGGAAGGCGAAGGGGAAACAAGGCACCTTCTTCACATCATGGCAGGAAGTAGTGCCGAGCAAAGGAGGAAGAGCCCCTTATAAAACCATCAGATATCATGAGAACTCACTCACTATCACCAGAACAGCATGGGGGATACCACACCCATAATCCAATTACCTCCACCTGGTCTTTCCCTTGGCACGAGATTATGGGGATTATAATTCAAGATGAGATTTCAGTGGGGACACAAAGCCTGACCAAATCAGCTATTCAAGTTGCTTTGAAATTTTCTTTTCTGACTAGATTTTGGTTTTCTTTTGTGAGAAAGGGTTTCACTCTGTTGCCCAGGCTGGAGTGCAGGTGGCATGATCTCTACCCACTCATTGCAGCCTTGACTTCACAAGCTCAAGCCATCCTCCCACCTCAACCTCTTGAGTAGCTGGTACTACAGGTGCACGCTACCACACCTGGCTCATTTTTTTGTATCTTATTTTAGAGACGGGGTTTTGCCATGTTGCCCAGGCTGGTCTTGAGCTCCTGAGCTTAAGCTATCCACTCACCTCAGCCTCCCAAAGTGCTGAAATTATAGGTGTGAGGCACTGTGAGTGGCCTAGATTTTGTTTCTCTGATGGTGCTGGTTCTTTCATTCTTCCTTTTTGGTCCTGTTATTTATCTTAATAGTGGGATACGTGGAAGGCTGAGGCAAGAGAATTGCTTGAGTCGTGGCACTACATTCCAGCCTAGGCAGCAGAGCGAAACCGTCTCAAAAAAAAAAAAAAAAAAAAAGGGATGTAAAAGTCAATATGTATATTAGGTCCTTGCTCAGTATTGAGCTCAATAAGAAGATGAACAACTCACATTTAAAAATTGGCAAAACAGGCCAGGTACGGTGTGGCTCATGCCTTTAATCCCACCGCTTTGGAAGGCTGAGGCAGGCAGATCACTTGAGGTTGGGAGTACGAAACTAGCCTGGCCAACATGGTGAAACCCCGTCTCTACTAAAAATGCAAAAATTAGCCGGGTGTGGTAGTGCACACTTGTATTCTCAGCTACTCAGGAGGCCAAGGCAGGAGAATCGCTTGAACCCAGGAGGCAGAGGTCACAGTAAGCTGAGATCGTGCCACTGCACTCCAGCCTGGGCAACAGAGTAAGACTCTGTCTTCAAAAAAAAAAAAAAATTGGCAAAACAGAAAAATGAACAAAATCTTATCCTTTGCAGCAATATGGATGCAGCTGGAGACCATTATCCTAAGGAGATTAACACAGAAACAGAAAACCAAATAACACATATTCTTACAACTGGGAGCTAAACATTGTGTATTCATGGACATGAAGATGGCAACAGTAGACACTGGGAACTGCTAAAGGGGAGGGAGGCAGGAGGTCAAGGGTTGAAGACTATTGGGTACTATCCTCACTACCTAGGTGGGAGGATCAGCCATATCCCAAACCTCAGCATCACACAATATACCCATATGACAAACCTGCACATTTACCTCCTCAACCTAAAATAAAAGTCGAAATTATATTAAAATATTTTAAAAAGGAAATTTGGGCACACACAAAGGGAGAACACCATGTGAAGATGGAGGCAGAGATTGGGGTGATAGACCTACAAGCTAAGGGACACCACAGCTTCTCCCTCAGATCCTCCAGAAAGAATCAACCATGCTGACACCTTGATTTTGGACTTCTCGCCACTAGAACTGTGAGTGAATACGTTTCTGTTGTTTTAAGCTAAAAAAGAAAACGAAAATGCAAGCACGAACACATTGTTCTCTGCAGTTTAGGGAATCCTAGTAGAGACTACTGCTCACATTTGTTCTCTCTTCTCTGCTTTAATGGCCACTACCTTAGTTTTATCTCAAACTATTTTCTTCCAGACCATTTCCATGGATTTTCAACAGGTTGTCTTGCCTTGTCTTCTTCCACTAGCCCTCTCTGCTATTCCTGTGGCCCTCTAATCCATCTTCCATCTGATACCAGAGTGACTTCATAGGTGAACAATTTCCTAGTTAGGCTAATATTCAAATATTTCAGTGGTTTCCTATTATGCACAGGTTAGATTCTTACTTACCTGTTGAATATCAGAGTTTGTCATCATACGGCACCTGCTCAGTTCTACAGCTCCCTTTCATTAAATTCTAACAATACTATGGTGCTTAGTTTCCCAGACACTTAATGCATGTCATATCTCCGTACCTTTGCCTATGCAGCTTCCTCTGCATGGAATGAAGCTCCTCCTCCCATATTCCCATGAACTTCTGTACTCTTCATCTTTCAGAAACCTATTTAAGTATCAAAACCTGTACAGTTTTTGCTCATGCCAGTAAAAAGTGAATAACTTGTACCTCTGCGTTGCTTCTGTATTATTGCTGATAGTACACAGTATTATGATCGTCTTTTATAGGTCTGTCTTCCATACTAAATGGCAAGCTCCTTTCTAACAGGGAGTGTGTTTTATAATTTTTGTATCTTCAGTACCTGTCCCACCACCTGATACATGTGAGTGAGGTATTACAATTTTAGAAGGTGCTGAAAGTTTTTTTCTTAAATATTTTAAGTAGTCTTCCTGTATTTTAACTTACACTGTCATTATTCATAAGCCATGAACAAAGACAAGTAAGTACAGACCTTGTAGGAATTATCTCAAATGCCAGTTTATTGGAGTACAAACTCAATTAGGCTAAAACTTACTGAGGTCTTGGTTTATGTAAGTCTCTGTTAAAGGGTAGGGAGTTAGGGATTTTTTGTTTAGTTGGGGAGGAGACAAATATTTACCTAACTATATAGTTTTAAGGCAGAATGCATTAATAGTTTGAATTGTGTTCTGTAGTTTTTACTGAGTGGGTTCCTACTTCATTCGTTTCTCCCAGCAATCCTATGAAGTTAGAAGACTCTTTACTTTTCTTTGTGCCTTGAAAATTCTGCGCTCAAGTGCTTGAGCTCCTGGCTTCTCATTCGTTAGGTCTCTGCTTAAAGGTTCTTTTTTCAGAAACCTTCCCTGACCCCTTACCTAAAATTGCAGCCACCCTACTGCTTTGCCCCAGGTTAGTTTTTCTCTTATGTCATCCTTTATTTCCTTTATAACAGTTACTATAGTCTGTGATCATCTTGTTTATTTGTTCACTTGTTTATAGTCTCTGTCCTCTGAAATATATACCCTATGAGAGAAGGGACCTTATCTATTAGCCTGTATCCCCACATAGTGCAGTTTGTGGAGTGTGGTAGGTACTAAGTAAATATTGTTGAACAAATGAGCTTACAGTTGTTATTCCTGCTTTACAGACAAAAGAAACCTGGTTCCAAGTATATGAAAATCTGGATTTATACCACAGATAAACTGAATTAGTTGTTTACTGAAGTCCTGTTATGTGCAAATTACTAAGCACTGGTTACATAGATATAAATAAGACAGCTACTGTATTTGCATTTAGCACAGTATCTCTACATAGTAGGTGTATTAGTCTGTTTTCACACTGCTATAAAGGTAACTACTCAAGAGGCCAGGTGCTGTGGCTCATGCCTGTAATCCCAGTACTTTGAGAGGCCAAGGTGGGCAGATCATGAGGTCAGGAGATCGAGACCATCCTGGTCAACATGGTGAAACCCCATCTGTACTAAAAATACAAAAAAATTAGCTGGGTTTGGTGATGCACACCTGTAATCCCAGCTACTCAGGAGGCTGAGGCAGGAGAATCACTTGAACCCCTGAGGTGGAGATTGCAGTGAGCCAAGATCATGCCACTGCACTCCAGCGTGGTGACAGAGTAAGACTCCATCTGGAAAAAAAAAAAAGATAATACCCAAGAATGGGTAATTTATAAAGGAAAGAGGTTTAGTTGACTCACAGTTCTGCATGGCTAGGTAGGCCTTAGGAAACTTACGGTCATGGTAGAAGGGAGCGCAGACACCTTCTTCACAAGGAGGCTGGAGAGAGAAGAGTGAGGAGTGAAAGGGCAAGAGCCCCTTATAAAACCAGATCTCATGCGAACAGCATGGGGAAAACCACTCCCATGATCCAATCACCTCCCACCAGTTTCCTCCCTCAACATGTGGAAATTATGGGGATTATAAGAGGTGAGATTTGGGTGGGGACACAGAGCCAAGCCATATTATTCCACCCCTGGCTCCTCCCAAATTTCACATTCATTTTGCATTTCAAAATCAATCATGCCTTCCCAACAGTCCTCCAGAGTCTTAATTCATTTCATCATTAACTCAAAAGTCCACAGTACAGAGTCTCATCTGAAACAAGGCAAGTCCCTTCCACCTATGAGCCAGTAAAATAAAACATAAGTTAGTTCCTTTTAAGATACAATGGCAGTACAGGCACTGGGTAAATACACCTATTCCAAATGGGCAAAATTGGCCAAAACAGAAGGGCCACAGGGCCCATGCAAGTCTGAAATCCAGTGGGGCAGTCATTAAATCATAAAGCTCCAAAATGTTCTCCTTGACCCCATGTCACATCTGGAGAACACTGATGCCAGGGGTAGGCTCCCATGGCCTTGGGCAGCTCCTTCAAGGGCTGGCATCGAGTGCCTGCGGCTTTTCCAGATGCATGGTGCAAGCTGTTGTTAGATATACCATTCTGGGGTCTGGAGCAGGTAGCCGCCTTCTCATGGCTCTGCCAGGCAGTGACACAGTGGGGACTCTGTGTGAGGGCTCCAACCCCACATTTCCCCTTTGCACTGCCCTAGCAGAGGTTCTCCATGAAGGCTCCACCCCTGCAGTAGACTTCTGCCTGGACATCCAGGTGTTTCCATACATCCTTTGAAATCTAGGGTGAAGTTCCCAAACCTCAATTCTAGACTTCTATGCACCCACAGGCCCAACACCACATGGAAGCCACCAAGGCTTGTGGCTTGCTCCCTCTGAAGCAGTGGCTCAAGCTGTATGTTGGCCCCTTTTAGCCATGGCTGGGACACAGGGCATCAAGTCCCAATACTGCACAAAGCAGCAAAGCCCTGGGCCTGGCCCACAAAACCATTTTTTCCTTCTAGGCCTCTGGGCCTGTGATGGAAGGGCCTGCTGTGAAGACCTCTGACATGTCCTGGAGACATTTTCCCCATTGTCTTGGCAATTAATATTTGGCTCCTTGTTACTTATGCAAATTTCTGCAGCCAGCTTGAATTTCTCCCCAGAAAATGGGTTTTTCTTTTTTTTGGGGGGGCGGGGGGAAGGAGGGGGACAGAGTCTCACACTGTCACCCAAGCTGGAGTGCAGTGACACAATCTCAGCTTGCTGCAACCTCCGCCTCCTGGGTTCAAGTGATTCTCCTGCCTCAGCCTCCCGAGTAGAACTACAGGTGTGCACCACCATGCCCAGCTAATTTTGTATTTTTAGTAGAGACGGGGTTTCACCATGTTGGCCAGGACGGTCTCGATGTCTTGACCTCATGATCTGCCCGCCTCAGCCTCCCAAAGTGCTAGGATTACAGGCATGGGCCACCAGCACCCAGCTGGGTTTTTCTTTTCTGTTGCATCATCAGACTGCAAATTTTCCAAACTTTTATGCTCTGCTTCCCTTTTAAACCTAAGTTCCGATTTCAGGTCATCTCTCTCTCAAGTTTCATCAGTCTCTTGGGCAGGGGCAAAATGCCACCAGTCTGTTTGCTAAAGCATAGCAAGAGTGACCTTTGCTCCATTTCCCAGTAAGTTCCTCATCTCCAGCTGAGACCACGTCAGCCTGGATGTTATTGTCCATATCACTGTCAGCATTTTGGTCAAAACCATTCAATAAGTCTCTAGGAAGTTCCAGACTTTCCCACATCTTACTGTCTTCTGAGCCCTCCAAAGTGTTCCAACCTCTGCCAGTTACCCAGTTCCAAAATTGCTTCCACATTTTCAGGTATCTTTATAGCAGTACCCAACTCTCTGTTGTAGCAATTTACTGTATTAGCTTTCACACTGCTATAAAAGAAATAAAAACATAAAATAAAAATACTACCCCAAACTGGGTAATTTATAAAAGAAATAAGTTTAATTGACTCACAGTTACGCATGACTAGGGAGGCCTCAGGAAACTTACAATTATGGTGGAAGGGGCACCTTTTTCACGAGGCAGGAGAGAAGAGTGAAGAGCAAAGCAGGAAGAGCCCATTTTAAAACCAGATCTCATGAGAACTCACTATCAGGAGAACAGCATGGGGGAGATTGCCTTGATGATTTAATCACCAACCACCAGGTTCCTCCCTTGACGTGGGGATTATGGGATTACAATTTGAGATGAGATTTGGATGGGGACACAGAGCCAAACCATATTAGTAGATACTTAATAATTATATAGTAAATATTTAATTTTTATAGTAATAATTATATAGTAAAAATTTGTTTAACAATGAGAAATTGATTTATTCTTTCAGAAAATGTTTAGTAAGCACTTAATAAAAATCAGAAGGGGGGGATTGATTGGGAAAGTACTACAAGAGCAAACTTTCTGGGGCAATGGAAATGTATTTTGTCTTAGGTGGTGTTTATAGGTCCATATAGTTACAAAACTCATCAAACTGAGCGCTTCACAAACACAAAGCTTGGCCAGGTGCGGTGGCTAATGCCTGTAATCTCAGCACTTTGGGAGGCTGAGGCAGGCAGATGGGAGTTTGAGACCAGCCTGGCCAACATGGTGAAACCCCATCTCTACTAAAAATATAAAAATTAGCAGGGCGTTTTGGCAGGCACCTGTAATCCTAGTGACTCAGAAGGCTGAGGCAGGAGAATCGCTTGAACCCGGGAGGCAGAGGTTGCAGTGAGCCAAGATCATGCCACTGCACTCCAGCTTGGGCGACAGAGCGAGACTCCATCTCAAAAACAAACAAACAAAAAGCACAAAGCTCAATAAACTGAACTGTAAATTAAACACTTCAAACAAAAGTAAGTTAAATAAATTGAGCCAGACGTTATATAGACACTGGGGACACAGATGATCAGACAAATAAGGTCCCTGCCCTTGTATCTCTCTTTTTCTTTTATTTTTTATTTTTTTTATTTTTTTGAGATAGAGTCTCTTCTCTGTCTCCCAGGCTGGAGTGCAGTGGTGAGATCTTACCTCACTGCCACCTCCACTTCCGGGATTTAAGTGATTCTCCTGCCTCAGCCTCCTGAGTAGCTGGGATTACAGGCGTGTGCCACCATGCCCAGCTAATTTTCTGTATTTTTAGTAGAGTTGGGATTTCACCATGTTGGCCAGGCTGGTCACGAACTCCTGACCTCAAGTGATCTGCCCACCTCAGCCTCCCTTAGTGCTGGAATTACAGGCGTAAGCCACCACGCCCAGCCCCCTTGTATCTCTTATATTGTGAGTGGGGAACATGATAGGTAGATGCAGCCATTAAAATTTATGTTTCCAACTGATATTAAGGAGTTGGGGAAATAATATAATAATCTGACATACCATTAAGTGAAAAATGCAATATAGCCTTATTTTTTAAGCATTTACAGCCTATGTATTTACATACCAAAAAAGAGATACATTTACCAAATAAATACATAAATGTTATTTTTTATAATCCTAAGACAAAAATAAATAATATGCTGAATAAAATACATTATTTTATACAAAAATTTGCTTGGTGTGGTGGCGCACGTCCATAATCCCAGCTATTTGGGTGGCGGAGGCACAAGAATCACTTGAACCTGGGAGGCAGAGGTTGCAGTGAGCCAAGATCATGCCACTGCACATCAGCCTGGGTGACAGAGTGAGACTATCTCATTAAAAAAAAAATATATTTTAAATTATTTTATTTGGTCAGGCACGGTGGCTCACGCCTGTAATCCCAGCACTTTGAGAGGCCAAGGTGGGTGGATCACCTGAGGTCAGGAGCTTGAGACCAACCTGACCAACACGGTGAAACCCCATCTCTACTAAAATACAAAAATTAGCTGGGTGTGGTGGCGTGCGCCTATAATCCCAGCTACTCGGGAGGTCACTGAGGCACGAGAATCGCTTGAACCCGGGCAGTGGAGATTGCAGTGAGCTAACACGACACACACTCCAGCCTGGGAAACAGAGCGAGACGCTGTCTCAAAAAAAAAAAAAAAAAATTTTTTTTGCACATTATTTACAGTTAGTAATATTTTCCTTTCAAAGTATCTAAAATATCTGTAATAGCTGAACATATATCAAACAGATCTATAGAGACTAGCACATGTAAAATTTTTTTTAAGTTTCTTGTTTGATTCTTCTGTATTTTATCTTTCTTCATATAAAATCAGCCTTAATTGACAGAGAAATATTCTATGTACTCATTCATATGTGGGAACTAAAAAAGTTGATCTCATGGAGATAGTCAAATGGTAGTTACCAGAGGCCAGGAAGGGTAGGGAGGGAGAGAATGAAGAGAGGTTGGTTAATGGGCACTATAGTACGGTTATATAGAAAAAGTTCTAGTATTCAATAGCATAATAGGGTGACTATTGTTATCAGTAATTTTAGTGTATATTTCAAAATAGGAGAGAAAATTTGGAATGTTCTCAATATAAATAAATGATAAATGAGGTGACGAATATCCCAGTTACACTGAGTTGATCATTGCACATCATATGCATGTATGCATGTAGCAAAATATCACTTGTACCCCATAAATATGTACAGTTATTATGTATCAGTACAAAAACAGCCTGAATAAATGTACTTACAGTCATTTGAATTGAGCTTTTCAAGCTGTATTGCTTTCATGTATAAAGTTTTTCAGTAGTTAAATTGTAGTTGGTTATCTTTAAAAAGTAGATTATGTTAAGACTTTGGTAAGTTATTACTTTGTTGTAGGAGGTAATAGTACCTCTCATCACTGTATTTTTAAGCATAGTGTTTTACCAAGGAATTAAGTGTTCAAAAGAATATTTTCTGAAGTGGATTTTAAAACAGTAGTAATACCATTTGTTCTTGAGGTTTGTGGGTTAAGATAGGAAATGCTATATTTAAGAGTCTAACATTAAGGTTTTCAACCAGGCATGGTGGCTCACACCTGTAATCCCAGGACTTCGTGGGGCTGAGGCAGGCGGATCACTTGAGGTCAGGAGTTTGAGACCAGCCTGGCCAACATGGTGAAACCCCATCTCTACTAAAAATACAAAAATTAGCCAGACGTTGTGGTGTGCTCCTGCAGTTTTAGTTACTTGGGAGGCTGAGGCAGGAGGATAGCTTGTGCCCGGGAGGTGGAGGTGGTAGTGACCAAGAGCACACCACTGCACTCCAGCCTGGGCAATGGAAGTGAAACCCTGTCTCAAAAATAAATAAATAAGATTTTCATCTTTGCGTTCCCATTCACTCGCTTTTTGATAAATTTAAGCTCTTATGACTTCTAAAATATTGTAATATGTACAATAATACTTAATGTTATTCTACATTGAACAAACATTTAATGACTGCTATTTCGAGTTACATACTGGATGCTGGGGCCAATTGCAAGCTAAGATAATTAGTCAGATAAAACAGAAGGAACTCCATATGCAAAGAACTCAAAAAGGCTGCTTACTAGACAGTAGCTTTCGCTGGCCTCAGGTACATGAAGAGACCATGTTTGTGGAAGTTGAAGCTGGAAAGGTAGCCTTGCCATTCTTTGGAGATGGCACCTTATAGAGCCAATGATCTATAGTAGCATTGTCCAGTAAAACTTTGTGGTAATGGAAATGTTCTCTGTACTGTTCAATATGGTAGTCAGTAGTCACATGTAGCTAGCTATTGAGCCTCTGAAAGGTTACCAGTGTGTCTTAGAAACAGCATTTTACATTTTACTTAATTTTAATTTATTTACATGTGAATAGCCACATGTGTTTGTTTTGTTTTGTTTTGTTTTTGAGACAGAGTCTTGCTCTTGTCACCCAGGCTGGAGTGCAATGGCATGATCTCGGCTCACTGCAACCCCTGCCTCCTGAATTCAAGCGATTCTCCTGCCTCAGCCTCCCAGGTAGCTGGAATTACAGGCGCCTGCCACCACGCCTGGATAATTTTTTGTATTTTTATTAGAGACGGGGTTTCGCCATGTTGGCCAGGCTGGTCTTGAACTCCTAACCTCGTGATCTGCCCTCCTCAGCCTCCCAAAGTGTTGGGATTATAGGCATGAGCCACCACGCCCACATGTGTATATTAACCGTGTTTTCAATTTTCTGTATTTTATTATGCTTTAATATCTTAGGAGCCTTGTTGGCTGTGGAGACAATTTAATTCCTAGAGATACTAAATAACTTGCCTGTGAGCATGCCTTTCATATGCAAACCAACCAATCCAAAGCCCATGCCCCCAACCACCTCCTTTATCTAACCCTTACACATGAAGTCAGTATTTCTCCAGTCAATATTTCTCCTGCCCTAAGTCACCCCAGGGACAGGTAGGAGACGACTAGGGACCACTACTTTTGCCCAGAACCCACTGAAATTATTCAAGCTAGCCAGTCCTGAACAGTTTCCTGCCTTGCCTTTTCCATGGAAACCACAGTAAAGGCCTGTGCCCATGCTTTTTCCCTTTCCTCTTTCTTCCTCCTGATCAACCCTAGTACCTCTCATGTGGCCCTGCATTGCATAGTGTATCCTCTCCTCTTGGGAACTATAAGTAATAAACTGTTATTTCAAGACAGTTTCTACAAGTCTGTTGGGTACAAATCTAAACAGTATGGCTAGTGGTGCCCATATTGAATAGCACAGATCTTATACCTAGGCCTCCTTCTCCCCGCAAAAACAGTTCTGTGTTATCTCCAGAGCTTTAATTCACTCAAAGAACCTATTTGGAGTGTCTCCACTTTGGTTATGAGAATGTAACAGCCAGCATGGCAGACAAAGTTCATACTTTTACAGAGTTTTATTCTGGTAACTACAAGATTATATTCCTGAAGATTTTTGCCCATATAGCATTGTCAAGTTATTTGGCAAAATATTTTTTTCAAAGGAGTTGCTAGTACTTCCTCACCAATCTCTATAATCTCTGAATAAAAGCTACCATTTATTGTGTCTTTTTTGCCAGCCACTCTTATAGGTGCTATCTATGAAAATGGTAGATAAATAGGTTTTTTCATTTAGATTTCTTTGGCATGATGTTATATCAAAAATAATTCCATTTTGGAAGAGTTCATATTGTCTTTCTTTCAATAGTTAAATAGTACTATTATCTCCTGAGAGTAGTTTTACCAAGATAGGCACAGATTTTAATTTTAGATCTATTGGGTTTGATTCATGATAACTGACAACAGGCTTTGGATTTAGGGTGTCCTGGACTAAACCTGCTTAGGCTACAGTTTTCTCACATGTAAAATGGGGATAATAATGATACCTACCACATATAGTTGTTTAAGCTAACATAGTGTTAAATGAGCTAGTGCCCTTATACTCTTAGCATAACCTGTTCATTTATCTTTAATGTTTATTAGCATGAGTTAGCATATTATTTTCTGTTTTTCTCTTTTCTCAACTAAGCTATTTCCACATAGTGCCTAGCAAGGTATCAGATTCGGCATTCAGTGAAGGAAGTTAACTGGTAATTCTATAAGAACAGAAAAGAGCCCAGCAGAGGCAGGGTGCTAGCAGACATTTGATAAATGTATGTTGAAATGTTTATCTTGGTTTCCTGGTATTTTTGTGTCCACATGCATAGGGACTGTTTCATTTGTATCACTTATATTCCCTGTCCCCTTAAGACAGGCTAGGTACTCCAAAAGGCTTTAAATGAAGTTTATGGAATTAGATATATCTTAAAATGAGAACATTCAACATAGAAGGTTTCAATTTGTTCTTTAAAATAGTAGCTTTTACACAAAATTTCAGTGTTCTTTAGCAACATTTACCAAAAATGTACCTTAAAGCATCAGAGGACATGTTCTCTCTGATATTATGAATCAGTGGTAAAAATTCTGCAGATATTCTGTTGTATGATTTTGACATAGTATTAAGGAGATAAAATGTTTTCTTAACTTATAAAATATACATTGAATTTTGTTTATAGTTATAGTGATCATAACTCCTAAAATAAAAATAGACAAACACAAATAGACTTGATGTAGACAATGAGATAGGATATTTGAAATGGAACCTATTTCTGAAAAGTTAGGTTTCTAGTTTCACTGGTCTCAAATTATAAATAAAGTAAGGTGGTCTTTGGTAGAGCTGGCTTTATTGTGTTATTTATTCACAGTTTTATGGATCCATTAAAAAGGAATTAATGTAAAAAGTAACAAAGAATAAGCTCAAGGATGAAACTAGACATGCTATTTTGAATTCTTTTCCAAGAGCACTGCAGATTCTGACACATCTACATGTTTAGTTTCAGAATGGCTTCGGTTATTGCCTTTCCTTGGTGTACTCGCACTTCTTGGCTACCTTGCAGTTCGTCCATTCCTCCCGAAGAAGAAACAACAGAAGGATAGCTTGATTAATCTTAAAATACAAAAGGAAAATCCGAAAGTAGTGAATGAAATAAACATTGAAGATTTGTGTCTTACTAAAGCAGCTTATTGTAGGTGTTGGCGTTCTAAAACGGTAAGATGTCTGTTTACGTGTACACTAAAATTTTGCAGTGCTAGGATTGTTTCGCCTCTTAAATCCCCAGTTTTGAAGTTCTTTAAGATGAGAGAATTTTCTGTAATATTTGGTATTGAAAGACCATATTCCTAAATTGAAGTTTTCATGTCATGATAGATACTACCTACATTAGAAAAGTTGGAGCAGCAAAGAAGAATAAAAATCTAATGCCTTCGCAATGTTTGGCATTTATGTAGAGTAACATGTATTTTAAAATACACATTCTTTGAGAGAGGACCTAAGGTTTAATGGAAAAAAGCTTTGGTGTCATAGTAAATAGTGGTCAAATATACTTGTCACAGTATGAGTTTGGTTGGACAAGTTACTTAATTTTTAATCTCTAATCTTCAGGGTTTGTTTTAACCTGATACATCCACATTACATATCTTTGAGAAGTGAGATGATATATGTAAACTGCTTTAATAATATGAGGTAGTAAATGATAGCCTCAATTATAGATGATTTTTAATGTGGGAAGGAGTTTGGAGTGATAAGTACTATAAGTAGTTGACAAAATCTGTTTCTTGTACTTGATCATAGATTATTTGAGGTTTTTAATACAGTATTGCTCATCACAGCATCCTTTGTAATAGCAAAATTTTTATAAACTAAATATCTGATAAAAAGGGAATGATCATGTTTTTAAAGGATATATAATGACATGAGATCCTGATATGAGTAAGAAAGCATATTACAGTGTGATCCCAATTTTGTTTAAAAAACGAATACACGCAGGCCAGGCGCGGTGGCTCACGCCTGTAATCCCAGCACTTTGGGAGGCCGAGGCAGGTGGATCACCAGGTCAGGGGTTCAAGAACAGCCTGACCAACATGGTGAAACCCCGTCTCTACTAAAAAATACAAAAAAAATTAGCCAGGCGTGGTGGCATGCACCTGTAGTCCCAGCTACTCAGGAGGCTGAGGCAGGAAAATCACTTGAACCCAGGAGGCAGAGGTTGCAGTGAGCCAAGATCACGCCACTGCACTCCAGCCTGGGCGACAAGGTGAGACTGTCTCACAAAAAAAAGAAAAAAAAGAATACACACAATAAATGCATAGGAAAAAATATACCAAACTGTTAATTATTATTATGTGTATCTGGATGGGTTATGAGTGAATTTTTTAAAATTTATTTTTATTTATTCTTTATTTATTTTTGCGGGGGACAGAGTCTTGCTCTGTCACTCAGGCTGAAGTGTGATGGCATGATCTCAGCTCACTGCAACCTCCACCTCCTGGGTTCAAGGAATTCTCCCACCTCAGCCTCCCAAGTACCCGAGACACAGGCGTATGCACCACGCCCAGCTAACTTTTGTATTTTTAGTTAGAGATGGCGTTTTACCATGTTGGCCAGACTAGTCTTGAACTCCTGATGTCAAGTGATTTGTCTACCTCTGCCTCTGAAAGTGTTGGGATTACAGGCGTAAACTACCGCACCAGCCTAAAATATATTTTTGTTTTCAAAAATTGTGTGGTATGCATGAGTTTTATAGCAAGAAAAAATTATAATTTATTTTGAATTAAATTCCATTGTTTTAAAATTAAGCAATAGGTGAGCTCGAATTTTAAGCTCCACAAATGACCAAGAACTTATTCGATTCCCTTTTAAACCTGTTGTCTATTTTAATCACTCATATGGACTCATTCATAGGTTTTTATTTAAAATCTAAACCAAATAATGAAGTAACTGTTTAAATTGTTAGATTTTGAATATGGTTCAGTTGGATGTAGAATGTAACTATTACTCAGGAAAACGATCTGATTTTTTTTAGCAAGTGATATGCTTTCTTTCTGAGAGCATTTCACAAATGTTTCTACCTAATGAATCATATTTTAAAAATAACACTTGTAATTCTTTTTTCTTTTTAGTTTCCTGCCTGCGATGGTTCACATAATAAACACAATGAATTGACAGGAGATAATGTGGGTCCACTAATACTGAAGAAGAAAGAAGTATAATAATAATAACAATATTTTCTCATTCTTTGTGTATAGAAAATTTTAAAATGGTGGTCTTAATTATTACTACTGGTTGAACAATTATTTCTTCCAATTTATTTTCTTCCTGCACTACTGTTTGTATTTGATCCTTTGTCTATTCAGTCACTTAATTAGAAATTAAATTGTCAAGCCTCTTATTCTGACTTCAAAGAATTAATGTATCTTCCAACAATAAAATCACTTCTGATTTTAATCTAGGAAAACCTAAATTGTGGCTATGGATCCAAAGCTGTTTGTTTCTTTGAATATCAATATTTTCAACAGGATCTTGTATTTAAAATTCCCACCTACATTGTTAAATATGTTATTTTTTCATATCTCTTTTGGTTTTGATAATCTGAAGTGTTTTTTTCTCGTTTTGGCCTTCCAAACTGCATTTGGTTAGGTGAATTAAGAAAAATATTGCCATCAAGAATTACTTGTGTTTTCACAGAGATAGACTCTTTGCTTTATAGAGATTGTTGTGTATTTAATATGAATATCCCAGCTTTAGAAAAGAAGTAAACTGGATACAAAAAGTTCCATTGAGGAACAGTTATTTACAGTATAAAAGATTTGTTTACTTTACAAAAGGCTTGTGTCTGTGTGTGTGTGTGTGTGTGTGTGTGTGTATTTTAAACTGACTCAGTGACAGCTGGGGTGGAATGGCAAGAACACTTACAACCAAACTCATGGGCTGCTGCAATTTGAAGATAATTGGTAATAAACATAAGACATTAATTCATATTAAAATAGTTCAGTGTTCAAAATTGTGTTTATGTGGATATTTTTCTCTTTTTAACACTATAAACCATTAAAATACAGTCATCCCTTGTATACGCTAGGGACTGGTTCCAGGGCCACACATATACCAAAATCTGCCCATACTCAAGTCCCACAGAAAGTCTTGCAGAACCCATATGTAGAAAAGTTGGCCCTCCAGTTGACCCTCCGTACACATGAGTTTCACATCCCATGCACAAATGCTGATCTGTGTGACCTCACCTGCATTTGATTGAAAAAAGTATGCGCGTAATTGTACCCACCCAGTTCAAACCCGTGTGTAAGGGTCAACTGTACAAAAAAGTTTGTGAAATAAACGTACTGGAGAATCTTTAAAATTTTTGTGCTTTTTAATCCTACTATTATGAATCTTTTTAGTTTCATCTTACATTACTACTCTCATAATAGCTATCCTTAGCCAGGTGCCATGGCACAGGCCTGTAGTCCCAACTGCTGGGAAGATTGAGGTGGGAGGATGGCTGCAGTACAAGAGCCCAGGAGTTCAAGGCCAGGCTGGGCAACCTAGTGCTCCGCCTCTGCTGGGCTCTGTAGGGAATCCTTTCTGTTGTAAAAGAGTTACCATTTAACTCCCTTCACTGAGTGCGTTTCTGAGACCTTGCTAGGCACTCTGGAAACTGCTTAGTTGAGAAAAGACAAATACAAAAGCTTTTCTTTAGTCTATTTAAGATACAGTTTATTCAGTTCACTTTGCTTTCTTTTTATAAGAATGTACAAGAGGCAGACAGAGGTAATCCTTCTAGAAATAAAACTAATTGTTATTGGGCACTTGTATGTACCAGACACTACACTAAGCATGGTACTTGGGTTTTTAATTTATTACATGTAATGTCAGTAGGTTCAATTATATGATCGTAACATCTTCATGACCAGCAGCATGTATTTTAGAGTTAGAAATGTAGTCTGGTTTTTGAGAAGTTTTACAAGGTGTATGTCCAAAATTGTTCTTTCCTCACATGTCAGTGGGGGATAAATACAGCATTGCTCTCACTTCTTTGACTCTGGGTGCTTTTTCGGATACATTTTCTTCAACACTGTTAAGGGGCCTCACTGTCAGATTAACCAATTATTTTTCCACAGTTGGTCACCAGACTTTGGAAAAAATCCACCTCACCAAAATTTTGGATATCCTGATCTGTGTTCATGAAATGCTCTTCTTTTTGTAAAATCTATCACTGCATCTCACAGCAACTTGTTTTCACACATGTTCTAGTGGTTCCCATAACTTAGATTTTACAGGAGGCAAATTTACTAAAAATGAGGAGACTAAAATGAATGACCAACTTTGAATTTTGTCAAATAACATTGAAAATGAATTATCTCATAAAAGGTAATTTTAATACCCCAAAAGTAAGATGGTTGTACTCTCAGAATAAAGACTTTTTCCCTGCCACATTTTCAGTTGTTAAAATATGCTAAGAGCTATGCCCATATCTTTTCCCACCTGTGCACATTTTTCAGAAGCGTAGGGTTGGTAGTAAGCTGTTGCTTTAATAACTCCTTTAAATAAGCATTATTAGCAGTTTGCATTACTTCTTGTAAATTTACACAATTTTATCTTGTCCATCTTTAAAAAATAGACATCTAATAACCAAATGTATTTGAATTGATGCAGTGTAAGTAACTTGTAGAACTTGAGGATAAGTGGTAAAAGAAAAAAAAAAGTAACTTGGCTCTTGAAATACATGTCTTCGGTTTCTAGAGCCTTCAAAATACAGCCCTGTTGTTACTGCGTCACATGATTGTTTTGAGGACTGCTTCTGCTTACCTAGGAAACTACTCATGCCTTACTCAGCAAATGAACATCACTATTACATAAACATCAGGTATCCAAAAGTGTTAGCAGGCTTGAGGTATGAATGATTCATTCATATGGGTAATTAAGCAAGTTGAATTATGGAAAGCACCTCACAATTCACACAATTCAGCTTTGAGTTCAATGCCAAATACGATGATTCATTAAGTTGACTTTGTATTTTGTAACCTAATTTGTTAATAAGTAAGTTACAGGAAGCCAATTAAGCCAGCTGCTGATCTATATAGTACTACCTTCCTCATTGTGATTCCATAGTCTTCCAATAGAAATGTGCTGTCAGAATCTGTATAGAGAGTTTGTAAATGCCACTATTTAACAAGGTTCTTAAGAATTTAGGTGGATGTTTTATTTGATACCTACCAAAGAAGCCTAAGTAATTGTATAATACTTAACCCATTTAGAATTCAGTTGTGGCAGCATAACCAATCTGGAGAGACCAGGGGAGATGTTACTAATGCTTGTACTTTATTCAGAAATGAGTGCCTCATTGGCTTGGTGCAGTGACGACACACCTGTAATCTCAGCACTTTGGGAGGCTGAGGTGGGTGGAGTACTTGATCTCAGGAGTACCATACCAGCTTGGGCAACGTGGTGAGATCTCATCTCTACAGAAAAATGCAAAAATTAGCCGGGCACAGTGGCGCACCAGTAGTCCCAGTTACTCGGGAGGCTGAGGCACAAGAATCTCTTGAGTTGAGGAGGCCAAGGTTGCAGTGAGCCAAGATTGTGCCACTGCACTCCAGCCTGGGCAACAGAAGTGAAACCCTATCTTAAAAAAAAAAAAAGTCTTTTTTTTTTTTCATCTAATCAAATTTATTGTGGCAGAAATCAGTACGAAGTTCGTAGGACAGGAGGAAACCAATATAAATATCTCAGCATTGTAGGAAATTTAACCCATGGAAAGCAGGGGTGAATTAAAGACCACTTTGAAGGCTGGGAAAAGCAGATAATTTAGATATAGTCAAAGTATGAAATCATTGATAGATCCAGAACAAGGAAATGATGTATGTGTTTACATATTACATCTACTTTATTAACAATTTTCCCTCTGTTAAACTAATATCGACTAATAGTAGTCTAGGTAAGTCAAGTTCAAATTAAGTGGTAATTGAAAAAGTCTTCTTTTTAAAAAATTTTTAATGGTAGAGGCAGCAGCTACCCAGAGTCTACTTATTCTTACTTCACATTGAATTCTAACAAGTTTGGTTATCTGATTTCTGCTTCTTAACAAATCACAAGTATCAAAAGGGTCTTGCAGAAGGGGTGAACTACAAAATGTGACAGCTGACAGCAAGTCAGGGGAACAAAAATAAATTTAAGGTGAACATTAAAGGCATAGCAGCTTGAGACAATTTATAGGATTCTGCATACAACTGTCTCTGAGGACATCACTGTGATCAAATTATACAAGTGATGTTTAGTGATGAATTGGAATCAAGATAAGTAGTATGTGTTATTCAAAAAGGCAGGATATGTGTTGCATTTGGTGGTAACAATTTCCCCTTAGCTATTTAGTTAAAAGCTTAGTGCTTAACATGTTGGAAAATTTATATGTAAAATATATTGACTTACTCGATGATTGGAGGCTTTATCACAGGAAGTTTTCCCATTCAATTGAAACATTTTTCAAGCTTAATGACTATAATTTACTACATAATTATTTATTTTGTTAAAGTTTGAGGAAAACTAAATAAAGCAGTAGCAATTTAAGTCATAATAAATTTTGTTAGATGACTTCTTCCACTTTAGGGGGAATTAAAAATCATGTTTAAAAACCACATGTGCAGCAGTTCTGTGACTCCCTCAACATCCGGTTGGCCATATAGTCCCTTTGCACCACAGAGGTTGGAGTATAGAATATGCCCAAAGCTGTTTTGTTTTGTTTTAACTATGCTTCATCATCTGAGGTTGTGTTAACATAGTTTGTCCTAATAGTCTTTTACTGGAAACTTGCTATATTTGATCATGTTCAGCAAGTAAACTAATTTTATCTACTTTCATATATTTTGAGACAAAGTCTGGCCCTGTCACCCAGGCTGGAGTGCGGGGGCATGATCGTAGCTCACTGCAGCCTCAGCCTCTTGTGCTCAAGCGATCCTCCCACCTCAGCCTCCCAAGTAGCTGAGACTACAGTCATGCTTCATCATGCCCGGCTAATTTTTTATTTTTCTAAGAGACAGAGTCTCACTGTGTTACCCAGGCTGGTCTCGAAGTCCTGGACTCAAGTGATCCTCCCTGCCTCAGCACTCCCAAAGTGCTGGGATTGCAGGCATGAGCAACCATGCCTGGTGTTTTATCTTTTGCAGAAATCCAATTTAGTAAAGTCATGTTGTAGCAAGCATCACTTTAATATAAAAAGTGTACAGCTTATATTATTAGCAATTGTACTGTTTAATTTTATATTAGTTATGGTCTTGAAGGACATTGAAAATCTGTTCAGAAAGACTATGTTTTTCAACCAGAGATGACATCACTCTAACTTTCCTTTGGTTTAAATGCTTGATTCTTCGCTTACAAAACTTCTGTTTTGAACAACTATGGTGAGAAAGTATATTTGTGATACTGTTTTCTTAGAACACTGTTGTCAGATAGATCAGCCATAATGTTAACACATTTCTGATCTCTATTATAAGGCTGTAATTTTCCAAAATAATACAGAAAAGGAGAAAAGGGTAGTACATTTCATAATTAGAGATAACCCTGTACTAGTGAGAAAATAAAAATGTCAAGTTTATTAAATTTTCAGATTTCCTGTAATTTTTCCATTACTATCCCTCATAAATTTCTCTGCATGATCACACTAAAGATATAAATTAATCACATCCATTCAACAAATTAAGAAACTCAAAACTCACAAGTACAATCTTCAACCCTATAGAATGCTACCAAGAAGTAAAATAAGATGAAGGTAGAAAGATTCTCTTTGAGGGCCAGGTGCGGTGGCTCACACCTGTAATTAATTCCAGCACTTTGGGAGGCCAAGGCGGGCAGATCGCCTAAGGTCAGGAGTTCAAGACCAGCCTGGCCAACATCGTGAAAACTCGTCTCTACAAAAATATAAAAATTAGCTGGGCATGATGGCGGATGCCTGTAATCCCAGCTACTCGGGAGGCTGAGGTGGAAGAATCGCTTGAATCCAGGAGGCAGAGGTTGCAGTGCGCCAAGGTTGTGCCATTGCATTCCAGCCTGGGCCACAGAGCAAGACTCCATCTCAAAAAAAAAAAAAAAAAAAAAAAAGAAAAAGAAAAAAGAAAGATTCACTTTGAAATGCTGCATGCAACTATTTAGCAACACATTGGAAAATCTAGAGAAAATGGGTAATTTTCTGGAAAAATATAAATGACCAAAACTAATCCAAGAAGAAATTTAAAATGTTAATAGACCAGTTACAAAGAAGAGAATGTAAAGTGATTTTTTAAAATCCATAATTTAAAAAGTACTAGGGTTGCAAGAAGGATAATTCCAATGTTATTTAAAGTATCCCAAATTTTTTTTAAAAAGAAAAACCAATTCATTTCACATAGGCAGTGCAGCATTAATATGAAAACCTGATAAACATAAGACAAAACTGTAGGCCAGGTGCAGTGGCTTACACCTGTAATCCCAGCACTTTGGGAAGCCAAGGTGGGTGGATCACTTAAGGTCAGGAGTTCAAGACCAGCCTGGACAATATGGCGAAACCCCATCTCTACTAAAAATACAAAAATTAGCCTGGCATGGTGGTGCATGCCTGTAATCCCAGCTTGAACCCAGGAGGCAGAGGTTGCAGTGAGCCGAGATCACGCCACTGCACTCCAGCCTGGGTGACAGAGCAAGTCTCCATCTCAAAACAAAAAAACAAACAAAAAAACCAAAACTATAGACCAATCTGACATACATATGAATGAATATTCTAAATAAAAACCCAGCACTGTTATCAATAATTGCAACAACAAAAAAGAGTAATACAGTATGCAAAGAGCACTGTATTTCAGGAATTCATGGGTATTTCAATATCAGTTAAGTATATTAACACAATTACATAAATGACATCAAAGAAGAGAAAAATGTGATTATATCAATAAATGCTGAGAGGGCTATTGTTAAGATTAAACATCCACTCCTAATGAAGATTCTTGAGTAAAATAGAAATTGAAGGAAAGTGTCTAAACATAACCGTTATTTATGAAACGCCTACAAAACAAGTATTTTAAATCATGAAACAACGTTTCAATTAAAACAAGGAACCAGTAGGAATAGCTGCTGTCATTATTTGTTATTAAAGATTATCTTGGAGGATCCATGAATGTAACAAGATTTTTAAATGAAATAATCAGTATAAATATATAGAAAACTTTTTGTGGATATGATTATATGCCTAGGAAATCATAGAGATTAGGAAAAACAGAAATTTCAAATATTTTAAAGAGGAATATTGGTAAGTTATTTGGAAATAAGATGATAATACAAAATATATTAGCAATAAGCACCTTGAAATGCTAGTGGTAAAAATATTCACAATAACAAAAATAATAAAGGTAAAATAAATTTACCAAGAAAGGTAGAAGATCTATAAGAAAAAAACTATAAAAATGTTACCAAAAGCTACTGAATAAGAAACACATGAGGCTAGGCGCAGTGGCTCATACCTGTAATCTCAGCACTTTGGGAGGCTGAGGCAGGAGGACTGCTTGAGCCCAGGAGTTCAAAACCAGCTTGGGCAAATTGTGAAACGCTATCTCTAACCAAAACAAAAAGCTAGTTGGGCTTGGCGCATGCTTATAGAACCAGGTACTTGGGAGGCTGAGGTGGGAGGTTGGGGCTTCAGTGAGCTGAGATCCCACCACTGCACTCCAGCCTGGGTGACAAAGTAAGACCCTGTCTCAAAAAAACAAACAAAACTCTTGTAAAAACATAAATCTAAAATTATATATAAATTCAATTAAATTCACATTAGAATCACAAAAGCATTTTAAAATTGGATTAAATTATCTTAAAGTTCATGTAGAAGAATAGTCAGAAAATTGTTCCAAAAAAAAGACTATTGAGAGGAACTTTTCTCAGCAGATATCAGCACCTACTATAGAACTATTGGAATTGATCAATTAAGAAAAACAATTGTATTAAGAATAAGCAAGAGTGGTAAAAAATTGAGAATCTACATGTAGATGAAAAATTAATATATGAAAATAAACAATTCAAAGAAAACAAAATTGGACCCTCAATTTACACTGAAGGCTTTGAAGTGACACATAAAATGATTTTTTAAATGATTTAAATACGTACATAAATGGAGACAGGAAGGGTGGGAGAGAAGCAGAAGAGAAAGAAAATAGAAGACTAAAGAACAGGAACACCTATGTGGAAAAAGGTAACACTTAATGACAAAATATGTTTTATGTGAATATCAGTTATACATAATAAATATTGGGGACATTGCCTTGTGGGTTATAATAAAGCATTAAGAAACAGAGTAGTGAACAAAAAAAGGAAAGAAAACTACCAAATTCCATGTATGATACCCCATTTTAAAATTACATAAATTAAATGTGTACACATAAGAAAATTTTAAACATTAAAATTTTGTTAATAAAACAGATTTGATAACACGAAGGCCAATGATGACCTTACCCACAGCAGTTTTGTTTAAATGGGGACTAAGGATGGAGCAAAATTTTTAGTAGAGCACTTTGAATAATGAATTAGCAAACTATAATAAACTGAAATCTTACCTACCAAATAATCTCAGTAAACAAATCTAAAAGAAATGAGTAAAACAATTGTGAGCAAAAAAGGATAGAGTCACTACATATAATGTAAATGAGACAAGGATGGCCTCTGTGTATTGGTGCCTAGGTTATTTCTTCACAGCAAGCTGAGACCCATTAGCTCAAAAGCCAACTGGCAGCAAACTCAAATTTTTAAACATCCAATTGTGTTAAACATTGCCCAGACATGCAGATTTGTAGGCATTTAGAGCCTGCCTGATTTACATGCCCTGGGAAACTGTGTCCAAAATCTGCCTGCCACAGATAAACCCTAGGCTGTAAAGACCCCAGGCTGCTTCTGCTCTTTGGAACTCTGTGAACTATAGACTCCATGCCATGCTGCTGAGTGATATCACTGAGACATGAAAGCCTCCTCTCTGATCCTTTCCTCCCTCAGGAGTTCCTTTGCCCTCCTCCCCTTCTGAGTGGTGGCCCCCTTGCCTCAATCCTCTGGTCCATCTCTTGCTGTGAAGGCCTTCCCCAGGATACAAACCTGACGAGATCATCCAGATAAAGCCCATGTGTGCTTCTGTCACATCTTTT
This sequence comes from Homo sapiens, assembly GCF_000001405.40. Lineage (NCBI taxonomy): Eukaryota > Metazoa > Chordata > Mammalia > Primates > Hominidae > Homo > Homo sapiens. The sequence continues at coordinate 102,896,359 of NC_000004.12, forward strand.
TCTATATTTTTCTCACTTTTTTCTAAACTTTTCTAATTTTTTCTTAATTTTTATAAAATTGTGGATACCTAATAATGTAGTCTCAAAATAAATAAAGCCAAAATTAGAACTGGAAAGAGCAATAAAAAAATCCACAAACATAGTGAGAGATTTTAACAATTCATTTTTAGTAATTGAAAAAATAAACACTGCACAAACTTCCCGAGGCTCCACCCCGTAATCCCAGTGCACAGGTGGGCATTATTCAGAATCAGTGGGGAAAGGGCGGCTTCAACCAGGACCCGCAGTCCAGTTTATCTAACAGCCTTCAGGCTGTTTTAGTCTTGAAGGTGGGGTTTTACCGGGGGACCCTTGGTTGCCTCCTGTCTCTATCACTTTCACATTAGGTGCTTTGTGGTGAAAATGGTTTCAAGGGTGATGGCATTGTACATATTGAGACACAGAAGCAGCTGAAAGTTCTATTAAAAAATGAAATGGATGCTTCTAAATGACAGCAAAGTCTTTGTTGGATTAAGTCTTGTAAACAATGAGAAGCAGAACTCAGAGTTAAAAAGTTCACCAATGTTTACAGGAAGATTTTTGGAGAAGACATGGATGGTAGGTGCCTTAAAGATCTCTTTGGCAAGTTGGGATCTGTCTTAAGTGTGAAAGTAGTGGTTAATGAAAGTGGAAAACCCAAAGGTTTTGGATTTGTCAGCTTTGAAAGGCATAAAGATGCGCAGATGAGATGAACAGAAAGAAGCTCAATGGAAAACAAATTGATGTTGGTCAAGCTCAGAAAGAAGTAGAATGGCAGATGGAACTTGTGTGCAAATTTGAAAAGATCAAGCAGTATAGGATCACCAGATAACAAAGTGTTAACATTTATGCAAAAAATCTTGATGGTATTGATGAATGTCTCTGGAAAGAACTTTCTCCACTTGGTACAATCACTAATGCAAAGGTTATGAAGGATGGTTGTCACAACAAAGGGTTTGATTTGTGTATGTTTCTCCTCTCCAGAGGAAGCAACTAAAGCACTTTCAGAAATGAATGGTAGAATTGTGGGCACTGAGCCATTGTATATAGCATTAACTCCATGGGAAGAAGAGCAATGAAGAGCACCAGGCTCAGCTCATTAACCAGTACAGTATGTGCAAAGAATGGCAAGTGTAAAAACTATGCTCAACCTGGGAATCAGCCTCTATCAGCCAGCACCTTCTTCAATTTACTTCATGGTAGTTATCCCACAGACTGACAGCCATGCTGCAAAGTATTCTCCTAGCCAAACTGCTCAACTAAGATCAAATCCTCCCTAAATTGCTCAGGGTGCCAGACCTCATCCATTGAAAAATATGCCCAAGCCACTCCTAGCTCACTACATTTAGTAGTAAGAGACCAGCTTCTTCACAGCTTCCACGAGTCATGTCAACACAGCTGTTGTAACACATCAACACAGACAATAGGAGCACATTCTGCAGTTGCCGCTACTGCTACTACAGATACTCCTGCTGTTTGCACCATTTCACAGTATAAATATGCTATGGAAGTTCACAATCCTCAATGGCAGTTTCATGCACAGCCCCAAGTTACCGTGCAGCAGCCTGCTGTTCATGTAGAAGGTCAAGAACCTTTGACTTCCATGATGGCATCTGCTCCTCCTCAAAAGCAAAAGCAAACGAGTGAATGGCTCTTTCCTCTTCTTCAAGCCATGCCCTAGTCGTGCTGGTAAAATCATTGGCATGTTGTTGGAGATTGGTTATTTAGAACTTCTTCATATGCTTGAATCTCCAGAGCCTCGCTGTACTAAGGTTGACAAAGGTATAGCTGTACCACAAGACCACCAAGCTAAAGAGGCTGCCCAGAAAGCAGTTAATGGTGCCACTGGTGTTCCAATTATTTAAAACTGATCAGGGACCACAGAAAGAAACTTGCGCATCACTGAAGAAAAAATCTCAATATCAAAAACCTTAAATACTATGGAAAAAATTTGTAAAGTATAAAATAAATTTAAAAAGGAAACTTTGAACTTTACATACCAAGCAAACGTCAGATCTAACAAATGCAATGATAGTCCTAGATTACTTACTGATTTGAAAACAAAAAATCCTCCCAAAATAATAAAATATAAAAATGCTGCAATGCTTTTCAGACTCTGTGATAAATAATTTTCAGCAAAGTATAAAAATTTAAAGCATTCCTTTAATTTTGTAATTCGTTAGTGTGGAATAGCTCAGAATGTCACTTCTGTTTTAAGTAACAGAATTGATAACTGAGCAAGGAAAGGTAATTTGGATTATAAAATTTTGCTTTAATAAAAATTCCTTAAACAGTGAAAAAAATAGGCAAAGATACAAAAAGTTGATAAGAAACAACAATCTTGTATTTATTTGTTATTTTATTTTTTTGAGACGGAGTCTCGCTCTGTCACCCAGGCCGGAGTGCAGTGGCGTGATCTTGGCTCACTGCAACCTTTGCCTCCCAGGTTCAAGTGATTCTCCTGCCTCAGCCTCCCGAGTAGCCGGGACTACAGGCACCTGCCACCACGCCTGGCTAGTTTTTTGTATTTTTATTTTTTTTGTTATTTGTATTTTTGTATTTCACCATGTTAGCCAGGATGGTCTCCCTCCCCTGACCTCATGATCCACCCGCCTTGGCCTCCCAAAGTGCTGGGATGGTGTGAGCCACTGTGCCCAGCCTTATTTGTTTAAATACTATAAACACTAATATCATACACATGGTTAACTGGTTGTAATTTTTAAATTATATTAATAAATTTTTATAAAAACTTTTTATAAATAAAAAACTTAAAATTTCAAATAAATAACAACATCTGCCACACCACCTTAAAAGGGCGACTATTTCAGTATAATAAACATATATCACAGACACTTAGAGAAAGTTCAATAAATAAAGAATAAAAAGAATAGTTACAACAATTTTCCTCCTAATCAATAACACAATTCCTCATTTTGAAAATTATTTATCTCTCTTTTATTAAAATAAACTTTCTACTTTGAAATCTAATCCTCTTGTGAATGTAAAATACTATCTTGTAAATATATATATATATATTTTATTATTATTATTTTTTGAGACAGAGTCTTGCTCTGTCTCCCAGGCTGGAGTGCAGTGGTGCGATCTCAGCTCACTGCAACCTCTGCCTCCTGGGTTCAAGCGATTCTCCTGCCTTAGCCTTCTGAGTAGCTGGGATTACAGGTGTGCGCCACCACACCTGACAAATTTTTGTATTTTTAGTAGAGACGGGGTTTCACCATGTTGGTCAGGTTGGTCTCGAACTCCTGACCTCGTGATCTGCCCATGTCGGCCTCCCAAAGTGCTGGGATTACAGGCATGAGCCACAACACCCTGCTTATATTTTTATTTTCTTGTAAGTGACAATGAGATGCCCTCATGATTTAAATAGTAGTCAAAACACTGGCACAGTTTAAATTTTTAGAATTTGAGTACTAGAATTACAATATTTGAAAATGGAGTCTGTACTTTGTTGTAAAACTATAAGGAGAAAATGTCACTAAAATAGTAGCTATTTTATCTTTTCCCAGAGTTATTCTCCCAGAGTGTATTTTCTAAGAGTTATTTCCCAGAAGGTTTTAGAACTTCTGGCAGTTTCGGTGATATATTCTGTAAAAGCCCTTAGTCTTAATAGGAATAACACATAGTTTTGATTGCCTTAAATTTTAATTGCTTCACTTGGCAAATTTATGTGTAAATGTCATATTCTGTGGTATTTTAATACCTTGCTTGTGGAGAAGAGGAAAAAGAGGAATGAAAGTAATATTCAGTCCTTGCATTGAGCTTTTGCCAAAGAAGTCTAAACAATTTCTAAGATGCCATTCAATAAGGCCATTTTAGAATCGTTTATATGACTCTTATAACTTTAAAATAAAGAGTCTTGAAGTTAATTAAAACTCACTTTGCTTGTGATGGGTTCTACATTAACATGGCAGATTTAATCAGCCAGAATTAAAAGGTAATTCTATATTACTAAGGAGAAGAAACTGCCACATGACAGCAGTCTCCAAATCTTTCATTTTTGGAGGCTGCCTTTTATGCCTAGATTTTAAAATACTAATTGAAAAAAATATAGTTTACTTCCATTTGTGATTTAATTTTATTTCTATAAATAAAAATATAGATAGTGTTTCATCTAAAAACTGCTAAACCAGACTTTCATTTTAAGGGCATGGCAGAAGTAAGGAAAGACTAACTTGGTTCTATTACTGAACATATTATTTACTCAGGTAGTCACCAAAACCAGAATTTAAAATCTATTTAGTTAACCCATTTAAAGTTGATGTGTTTTATTCCTTTTCTTTCTTTTTGTGGTGATCTTTTTAACTGAATTACTGGACATCATGGGAGTTCTACTCCTTCTATTTGGAAACTTAGGCTATCTTACCAAGTTCAATATTCAAAGTTTTTCTTTCTGCCATTAAGTTTGTTTAATTTTATATTAAGCTCAGTTTGTATTATGATATCAAATTCAGCCTGAGGGATTACTTTAAACTTTCCTAGGGTATTTACAGATTTAATTTGTTCTTACAGTATGTAAATACCAAGAGAGCATTCCATTTAATATTATTTTTATTAAATTAACTTTGGAGTAAAAAGTCCAAGAAAAGCCCTGTACTGAAATCACATGTTTACTAAATCCTGGATTCTCTGTACAGTCCCCACATATTTCTACTTTAAAATTCTTCTGTCATGTGAAATAATTCATTAAAAGAAGCAGGCAGATGATGACAGGTAAACTTTTTAATGATGTTCTAATGTTGACAACTGCAGTTTTATTTTGCTTGGATCATAATGGCGTGTAAGCATTTTAGGCCCCAGAATGCCCATAAGTAGAGCTCCATTTGGAGCTGTGATCAAGATGGCTAAAAATGCTACTGTCATCACATCCTTCGCATATGGTTCCAAGTGGGGTGCGGAGACTCTTGCTGTTTCTAGAGCCAGAGGACCTAACACAGCCTGCATTTAGGGGTAAAAATGGGGCATAAAGAAAAATATTAAACTGAGTTGATATATAATGTAAATGGCTCTGTTAAAATAAACAAAATCTAGTACTAGACTATTAGAAAAAAAAAGTACTCAGTAATTTTCATAAGTTACTCATCAGTTCCATGTTCTTCCTAGCAAATATATGTGGAGGAAGAGTACAATAGTGACAAATCAGCAGGCAAACATTTTTGGGCTGATTTTGCACTCTTGTCCTCTCAGTGTTCCTCTATTCGAATATCTCTTTTGAGTGTTCATGTTGCCCTCATAACACCAGGAGTTCTAACGAAACCAGTTTTGCTTAGTTGCCTTTACCGTGTGCAAGTGGTTCTTGACTACAACAAGACAACATAAAATACTAAGGTTTCTTATGGTTCTCTAGGATTTGTTGCCCTTCTTCTCATTGTTCTCCCTATTCAGGGGGCACTGTGTTATAGCAGAACTGACAGCAGGCTTGGAATCTAGCAAACCGGGTTTGAATTCTATTTTTGCTGCAACCAGGCTAGTGACCTTGTACAAATGACTCACACTCTCTAACCTTCTACTTACTTATGTGTAAAATGAAGAACAAAATACTTATCTTACTGAATGGTTGTGAAAATTAAATATGAGAATGCAAAGAACAGCTGGCACACAGTAGGTATTCAGATAGTAGTAAGTTTCTCTCTCCCTCACTCCTCATGCCCTGCCAGGTCAGAGAATGAGTTCCTTTGAAGTTTTCGTTTTAGAATGACTGTACTGGGTCACAAGTTTTTTTCCCTAGTCACCTTCTACCACATTATTTTTAATAACATAAAGCAAATTTCTTGCTAACCCTCTTTCTTTGTGTTTAATAATCTAGGCATGAAATTGCCTTAAAATTTTGGGGAATTAAATACCAATATATAACATATTTTCTATGGAGTTGCAAAGTAACAACATAATGGTGGAAACATTACCTCTGATATGGAACATTATGGCAAAAGAACCCCTCAATTTAAGATCAATTTCTATATCCTAAATCAATAATTTAAAATGGTATCATTTTTATATCGTAACTTTTAATGTACTGAACGTGAGCCAGTGTGCTGGAGGATGCTAGGGAGAAAAAGATAATCATGCAGAAAACCAACTTGAAAGAATCTTACAGTTTAGAAGAGGATTTGAACATAAAAGAACTTCCAACAGAAAAAACAAAAAACAAAAACCAAACCCATTGACTTTTAAGAGATGATTATGATAATGGTGAAACTAGAAATAATATTTATATAGTTATATGGCATTCATCATATGGCAGGTATCATTCTTAAAGCTTTCCATTTATCAATTCATTTAATTCTTACGACAACCTTATTATGTGAGGACTTTATTAGATGATAAATGATTTCCTCCTAGTGACTGAGATTTAATATTATTTCTTTAAAAGAATCCAATTGCCAAGCTGATCTTACATTTGTAAACTAAATTATTTATTTACTCTCCTAATAGCTTCATTTTTCCACTCTAATTTTTATCAGTAACTCGAAACTGAAGAACAAGAGAAAGAGCTGAACCTTAGCCAATTTTATGTTAGCAGCAGAGAACGGTGGAAGAGGATAAAGGTGAAAATAATTTAAAATTGAAATTTAAATATTTGTTGATCTTATTTACTTGTGACATTATCGTTATCTATTATTGCTGTTGTGACTCTACTTGTATAAATAATTAATTTTTTATGTCTTGCCAGTTCCTGGAACCAGCTTGATATTCTTTGTGTAGAAGCTAGCCTGAAGCCAGCAGACAGGAATAGGCAGAAGCAGAATAATACTGCAGGACTCGAGTGAGTGGTCTCTTTCCTCATACCTGCTTTTCTTTTTTCCCTGCTTTATGAAAATTATGAAATAATAAAACAAAATTGCGAGAGTATTGTTGGAAGGAGAGAGAACAGATACTCCTTTTGTAGATTTATTATTCCCTACAGTAGACATTAAAAATAAAAAGTTATTATTTATATTACTTGAAGGTAAGATAAAATAACAACATTGTTAATTGAGCACCACCATATGCCAGAGAGAGTGCTAAGCACTTTACGTGGATTATCTCATTGAATCCTGACAACACTGCTAAGAAACAGATACAGTCATAGACTTCATTGTAAGATGAGAACACTGAAGGACTGAGAGATTAGAAAATAATTTTCCTGAGGTTATAGGCAAGTAACATGGTATTCAAAACAGGTAGTCAGGCCCTATGAACCTGCTTTTCTAACATGATAATAGAGGTTTTTTTTGCATGAAAATTTAGGAGCTTCTGTTTTGGAATAACAACTAAGAAAAGAGCCACAGGAAATTAAGGTATATTATGCTGCCAAGTTAAACAGTCTAACAATAAGTAGCAATATATTTTAGGAGGAGGAGAATATCCTTGAATAAGAGGGCAAAATTACAAGGTTTCCCTTTCTGTTCATTCATTCTTGCAGGCATGCAATACACATTTGGCTCCTGCATGTCAGGCACTGTGTTAAGTGCCAGGGAGAAATAATGAAAAACAACTGCAACAACCAGACACTGTCCCTGTCCTTACGTAGTCTATCAAGGGGGCAGGGGCAGGGATTTAGCCATTAACCAAATAGAATACAAATAAATGTGTAATTAAAAACAATAAATGTGCATTTGTGTGATGGAGTGAGTGGCAAGGTAGGAAAAGTATTTTTTAAAAAATCAATGTGTCTCTATTTTACTTTACTTTTTTTTTTTTTGGAGACAGGGTCTCATTTTGTCACCCAAGCTGGAGTGAAGTGGTGTGACCTCAGCTCATTGCAGCCTCAACCTCCTGAGTTCAAGCAATCCTCCTGCCTCAGCCCCCAAGTAGCTGTGACTACAAGTGCGTGCCAACACACCTGACTAATTTTTTTGTATTTTTTGTAGAGACGAGGTTTTACCATGTTGCTCAGGCTGGTCTTGAACTCCTGAGCTCAAGTGATCTGCCTGCCTCAGCCTCCCGAAGTGCTAGGATTCCAGGCATGAGCTACCATGCCTGGCCTGTGTCTCTACTTTTTAAAATCATAACATTTAGCTTTGTTATATTCAGCAAAATATAAAAACTCCAATTTTCAGATATATTCTTATTATATATTTTAGGAAAATAAAAAACATTTTCATAAACTTAGGAAGTACTTATTGAAAGAATACTTTTTAATTTCAAAAGAATTGCTTTTAAAACTGAGATTTAAAAAGGTTACATTGGCTGGGCCCAGTGGGTTATGCTCATAATCCCAGAACTTTAGGAGGCTGAGGCAGGAAGATCACTTGAACCTAAGAGTTCAAGACCAGCCTGGGCAACATAGCAAGACCTCTTCTCTACAAAAAAATCAGAAAAAAAAGACCAGGCGCAGTGGCTCATGCCTGTGATCCCAGCACTTTGGGAGGCTGAGGCGGGTGGATCACTTGAGGTCAGGAGTTTGAGACTAGCCTGGCCAACGTGGTGAGACCCCATCTCTACTAAAAATACAAAAATTAGCTGGGTGTGGTAGTGTGCACCTGTATAATCCCAGCTACTCAGAAGGCTGAGGCAGGAGAATCGCTTGAACCTGGGAGGTGGAGGTTGCAGTGAGCCGAGATCATGCCACTGCACTCCAGCCTGGGCAACAGAGTGAGACTCTGTCTCAAAAAAAAAAACAATAAAAAAGCAGTTGGGTGTGGTGGCAGGTGCCTGTGATCCTAGCTACTCAGGAGGCTGATGTGAGAGAATTGTTTGCGCCCAGGAGGTTGAGGCTGCAGTGAGCTGTGATCATGCGACTGCACTCCAGTCTGGGTGACAGAGTGAGACCTGGTCTCAAAATGAAAATAAAAATAAAAATAGAAAAAGATTACATTAAGGTTCTTTGTTTTTGTTTATTTATTTATTTATTTATTTATTTTTTTGAGATGGAGTCACTCTGTCGCCCAGACTGGAATACAGTGGTGCCATCTCAGCTTACTGCAACCTCCGCCTCCTGGGTTCAAGCGATTCTCCCATCTCAGCCTCCTGAGTAGCCAGGACTGGTTACGTTAATTTTAATGAATAGTTATGATCAATCAAACATTTAAAAAGTAAGGATAATAGCTCATATTTTGTGACTAGAGTAACATTTTTCATTTTAAATTTTAAAAGCATCAAAATGAAAGCATTAAGCAACAGGCTTAATATGTTCTTACCTGTACTGTAGCTTTGGGCATCCATGCTAAAGCAATAAATATTTTCTCCTTAAAACTAAAACCAGCAAAGCACATCAATAGATATGTGGTTAAAATTCGAACACATAATGCCAAACTTAGAGTGGCAACAGATATGCCTACAACAGATGAAAACAAACATAAATAACAAAATATTTGTGAAGAAGTGTTCTTCATGCCCAGGAATATGATTTCTAAAACTTTTGAAAACATTTTAAGGCTATTGTCTCTTCATGTGCTTATTTTTTACATAAAAACAATGATTATAAAAAATGAATATGATGGAGGATTCTCTGTAAAGTGCAAGAGAGTATCTGATGGTGGAAGTACCATGAAAAATAAGACAGATGACATTTATACAATTCTGAACTAATAGACTTCTTTTGAATACTTTTATTATTAATAATAATAATTTATTTTTTGAGAAGGATTCTTGCTCTGTCACCCAGGCTGGAGTGCAGTGGTACAATCTCAACTCACTGCAACTTCCGACTCCCGGGTTCACGCGATTCTCCTGCCTCAGCCTCCCGAGTAGCTGGGATTACAGACGCGCACTACCACACCTGGCTAATTTTTGTATTTTTAGGAGAGAGGGGGTTCCCCATGTTAGCCAGGCAGGTCTCGAACTCCTAACTTCAAGAAATCTGCCCGCTTCGGCCTCCCAAAGTAAGATTACAGACATGAGCCACCACGCCCAGCCAATAGTTTTAAATGAAAGTACTCAAAAAGCGCTGATCGTATCAAATATGTTCCCTCAGGAAAGAAATCTTATATTTATTTCTTCAGATAACTCAGGGAATATATTCAGGGCTGTCCTTGGTTTATAAAAAAAAAAGAGCACCCAGTGTAAAGGAAGAGCAATATGAAAATATGACACTGTATCAACATGTGTTTCTGAAGAAGGTCGTTGTAGCCAAAGATATATTGTAAATAAAAATAAATGTATTTATAATTTTCTTAAATATTTTTGAATTTCATATTTTTTGTGCTCTAATTATTCTTACCAACAATATTTGATTCAAGCGATGAAACAGATACTTCTGCTCCAACTAAACCAAAAAGAAGTGGTTGAAAAATATCCCATACAGTCGTAATAATCTTTTGGACTTTCATCTATAGAAAAGAGAAATACATTTATAATGATTTTGGCACATAAATATATTTCAGAAACTTAAAGTCTTCCCCCCCCTTTTTTTTTTCATTTTTTAAGTATTTTAGAGATGGGGTCTTGCTCTGTTGCCCAGGCTGGAGTGTAGTGGCATAATCATAGCTCACTGTAGCCTTGAACTCCTGGGCTCAAGTGATCCTCTCGCAGTCTCCCAAGTAGAACTACAGGTGTGTACCACCATGCTGGGCTAATTTTTAAATTGTTTATAGAGATGGAGTCTTGCTATGTTGCCCAGGATGGTCTAGAACTCCTGTCCTCAAGTGGTCTCTGGCTGTGGCGTCCCAAAGCACTGGCATTATAGGCATGAGCCACCATGCCTGGCCTAAAGTCATTTAACATTTAATAAATTTAAGACACTTTATTTTAATAAAAATGTTAAACTTAATAAAAACTGAGCACTTCAATAGTTTTATTCAAACACTTAGGTAGAATTTGATTAAAATAAACTCACAAAGCAATAAAATAATACTATTTGGCCATTTTGTCACAGAATAAGTGATGTCCTTAGGGTTCTAGCCATGTTTCGTATGAGTTCCAGATTTTGTCTGTAAAGTAACTGAACAGAGATATAACTACATCATGCCTGATGAGAACATACCCAGTTCATGCAAACATTTGGGTTCTCAAAAGGGGGTTGGGAAGCCCTCCACTAACAACCATCCTGGAACTCAATCCCATTAAAGTGAATCCTGATATATATAGCATATACTACTAGGAAAAACAATTTGGAAGTCTGCTAGGCCTGCTTCCAAAGAACCCATGTTGAATATTTTAAAGTTACTTTTTCCTTAAAACAAAACCAAAACATATATTAGATTCTCATTTAACTGCCTACCCAGCTTCCCTTTCTGGAAACGAATGCCTCCCAGTGCTACTTCCCCAATTAAAACGTTACAGGAAAGGCCCCTATTGGCCTACATTACTCTGGCTCTTCTCCAGGAATTTGGATGAAGAGATTTCAGTCTCAGTCTGGGTTTAACATTTTTTTTTTTAAACAGAAGATACATAAGAACTTTGATGTCTCTTCCTTGAGGCATAAACTATCTTCATAACTATTTCCCTTATGACTGTGTTTTCTGATCCCCACTTATTATAGTTTAAAAAAAGAAAAACAAAGAAAAACAATGTTACTATTCTTTACAGCATAATTATCCTATTTGTTACTTTTAATCTTTAAAACTTGTTTTAGTTCTGTTTCTTTTACCATTTAAAAAAATTCTAGCAGTTTTAATTTTATTTATTGATTTGCATTTCATTCATTTCATTTCTTTTATCATTATGATTATATAAGAATACTAAACAAAATGTCACTATGATTTTTGGTTGGGGAACTTCTCAAGCTGATTCTAAAATTTATCTAAGAAAGAATATGTGTAGGAACAGCCAAAAAATACTTTAAAAAGAAGTATAATCTATATTAGATTTTGACACATAAAACTGCAGTGATTTAAAACAGTGGTGTTGGCATAGAAATAGAGAAGTAGGATTAAATAGACTTCAGAATTAATATATATGGGAGAATTTAGTTCATGTTAAAAAACTGAATTATTAATGAATTGGTCAATAAATAAACAATTTGGCAAAAAATGACTGTCTAGTTTATGTGCATATATCTGTATGTACATATTCATCACATGCAAGTACATATGTGTGTCTGAATATATATGTATATTTATGTGTGTGTGTATAGATATATATATATACATACACACACATCAGGCATGATGTAGTTCTATCTCTGTTCAGTTAACTTACAAACTGTATGTGTGTGTGTATATATATAAATAGTTTGTAAGATACACATATGTATATATGTATAACCTTACCTCACAGCATTCACAAAGATAAATTCCAGATAGATTAAAAGACTAAATGAAAAAAACAAATTAAACAAACAAAAACTACCAAAATATTAAATGATAATATACAAAATAGTATATCTTTGTAACGTTTATATGTTATAATCTTCAGTGAGAAAGTCCTTCTTAAATGAGATGCAGAATCCAAAACCAAAAAAGGAAAACCCAATAGGTTTGGTCATAGGAAATTTTACTTTCATACACCAGACACCATAAACAAAGTTGAAGATAAGCAAAAATTATATGCAATATATACATAACAAAGGATCAGTAGCCCTAAGAGAAACTATAAATTAGAAACAAAAAAATAAATAACCCAATAAAAATGGTCAAAGAAGATCATAGGTATTTTAAAAAGAATATATGAAGAGAAGCTTACTATACTACTAATCAGAGAAATGTAAATAAAGAATAACAACATCACATAATTGTAAGAAACTACAAGAATTGGATGGTGAGGTCATCTAATAGTAAAAAGAATAGAACTAGTGATAATATCAAGTGCTGTTGATGAGTTAAGGAATTAGATATTTTTGTGCACTGTTGGCAGAGTGTAAATAACCAAAATCTTTTGAAGGGATAATTTAGCAGTGTCCATCAAAATAAAACACAGATCATTTCCAGCTAGGTGTGGTAGCTCATGCTTGTAATCCTAGCACTTTGCGATGTCAAGTTGGGAGGATCCCTTCAGCTCAGGATTTTAAGACCAGCCTGGGCAACATAGAGAGACTCTGTCTCAAAAAAAAAAAAAGTCATTTCTAGGACTCTATCCCTATAGATGTACCTGCAATCCCAACATTTTGGGAGGCCGAGGCAGGAGTATCACCTGAGGTCAGGAGTTTAAGACCTGCCTGGCCAACATGGTGAAACCCCGTCTCTACTAAAAATACAAAAATTTGCTGGGTGTGGTGGTGTGCGCCTGTAATCCCAGCTACTAGGGAGGCTGAAACAGAAGAATCACTTGAATCCAGGAGGTGGAGTTTGCAGTGAGCCAAGATTATGCTACTGCACTCCAGCCTGGGTGACAAGAGTGAAACTGTGTCTCAAAAAAAAAGACATGAACAACACTGTTTATGACAGCACTGTTTGTAAATAACAAAAAGTGGAAACGATCTTAATGTCTATAAATAGAATACTGGTTACTTAAAAAAATGTAAGGGGGTTTGATATTTGACAGTGGTGGGGAATAAAGAAATCTTTTACATTTTATTCTATATGTTTTATTCTTTTACAAGCATTTCTATTTTTATTATTTGTTTGTTTATTATTTATTTATTTTTTTGTGATGGAGTTTTGCACTTGTTGCCCAGGCTGGAGTGCAATGGCATGATCTTGGCTCCTGGGTTCAAGTGATGCTCCTGCCTCAGCCTCCTGAGTAGCTGGGATTACAGGTGCCCACCACCACACCACCATGCCCAGCTAATTTTTGTATTTTTAGTAGAGATGGGGTTTCACCATGTTGGCCACACTGGTCTCAAACTCCTGACCCCACGCGATCTGTCCGCCTCCACCTCCCAAAGTTCTGGGATTACAGGCATGAGCCACCGTCCCCGGCCTTTTACAAACATTTTTCATGGATTAATTGTATAATTAAAATTTCAATGAATAAAATAATTAGATTGATAAAGGTAATATAATAATATTATATAAAACTTGGGAAAAAGAGAAGCCTGATGTGATTAACTCAACTTCTGATTCCATATTAGTATATTTCCAGGTGCTTTTCCTAAATATTTTCTTTCCTCGATTGATTCATACACTTTCTTGAGGACAGAAAACCTTTTGGAACATTTTCCAACCAGAATGAGGGGATTTCCTAAATATATGTAAAAAATTCAGTTGTTTTAGCTTTTAAAATATAGCATATTAAAAATATTCACCTTTTCTTGGGACCATTTTGTCCCTGCAATGAAACTCAACACTAGTGTGCATAATCCTCCAGATCCATGTAAACCAATACGTTGGCTGCCTAAGACGGCAGAAACACACATAGTCAAAACAAGGAATCCTCTCTTCAATGTAAGTTTTTTCTAGAATTAGATAGATATTTAGAAATTAGTTTATATTAAATATATAATATAAGATTTGACATTATCTATTATATATTTTTGACCCTCTGATATTATGTCTTTAAATGTTATATTAAATGTCTAAAATTTTGATTTTCTTTCTCACCATATATTTTAGCAGACTTACTACCAAGTAACAAAATTTGCAATTAGTCACGTTTCATCTTCTGCCATATCTCTGATACTAGTATCAGTAATATGGTTAAAGTATTACTATAAGTGAAGAAGAAAAGAGACCCATAAAATCTCCAGTTTCATATAACATATCCAATGAATTCTTAAAAAATATTTGAATATCTCTTTGGTCAATATGTTACAGCTAAATTTGGATGGAAATTACAGAAATACAAAAGTAATGGCATGTTTTCCTTTAAGGCAGGAAATGGCTAAATTTGAGTGTTGCCTTTGTCAAAGGAGAGCAGGAGTGAATTTCAGTCAGAAAATATGCAGAAATAAATGGGGACCTATTTCCCCCTAAAATGTTTAAGGGAAAATTTGGGGGAAATTATCAAACATCAGTAGGCAGTTTAGTAGAGAAAGGGAAAGTATAATTCAGAGGGATACTCTGCATTAAGTATATTTTTTGATATTCCTTATTTGCCAAATTAAGAAGCAGAGACTTTAATCAAAGCCATTGACCTGTATCAATCACTGCTGTGCTCAGTTTTAAGTACAGAGTAGGCATTGGAGGCTAGTTTTAGAGAAATAGAATTAAGTATTAAATTTCATCGACCTTACCAAAGTTTAATATTTTGAAAAAAATGTCTAATACTATACTTCTATAAAATAGATTTTGTATTTACC
Source organism: Homo sapiens (assembly GCF_000001405.40). Lineage (NCBI taxonomy): Eukaryota > Metazoa > Chordata > Mammalia > Primates > Hominidae > Homo > Homo sapiens. Next base: position 102,911,432 of record NC_000004.12, read on the forward strand.
TGGTCTTCACTTGGAAAATATCGAACAAAAAATCCCAAAACAATTCCTGCCAGCAGACTAATACATACGTTCCTTATAGAGGCTATGGCGTTATTAAGTATACCACCTGTAGGGGCACACAATAAAAAAAAATTCACAAAGAAGTATCTTCACATACACTACACATCAGAAAAGCAAATCTAGGTGGTTCATGAAGAAAAGTAAGCATTTTATAGAACAAATATATGCAAATGGTCTTTTTATAGTGACATATATGAAAACATGTAGATCTATTTAGTACGTTAAATATATACTCTCAAATAATTTAATATATACACACAACTCAGAAATGTCCATTATGTAAATAGGCCAGAAAACAAAGACTTAACAAGCACAAGATGCTCCCCTTACATAGCCAACTTAAAAGACAGAGTGAGGTAGTCCAGGCACAGTGGCTCACGCCTGTAATCCCAGTGCTTTGGGAGGCTGAGGAGGGTGGATTACTTGAGGTCAGGAGTTCAAGACCAGCCTGGCCAACATAATGAAACCCCATCTCTACTAAAAATACAAAAATTAGCTGGGCATGGTGGCACACACCTGTGGTCCCAGGTACTCGGGAGGCTGAGGGAGGAGAATCACTTGAACCCGGGAGGCAGAGTTTGCAGTGAGCTGAGATCGTGACACCACACTCCAGCCTGGGTGAAAGACGGAGGCCACACCTCCAAAAGAAAAAAAAAAAAAGACTAAGTGAGGTACAAGAATGGAGAGAGACCGAAACACTTGTGGCACTTAGCATATGGCTGTTAAGGGCTATATTAACAATTCTTCTTTCATGTACTATATGAAAAAGAAACAAATGATTTTAACATGAAAAGAACAATGTAATAACAACATAAAAAATTTTGTTCCAGGGTCAGTCCTAGAAACATTCAAGGGTCAATTAAGATTTCAGTATATTTAAGTATCTGCTTTTGGTGAAGAAAAAAGGAAAAAAAATACAAAAGATTCCAGTATATTTTATATTCATTAATATTAATATATCCATACTTGTAGTTCATTGTAATAAGTAAAAAACAAAAAATAAAAAAACAAAATGAGTCACAAAAATAGTTCAGTTAAGCTCTGGGTAGTGGATTCAATATAGTAAGTAAGTATATTTTTAGACATATTTTCTACTAAATATAACAGGCAGGGCATGGTGGGCTCACACCTTTAATCCTAGCACTTTGGGAGGCCAAGGCAGAAGGATTGCTTGAGCCCAAGAGTTTGAGACCAGCTTGGGCAACAGAGTGAAACCCCATCTTTACAAGAAAATAAAAAACTAGCCCGGTATGTGGTGTGTGCCTATAGTCCAAGTACTCAGTAGGCTGAGGGAGGAGGTCCCTTGAGCTCAGGAGTTTGAGGCTGCACTCCAGCCTGGCTGACAGAGCAAGATCCTGTCTCAAGAAAATAAAATACAATAAAAATAAAAAATAATATAAACAGAGAGATGTCAGCCAGATGGTGGAATGGGGAGCTCCAAACCTTGATTCTCCATAAAGATACCAACTGAACAACAATATATGGTCTAAAAGCCTTTATGGAGTTCCATAAACCATTAAGAAGCTGTAGTAGCACAGACAAGTGCAAAGCCAAGAATAGTGGCATTGAACAAATAAGAAAAGCTGTTGCATTATACTCATGATACCCCTTCCCCAAGCTGGAACAGGTTGGTGTGGCTGGGAAGCACTCAACTTGCAGCTTCTCCATTAGCAGGGAAAGAGAAGACTGGAACGGAATAGTTTTATGAGGTTACCTGAAGCTCTCTCTCTCTCTCTAACTTGACACCCAACTGGCATACTTTGGATGCGTGGGAGCCACTGGGAATAAAGGAGAGGTCAGAGATGATGCAGCACCAGGGAACCTGCAGTGCCACAGACAGATACCAGAGAGAACAACAGCTCCAGAAAAAGAAACTGGCAAACCTCTACTTGGGATGTTGCAATGTATAAACCCAAAGAAGATGCATTCCCAGAAAAGGTTTGAGAGGCTGCTAGAACCTATAGCCATGCTGATTCAGGTAAAGGTCTTCCGTATGAAGCCAGCTGATAAAAACTGGGAGCAGTGGCAGTTTTTTCAAACGTCCAAATCTTGGCAAAAATAAGTAAAAAATAAAAAAATAAAAAATAACAGGCATAAGAAGAAACAGAGAAACCTGATGACTAAATTAAAGGAGCAAAATAAATCTCCAGAAACCAATCCTAAAGAAATAGATAAATGAGTTACCTGACAAAGAATCCAAATTAACTCTCTTAATGAAGCCCAGTGACAACAGAAATAGATAACTAAATGAAAGCAGGAAATAATTCATGAACAAAATGAAAATATTAACAAAGAGATAGAAACTAAAAAAAAAAAAAAAAAAAAAGGAACCATACAGAAACTCTGAAGCTAAGGAATACAACAGCTCAATTGAAAAATTCACTATTGGAAATCACCAACAGACTGTGTAACTGCCCAATGGGTTCACCTTGTGCCCTGCTTAGACAGAGCTGATTTATCAAGACAGGGGAATTGCAATGGAGAAAGAGTAATTCATCCAGAGCCAGCTGTGCGGGAGACCAGAGTTTTATTATTACTAAAATCAGTCTCCCTGAGCATTCGGGGATCAGAAGTTTTAAAGATAATTTGGCAGGTAGGGGCTTGGGAAGTGGGGACTGCTGATTCATCAGGTTGGAGATGAAATCATAGGGGGTTGAAGTGATGTTTTCTTGCTGTCTTCTGTTTGTGGGTGGGATGGCAGAACTAGTTGAGCCATTATTACCAGTCTGGGTGCACTGGATGAATCAGCCAGTGCAGGGTCTGCAAAATATCTCAAGCAATGATTTTAGGTTTTACAATAGTGATGTTATCCCCAGGAGCAATTTGGAGAGGTTCAGACTCTTGGAGCCAGAGGCTGCATAACCCTTCAACTGTAATTTCTAATGCTATAGCTAATTTGTTTATCCTGCAAAGGCAGACTGGTTCCAGGCAAGAAGGGGATCTTTTCAGGAAATGGCTATTATCAACTTTGTTTCAGAGTCAAACCATGAACTGAATACCTTCCCAAAATTAGTTCATCCGACTGCCAGGAATGAACAAGGACAGTTTAAATGCTAGAAGCAAGATGGAGTTGATTAGGTCTGATGTCTTTCACTGTCATAATTTCTTCAGTTGTAATTTTTGCAAAGGCAGTTTCAATAACATCAAGCAGAATAAAGAATCAGTGAAACAGAAGACTAGTCATTTGAAATTATGGAGTCAGAGGAGCAAAAGGGAAAAGGAATGAAGAGTGAAGACAGCCTAAGAGACTTATAGGATGCCATCAAGCAGACCAATGTATGTATTATGAAAGTGCCAGAAGAAGAGAAAAATAAAGGGGCAGAGAGCCAGTTAAAAAAATGACCAAAAACTTCTCAAATTTAAAGAAGGAAATGGACATACAAATCCAAGAGTCTCAAAGAACTCCAAGTTGGATAATTTGCAAAAGACCTACAATGAGACACATTACAATCAAACTGTCAAAAGTCAAAGACAAAGAGAGAATTTTGAAAGGAACAGGATCAAAGCAACTTTTCACATACAAGGGAGATGCCATATGGTTATCAGTGGAATTCTCAGCAAAAACTCTACAGGCCAGAAGAGAATGGGATGATATATTAAAAGGGCTGAAAGAAAAAAAAAAAACTGTCAACCAAGAACTGTATAGCCAGTAAAACTGTACTTCAAAAATGAAGGACAAACAAAGAGTTCCCCAGAGAATTAAAAGGTGAGGGAATTGATCACCACTAGACCTACCTTACAAAAAATGTTAAAGGGAGTCCTCCATGTGGAAATGAAAGGGCATTGGATAGAAATACAAAAGCATACAAAACATAAACTTCTTTGGTAAAGGTAAATATATGAGTGAACATAGAATCCTTTAATACTGTAATGGTGGTAAGTAAAACACTTTTTTTCTTTACTTTTTTCTTTTTCTTTTTTGAGACAAAGTCTTGCTCTGTTGCCCAGGCTGGAGTGCAGTGGTTTGATCACAGCTCACTGCAGCCTTGCAGGCCTGGGCTAAAGCAATCCTCCCACCTCAACCTCCCAAGTGGCTGGGACTACAGACATGCACCACCACACTCAGATAATATTTTTAAATTTTTAGCAGAGATAAGGTCTTGCTGGTCTCAAACTCCTAGGCTCAAGTGGTCCTCCCATTTTGGCCTCTCAAAGTGCTGGGACTACAGGTGTAAGACACCACACCCAGCCTGTAATTCACTTTTAATTGAAGCATAGAATTTAAAAAGTAAAAGCATAACATTACTGTATTAAATTATGTGAATAAACAATATAAAAATATATATTGTGTGACACTGATAACAAAGTGAGAAGGAAGTGTAAAGAAGTAGAGTTTTTGTATGTGATTAAAGTTAAGTTGTTGTCAATTTAAAATAGATTATTATAACTATGAGATGTTTTCATGTAATTCTACAGTAACCACAAAGAAAAGACCTACAGAAGATACACAAATAAACATGAGAAAGGAACCCAAGCATGCCCCTACCAAAAAAAGAAATCAGTGAAACATAAAGGGAGGCAGGAAGAGAGGAAAAGTGGAAAAAAATAGCTGCAAGACATACATAAAACAATAAACAAAATGACAATAGTAAGCCCCTCCCTATCAGTAACTACTTTAAATGCAAATAGGCTAATTTTCCAATCAAAAGACAGAGATTGGCCAAATGGATTTAAAAAAATCTAAATATATACTATATGCAAGAGACTTACATTAGATCTAAAGACACACAAAGGTTGAAAGTGAAAGGATGGAAAAAGATATTCAATGCAGTTGGTAACCAAAAGAGAACAACGATGGCCATACTTAGACAAAATAGAGTTTAAGTCAAATAATAGCACAAGAGACAAGGATATTACATAATAATAAAAGGGCCAATTGACCAAGAAGATATAGCAATTATAAATATATATGCAACTAACAGTACAGCATCTAAATATATGAAGCCAACATAGACAGAATTGAGGGGTAACATAGATAACAACATCATAATAACAGAAAACTTCAATATCCCACTTTCAATTATGGATACAATAACCAGACAGAAGATCAACTGGAAAACAGAGAACTTGAACAACACTGTAGACCAATTGGACCTATCTGACATATACAGAACACTTCACCCAATAATAGCAAAATACACTTTCTTCTCAAGTACATACCAAGACTTTTCCAGGATAAATGGCATGCTAGTCCACAAACAAGTTTTTAAAAATTTAAGAAAACTGAACTCATACCAAGTATCTTTTCTGACCACATTAAATGAAATTAGAAATTCATAGCAGAAGGAAAAAGGAAAAGTAATAAATATGTGGAAATTACAAAAATATACTCTGTTAACCAATTGGCCTGTATGGTTAATATTAATTGTCAATTTGATTGAGGGATGCTTAGATGCCTGATGAAGCACTGAGTGAGGGTATATCTGTGAGGGTGCTGCCACAGGAGAATGATGGATGAGTTAGTGGACTGAGAGAGAAAGACCCATCCTCACTGTGGGTAGGCATCATGCAATTGGTTGCAAGTGTGGCTAGAACAAAAAGGCAGAAGAATGGGAACATTCAGCTTGCTTGGATTTCTTTTTTATGCACTTTCTCTCTCTTCCAGAGCAGTATGCCTTTTTCTCCTCTTGCCCTTGCACATCAAACTCTAGGTTCTTTTGCCTTTGGACCCTGGAACTTGCATCAGCAGCCTTTTGGGAGCTCTCAGGCCTTTGGCCTCAGACTAGTGGCTGCACTGTCAGCTTCCCTGGTTTTGAGACTTTCAAATTTGGACTGAGCCATGTCACTGGCTTCCTTGGGAGCCATGCTTTAGGCTTCTCTCATTTTCCGGCTTATAGATGGCCTATTGTGGGACTTTGCCTTTGTAATTATGTGAGCCAATTCTCCTTAATAAATTATATTTCATATATATGTAAATATATTCTCTTTTATATGCATGTATCTATATCTATATCTATATCTATATCTATATCTATATCTATATCTATATCTATATCTATATCTCCTATTGGTTCTGACCCTCTGGAGAACTCTGATTAATACATAGTCAAAGAATAAGTCACAAGGAAAATTAGAAAATGTCTCGAGACAAATAAAAATGGAAACACAACATTCCAAAGCTTGTGGGATGCAGCAAAATGAATATGAAGAGGACAGTTTATATATCTAACTACCTACCTTAAAAAAGAAGAAAGATCTAAAATAAGCAACTTAGCTTTACACCTCAAGAAACTGGAAAAAGAAGAACTCAATCCAATGTTAGCAAAAGGAAGGAAATAATAAAGTCTAGAGCAGAAGGCCGGGTGCAATGGCTCACGACTGTAATCCCAGCACTTTGGGAGGCCGAGGCAGGCAGATCACCTGAGATCAGGAGTTTGAGACCAGCCTGAGCAACATGGAGAAACCTGTCACTACTAAAAAATACAAAATTAGCCAGGCATGGTGGTGCATGCCTGTAATCCCAGCTACTCTGGAGGCTGAGGCAGGAGAGTCACTTGAACCGGGAGGCAGAGGCTGCACTGAGCTGAGATCGTGCCACTGCACTCCAGCCTGGGCAATAAGAGCAAAACTCCATCTCAAAAAAAAAAAAAAAAAAAAGGCTAGAGAAAAAAAAAACCCAATGAAACTAGTAGTTGTTTCAAAGTTCAACAAAATTGACAAATAATCAGCTAGAATATTTAAGAAAAAAAATAAAGAAGACTCAACTTCTTTTAGGAACAAAAGAGAAGACATTGCAACAGATATTACAGAAATAAAAAGGATTCTAAGAGTCTACTATGAATGATTATATACTGACAAGTTGGATAACCTAGGAGAAATGAACAGATTCCTAGTAACATGCAAGTTACCAAGACTAAGTCACAAAATAAAAAATCTTAATAGACCTATAACTAGTAACTGAATCAGGAATCAAAAACCTCCCAGCAAACCAAATACCTGATAAGGGGTTAATATCTAAAATATATACAGAACAACAACTCAATAACAAAACAACATAATGAGAAACGGTCAGTTGACTTTGCTATGGTCCAAATGTTTATGTTCTCCCAATATTCATATGCTGGAGCCTAATATTCAATGTGATAATATTAAGAGGTGGGGCATTTTGGAGATGATTAGTTCATGAAGTCATAGCCCTCAGAAATGGGACTAGGGCCTTTATAAAAGAGGCTTAAGGGAGTTTACTTTCCCTTTTGAACATGTGAGGACAAAGAGAAGGTGCTATCTATAGTGAATATAGTGACCTCACCAGTCACTGAGTCTGTTGTAGCCTAAATCTTGGACTTCTCACATTCCAGAACGCAAGAAATAAATTTCTGTTGTTCATAAATTACCAGCCTAAGGTATTTTGTTATAGCAGCAGGAATGGACTAAGATAGACTTGAACAGACATTTTTTCCAAAAAAAAATACAAATGGCCAACTAGCATATCAACCCGACACTATGTGGCAGCTGCCAAGGCTTGGGGATTGAACTCTCTGAAGCAATAGCCTGAGCTGTATGTTGGCTCCTTTTAGCCATGGCTGGGACATAGTGCAGTCCCAAGACTGCACAGAGCAGCAAAGCTCTGGGCCTGGCCCACAAAACCATTTTTTCCCTCCTAGGCCTCCAACCCTGTGACGGGAGGGGCTGTTGTGAAGAACTCTGACATACCCTGGAGACAATTTCCCCATTATCTTGGCAATTAACATTCGGCTCCTTGTTACTTCTGCAAATTTCTGCAGTCAGCTTGAATTTCTCCCCAGAAAATGGGCTTTTCTTTTCTATCACATCATAAGGCTGCAAATCTTCCAAACTTTTATGCTCTGTCTCCCTTTTAAACATAAGTTCCAATTCCAAACCATATTTTTGTGAATGCATAAAACTGAACACTTTTAAGAGCACTCAGGTCATAAACTGAACACTCTGCTGCTTAGAAATTTCTTCTACCAGATGTCCTGGGTGGGTTCCAAGATGGCCAAATAGGAACAGTTCCGGTCTGCAGCTCCCAGCATGATCGACGCAGAAGACAGGTGATTTCTGCACTTCCAACTGAGGTACCTGGTTCATCTCATTGGGACTGGTTGGAGAGTGGGTGCAGGCCCACAGAGGGTGAGCTGAAGCAGGGTGGGGCATCACCTCACCCGGGAAGCACAAGGGGTTGGGGGATTTCCCTTTCCTAGCCAAGGGAAGCCGTGACAGACTACCTGGAAAAACAGGGCACTCCTGCCCAAATACTGCACTTTTCCCAAGGTCTTAGCAACTAGCAGACAAGATGATTCTCTCCCGTGCCTGGCTCAGCGGGTCCCACACCCATGGAGCCTTGCTCACTACTAGCGCAACAGTCTGAGATCCATCTGCGAGGTGGCAGCCTGGCTGGGGGAGGGCCGTCCACCATTGCTGAGGCTTAAGTAGGTAAACAAAGCGGCTGGGAAGCTTGAACTGGGTGGAGCCCACTGCAGCTCAACAAGGCCTATTGCCTCTAGACTCCACCTCTGTGGGCAGGGATAGCTGAACAAAAGGCAGCAACTTCTGCAAACTTAAACGTCCCTGTCTGACAGCTCTGAAGAGAGCAGTGGTTTTCCCAGCATGGCGTTTGAGTTCTGAGAATGGACAGACTGCCTCATCAAGTGGGTCCCTGACCCCTGTGTAGCCTAACTGGGACACACCTGCCAGTAGGGGCTGACAGACACCTCATTTAGGCGGATGCCCCTCTTGGACGAAGCTTCCAGAGGAAGGATCGGGCAGCAATATTTGCTGTTCTGCAGCCTCCACTGGTGATACTCAGGCAAACAGGGTCTGGAGTGGAACTCCAGCAAACTCCAACAGACTTGCAGCTGAGGGTCCTGACTGTTAGAAGGAAAACTAACAAACAGAAAGGAATAGCATCAACATTAACCAAAAGATCATCTACACCAAAACCCCATCTGTAGGTCAACAATGTCAAAGAACAAAGGTAGATAAAACCAAAAGGATAGGGATAAACCAGAGCAGAAAAGCTGAAAATTCTAAAAATCAGAGCACCTCTTCTCCTCCAAAGGATCGCAGCTCCTTGTCAGCAATGGAACAAAGCTGGATGGAGAATGACTTTGACGAGTTGACAGAAGTAGGCTTCAGAAGGTTGGTAATAACAAACTTCTCCGAGCTAAAGGAGGATGTTGGAACCCATCGCAAGGAAGGTAAAAACCTTGAAAAAAGATTAGATGAATGGCTTACAAGAATAAACAGTGTAGAGAAGACCTTAAGTGACCTGATGGAGCTGAAAACCTTGGCACGAGAACTTTGTGACACATGCACAAGCTTCAATAGCCGATTCAATCAAGTGGAAGAAAGGGTATCAGTGATTGAAGATCAAATAAATGAAATAAAGTGAGAAGACAAGGTTAGAGAAACAAGAGTAAAAAGAAATGAAGAAAGCCTCCAAGAAATATGGGACTATGTGAAAAGACCAAATCTACATTTGATTGGTGTACCTGAAAGTGATGAGGAGAATGGAACCAAGTTGGAAAACACTCTTCAGGATATTATCCAGGAGAACTTCCCCAACCTAGCAAGGCAGGCCAACATTCAAATTCAGGAAATACAGAGAACACCACAAAAATACTCCTTGAGAAGAGCAATTCCAAGAAACATACTTATCAGATTCACCAAGGTTGAAATGAAGGAAAAAGTGTTAAGGGCACCCAGAGAGAAAGGTCAGGTTAGCCAGAAAGGGAAGCCCATCAGACTAACAGTGGATCTCTCAGCAGAAACCCTGCAAGCCAGAAGTAAGTAGGGGCCAATATTCAACACTCTTAAAGAAAAGAATTTTCAACTCAGAATTTCATATCCAGCCAAACTAAGCTTCATAAGTGAAGGAGAAATAAAATCCTTTACAGACAAGCAAATGCTGAGAGATTTTGTCACCACCAGGCCTGCCTTACAAGAGCTCCTGAAGGAAGCACTAAACATGGAAAGAAACACCCGGTACCAGCCAGGGCAAAAACAGGCCAAACTGTAAAGACCATCAATGCTAGGAAGAAACTGCATCAATTAACGGGCAAATAACCAGCAACTATCATAATAACAGGATCAAATTCACACATAACAATATTAACCATAAACGTAAATGGGCTAAATGCCCCAATTAAAAGACACAGACTGGCAAACTGGATAAAGAGTCAAGACCCATCAGTGTGCTGTATTCAGGAGACCCATCTAACGTGCAGAGACACACATAGGCTCAAAATAAAGGGATGGAGGAAGATCTACCAAACAAATGGAAAGCAAAAAATAGCAGGGGTTGCAATCCTAGTCTCTGATAAAACAGACTTTAAACCAACAAAGATCAAAAGAGACAAAGAAGGCCATTACATAATGGTAAAGGGATCAATTCAACAAGAAGAGCTAACTATCCTAAATATATATGCACCCAATACAAGAGCACCCAGATTCATAAAGCAGGTCCTTAGAGACTTACAAAGAGACTTAGACTCCCACACAATAATAATGGGAGAATTTCACACCCCACTGTCAATATTAGAAAGATCAAGAAGACAGAAGGTTAACAAAGATATCCAGGACCTGAACTCAGCTCTGCAACAAACAGACCTAATAGATATCTACAGAACTCTCCACCCCAAATCAACAGAGTATACATTCTTCTCAGCACCACATCACACTTATTCTAAAATTGACCACATAATTGGAAGTAAAGCACTAGTCAGCAAATGTAAAAGAACAGAAATCACAACAAACTGTCTCTCAGACCACAGTGCAATCAAATTAGAACTTAGGATTAAGAAGCTCCCTCAAAACTGAACAACTACATGGAACTGAACAATTTGCTCCTGAATGACTACTGGGTAAATAACAAAATGAAGGCAGAAATAAAGATGTTCTTTGAAACCAATGAGAACAAAGGCACAATGTACCAGAATCTCTGGGACACATTTAAAGCAGTGTGTAGAGGGAAATTTATAGCACTAAATGCCCAGAAGAGAAAGCAGGAAAGATCTAAAATTGACACCTTAACATCACAATTAAAAGAACTAGAGAAGCAAGAGCAAACACATTCAAAAGCCAGCAGAAGGCAAAAAATAAGATCAGAGCAGAGCTGAAGGAGATACAGACACAAAAAACCCTTCAAAAAGTCAATGAATCCAGGAGCTGGTTTTTTGAAAAGATCAACAAAATTGACAGACTGCTAGCAAGCCTAATAAAGAAGAAAAGAGAGAGGAATCAAATAGATGCAATAAAAATGATAAAGGGGATATCACCACTGAGCCCATGGAAATACAAACTACCATCAGAGAATACTATAAACACCTCTATGCAAATAAACTACAACATCTAGAAGAAATGGATAAATTCTGGGACACATACACCCTTCCAAGACTAAACCAGGAAGAAGTTGAATCTCTGAATAGACCAATAACAGGCTCTGAAATTGAGGCAATAATTAATAGCCTACCAACCAAAAAAAAAGTCCAGGACCAGATGGATTCACAGCTGAATTCTACCAGAGGCACAAAGAGGAGCTGGTACCATTCTTTCTGAAACTATTCCAATCAATAGAAAAAGAGAGAATCCTCCCTAATTCATTTTATGAGGCCAACATCATCCTGATACCAAAGCCTGGCAGGGACACAACAACAACAAAAAAGGGAATTTTAGACCAATATCCCTATGAACATTGATACAAAAATCCTCAATAAGATACTGACAAACTGAATCCAGCAGCACATCAAAAAGCTTATCCACCACGATCAAGTTGGCTTCATCCCTGGGATGCAAGGCTGGTTCAACATACACAAATCAATAAATGTAATCCATCATATAAGCAGAACCAAAGACAAAAACCACATGATTATCTTAATAGATGCAGAAAAGGCCTTTGACAAAATTCAACAGCCCTTCATGCTAAGAACTCTCAATAAACTAGGTATTGATGGGACGTATCTTAAAATAATAAGAGCTATTTATGACAAACCCACAGCCAATATCATACTGAATGGACAATAACTGGAAGCATTCCCTTTGAAAACTGGCACAATACAAGGATGCTCTCTCTCATCACTCCTATTCAACATAGTCTTGGAAGTTCTGGCCAGGGCAATCAGGGAAGAGAATGAAATAAAGGGTATTCAATTAGGAAAAGAGGAAGTCAAATTGTCCCTGTTTGCAGATGACATTATTGTATATTTAGAAAACCCCATCATCTCAGCCCAAAATCTCCTTAAGCTAAGCAACTTCAGCAAAGTCTCAGGATACAAAATCAACGTGTAAAAATCACAAGCATTCTTATACACCAATAACAAACAGAGAGCCAAATCATGAGTGAACTCCCATTCACAATTGCTTCAAAGAGAATAAAATACCTAGGAATCCAACTTACAAGGGAAATGAAGGACCTCTTCAAGGAGAACTACAAACCACTTCTCAACGAAATAAAAGAGGACACAAACAAATGGAAGAACATTCCATGCTCATGGATAGGAAGAATCAATATTGTGAAAATGGCCATATTGCCAAAGGTAATTTATAGATTCAATGCCATCCCCATCAAGCTACCAATGACTTTCTTCACAGAATTGGAAAAAACTACTTTCAAGTTCATATGGAACCAAAAAAGAACCTGCATTGCCAAGACAGTCTTAAGCCAAAAGAACAAAGCTGGAGGCATCACACTACCTGACTTCAAACTACACTACAAGGCTACAGTAACCAAAACAGCATGGTACTGGTGCCAAAGCAGAGATATAGACCAATGGAACAGAATAGAGCCCTCAGAAATAATACGACACATCTACAACCATCTGATCTTTGACAAACCTGACATAAACGAGAAATGGGGAAAGGATTCCCTATTTAATAAATGGTGCTGGGAAAACGGGCTAGCAATACGTAGAAAACTGAAACTGGATCCCTTCCTTACACTTTATATAAAAATTAATTCAAGATGGATTAAAGACTTACATGTTAGACCTAAAACCATAAAAACCCTAGAAGAATACCTAGGCAATACCATTCAGGCCATAGGCATGGGCAAAGAATTAATGACTAAAACACCAATAGCAATGGCAACAAAAGCCAAAATTGACAAATGGGATCTAATTAAACTAGAGAGCTTCTGCACAGCAAAAGAAACTACCATCAGAGTGAACAGACAACCTACAGAATGGGAGAAAATTTTTACAATCTACCCATCTGACAAAGGGCTAATATCCAGAATCTACAAATAACTTAAACAAATTTATATGAAAAAATCAAACCCCATCAAAAAGTAGGCAAAGGATATGAACAGACACTTCTCAAAAGAAGACATCTATGCAGCCAACAGACACATGAAAAAATGCTCATCATCACTGGCCATCAGAGAAATGCAAATCAAAACCACAATGAGATACCATCTCACACCAATTAGAATGGTGATCATTAAAAAGTCAGGAAACAACAGGTGCTGGAGAGGTTATGGAGAAATAGGAATGCTTTTACACTGTTGGTGGGAGTGTAAACTAGTTCAATCATTGTAGAAGACAGTGTGGCGATTCCTCAAGGATCTAGAACTAGAAATACCATTTCACCCAGCCATCCCATTACTGGTCATATACCCAAAGGATTATGAATCATGCTGCTATAAAGACACATGCACACGTATGTTTATTGTGGCACTATTCACAATAGTAAAGACTTGGAACCAACCCAAATGCCCATCAATGATAGACTGGATTAAGAAAATGTGGCACATATACACCATGGAATACTATGCAGCCATAAAAAGGATGAGTTCCTGTCCTTTATAAGGACATGGATGAAGCTAGAAACCATCATTCTGAGAAAACTATCACAAGGACAGAAAACCAAACACCGCATGTTCTCACTCATAGGTGGGAATTGAACAATGAGAACACTTGGACACAGGGTGGGGAACATCACACACTGGGGCCTGTCATGGAGTGTGGGGAGGGAGGGGATAGCATTAGGAGATATATCTAATGTAAATGACGAGTTAATGGGTGCAGCACACCAATATGGCACATGTATGCATATGTAACAAACCTGCATGTTGTGCACATGTACCCTAGAACTTAAAGTATAATAACAAAAAAAACTATGACACTGTCCTATATACCATATCTGTACAAAAATTATAAATTTTAGATAGCCATCCAGAGATACTTCTCTACTTCTTGGAAAAAATATCAACATTGAAAACATCAAAAAAATTAAACACTTCTTCTTTTGTCCAAAAAAAAAAAGAAAGAAAAAAGGGAATCCTCCCTAACTCATTTTATGAGGCCAGCATCATCCTGGTACCAAAGCCTGGCAGAGACACAACAAAAAAAGAGAATTTTAGACCAATATCCCTGATGAACATCGATGCAAAAATCCTCAATAAAATACTGGCAAACCGAATCCAGCAGCACATCAAAAAGCTTATCCACCACGATCAAGTCGGCTTCATCTCTGGGATGCAAGGCTGGTTCAACATATGTAACTCAATAAACATAATCCATTACATAAACAGAACCAAAGACAAAAACCACATGATTATCTCAATAGATGCAGAAAAGGCCTTTGACAAAATTCAACACTCCTTCATGCTAAAAACTCTCAATAAACTAGGTATTGATGGGACGTATCTCAAAATAATAAGAGCTATTTATGACAAACCCACAGCCAATATCATACTGAATGGGCAAAAACTGGAAGCATTCCTTTTGAAAACCGGCACAAGACAAGGATGCCCTCTCTCACCACTCCTATTCAACATGGTGTTGGAAGTTCTGACCAGTGCAATCAGGCAGGAGAAAGAAATAAATGGTATTCAGTTAGGAAAAGAGGAAGTCAAATTGTCCCTGTTTGCAGATGACATGATTGTATATTTAGAAAACCCCATCATCTCAGCCCAAAATCTCCTTAAGCTGATAAGCAACTTCAGCAAAGTCTCAGGATACAAAATCAATGTGCAAAAATCACAAGCATTCCTATACACCATTAATAGACAAACAGAGAGCCAAATCATGAGTGAACTCCCATTCACAATTGCTACAAAGAGAATAAAATACCTAGGAATCCAACTTACAAGGGTTGTGAAGGACCTCTTCAAGGAGAACTACAAACCACTGCTCAACGAAATAAAAGAGGACACAAACAAATTGAAGAATATTCCATGCTCATGGATAGGAAGAATCAATATCATGGAAATGGCCATACTGCCCGAAGTAATTTATAGATTCAATACTATCCCCATCAAGCTACTAATGACTTTCTTCACAGAATTGGAAAAAAAACTGCTTTAAAGTTCATATGGAACCAAAAAAGAGCCTGCATTGCCAAGACAATCCTAAGCAAAAAGAACAAAGCTGGAGGCATCACACTACCTGACTTCAAACTGTACTACAAGGCTGCACTAACCAAAACAGCATGGTACTGGTACCAAAACAGATATATAGACCAATGGAACAGAACAGAGGCCTCAGAAATAAGACCACACATCTACAGCCATCTGATCTTTGACAAAACTGAGAAAAACAAGAAATGGGGAAAGGATTGCCTATTTAATAAATGATGCTGGGAAAACTGGCTAGCCATATGTAGAAAGCTGAAACTGGATCCCTTCCTTATACCTTATACAAAAATTAATTCAAGATGGATTAAAGACTTAAATGTTAGACCTAAAACCATAAAAACCCTAGAAGAAAACCTAGGCAATACCATTCAGGCCATAGGCATGGGCGAGGTCTTCATGACTAAAACACCAATAGTAATGGCAACAGAAGCCAAAATTGAGAAATGGAATCTAACTAAACTAAAGAGCTTCTGCATAGCAAAAGAAACTGCCATCAGAGTGAACCAGGCAACCTACAGAATGGGAGACAAATTGCGATCTACCCATTTGACAAAGAAAGAATTCAAACAAATTTACAAGAAAAAAACAATACCATCAAAAAGTGGGCAAAGATATGAATAGACACTTCTCCAAAGTAGACATCTATGCAGCTAACAGACACATGAAAAAATGCTCATCATCACTGGTCATCAGAGAAATGCAAATCAAAACCACAATGAGATATCATCTCATGCCAGTTAGAATGGCAATCATTAAAAAGTCAGGAAACAACAGATGCTGGAGAGCATATGGAGAAATAGGAACACTTTTACACTGTTGATGGGAGTGTAAATTAGTTCAACCATTGTGGAAGACATTGTGGCGATTCCTCGAGGATATAGAACTAGAATTACCATTTGACCCGGCAATCCCATTACTGGGTATATACCCAAAGGATTTTAAATCATGCTACTATAAAGACACATGCACATGTATGTTTATTTCGGCACTATTCACAATAGCAAAGACTTGTAACCAACCCAAATGTCCATCAATGATGGACTGGATTAAGACACGTGACACATATACACCATGGAATACTAATGCAATCATAAAAAAGGATGAGTTCATGTCCTTTGCAGGGAGATAGATGAAGCTGGAAACCATCACTCTCAGCAAAACTATCACAAGGACAGAAAACCAAACACCGCATGTTCTCACTCATAGGTGGGAATTGAACAATGAGATCACTTGGACACAGGGCTGGGAACATCACACACTGGGGCCTGTCGGGGGGTGGAGGGCTGGGGGAGGGAGAGCATTAGGAGAAATACCTAATGTAAATGATGAGTTGATGGGTGCAGCAAACCAACACGGCACATGTATACCTATGTATCAAACCTGCATGTTGTGCACCTGTACCCTAGAACTTAAGGTATAACAACACCAACAAAAAAAGAAGTTTCTTCTACCAGATGTCCTCAATCATCTCTCTCAGTTTCAAAGTTCCATAAATCTCTAGGGCAGGGGCAAAATGCCACCAGCCTCTTTGCTAAAGCATAGCAAGAGTGACCTTTACTTCAGTTCCCAACAAGTTCTTTATCTCCATCTCAGACCTCCTCAGCCTGGACTTCACTGTCCAAGTCACTATCAGCAGTTCGGTCAAAGCCATTCAACAAGTCTCTAGGCAGTTCCAAACTTTCCCACATCTTCTGGTCTTCTTCTGAGTCCTCCCAACTGTTCCACCCTCTGCACATTACACAGCTCCAAAGTCACTTCCACATTCTCAGGTATTTTATAGCATTACTCCATTACCTTGGTATCAAAATCTGTATTAGTCATGGTTCTCTAGAGGGATAGAACTAATAGGATATATGTATGTATGAAAGGGAGTTTATTAAGGAGAATTGAATCACACCATCACAAAGTGAAGTCCCACAACACGTCTGCAAGTTGAGGGGCAAGGAATCTAGTATTGGCTCAGTCCGAGTCCCAAAACCTCAAAAGTAGGGAAACTGACAGGCCAGCTTTGAGTCTCTGGATGAAGGCCTGAGAGTCCCTGGAAAACAACTGGAGTAAGTCCAAGAGTCCAAAAGCCAAAGAACCTGGAGTCTGATATTTGAGTGCAGGAAGCATCCAGCATGGGAGAAAGATGAGGGCCAGAAAGCTCAGCAAGTCAGCTTCTCCTAAACTTCTTCTGCCTGCTTTATTCTAGCCATGCTGGCAGCTGATTTTATGGTGCCGACCCACACTGAGGGTGGATCTGCCTCTCCCAGTCCACTAAATAAATGTTAATCTCCTTTGGCAACACCCTCACAGACACAACCGGGAACAATACTTTGGATCCTTCAATCCAATCAAGTTGACACTTACTTAATATTAATCTTCACAATGTAATATTCATCCCATTTGTAATTTTTCTTTAATATACAAGCTCCTTGAGAACATGCACCATTTGATCTTGTCTCTCTGTTTTCTTGGGAGGCAGTGGAGAAGAGAAGAGTTAAATGTGTGGGTGTGGAGTCAGACTGCCAGATTTGCATCTTGGCTCCCCTACTTACTGGATCTCTGACCTTGAGTAAATTACTTAACATCTTTCTCAGTTTCCTTACCTGTAAATGAGTGGTGACATATATGGAACTTAGAACAAGAGCCAAGCAAGTATTCAATAAAAGCTAATGTTGTTGCCTACTGTTTATTCTCAGTGTTTGGCATAGTAGCCGGCAAAAGGAAGAGGAATTTTTTTTTTCTTTTTTTCAGACAGTCTCCCCCTGTCACCCAGGCTGGAGTGCAGTGGTGTGATCTTGGCTCACTGCAACCTCTGCCTCTTGGGTTCAAGCAATTCTTGTGCCTCAGCCCCCTGAGTAGCTGGGATTACAGGCCTGTGCCACCACACCCAGCTAACTTTTTGTATTTTTAGTAGAGATGGAGCTTTGCTATGTTGGCCAGGCTGGTCTTGAACTCATGTCCTCAAGTGATCCACCCACTTTGGCCTCCCAAAGTGTTGGGATTATAGGCGTGAGCCATTGGGCCCGGCCTGGAAATATTTTTTTGAAACATGACTGATAACAGTATTTTTTGAAAGAATGACAGATACCAATCATGAAGGAAAAGATTTTCACAATTGACAATAAAAAACTTTAACTTCTGAATGGTAAAAAGAGTGAGAAAATTAAAAGCCAAATTACAAATTGAAAAAACTAAAGTATATAAAACAAAGGTTTTCATTCTCAATTTAATGCAGAATCTTGACAAATCAAAAAGAACAAAAGGTGAACCCACCTAAAAGAAATAGGCAAAAGACTTCCAAGAAAAGCAATTTACAAAATGCCAATGACTAATAAACATGGATATTTAACAGCACTAGTATTCAAAATACTTCATTTATAGAGATCCCTCCTTCACCTATCAAATTAGCAAAGATGAAAAAGGCTAGTATTACCAAGTTTTGAAGACAGGTGAGAGGAAATGACAAGTTTATGTACCCTGGTAGGACATGATATTGTGGCAATTTGTTTCAGAACACTCATAAATGTAGATATCTTTTAGATCAACAATTACACTTTTAAGCTTAAGAAAATATGAAGAATAGGTACAAATATTTCTCTATATGTTCAATTAAGTATTATTTTTTAAATTAAAAAAAAATTTTTTTTGAGACAGTGTCTCACTCTGTTGCCCAGGCTGGATAGCTCACTACGGCCTCCGCCTCCTGGGTTCAAGTGATTCTTCTGCTTCAGCCTCCTGAGTAGCTGGGATTACAGATGCCCACCACCATGCCTGGCTAAGTTTTGTATTTTTAGTAGAGACAGGGTTTCACCATGTTGGTTGGCCAGGCTGGTCTTGAACTCCTGATCTCAAGTGATCCACCCTTCTTGGCCTCCCAAAGTGCTGGGATTACAGGCATGAGCCACCATGCCTGGCCAATTTTTTAATTAAAAAAAATTTTTATAGCAGCACAACTAAGTATTATTTTAATAGTAAATATTGGAGTCAAGTTTAATTTTGAACAGGATAAGTAATTATGATGCAGCACATTGAATACTCTTTCATTAAGCTAAACAACTATTAAAATGATATACAAATACATTTACTGAAAAGAAACATGTTTGTGATATACAGTTAAGTGTAAAACAATTCAGGTTATAAGAACATATTAGGCCAGGTGCGATGTCTCACGCCTGTAATCCCAGCACTTTGGGAGGCCGAGGCGGGCGGATCATGAGGTCAGGAGATTGAGACCATCCTGGCTAACATGGTGAAACCCTGTCTCTACTAAAAATATAAAAAAAATTAGCCGGGCGTGGTGGTGGGTGCTTATAGTCCCAACTACTTGGGAGGCTGAGGCAGGAGAATGGCGTGAACCCGGGAGGCAGAGCATGCAGTGAGCCGAGATTGTGCCACTGCACTCCAACCTGGGTGACAGAGCAAGACTCCGCCTCAAAAAAAAAAAAAAGAACATATTGGTCAATATTCACTGATTTTTATAAGAATATTTGACAGAGAGAGAGGGGGAAGGGAAGGGAAGGGGAAAGGAAAGGGAAAGGAAGAAGGGAAGAAGGGAAGGGAAGGGAATATGGGTGGATTTATATCAAAAGGTTCAGAAGGAAATGATTCTTTTCTTCTGGATGTGACTACTGCAGATTTTTTTAACTTTTCCTCTTTTTCTTATTTATTTATATTTTCTGATTTTAAGAGAAACTATAAAACTATATATATTACTTTTCAACTTAAAAATATTTTAGTGCTTCAATAATGCAGAAGACTCAATTTCAACATTGCAGATAATTAAAGCATTACTAAATGTGGAAATGTTTACTTTCACAATTTCTGTAGTGATATTCAAGACCAGATATCACCTTGGAATCAGAACTGGTGCAGGATCTTGTCCTAACACTACCATTAAGGCATATGGCTGACCCAGCTCTGTATGTTTAGGTTGTCTTATAATAGAGCAACCAGTTGTTTATTAGGATGGCCAAAAAGGCACATTTCAAAAATGCCTATTAAAATATTAGTAGTACAAATAATACCGCTGAATTTTTTCTAATGAGAACTGATAAAATTCCAAAGCAATATAAGCAGATACATAGTAATAATATGGTTTATCAAATTAATTGTCACATGATTATTAAAATGAGATCATGTGTGTTAAGTAGTGGTATCTTAAGCCACTGAAATATCTTCCTTGGTCTAGAATGAGCTTTCTATGGAGATTAAAAAGATGTTAAATTGAACAGTCTTGGTTAATAAATGAAGAAGCAAAGCCAGAAACCCTGTTTAAAGAAGTAACAAAAAAGGTCATGAATGATCTAGTGGTTGTTATATTTTCTTGTTTACCTGAGGAAAAGACTATGCTCAAGCATGTATTGAATCCAGTGATAGCCAGAATGTCATCCATACTGCTAGCAGCCATTAATAAGGTTGGAATGCCTTCCTCAACACCATATCCATTTTCTTGCAGCACCATCATGTAAGGGACAACAACAGCAGGAGAGACAGCACCTAGAACAAAACTGAAAGAAAGAATGAAAATTAATTTAAAAGCATCTTTTAAATCAAGTAGTGTTTTATAAGTACAAGTAGTTTATAATAACTTTATAACAAACATTGTTTAGAAGAATTTCAAATTTGAGTGAATGCAATTTAATGGTGATAAAACTTTTCATGCATTGTTTAGTGCTGGCTAAAATTTTATACAGATGTGGTTTAAAATGTTGGGCTGAACACAGGTTGCAGCCTCTCCCTCTATTCCTAAATCCTTTGAAGTGAAGATGTAAAAGTAATAGAAAAATTCATAACCTAACCAGAAAGCAAAAGGTGAATCCGCAATGGACAAGAAACTAAGTATATCCCAGTAAGATAAGAGACAGACAATTTAGGATTGAAAAAAGGAAACCATAAACCAAAATCTGTGTAAATAAGATTGCCTCAAAAGATACATGTGCTTCTAAAAGTGCTCCAAGCCCTGAAATGGCAGATGCTGGGAGCAGGAGAGACCTCTGGGGAAACCAAATAGTTAATTATTTGGAGTACCACTGTAAGAATGGTCAGACAAATCTATCTTCCACACATTTCCTACCTCTTGAGTAAATAAGTAAGTAAGGAAGGAAGGAACAGAGTTGTCTGCCCAAAAAAACAAGTGTGGCCACCTAAGTTACAAAGGCAAATGAGAACATTTCTGGAGTGGTTGATGACACCCATGAGGAATGGGGAGGCTCCTGCTCCGAATACCTTCTATTGACATATCTTATCCAGAATTTCGCCTCATCTCTTCTACATTTACTTTATAAAGGCTGAAGTATATCCTGTGTAGAAATGCTTTTGGTGCTCCTGCCAGAATTGACCTGGTAAATGAACACATCTCCCAGTGCTGCTTGTTGGCTGCTAATATCTGCAGATTTCTAGAACCCTTGTCCTGCTGACAAGCACCTACCTGGGAATACTAGGGAGGTTGTGCACCCCTCTACTTTCCCTCCAGACAGCATCTGCCAATGACTGACTGATGTGAGTGTCTAATAGTTTAGCCCATTTGCTTCTGGCTGTACAACCTCTATGGTGCAGTTTATGCTACAGATTTCCCTGTGGGCTCAAGAAGAGACTAGACTTCTCTAAGACCACATACTGGTCTAGTTCAGTGGTTCCTAAACTCTGCTGCACATTGTAATCACCTGTTGTATTATTTTTCTCATTTTGCTTAACAAGTCATCCCCAAACATAGCAGCTTAAAACAACAAATATTTATTGTCTTATGACTTCTGTGGGTCAGGAATCTGGGCATGGCTTAGCTGTATGCCTTCACTTAAGATTTCCCATGAGGTAGGGTGGGGTGGGAGAAGATCTGCTTCCAAGTTTACTCATGTAGCTATTGCAGGCTTCAGTTTTTTCCAATGGGGTTTTCTCCACAGGGCTGCCTCAGGACATGGCAGCTGGCTTCCCCAGGAATAAGTGATCAAAGAGAATTTAATCCATAACATCAATTAAAAACACAAAATATCTAAGAAAAAAACTGTGAAGATAGTCTATACTTTTATAAAAATTGTGAATATAATAATATAATAATTAAGATAATACCTGAATACTTAGAGAGACATTTCACAAGTGTGAACTAAAAAGCCTCAATTTTACCATCGCCCAACACCACGTCTGGCTAGTTTTTGTGTTTTTAGTAGATACGGTGTTTCACCATTTTGGCCAGGCTGGTCTTGAACTCCTGACTTCAAGTGATATGCCCACCTTGGCCTCCCAAAGTGCTGGGATTATAGGTGTGAGCCACCATGCCCGGCCAAAGCCTCAATAATATAAAGATGTAATCTCTCCCCCAAATAAATTAATCAGAGATACACCAATCAAAATCTTTGCAGGGATTTTTACTGAGCTTGACAAGCTGATTATAAAATTCATTTGGAAGAATAAGATCTTAGAACAAAAGATCAAGTAAACTTAAGAAAACAAGATACTGTTTTTGTAAGGGTAAAATAGTTAAAACTGAATAATAGTGACATATAAATAGACAAAATAAATTGGAAGAAAAGAAAATACAATGTGTGGAAACAAATCTATGGGATTTGTTACATCATACAATTGGTATTTTAAATCAGTGGGAGAAAGAAAGAAATCTTTCATAAATGGTGTTGAGATAACTATTTATGTGGAAAGGAATATAGATAGATCCTTACACATAATAAATGTTAAAAGCTCAAAAGGAAAAGTAGTAATAAGAAAATGTAGGGGGCTAGGTGCGATGGCTCACACCTGTAATCCCAGCACTTTGGGAGGCTGAGGCGGACAGATCAGGAGTTTGAGACCAGCCTGGCCAACATTGTGAAACCAATAGCTGGGTGCAGTGGTGCATGCCTGTAGTCCCAGCTACTTGGAAGGTTGAGGCAGGAGAATCACTTGAACCCGGGAGGTGGAGGTTGCAGTGAGCTGAGATCACGCCACTGCACTACAGCCTGGGTGACAGGAAGACTCTGTCACAAAAAAAAAAAAAAAGAAAATGTAGAATAATATATTTGTGATCATGAGGTAAAAAGGACCTTTTGAATGATACATACAAAGGCATTAGACATAAAAAGAGATTTTGATACATTCAATTATATTAAAGTAGTACTTCAAAAGCAACTTCAAAAGTACTACAATAAAGTACTACTTCAAAAGCAATTCTGCTCTTTCTCCCCCTTTTTTTCTTTTTCATTTTCAAAGTCAAGTGAATGGTGTTGTGTATTGGCAATTCTGTCTGTTGAAAATAACAAAATACACTTCTTAGAGAGAAAAAAAATCATCACAAACAAAATTAAATATCTAGTGATATTTGCAATACATATAATTTACAAATACATATAACAGATATAATTAATAAAGAAGTTGAAGACTCAACAAAAAAATGGACAAAGGATATGAACAGGCTAGTTACAGATAAGGAAAAGTTGAAGGACAACACATATATAAAAGATATTCAAGTTTGTGAATAATCACAGAAATGCAAATTAAAACAACAAAAATATGCCATTTTTTCAATTATCAGATGTGAAAACATTATAAAATTTAATAATATCAAGGATTTGCAAGGATTTTCAAGAACAACAGGTATGCTCATAAGCTATTGGTATTAGGGCAAATTAAAGTGGCCATACCGAAGGGATTTTGGCAGTGTATATCAAACTAAAAATGCATATAACCCAGGTAACTATTCTAGACAAACTTATATTTAAGTAAAATGAGACAAATAAAATGCTATTTTTGTTATAACATTGTAAATAAAATCTGCTGTTGACATACAATGTAGTCTTATACAATTAAAAGGAATAAACTACGTGTGTATCCATCTTGAGATGGATAAACCTCAAGACTATTGTTAAGTGAAAAGAACAAATTGTAAAGTAAAATTTTCTTGGGTATGATTAAGTAAAAATGCACAAAATAATACTCTTTTTTTTCTCTGGGTTCACAAATACACTTGTTAGAAGTCCAGAACATTATTTTCAAAGATCTAGAATGGTAACATAAAACTCACGAAGATGCTGCCACTCTGTCCCCAGTGGCACATGAGTGCACCCCACAGCACCATTGCCCTGGCTGACCCATGCAAGTATGCAGAACAACCCCATCCCACACCTGCCGGCACTGCACCCCTGCCAACACAGGCATACCTGCTGTGTGCTGCTGCTGCTGGCACATATGTGTGAGTAGGGACCTTGCTACAATCACTACAATGAAGCACTCTGGCTGGCACACCCCATCAGAGTGTTGTTGCCAGTGGACTGGGAACACCTCAGTGCTTAACACTGAAGGGCCAGACAACAAATCTGTGGGTATGGTACCAGCCCTGCAAAGTTAGAGCATGCAGCTCAGGAGTGCTGAGCTGAGCCTTTGCCCCCTGAAATCTTCCAGAAATGAAGCCATTTGACTGAACCTACCTTGTGCCACAGTCAAACCCTCAAGGGCATTAAAGAATATAAAAAAGGAAAAAGCTCCATCCAAAGGACAGTGACTCAAAACATTAAAGGAACCTTAGCCCACACAGATGTGAAAGAACCAGTGCAAAAACTGGCAATGTAAAAAGCCAGAATGTCTTCCTGTCTTCAAGCAATCATACTAACTCTCTAACAATGGTTGTTAACCAGGATTAAATGACAGACATAGAATTCAGAATCTGGATAGAAACAAAGATCATTGAGATTCAGAAGAAAGTCAAAATCCAATCCAAATAATCTAAGGAATCCAATAAGATGACATAAGAGCTGAAAGATGAAATAGGCATTTTAAGAAAGAACCAAACTAAACTGATAGAGCTGAAAAATGCGCCTCAAGAATTTCATAATACAATAACAAGTACTAACAGCAGAACAGACCAAGCTGAGAAAAGAATCTTAGATCTCAAAGACCACTTCTTTGAATTAACTCAGTCAGATGAAAATAAAGAACAAGAAAGAATGAACAAAACCTCTGAGAAATCTGAGATTATGTAAAGAGACCAAACATATGACTCAAGGCATCACTCAAAGAAAGGGAGAAAGAATAAGCAAGTTGGAAAACATATTTGAGGATACTGCCCACAAAAATTTCCCAAATCTTGCTAGAGAAGTCACCATTTAAATCCAGGAAATGCAGAGAACCCCTGTGAGATACTACATAAGATGACCATCCCCAAGACATCCCCAAGTCATCAGATTCTCCAAGGTCAACATGAAAGAAAAAAACATGAAAGGCAGCTAAAGTGAAGGGGCAGGTCACCTACAAAGGGAATCCCATCAGGCTAACAGTGGAACTGTAAGATACTCTACAATCCAAAAGAAATTGGGGGCCTATATTCAGCATTCTTTCTTTTTGTTTTTGAGATGGAGTCTCACTCTGTTGCCCAGGCTAGAGTGGACTGGTGCTATCTTGGCTCACTGCAACCTCCACTTCCCGGGTTCAAGCGATTCTTCTGCCTCAGCCTCCCAAGTAGCTGGGACTACAGGTGCGCACCACAACACCTGGCAATTTTTTGTAATTTTAGTAGAGACGGGATTTCACCATATTGGCCAGGGTGGTCTCAAATTCCCAACCTCGTGATCTGCCCACCTCGGCCTCTCAAAGTGCTGGGATTACAGGTATGAGCCACCATGCCTGGCCTTCAGCATTCTTAAAAAAAAAAAAAAAAAAAAAAAAAAAAACTTGGCTGGGTGTGGTGGCTCATGCCTGTAATCCCAGCACTTTGGGAGGCTGAGGGGGGTGGATCACAAGGTCAAGAGATCAAGACCATCCTGGCCAACACGGTGAAACCCCATCTCTACTAAAAATACAAAAATTAGCTGGGCATGGTGATGCGTGTCTGTAGTCCCAGCTACTCGGGAGGCTGAGGCAGGAGAATCACTTAACCCAGGAGGTGGAGGTTGCAGTGAGCTGAGATAGCACCACTGCACTCCAGCCTGGCGACAGAGCAACACTCTGTCGCCAAAAAAAAAAAAAAAAAAAAAATTCAACCAAGAACTTAATATCCAGCCAAACTAAACTTCATATTGAAGGAGAAGTAAGATCCTTTTCAGACAAACAAATGCTAAGGGAATCTGTTACCACCAGACATGCCTTACAAGAGGTCCTTAAAGGAGTGCTAAGTGTGGAAGTGAAGGACTGTTAATGGCCACCACAAAAATACGTTTAAGTACATAGAACATTGACATTGTAAAGTAACTACACAATCAAGTCTGCATAATAACCAGCTAACAACATAATGACAGGACCAAAGCTATAAATATCAATATTAACTGTGAATGTAAACAGTATAAACGCCCCACTTAAAACTCACAGAATGGCAAGTTGGATAAAGAAGCAAAGCCCAACTGTATCTGCTGTCAAGAGACCCAGCTCATATGCAACGATACCCATTGGCTCAAAGTAAAAGGATGGAAAAAAATCTAGCAAGCAAATGCAAAACAAAAAAGGGTAAGCATTGTTATCCTAATTCAGACAAAATAGACTTTAAACCAACAACAATCAAAAAGACAAAGAAGGGCACTACGTAATGATAAAGGGTTCAATTCAACAAGAAGACTTAACTGTCTAAAAGATAAATGTGCTCAAAACTGGAGCATTCAGATTCATAAAACAAGTTCATAGAGACCTATAGAGAAACTTAGATAACCACAGAATAATAGTGGGAGACTTCAACATCTCACTGACAGTACTAGACAGATCAAAGAGACAGAAAATGAACAAAGATATTCAGGACTTGAAGTCAACACTTGGCTAAATGGACCTAACAGCCATCTACAGAACACTCCACCCAACAACAACAGAATATATGTTCCTCTCATCTGTACATGGCATATATTGTAAAATTGATCACACTATCAGTCTAAAATTATTTTCAATAAATTTAAGAAAACCCCTGAAATCAGGCCAACCACACTCTTGGACCCGCAGTGTAATAAAAATAGAAGTCAACACTAAGACGAACTCTCAAAACCATACAATTACATGGAAATTAAACAACCTGTGCCTGAATGACTTTTGGGTAAACAATGAAATTAAGGCAGAAACCAATAAATTCTTTATAACTAATTAAAACAAAGATACAACATTCTCGGCTCTCTAAGACACAGGCAAAGCAGTGTTAAGGGAAAAGTTTATAGTGCTAAATGCCCATATTGAAAAGTTAGAAGGATCTTAAATTAACAACCTAATATCATACCTAAAGGAAACAGAAAAACGAGAGGAAACCATCCCAAAGCTAGCAGAAGAAAAGAAATAACCAAAATCAGAGCAGAATGGAATGAAATTGAGTCATGAAAAGCCATACAAAAGATAAATGAAACTAAAAGCTGGTTCTTCGAGAGAATAAATAAATTGGATAGGTCACTAGCTAGACCAATAAGGAAAAAAAAAAAAGAGAGAGAGAAGATCCAAAAAACACAATCAGAAATGGCAAAGTGGACGTTACCGCCAACCACACAGAAATACAAAAAACTCTCAGAGACTACGATGAACATCTTCATGCAAACAAAGTAGAACACCTATGAGAAATTGGTAAATTTCTGGAAACATACAACTTCCCAAGATTGAACTAGGAAGAAACTGAAATCCTGAACAAATCAAAAATGAGTTCTGAAACTGAATGAGTAATAAAAAGTCTCTGAGCCAAAAAAAAAAAAAAAAAAAAAAGCAAGCCCAGGACCCAACAGATTCACAGACAAATTCTACCAGAAGTGTAAAGAAGAGCTGGTACCAATGCTACTGAAATTATTCCAAAAAAATGAGGAGGAAGGATCCCTCCCTAACTCATTTTATGAGGCCAGCATCATTCAGATATGAAAACCTGGCAGAGACACAACAAAAAAGAAAACTTCAGGACAGTTATCACTGATGATCATAGATGCAAAAATCCTCAACAAAATACAAGCCAACTGAATCCAGCAGCATATCAAAAAGCTAGTCCACTATGATTAAGTAAGCTTTATCCCTGGGATGCAAGTTTGGTTCAAGATATACAAACCAATAAATGTGATTCATCATATAATAGAACTAAAAATAAAAACATCCCTTCATGATATAGACCCTCAACAAATGAGTTACTGAAGGAGCATACCTCAAAATAATTGGAGCCATTTATGACAAAACCACAGCCAACTTCATACTGAATGGGAAAAAGCTGGAATACTCCCTTTGAGAACTGGAACAAGACAAGGATGCCCACTCTCACTACTCCTATTCAACATAGTAATGGATGTCCTAGCCAGTGCAATTAGGCAAGAGAAAGAAACACAGACATCTAAATAGGAAGAATGGAAGCCAAACTATGCCTCTTCATAGGTGAAACACTTTTATACCAAGAAAACCCCATAGTAGCCTCTCAAGAGCTCCCAGATCTGACAAATGACTTCAGCAAAGTTTCAGGTTACAAAACTCAATGTACAAAAATCTGTAGCATTTCTATACACCAACAACATCCAAGCTGAAAGCCAAATCAAGAATGCAATCCCATTCACAATAGCCACAAAAAAACTATAAAATACCTTGGAATACAGCTAAGCAGGGAGGTGAAATATCTCTACAATGAAAATTACAAACGAGTGCTCAAAGAATCAGAGACAACAGAAACAAAAGGAAAACATTCCATGATCACAGATAGGAAGAAGCAATATTGTTAAAATGGCCATACTGCCTAAGGCTATTTACAGAGTCAATGCTATTCCTATCATACTATCAATGACATTTTTCACAGGATTAAAAAAAGCATCCTAAAATTCATTTGGAGCCAAAAAAACAAACAAACAAAAAAAGCCCAAATAGCCAAAGCAATCCTAAGCAAAAAGAACAAAGCCAAAAGCATCACACTACCTGACTTCGAACGGTAGTACAATGCTACAGTAAGCAAAACAGCATGGTTATGCTCAGCAAAAGAAATAATCAGCAGAGTAAAAAGACAACCTATAGAGTGGGAGAAAATCTTTACAAACTATGCATCCAACAAAGTACTAATATCCAGAATCTATAAGGAACTCAAAAACAGACATAGACCAGTGGAACAGGTTACAGAACGCAGAAATAAAGCCGCACACCTATAGCCATCTACTCTTCAACAAACTTGACAAAAACAAGCAATGGGGAAAGGAATCCCTACTCGGAAATTGTGCTGGGATAACTGGCTAGCCATATGCAGAAAACTGAAACTGGACTCCATACGTTTCACCGTTTACAAAAATCACCTCAAGATAGATTAAAGACTTAAATGTAAAACCCAAAACTATAAAAACCCTGGAAGATATCCTAAGAAATACCATTCTGGACACAGGCCATTCTGGACATATCCTAGGAAATTTCAATTCTGGAAAACACTTTATGATGAAGACGCCAAAAACAATTGCAACAAAAACAAAAATTGACAAATGGGATCTAATTAAACTAAAGGGCTTCTGCACAGCAAAGGAAATCATCAACAAACCACCTATGGAATGGGAGAAAATATTTGCAAACCATGCATTCGACAAAAGTCTAATATCCAGAATCCAAAAAGAACTTAGAAAAATCAACAAGCAAAAACCTAACAACCCCATTAAATGGGCAAAGGAGAGGACCAGACACTTCTCAAAAGAAGACAAACACGTAGTCAACAAGTATATGGAAAAATATTCAACATCACTAACATTAGAGAAATGCAAAACAAAACTGCAGTGAGATACAACCTCACAGGAGGCAGAATGGCTATTATCAAAAAGTCAAAAAGTAACAGATGCTGGCGAGCTTGGGGAGCTACTCCCAGGTCTTTGGAAGGCTGAGGCATGAGAATTGCTTGAACCTGGGAGGCAGAGGTTGCAGTGAGCTGAGATTGGGCCATTGTACTCTAGCCTGGGCAACAGAGCAAGACTCCGTCTCAAAAAAAAAAAAAAAAAAAAAACCCGAGAGAGAGAGAGAAAGAAAAACCCACAGCCAGCATTATACTGAATGGGGAAAAGTTGAAAGCATTCCCCCGAGAACTGGAACAAGACAAGGATGCCCAGTTTCACCACTTCTATTCAACATAGTACTGGAAGTCCTAGCCAGAGCAATCAGACAAGAGAAAGAAATAAAGGGCATCCAAATCAGTAAAGAGGAAGTCAAACTGTTGCTATTCATGATTATATGATCATATAATGAGAAAACCCTAAAGACTCATCCAAAAAGCTCCTAGATCTGATAAATGAATTCAGTAACGTTTCAGGATACAAAATCAATGTACACAAATCAGTAGCACTGGTATACACCGATGGTGACTGAGCTGAGAATTAAGTCAAGATCTCAACCCCTTTTACAACAGCTGCAAAAACAAACAAACAAACAACAAACAAACAAACAAAACCAAAGAAAAAACCCCAAGCAAACGAACTTAGGAATATACCTAACCAAGGAGGTGAAAGACTTCTACAGTGAAAACTACAAAACACTGCAGAAAGAAATCATAGATGACACAAACAAATAGAAACACATCACACGCTCATGGATAGGTAGAATCAATATTGTGAAAATGACCATACTGCCAAAAACAATCTACATCATCATTCTTCCCTGAACTAGAAAAAGCAATCCTAAAATTAATGTGGAGCCCAAAAATAGCCCGCATAACCAAAGCAAGACTAAGCAAAAAGAACAAATGTGGATGCATCACATTACTTGACTTCAAACTATACTATAAGGCTATAGTCACCAAAGCAGCATAACACTGGTATAAAAATAGGCACATAGACCAATGGAACAGAATAGAGAACTGAGAAATAAAGCCAAATACTTAAGCCAACTGATCTTTAACAAAGGAAACAAAAACATAAAGTTGGGAAAGGACACCCTATTCAACAAATGGTGCTGGGATAATTGGCAAGCCATATGTAGAAGAATGAAACTGGATCCTCATCTCTCACCTTATACAAAAATCAACTCAAGATGGATCAAAGACTTAAATCTAACACCTGAAACTATAAAAATTCTAGAAGGTAACATTGGAAATACCCTTCTAGACATTTGCTTAGGCAAAGACTTCATGACCAAGAACCCAAGAGCAAAGGCAACAAAAACAAAGATAAATAGATGGGACTTAATTAAACTAAGAAGCTTCTACACAGCAAAAGAAATAATCAGCAGAGTAAAAAGACAACCTATAGAGTGGGAGAAAATGTTTACAAACTATGCATCCAACAAAGTACTAATATCCAGAATCTATAAGGAACTCTAACAAATCAGCAAGAAAAAACCAAATTATCCTATCAAAAAGTGTGCTAAGGACATGAATAGACACTTCCCAAAAGAAGATATATAAATGGCCAAGAAACATGAAAAAATCCTCAATATCACTAATTATTAGGGAAATGCAAACAAAACCACAATGCAATACCATCTCACTCCTCCAAGAATAGCCATAATCAAAAAAATAAAAAAAAAAAATAGATGTTGCCATGGGTGTAGTAAAAAGGAACACTTTCACACTGCTGGGGGGAATGTAAACTAGTACAACCACTATGGAAAAGAGTATGAAGATTTCTTAAATAATTAAAAGTAGATCTACCATTTGATCTAGCAATCCCAATACTGGGTATCTACCCAGAGGAAAAGAAGTCATTATATGAAAAAAACACTTGCACACGCATGTTTATTGCAGCACAATTTGCAATTGCAAAAAATACGGAACTAGCTCAAATGCCCATCAATCAATGAATGCATACAGAAAATGTGGTGTATATATACGTATCTATGTGTATATATGTGTATGTATACACACACACACACACACACACACACACACACCATCGACAGAATACTACTCAGCCATAAAAAGGAATGAAATAATGGCATTCACAGCAACCTGGAAGGAGTCGGAGACCATTATTCTAAGTGAAGTAATTCAGGAATGAAAAAACCAAACATTGTATGTTCTGACTTATAAGTGGGAGTTATGCTATGAGGATGCAAAAGCGTAAGAATGATACAATGGGCTTTGGGGACTTAGGGGGAAGAGTAGGAGGAGGGTGAGCGATAAAAGACTACACCTTGGGTGCAGTGTACACTGCTCTGGTGATGGGTGCACCAAAATCTCAGAAATTACCACTAAAAATATTTTCCATGTAAACAAACACCACCTGTTCCTTAAAAACTAATGAAAAAAGAAAAAAGACATGAGATCAACCTAAATGCCCATCAATGGTGAACTGGATAAAGAAAATGTGGCACATAGGAGGGGGTATATCTCAGGGTTAGAGCATCAGACTGCGGACCAAGAAAATGTGGCACATATACACCATAGAATAATACACAGCCACAAGAAAGAACGAGATCATGTCCTTTGGAGCAACGTGGATGGAGTTGAGGCCATTATCCTAAGTGAATTAACACAGGAACAGGAAACCAAATATCCCATATTCTTACTTATAAGTGGGAGCTAAACACTGAGTACACATGGACAGAAAGAAGGGAACAATCGTCACTAGGTGAATTTGAGGGTGGAGGGTGGAAGGAGGGGGAGAATAGAAAAACTACCTATTGGGTATTATACTTATTACCTGGGTGACAAAATAATCTGCATACCAAACCCCTGTGACATGCAATTTATCCATATAACAAGCCTGCTCATGTACCCCTTGAGCCGAAATAAAAATTGGAGAAGAAAAAAACTCGTAAGAGTTGTCACTTTGGGTAGAGTTATGGGCATTATGATTTGAAGGCATATTCTAAGGTCATTCCTCCTTTATTTATAAAGTTCTAATTTTTAAAATAAAAGTGCATTTGAGTATTTTATCATAAACATTAATTTAAGAATTCACTGGATTTTGTAGTAACTATGTAATGGATGAACTTTGCTATGAGTGTCATTGGAATGGATAAGCAGAGACAAAAGTTGATGAATTAAGAAATGAAAAGGAGTTAGGATCTAGAGACAGTAGTTACAGACTTATTTTG
Source organism: Homo sapiens (assembly GCF_000001405.40). Lineage (NCBI taxonomy): Eukaryota > Metazoa > Chordata > Mammalia > Primates > Hominidae > Homo > Homo sapiens. The sequence goes on from NC_000004.12 coordinate 102,944,688, forward strand.
AGGAATTCAAACATAAGACAAATGGATGGTAGATAAAGATGGATGGGGCATTGGATATACGGCAAGAGTTTTTGTTTGCTTGCTTTCTTTAAAATGGGAGAGTTTATATTTATACACCTATGTCTATATAAAATGTTTCTCAAATATACTTATATATATACACATACATATATATGAAATGTGCAACTGTACTTACATACAGCTATGAGGAAGAGGCCATTAGATAGATTAAAACATACAGATATGTTATAATACAGATGAAAAGGAATAAATTGATCATGTGAATTTTCTTGATGATAAACATTTAGGGGCTATGAATGTTTGTTAAAAAAATTTCGTACAATTTGGGACATGGCTCTGCTTTTAATCAACTGCTTTCCAAGGATTTTAACACTGAAACGAATTTTAATAGAGCTTTTCTATACAACATTCTGAATATTTTAACAGTTTTAATGAAGCATCCTTAATTGAATATTTTCATAAGAAAAAATGAGAAAGAAATTACCCTAATAGAAATGCCCATTGCCAGGGAAATTTCATAATGAAGTGTGAAAAAACAGCAGCTGCACTTGCCTCCATAAGGCATGGACCTACAGCCAATCTGAAACAAACGACCTTCAAATGCCTCAAAGCCTGAAACACAAAACAGTCACACTTAGATACATTTACAATGGCCAACAAGAAAATTATTTTAACAAATGTCAAACTATAAAGTCTTTTTTCATAAGAAGCTTTCACTAAACGAAATCTCATTTCAACAGATTGTCCCACTGGACTTTGAACTCTATTACATTTTATATGTCATCATAGGTTGGATTATAAACAATTTCATCTTTTTAAAAATATTATTATATTTTAATTATTAAAAGATCAATTTTACTGTGATTAAATAGCTAATGCTACCTTCCTGAACTTTCCTAATAAATAGTATAATAATAGTGTCCTATTAGTGTTTTCCCATTAACTTTTTGATATGAACTGTTTGATTAACTTAATAAGTATAAATAGAATACCAACATGCCAAAGAAAATAACTTAAAAACTGCATAATTCATTTTAAAAGGGAGAACTTTTCAATGTTCTCCTTGGTTCATACTTTCTGCTGGAGAATATAATCTTATTGGCTATAATTATTTATGCTCTTGAGCTATTTCTATTAAACCACATTTGCCACATTTATTTGAGTGGCTGTCATATTCATGAATAGTCATCTTCTTATAGATGGGATTTATGATCCCTAGAATGTAATATTTTAAGAAATGCTTTAAAAGATTGGATTTTACAATAATGCAAAGATAATCAGGAACATAATCCTGTGGAGAAAATGTCATAAAAAAATTACTGAAATCCTTAATCTCCCTAAAAAAAGAAAAAGACTTTTATAAGGTTTTTCTTATCCTATGTTAACTGAAAAGTACATACTTCTCCATAGAAGAGCCTCCCAAATAATATAGGTGCTATATAAGAGACATTTATCTCTGTGCAAATGATTAGATCGCTAATAAAGACCTTACAACACAGTCAATTCTCTTCATATCAGTGATAATGATGGCTAGACATAGAAATTAGGGTGCCAATATTTCTATACAGTCTTTTTTTCTTCTGTTTTTTTCTTCTGTTTGTTTGTTTTGTTTTGTTTTTTGAGACGGAGTCTCGCTCTGTCCCCCAGGCTGGAGTGCAGTGGCACTATCTCAGCTCACTGCAACCTCCGTCTCTCAGGTTCAAGCAATTCTCTTGCCTCAGCCTCCCGAGTAGCTGGGATTACTAGGTAAATGCCACCAGCCCGGCTAATTTTTGTAGATTACAGGCATGAGCCGCCATGCCCGGCCTTTTTTTCTTTATCTTAGGTTTGTTTACAGACTCTATTTGGAACAGGAAAATAAAATTTTTGCTTCTTTTTCTTTCTCACCGTCCTCTAATATTTGAAATAACCTTACTCGATTTGTAATTGTAAATCTACCTGTGGATCGAGTCCAAGCCCAGCTCTTATTAGAATAATGGTAAGGGCAATGCTTCTTAAAATTGAAGACCATGTGTTAGGAACATGGACATGTTCATTGATGAATGGAACATTCCTAATCGTAAAACCAGCCAGTAACATCCCTTAAAAGAAAGAAAATAAAGATACATGACAGTTCATTTTTCTGAGAAAGAAAACGGAAATGTTTACTTTCTTTTCTAATGCACTATGTCTCTCATTATTTTGGTAAAGGGCAGGTTACAAGCAAGTAGAGAAGGCAGCATGAATAAAGGAATGGCGATAAGAAACAATACACCTAAATGGGGTTCAACAAGTAAGTTAGTGTTGCTGGAACATACAGGGCAAGGAAAGGAGGGAGGAGAATGAGCTTGGGTGGGCCAGATCATAGAAAGGTCTCCCCCCACTTTGGCAAAGTAAGGCACCATGGGAAGGTTTTAGGCAGGAAGTAACATAATGAGTCTTGCGTTTTTTATGTGAGGGTCTTGGTGAATTAGTTTGGGATAAAACTGGAGACAGAGACCAAATTGAAGGCTCTGCCACAGTCCACGCAAAAGTTGGAAACAAATAGCCTAAGCTAGAGCAAAAGAGAAAGTTTGGAGAGGAGGAAAATGATTCAATAAATACTTAGAAGGTGCTGTAAGAAAATTGTGGATACAGAAGGGACAGCAGAGATAAGATGTAGAGATTATCTCTACTGACAGTGTACTGAATATATATTTATTTTTGAGGACAGGGTCTCATTCTGTTGTCCAAGGTGAGTGCAGTGATGCAAACATGGCTCACTGTAGGCTTAACCTCCTGAGCTCAAGTGATCCTCTTGCCTTAGCCTCCTGAGTAGCTGAGACCCAGAAAAATTTTTAATATTTTGTAAAGACAAGGTCTGCTATATTGCCCAGGCTGGTTTTGAACTCCTGGGCTCAGGTGGTCCTCCTGCCTTGGCCTCCCAAAGTGCTGGGATTATGGGCATGAGCCACCGTGCCTGGCCCACTGTACTGAATATTTAGATATATTTGAATACAGTAAGTTCTCACTTAACATCATCAATAGGTTATTGGAAATGGCAACTTTGAGTAAAATGGTATATAACAAAACCAATTTTAGCATAGGCTAAATGATATAAACAACAGTCAATTTCCTACAGCATATTTCCGGTCACAAAACATCACCAAACTTCTAAATAAAGATCCAAAACACTTCTAGTATTAAACAATGAAATAAATGTGAGCTCTACATACACTTTAGAAAGTTTTATAAAAACAAATAAGATAATTATTTACTTAATTTTTGGTGAATCCATGAGTGATGGTGGTTATAGCGGTGATGGTTAAAATCAAAGAATAAATGTTTACAAAGTGAAAATTGTAAGGAGCACCTCCTCCCACTATGCAGTTCAAAAACAATCACAAATATGGTAGGCTGGCTGAGAGTTTTCATATCACATTGTCTATTGTCATGCATTTGTATGGTTACCATATACTTAACAAAATTTTATTTTACAATAATTTGTATTCATTCATTTATTCATCGTACAATCCACTTATTCTAGTTCAGGGTCAAAGGTGACTGAAACTTAATCCAAAAAAATCAAGGAGGGACTCCCTCCCTAACACATTCCATGAATCTAGTATCACAGTTATACCCGAATCAGGCAAAGCCATACACACACACACACACACACACACACACACACACACACACACTACTGGTCAATATCCCTGATGAACATAGATGCAAAAATTCTGAACTAGCAAAATGAATTCAATAGTACATCAAAAAGATAATATAGTTAAGTGGATTTTACTCCAGAAATACAAGGATGGTTCAACATGTGAATCATTCTTCCATAAATACATATACACACATATGTTCATTGTAGCACTATTCACAATAAAAGGACATGGAATCAACTTAAATGACTAAATAAAGAAAATGTGGTACATATACACCATGGAATGCTATGCATTCATAAAAAAGAATGACATCATGTCCTTTGCAGCAACATGGATAAAGCTGAACACCATTATCCTAAGTGAAACAACTCAGAAACAGAAAAATCAAATACCACATGTTCTCACTTATATGTGGGCACTAAACAATGGGTACATATGGACCTAAAGATGGAAATAATAGACACTGGGGAGTCCAAAAGGAGAGAGGGTTGGAGGGTTAAGGTTGAAAAATTACCTATTGGGTATAGTATTCACTATTTGGTGATGGGTTCACTAGAGCCCAAATGTCACCATTATGCAATATATCCATGTACCAAACCTGCATATGTACCCCGTGAATCTAAAATTTTTAAAGATTCTATTAAACAATAAAGCAACAGGAATAATGTACTAAGGATATTAAATTTATTTTAAAAATAAATTTTGGATAAAACTTGTGTGTATATATGTAGACAGAGAAATAAATGCATCTATAAAGGAGCTGTACACACACACACACATACAGTAAATACATACATGAAGAAACTATATAAAACATACTACATTGAAATATTTCTGAATTATAACTAATTCAACAAGAAAATGTTCAACATTTGCATATAGTCAATAATAAAGAAAAGAGAGCTAATTATATACTTACCAAGAAGAGGTGGAAGTGGAGGCACTAAAGGTATTCTAATGAGTTGTAAAATTTTTCCCCCAATAATGGCACTATAAAAAATAATGAACAACCCAAATAAATTTCCACCAGGGAGAGCTTCAGAGCCTAAGATTGACCAGGTCATACACCATATCACAAACAGTATAACTCCTGAAATACAAAAAAGTGTACAGCTATATATCTACATACACATAGATGTATACAAACAAAGGATCAATTCTCTTTTATCATATATACTAATAGCCAGTTTTATAAAATGATACATGGTATAGATCAACATTGCTTACTAGTTTGGTGAAAGAGATATCTGCTTAACATATATTCCAAATAACCTGTCAATTTATGAAGTAGGTTTCAAACAAAGTGTTTTTACTTTAAAAATATTTAAAACCTATATGTGGGCCAGGTGCAGTGGCTCACACCTTAATCCCAGCACTTTGGGAGGCTGAGGCAGGCTGGATCACATGAGGTTCAGGAGTTTGAGGCCAGCCTGGCCAACACAGTGAAATCCCGTCTCTACTAAAAATACAAAAATTAGCCAGGCGTGGTGGTGCGTGCCTGTAATCCCAGCTACATGGGAGGCTGGGTCAGGAGAATTGCTTGAACCCGGGAGGTGGAGGTTGCAGTGAGCCAAGATTGTGCCACTGCATTCCAGCCTGTGTGACAGAGTGAGACTCAGTCTCAATAAAAAAATAAAAAAATAAAAAAAACCTATATGTGAACTCTGGAAAATGCTAACCATTATAATATATGATAGTTAAAAACATCATGGCAATATGATGAGATTTACTTCATTTTATATTTTAAAATAGCTTTTTCATCAGGATGGAAAATAAGAGGATGACTGGCTGTGATAAGAATTCACAACCTTATTGAAGATCACAGTGTCAAGGTGCCAAATCTTTTAAGAGGAACCTACTAAATCTTTGTATTGAAAGGATAATTCAACTGATATTTGGCATAAATGTATTAGAGGAGGTAATGGCTGGAAGAAATGAACCTAGATTTTGTGGGAATAAATATAAAGTATCTTAGATTATGTGTAGGAAGTAGAGGTAGATAAGATGAGTAGGTATAAGTTACTAGACATCTTGTTTCTGGCAACTAGGTGCTACTCACTGAGGAATCCATAGGTTTCTATAAAGGACAGACAATAACATGGTAAATTTCCATATGCTAATTAAATTGCTACCTTTATTTGCTATGAATCATAATTGCTAATGCTTTTAATATTCTTAAAACAGTTTATATGCATTTTTTAGCTATGACCCCTTTCCGGCTGTATAGAATTTGCCAGGGTAAAAGAGGACGATTTTGACTCACTCCAGGCAGAAAGTTAGAACAAAGTATCTCTTTCCTCCTCCCCTCTGATTATTGTCATCCTGCAAAACTGGAAGCCTTGGAGGGCTAAACTCTTACTAAAAGAATGGACCAGGCTGGGCATGGTGGCTCATGCCTGTAATCCCAGCACTTTGGGAGGCTGAGGCAGGTGGATCACCTGAGCTCAGGAGTTCAAAATGAGCCTGACCAACATGGTGAAACGCTGTCTCTATTAAAAATACAAACAATTAGCCTGGCCTGTTGGCGCATGCCTATAATCCCAGCTACTTGGGAGGCTGAGGTAGGAGAATTGCTTAAACCCAGGAGGCAGACATTGCAGTGAGCTGGGATGGCGCCACTTCACTCCAGCCTAGGTAACAAGAGCAAAACTCCATCTCAAGAAAACAAAACAAAACAAAACAGAAAACAAAACAAAACAAAACACGGACAAGAAAATGTCATCCTACTGACAAATTGAGAAGACAAGGCAGTTTGTCTTAGCTGGTCTCTGGGTGGCAAAGTCTTTTTTGAGAATTCATAGGTAAAACTGGCCTCATCCAACTTATGTGTAGGGCTCAAATTACATTATGTGCACAGGTTAGGGATCCCAAAGTTCTAAACCTACCATAAAAGTGTCCCTGCATAGAAGTATCCCTAGAACACACTTAGTAGATGCTAATTCAAAAAATCTCTAATAGACAGTCCTGATCCCAGACTGCATAAAGTCTCAAAGGTAAAGCCAAGTGAATCTGAACTTAAAATAAGAAGAAATATCCCATGAGCAAAAGTTAACAGATACTACAAAGAATGGGATTAGATGTCTGAAAACCTTAGCTAATAGAACCACTAGATAGACACTATAAAATATGTATTTTCAAAGGGACTAGAGACAATTTTTAAAAATTGGAGACATGAGAAGAAGAAATTACTTGAAAGCATTGTAAAATAATTAAATAGAACATCTAGAAAAAACTGTAAAATTTACTCAACTAAAAAAAAAACCACTAAGTACCCAAACAGCAGTCTAGACATGGCTGAAGAGAGAACACAGCAAAGTAGTAGATATGAGGAAATTACTTAAGAGCATAGCACACACACACAAAAAAATGAGGTGGAAAATGAGAGATTTAGATTATGGAAAAGATCTAAAACACAACTAATAGTAGTTTCAGAAACATAATTGAAAGAATGAAGAAGATATAATATTTGAGAAGAAAACTGGCTTCAAACTTTACAGAATTGATTAGGGTTTTTATTGATTTGGACACAGGAAGTCAAATGAGTTCTAATCAGGATTAAGTAAAAATAGATACTTAGATAAAATGTTGAGAAACTATAGACTACCAAAGGCAAAAATAAAATCTTTTTTTTTTTTTTTTTTTTATTATACTCTAAGTTTTAGGGTACATGTGCACATTGTGCAGGTTAGTTACATATGTATACATGTGCCATGCTGGTGCGCTGCACCCACTAATGTGTCATCTAGCATTAGGTATATCTCCCAATGCTATCCCTCCCCCCTCCCCCGACCCCACCACAGTCCCCAGAGTGTGATATTCCCCTTCCTGTGTCCATGTGATCTCATTGTTCAATTCCCACCTATGAGTGAGAATATGCGGTGTTTGGTTTTTTGTTCTTGCGATAGTTTACTGAGAATGATGGTTTCCAATTTCATCCATGTCCCTACAAAGGATATGAACTCATCATTTTTTATGGCTGCATAGTATTCCATGGTGTATATGTGCCACATTTTCTTAATCCAGTCTATCATTGTTGGACATTTGGGTTGGTTCCAAGTCTTTGCTATTGTGAATAGTGCCGCAATAAACATACGTGTGCATGTGTCTTTATAGCAGCATGATTTATACTCATTTGGGTATATACCCAGTAATGGGATGGCTGGGTCAAATGGTATTTCTAGTTCTAGATCCCTGAGGAATCGCCACACTGACTTCCACAATGGTTGAACTAGTTTACAGTCCCACCAACAGTGTAAAAGTGTTCCTATTTCTCCGCATCCTCTCCAGCACCTGTTGTTTCCTGACTTTTTAATGATCGCCATTCTAACTGGTGTGAGATGATATCTCATAGTGGTTTTGATTTGCATTTCTCTGATGGCCAGTGATGATGAGCATTTCTTCATGTGTTTTTTTGGCTGCATAAATGTCTTCTTTTGAGAAGTGTCTGTTCATGTCCTTCGCCCACTTTTTGATGGGGTTGTTTGTTTTTTTCTTGTAAATTTGTTTGAGTTCATTGTAGATTCTGGATATTAGTCCTTTGTCAGATGAGTAGGTTGCGAAAATTTTCTCCCATGTTGTAGGTTGCCTGTTCACTCTGATGGTAGTTTCTTTTGCTGTGCAGAAGCTCTTTAGTTTAATTAGATCCCATTTGTCAATTTTGTCTTTTGTTGCCATTGCTTTTGGTGTTTTGGACATGAAGTCCTTGCCCACGCCTATGTCCTGAATGGTAATGCCTAGGTTTTCTTCTAGGGTTTTTATGGTTTTAGGTTTAACGTTTAAATCTTTAATCCATCTTGAATTGATTTTTGTATAAGGTGTAAGGAAGGGATCCAGTTTCAGCTTTCTACATATGGCTAGCCAGTTTTCCCAGCACCATTTATTAAATAGGGAATCCTTTCCCCATTGCTTGTTTTTCTCAGGTTTGTCAAAGATCAGATAGTTGTAGATATGCGGCATTATTTCTGAGGGCTCTGTTCTGTTCCATTGATCTATATCTCTGTTTTGGTACCAGTACCATGCTGTTTTGGTTACTGTAGCCTTGTAGTATAGTTTGAAGTCAGGTAGTGTGATGCCTCCAGCTTTATTCTTTTGGCTTAGGATTGACTTGGCAATGCGGGCTCTTTTTTGGTTCCATATGAACTTTAAAGTAGTTTTTTCCAATTCTGTGAAGAAAGTCATTGGTAGCTTGATGGGGATGGCATTGAATCTGTAAATTACCTTGGGCAGTATGGCCATTTTCACGATATTGATTCTTCCTACCCATGAGCATGGAATGTTCTTCCATTTGTTTGTGTCCTCTTTTATTTCCTTGAGCAGTGGTTTGTAGTTCTCCTTGAAGAGGTCCTTCACATCCCTTGTAAGTTGGATTCCTAGGTATTTTATTCTCTTTGAAGCAATTGTGAATGGGAGTTCACCCATGATTTGGCTCTCTGTTTGTCTGTTGTTGGTGTATAAGAATGCTTGTGATTTTTGTACATTGATTTCGTATCCTGAGACTTTGCTGAAGTTGCTTATCAGCTTAAGGAGATTTTGGGCTGAGACGATGGGGTTTTCTAGATAAACAATCATGTCGTCTGCAAACAGGGACAATTTGACTTCCTCTTTTCCTAATTGAATACCCTTTATTTCCTTCTCCTGCCTGATTGCCCTGGCCAGAACTTCCAACACTATGTTGAATAGGAGCGGTGAGAGAGGGCATCCCTGTCTTGTGCTGGTTTTCAAAGGGAATGCTTCCAGTTTTTGCCCATTCAGTATGATATTGGCTGTGGGTTTGTCATAGATAGCTCTTATTATTTTGAAATACGTCCCATCAATACCTAATTTATTGAGAGTTTTTAGCATGAAGGGTTGTTGAATTTTGTCAAAGGCTTTTTCTGCATCTATTGAGATAATCATGTGGTTTTTGTCTTTGGCTCTGTTTATATGCTGGATTACATTTATTGATTTGCGTATATTGAACCAGCCTTGCATCCCAGGGATGAAGCCCACTTGATCATGGTGGATAAGCTTTTTGATGTGCTGCTGGATTCGGTTTGCCAGTATTTTATTGAGGATTTTTGCATCAATGTTCATCAAGGATATTGGTCTAAAATTCTCTTTTTTGGTTGTGTCTCAGGCAAAAATAAAATCTTAAAGAATCTAGACAGAGAAAAAGAGATTAATCATAATCGAATAAACAATAGAGCAGATTCTCAGTACTTATCAGCAACAATAGAAGATGGAAGATAAATAAAGTCTTCAAAGTACAGAGATAAAGAAATCATTCAATGTTGAATTCTGTAGCCAGTTAACTGTCACTCAAACAAAAGACAAATGAAAGATATTGTCAAACAAATACATTTAAGAACATATGCCATTTTTTACCAGGGAAAAATCTACTGAAAGATATGCTTTAGAAATATGACATAGAACCAAAAAGGAAGGAACAATGTGCAAAGAAATTGGTAAAATGTAGGTTAGTCTAAACAAGTACTGGTTGTGTAACACATTACTAATGAAAATTGTTAATCAGAGGATATAAAGATAAGGTTGGGAGGTGACATGAAAAGGTTGGCAATTTATTTCCACACCAAAACTCCCCCCAAAAATTGCAAAAATACCAAAAACAAACATTTCAGGACCCTGAAAACTCATCAAAGGCAGTTATCAAATTAAGAAGCATTTATCCTTGAAAAAAGTGTTAGGGTTTTGGGTAGGATTGGTAAAAGTCTGAGCCCTTCCTGACTGGGGTTGCTCCCTGATATGGTTTGGCTTTGTGTCCCCATCCAAATCTCATCTTGAATTGTACTCCCACAATTCCCACGTGTTGTGGGAGATAATTGAATCATGGGGGTGGTTCCCCCCATACTGTTCTCGTGGTAGTGAATAAGTCTCACAAGATCTGATGGCTTTATCAGGGGTTTCTGCTTTTGCATCTTCCTCATTTTCTCTTGCCGCCACCATGTAAGAAGTGCCTTTCACCTCCCGACATGATTCTGAGGCCTCCCCAGCCATCTGGAACTATAAGTCCAATTAAACCTCTTTTTCTTCCCAGTCTTGGGTATGTCTTTATCAGCAGAATGAAAACGGACTAATACACTCTCATCTCTCTTCTCATCCCCAAGCTCAGCTGGGAAAAACAGTAGTTTTACCAGTTTGAAGCTGGATGTAAAACCCAGCAGCTTTCCTGTTAGGGCTGGGGGCAGGGGTGGATTTGGTATGGAGTAGAGGGAAGAAATCAATGGTTTTGCCAGTTAAATATAGCAGAGTGGTTTGAGAATGAACAGACAGAATTGCAGCTTTGCTAGTCTGAGGTTGCAGTTTCAATTGGGGAAGTGGAAGACAAGACAAAAATTTAAATGAGAGATCCTGAGGGTCAATAGGTGCAGCAAACCACCATGGCACATGTATACCTGTGTAACAAAGCTGCACGTTCTGCACATGTATCCTGGAACTCAAAGTAAAATTAAAAAAGAAAGAAAGAGAGAGAGAGAAACAACAAACAAAGTGGAAGAAAGAAAGAGAGAGAGAAAGAAAGAAAGAAAGAAAGAAAGAAAGAAAGAAAGAAAGAAAGAAAGAAAGAAAGAGAGAGAAAGACCCACATGCAAGGCTAGAGTTTTCCAGTTCCAAGTTCCAATTCTCTCACTGAGAAGAGTGGCTCACGGTGCCTAAACTGTTTATACAAACAATATGGTTTACTCTGAACAGCTGCTTTTCTTCTGGGAGTCTGGAATTCTGGTACATGTGAAGGACAGTAACCTCCGTAAAATCCTGAGTACTGAGTCTCTAATGAGACTCTGGTCCTGGTAGACGACATTGCACATGTGCTGTCAAAATTTCATGCTGGGGAAGAGAAACACATCCTTGTAACTCCACAGGAGATGATTCCAGGAAGTTTGTGCCTGGTATCCTCCAGACTTTACCACACACAACTTTTTCCCTTTGCTAATTTTGCTTTGTATCCATTCACTATAATAAATTAAAAACCTGAGTATTACTAAAAAAAAAAAAAAAAGACTGATCCTGGAAAGGAGAGAATAATAGAAAGTTTGTGATAAGTTCTCCACACATATATGGCCGATTGGAAAAGTATGGAAGTGCAGGAAAGACTCAAGAGAGTATGACAAAAAGTAAAAATGAAGTAAGACTTGAGTATTAATTGCAACTTTGAATGCATTCACCCACCCACCCACAGATTATTTGGCAGACAGTGGAAGCCTTACTAGCTTTAACATAATGTCTCTCCAAAATCAAGCTATGCAACAGACACAAAGGAAATCCCTAGAAAGACAGGCTAAAACAACAATAACAACAACAACACAATATAAAAGACATCACTGCTGAAAACCACTGGGCAGAAGGATTACACAGCACATGTATAGGCCAATTACCAAAACAATAACAACAACAAAAACAATCACAAATAAAAACCAAATCCAGATTTGCTATAATGTGTAATTAAAGTGTTTAGTTTTCAATTAAAAATTATCAGACATGTAAGGAAACAGGAAAATATGGTTCATACTCTGGAAAAAAAGCAGTGAATAGAAACTCTCAATTCAGATACTGGATTTAGAAAGAAAGTTTTCAAAGTATATATTATAAATATGTTCAAATTAAAAATATGATAATGTGCTGTCTAATAGAGAACATGAATAAGGAGACAGAATATATTTAAAAATAGAATCTAGAATCGAAAAGTACAACAGTTAAAGTGAAAAAATCACTAGCGAGGTTCAGTAGCATATTTGACCTTGTGAAAGAAAGTATCAGTGAACTTGAAGATAGACCAATAGAGGTTAATCAATCTGAAGAACAAAAAGAAAAAAGAACGAAGAATAATAAACAGATCCTCAGAAACTTATGGGATACCATCAAGAGCACTAACATATGCATAATGGGAATTCCAGGAGAAGAGAGAGATAAGAGGGCAGAAAAATATTTGAAAACATAATGTCTGAAAACTTCAAAAATGTTATGAAAAACATTAATCTTCAAATATAAGAAGTTCAACAAATCTCAAGTAGGATAAACACAAAGAGATTCACACCTAGAGCCATCATAGTCAAATTGGTGAAAACCAAGGATAATAAGAAAATCATGAAAATAGCAAGAGATGACTTATCACATACAGGGGAACAATAATATGATCAATACTGGCATTTTTATCTGAAAAAAATGGAGGCCTTATGAAGCGACATTTCAAAAGTGGAGGGAAAAATAACTGTCAATTAAGAATTCGGTATCCAGTTAAATGATCCTTCAAAAATGGAGCTGAAATAAAGACATTTCCAGATAAATAAAAATAAAGAGAACTTATCCTTGCTAAAGAAACACTAAATAAAATGCTTTTAAGATAAAAGGATATGACACCAGATGGCAACTTGAACCTATAAGGAATAAACGGCACTGGAAGTGGTAAATAAATTTGTAAGTATAAAAGATTGTATGTGTGTATGTGTGTATATGTGTGTGTGTGTGTGTGTGTGTATTCTGATTTCATCTCTTTTTTAAAAAAAGCATCTGATTATTATAGGCAATAACTATAACAATACTGCTGAGTTCATAGCATATAAGAGGTACATTGGATCAAAGTTGCTATATAACACTGGAATTAAGTAAAAATTATTAAACCAAAGTAGATTGTAAAAAGTGAAGATGATTGATTATTATAACCCCCAAAGGTACTTGGGAGGCTGAGATAGAAGTATTGCTTGAGGCTAGGAGTTTGAGACTAGCCTAAGTAACACAATGAAACTCTGTTGATATAGTTTGGATATGTGTCCCTGCCCAAATCTCATGTTGAATTGTAATCCCCAATGTTGGAGATAGGTCCTGCTGGGAGGTGAATGGATCATGGGGGCAGATTTCTCCTGAATGGTTAGTACCATCCTCTTGGTGCTGTCCTTGGGACAGTGAGTAAATTCTTGTGAGATCTCGTCATTTAAAAGTGTGTGGCACTGCCCCTTGCTCTTTTACTCCTGCTTTCGCTATGTGACATGTCTTTGCCTTCTGCCATGATTGTAAGCTTCCTGAAGCCTTCCCAGAAGCAGATGCCTGCATGCTTCCTGTACAGCCTGAAGAACTGTGAGGCAATTAAACCACTTATAAATTATCGAGTCTCAGGTATTTGAAAGCAATGCAAGAATGGACTAATACACCTGTCTCTAAAAAATTTAAGCAAAATTACCCAGGTGTGATGACACATGCCTGTAGTCCCAGCTACTTGACAGGCAAAGGTGAGAGGACTGATTGAGCCCAGGAGTTTGAGGCTGCAATAAGCTATGACCATGCCATTGTCTCTTAAAAAAGTAAGCCCCAGAGAGGCCAGGCGCAGTGGCTCATACCTGTAATCCCAGCACTTTGGGAGGCCGTGGTGGGCGGATCACAAGGTCAGGAGATGGAGACCATCCTGGCTAACATGGTGAAACCCCGTGTCTACTAAAAATACAAAAAAATTAGCCGGGCATGGTGGCAGGCACCTGTAGTCCCAGCTACTTGGGAGGCTGAGGCAGGAGAATGGCGTGAACTCGGGAGGTGGAGCTTGCAGTGAGCCGAGATCCCACCACTGCACTCCAGCCTGGGTGACAGAACGAGACTCCGTCTCAAGAAAAAAAAAAATCAACAGAGAAATTGAAATAGGGCACTAAAAATACTTGGTTAACATGAAAGAAGCAGTAATGTAAGAAAAGAAAAACAAAAAGACATGACACATAGAAAACAAATAACAAAATGTTAAATGCAAGTCCAACCATATCAATAATTATGTGAATGGACTAAAATAAAAAGGCAACTATTACTGTACAGGACTTTAAAAAAACAAGATTCAGCTATATGGTGCCTACAAGAAACAAACTTTAGATAAAACAAGCAGGTTGAATGTAAAAGGATAGGAGATTAGGAGACATACATATATATATACACACACACACACACACACACATACGCAAATGGTAATTATGGGGAAAGAAGAAAACATAAGTGTAATTACTATATATATGTAATTTTTTTAACCTGTAAGTCAGTTTTATTATCTGTAAAATGGGGATAAAAAAATTATCTCCTGCCAACATAAATAGGTTTTGTTACAATAAAATGAACTAGTGAGCATGAAAGAACATTGCAATCTGTTAAGATGTTCTTCCAGGAATTCTTGCATTCTAGGAAAATCAGAACATTTCTGGTTATAGAATTTTTGACATTTTGAGGAAAGATATTTTTTAGGATATATGTGAAAAGAACACTTTATCTTCTCTAATTACATCATGGATTCTCTTTTTGCATTGAGATTTTGCTTGAATATCAATAGACAAGACAAGGGAGTGGTTCAGGCACTTGTCTAGTGAGCGGATCGCTGACAGGAAGCAAGGAGCCAGAAGGACACTCCCCTGTGCTGTTGGTCAGGGGCCCGCTTGGCTGGTGCCAAGGATTTGTTCTCAGTGACAAGACAAATACAGAAATGGAGAGTGGTTACAAACTTCTATAGCAATTTGACACTGTATTTTATAAAAAGTAAATATCAGTCTACATCAAATAGGAAATTAAAAACAAAAACAATTGGGTATTAATCTACTAAGCTTAGTCCCTAGGTGACAAAATAATCTGTGCAACAAATCCACATGACACAAGTTTACCTATGTTACAAACCTGAACATGCACCCCTGAACCCAAAATAAAAGTTTTTTTTTTTAAAAGAAAAACAAAACAAAAAAACCACATCTGTTTCTTCATCACAGATAATTTGAGAAGCACTAGTGTCAGGAAAAAAGAATAATAAATAATATGTACATTAAAACTCACCAGAAAACATATATGCACTGGGATATCTTTTTGGACATTAAAGAAATGTGAAAAATCACACATATATTCCTAATGAACTTGACTATATTATATATATATGTTTATTTAGAAGTATTAAATTGAATTAAGTATTAAATTTATTTTTTAATAAGTGGTATAAAGGAAGGATGTTCTGATTAAGAAGGATAGGTAAAGGGCAATTACAACTCTGGGTAGAGAAATAGTAAAATGGCCAGAAACAGACTGGCAAAGGCTATGGAGTAATTAATCTCACAAAAGGAAGCAGAATTTATTAATATAAATAACATAGTATTGCTGATACTTAAATAATTGTGAGTTATATTGAAGAATTATTTTATATTTTAAAATAGCAAAACCCCCCAAAAAACAGTGTGGTAAAGCTGTGGTGAGGTTTGTACATTTTAGGAAGCCTTGTTATTTTTAGCTCATATGGTTTTTTGATAAGTAAAAATTTAAAAAAAGTTAAAAATGATTTCTCTGCTGCTTAAATTCCGATACACATCTATTGAGTGGTAAGATATGAGTTTAGAGTCACTGTATTTTTTTAGTAGTTCTACTAATAAGAAATTTTCATTAAGCTTTACTTTCTTTCTTTCTTTCTTTTTTTTTTTTTGAGATGGAGTTTTGCTCTTGTTGCCCAGGCTGGAGTGCAATGGCATGATCTCGGCTCACCACAACCTCCGCCTCCCGGGTTCAAGCGATTCTCCTGCCTCAGCCTCCCGAGTAGCTGGGATTACAGGCATGCAGCACCATACCCGGCTAATTTGGTATTTTTAGTAGAGACAGGGTTTCTCCATGTTGGTCAGGCTGCTCTTGAACTCCCGACCTCAGGTGATCCGCCCGCCTCAGCCTCCCAAAGTGCTGGGATTACAGGCATGAGCCACCGTGACTGGCCTAAGCTTTACTTTCTAAAAATTATATCAAAATTGGTATTTCTCTATTATGTAATCATAAATTATATCAAATATGCTGTTTTGAATTTTATTTTTCCCTTTAAACATAAAGACACACATTCAGTTCATTGTGCTATATAAATTACCAGTGTGATCACAAATTAAGAAATGCAATTCAAAGAATTTTGCGTACAAGGAGTCCTGAAAGTGTTAATAACTTTTGATGCAAAGATAATTTTATGAAAGTAATAGAAGACTAAAAAAAGGTACAAAACAATTATTATGTAAGTATCTTCCTTTTTCTGAATCACCCATGATTACTTTTTCCACCAAGCAAAAACTGACTACATACTTCAGATCTGTCTCAAATCTCCCCAGCCTCTTTTCCTAAACCTCCCCAGCCTCTCAGGACAGACAGGCTGCTCCTGTACTTTGTGCATTCTGCTATTTTTAGCAAGAGGCCTATTTTGTCAGTGTTGTCTGAATAGTATTTGCCAACTCCCAGACTTTCAGTCACTTATTTGTTTATTTATTTATTTATTTGGCTCTTTTCTTGTATTTCCCTTTTCCTTTTCTTTCCTTTCTTTTTCCATTTCCTCCTCCCTTCCTTTGCTTACTTATTTTTTTCCCTTTAATTCCCATTCACTATTTCCATGACTGTCAAATAGTAGGTTGATCCTTTAAAATATTCCTTTTTTAAAATTTATTGTACTTTAAGTTCTGGGATACATGTGCAGAACGTGCAGGTTTGTTACATAGGTATACATGTGCCATGTGGTTTGCTGCACCCATCTACAATATATCTTAAAATGAATAAAAGTGGAAACACGCAGAAGACATGGTGTATGGGGTGAGTGGGTTGCCAAGTGGATGGTGGCAGGGTGCTCCAGGGTGGCCAGTGGGGCTAAATGCTGTGTATTCCAAGCATGGCGGGGTTCCTGCCTTCCTGTGTGGCAGACTGTGGCATCAGGTAAGAGCCACTTGGTGCCCACCCTGGCTCCTCCATTGCCTTGCTCTCAGCCCCTGGCATCCAGCCCACACCTGGAGGTTGAGCTGCACCCACTGCTCTGGGTCTCAGCCCTGTGATCACCTCAGTAGATATTCTGAGCTTGGCTATGCAGGCAACACTGAGCCATAGTTTACTATTCTTTCTTGCATTTCTATCAGAGAGTCAGCAAAGGTAGTTGACAAAGCCCAAAGGAGAATGTTGAGGGGAGTTGATGACCTTGACTTTTTCATACAGGATGAAGCCATTGATAAATCTATGTATGCTACAAAGTGGTCAATATGACTGGAATCACTGAAGACTGGGATATTATGGAAAGGTTCATGGAGCAAGTGGTTTTTAAATATCTTTGAGCAGAATCTGAGGACCATTATTTTTTAATGACAGAACTTCCACTGAATACACTAGAAAATACAGAGCATTTTTGCAGAAATTATGTTTGAATTATTTAATGTACCAGGATTCTACATTGCAGTTCAGGAGGTACTGGCCTTGGCAGTATCTTGGACATCTCAACAAGTGGGTGAATGTATGTTAATGAGTATAGTCATTGACAAAGGAGATGGAGTCACCCATGTTCTCCCAGTTGTAGAAGGTTATGTAATTGGGAGCTGCATCAATCACATCCTGATTGTAGGTGATACTGTGTATTTCACTCAACAGCTGCTAAGGGAGAGGGAGGTAGGAATCCCTCTTGAGCAGTCACTGGAGACCACAAAAGCCATTAAGGAGAAATACTGTTACATT
Organism: Homo sapiens; assembly: GCF_000001405.40. NCBI lineage: Eukaryota > Metazoa > Chordata > Mammalia > Primates > Hominidae > Homo > Homo sapiens. The sequence goes on from NC_000004.12 coordinate 102,962,783, forward strand.
TGCCCTGATACAGTCAAGGAATTTGCTAAGCATGATGTGGATTCCTGGAAGTGGATCAAACAATACACAGGTATCAATGTGATCAACCAGGAGAAGTTCATAATAGATGTTGGTTACAAAAGGTTCCTGCAACCTGAAATATTTTTTTACCCAGAGTTTGCCAACCCAGACTTTATGGAATCCATCTTGAATGTTGTTGATGAATACAAAACTGTCCCATTGATGTGCATGGTCCACTGTATAAGAATGTTGTTCTTTCAAGGGGTTTGACCATATTCGGGGATTTGAACCTCAACTACAGAGAGATTTGAAGAGTGGTACATGCCAGATTAAAACTCAGTAAGGAGCTCAGTGGCAGGAGAATCAAACCTAAGTTTGCAGAGGTTCAGGTGGTAATCCATCACATGCACCACAATGCCTTATGGTTTGGAAGCTTAATGATAGCCTCAACTCTGGAGTTATTTCAGGCCTGTCACACCAAGAAGGACTATGAAGAATATGGCCCCAGCATCTGCCACCACAGCCTTCTCTTTGGAGTAATGTCTTAGTGTCTGCCTTGAAAGCATCATTTAATAGTGTCATGTTGGGGAACAAGTGTCCTTCAGAACCCAGAGAAGACTACCATTTCTAAATGACATTTGGTGTTGATGTCTGAGCAGCATGCTTGCATCACCTAGTGCATGAGGCACAGGGCAGAGTCATTTCAGTAAAAGCCATTTCTTTATGTGTTGACTGTTGTATGCCCACTCCTTCTTCTCTCACTCCCTTTCTTCATGCTTCCCCAGTTTCCCTCCTCCTTTTCACTTGAGCTTTTTTGTTGACAAATACCATTCTGAAGGAATTTAAATGTGACTTTGAAAATTGTTAAGAGGAAAAAAAATTTCAAAAATGGCCCAAAATAGTTCTCCCCCAGGAAATAATGCAGTGGTATAAATCCTTTTCCCCCAGCCTATTTTTATAAATAAAATGTTATAAACTTAAAATACAAAAAACCAATAACATAACATTATTTACAGGATGCAATTAAAGCAGTGTATAGAGGAAAATGTATAGCTTTAAAAACAGAAAGAAAAAATAATCTAAAATTGGTAATTAAAACTTCCATCTTAAGACTCTAGAAAAAGATGAGTAAACCAAGCCAAAAGTAAGTAGGATGTATGAAATAAAAAGGTCACAGTGGAAAACGATAAATACAGAACAGGATAACATTAAAAACAACCAAAGAAACTCAAAATTGCTTATTTCGGAAAGTCAAGAAGATAAATAATATTTAGTTACATTGACCAAGAAAAAAGAAAGAAGACACTAATTCCCAAAATCAAGAATCAAAGAAAAATATCATCACAGACCCTACCCTTAAAAGGATGTTAAGAAAATAGCATAATAACTTTAAGGCAAAAAATTCGACAACTTAGATAAAATAGAACAATTCCTAGAAAGACACAAATTACCAAAACTGACTCAAGGAAAAAGGAAAAAAAAAACAAATATCAATATCAAGTAAAGAAATTGCATCAGTAATTTCAAATCTTCCTATAGAGAAAAAATATACTTCACTGGTGAACTCTATCCAACTATTAAGGGAGGAAATAATACCAATGTTACAAAAACTTTATTAAGCAAATAGATGAGGAAGGAAACTTCCCAATGAACTTTATTTCATTTGATATCAATATTACCCTGATATCAAAACAAGACAAAGACATTACAAGAAAACACAGCTATATACCAATATCCCTTATGAACCTAGACATAAATATTCTTAACCAAATATTAGTAAATGTAATTGAGCAACATATGAAAAGGATTTTATACCATAATCAAATGAAGTTTATCTCAGGAATGTGAGGTGGTTGACTTAACATCCAAAAATCAATGTAATAAACTATATTAACAGAATAAAGGACAAAACCATATGATCACCTCAATAGATGCAGAAAAGCATTTGACAGAATTCAACACTCATATATTTAAAAAAATCTCATCAGCTTATGAATAGAAGGGAACTTCTTCAAATGATCAAGGCATCTACCAGAAGCCTACAGCCAACATACTTAATGGTAAAAATGTGCTTACCTCTAGATTAGGAAACATGCAAAGATATCTGTGTTTACCACTTCTATTTTTTCCTTGCAATAGTCAAGGAAAAAAGTTATGGAAAAAAGACAACTCTTTTTATTGTTAGCCTTGTATACAGAAAATCCTAAGGAACACACCCACACACACACACCCACATACCACACCCCCTCCCAGACTTACTAGAACTAAGAGGGTGGCTTAGCAAGTTTGTAGAGTATATGATCAATATACAAAAATCGGTTATATATATAGTAGCAACAAACAGTACAAAGATGAAATAAAGAAAACAATTCCAATCACAATAGCATCAAAAATAAATGTCTTAGTTTGTTTTATGTTGTTATAATAGAATACCTGAGACTGTATAAAGAGGTTTATTTAGCTCATGTTTCTCCAGACCGGGAAGTTCAAGAAGCATGGCACCAGTATCTGCTTAGCTTCTGGTGAGGGCTTTAGTAGTGCATCACAACATGGCAGAAGACCAAAGAGGAAGTGGGAATGTGCCAAGAGGCCAAACACAAGGTACAACCTTGTACAATGGGTTGCTTTATAACAATCCATTCTCAGGGTAACTAATCTATTCCCACAGGAACCAATCCAGTTTCATGAGAGCAAGAACTCACTCACTATATGAGGACTGCACCAAGCTGCTCAAAATGGCAGAGCCCCCATGACCCAAGCATCTCCCATTAGGCCCTGCCTCTTAAAGGTTCCAACATGATTTTTGGCAGAGACACGGAAACCATGGCATTCCACCCTTGGAACCCCAAACTCATGTCCCTCTTACACTATAAAATGTAATTATTCAATCTCAATGGTCCCCAAAGTCTTAATGTATTCCAGTAACAATTCAAAGGTCAAAGTCCAAAGTCTCATATAAGACTCAAGGCAAGTTCCTCCTAGCTATGAGCCTGTAAAATAATAAAAAAAAAAACAACAAGTTATTTACTTCCAAGATACAATGGTGGAATAGTCATATGGCAGACAGTCCCATTCCAAAAGGGAGAAATAGGCCAAAAGAAGAAAGAGGTGACAGGCCTCGAGCAAGTTCAAAAGTCAGCAGGGCAGACACTAAATCTTAAAACTCCAGAATAATTCTCCACTCCACGTGCTACCTCCTGGGCACAGTGGGGAGTTTTTATCCCTAAAGCCTTGGGCAGCCCCACCTCCATTGCTTTGTTGGGCATAGCCACATGGCTGCTCTCACTGGTTGGAATTGGATACCTATGGCTTTTCCAGGCTGAGGTTGTATGGTGGCAATGGCTCTATAGTTCTGGAGTCCCAGTGGTGGTCCACTTCATGGATTCACTAGGTATTGCCCTGGTACAGACTCTTTGTGGCAGCTCCAACCCTACATTTCTGCTCAGCATTGCCCTAGGGAAGATACACTGCAGTGGCTCTGGCCCTGCAACAAATCTCCACCTGAGCTCCCAGTCTTTTCAGTACATTCCTTAAAATCTAGGTGGAAGCCACCATGACTACACTTCTCTTGTATTCTGCACATCTGCAAAACTAGTACCACATGGTTGTAAACGCCATCAAGGCTTACCACTTGCACCCTCCAGAGTGCTGTCATGAGCTGTACCTGAGGCTGCTTGATCCACGACTGCGTGCCACCAAGGTTTATGGTTTGTATCTTGTGGAATGGCAGCCTGAGCCATACCTGGGTATGATTGTGCCATGGCTGGGGTGGCTGCTGAGGGCTGTGCCAGAATTTGGGGAGCAGGATCTCAAAACAGCACAGGGCAGTGATGCATGGATTCTGTCTCTTAAAACCATTCCGTCCTCCTAGACCTCTGGAAAGGCAACCTCAAAAATTTCTGAAATGTCTTCAGGGCCTTTAAAAAATTGTCTCAATAATTATCAACTGGCTCTCTTCTCTCAGTGCTAATCTCTTTAGTATTGGTTGTTCTGCTGCACCCTTGGATTCCTCTCCTGAAAATGCTCTTTCATTCTCTACCACATGGCCAGGCTATTAATTTTCAAATTTTTATGCTTGCTTCCCTTGTCATTTTGCATTTCACTGAATGTAGTAAGAAGTAACTACATAGCTGCTCTATATTTTGCTTAGAAATTTCTTCTGCCAGGTACCCTAGTTCATCACTCTTAAGTTTGGCCTTCCACAAAACCTTAGGGCACAAAGCCTTAGAAACAACACAGCCAAATTTTTGCTATGGTCTAACAAGGATGACTTGGTCTCCAGTTCCTAATACCTTGTTCCTCATTTCTATCTGAGATCTCATTAGAATGGCCTTTGCTGTCCATATTTTTATCAGCATTGTGGTAATGACTACTTAACCAATCTCTAAGAAATTCTAAACTTTCTCTCGTCTTTTTGTTGTCTTCTGAGCCCTCATTGAAATTATCCTTAATGCTCTGTTTATGGCAATACAGTCTTTTTCTAGTCTGCTCCTTCAAACTTGTCCAACTTCTGCCCATTACCCAGTTCCAATGATGCTTCTGCATTTTTGAGTATCTAAATAGCAACATCCCACTCTCAGTACAAATTTTCTGTCTTAGTCCGTTTTGTGTTGCTATAACAGAATACCGGAGACTGAGTAATTTATAAAGAGGTATATTTGGCTTGCAGTTCTGCAGGCTGGAAAGAATGACACTGGCATCTGCTTGGGTTCTGGTGAAAGCTTTAGTGTTGTATCACAATATGGTAGAACAAGGTCAAAGGGGAGTAGGCATGTACCAGGAGGCCAAGCATGAAGCGTGACCTCACCGTATAGCAACTCATTCTCATGGTAACTAATCCATTCCTGAGACAACTAATCCCACAAGAGTGAGAACTCACTCACCAGTGTAAGAATAGTACCAAGCTGCCCACAAAAGAAAAGCTCCCAAGACCCAAACACTTCCCATTAGGCCCCACCTCTTAAGCATTCCAACATGAGTTTTGGTAAAGACACTCAAACTATAGCAATAATAATTAGGAATAAATTTAACAAAATAAGTGCAAAACCTTTGCACTGAAAACTAAAAAACATCACTCAGATAAATGCCTAAATAAATGGAGAGATATATCATGTTAATGGATTAGATGACTCAATATTGTTAGATGTCAATTGATCTACAAATTAACTGCAATTCCTGCCAAGAGTCTAGAAAGATTATTGGAAAAATTGACAAGCTGATTCTAAAATTATATAGAAATACAAAAATACCTAGAATAGCCAAAAAAATCTTGCTAAGTAAGAATGAAGTTAGAGTACTTAATACTGTCTTATTTGAAAATTCAGTGTAAAGCAGCAGTAGTCAAGACAGTGTAGAATCCACATTAAGAGAGATAGATAGATCAATGGAACTAAGTGGAGTTCAGAATCCAACCCACATAAATAGTCAATTGATTTTCATCAAAGATGCTAAGACAATTCAATAGGAAAAAGATGTTCTTTCAACAAATGATTCTATAATAACTGGTTATTCATTTACAAAAACTAAACCTAGATCCTTAGGTCATATGCAAAAATTAACTAAAATGGATCACAGACCTAATTGTATGAGCTAAAACTATAAAACTTCTAGGAAAAAAATATAGGAGAAAATATTTATGACCTTGGACTAAGCAAAGGTTTCTTAGATATAATATCAAAAACATATTCCATAAAAGAAAAACTGGTAAATTGGACTTCATCAAAATGATGAAATCTTTGCTTTTCAAATATTTCTTAAATAAATGAAAGGAGAGGATTGTTCCAAGATGGCCGAATAGGAACAGCTCCTGTCTGCAGCTCTCAGCACAACTGACGTAGAAGACAGGTGATTTCTGCATTTCCAACTGAGGTACCTGGTTCATCTCACTGGGACTGGTTGGACAGTGGGTGCAGCCCACAGAGGGTGAGCTGAAGCAGGGCAGGGCATCGCCTCATCCGGGAAGCAGCACAAGGGGTCGGGGGATTTCCCTTTCTTAGCCAAGGGAAGCCGTGACAGACGGTACCTGGAAAATCTGGACACTCCCACCCTAATACTATGCTTTTCCAATGGTCTTAGCAAACGGCACACCAGGAGATTATATCCCCTGCCTGGCTCGGTGGGTCCCACGCCCACAGAGCCTTGCTTACTGCTAGCGCAGCAGTCCGAGATGGAATTGCAAGGTGGTAGCCTGGGCTGGGGGAGGGGCGTCCACCATTGCTGAGGCTTGAGTAGGTAAGCAAAGCAGCTGGGAAGCTCGAACTGGGTGGAGCTCACTGCAGCTCAACGAGGCCTGGCAGCCTCTGTAGACGCCACCTCTGGGGGCAGGGTATAGCTGAATAAAAGCCAGCAGAAACTTCTGCAGACTTAAACGTCCCTGTCTGACAGCTCTGAAGAGAGCAGTGGTTCTCCACCATGGAGTCTGAACTCTGAGAATGGGCAGAGCTCCTGGTAGGGACTGACTGACACCTCATATAGCCGGGTGTCCCTCTGATATGAAGCTTCCAGAGGAAGGATCAGGCAGCAATATTTGCTGTTCTGCAGCCTCCAATGGTGACACCCAGGCAAACAGGGTCTGGAGTGGACCTCCAGCAAACTCCAACAGACCTGCAGCTGAGGGTACTGATTGTTAGAAGGAAAACTAACAAACAGAAAGGAACAGCATCAACAAAAAGGACATCCACACCAAAACCCCATCTGTAGGTCACCATCATCAAAGACCAAAGGTAGATAAAACCACAAAGATGGGGGGAAACAAGAGCAGACAAGCTGAAAATTCAAAAAACCAGAGTGCCTCTTCTCCTCCAAAGGATCGGAGCTCCTCGCCAGCAATGGAACAAAGCTGGATGGAGAATGACTTTGACGAGTTGACAGAAGTAGGCTTTAGAAGGTCAGTAATAACAAACTTCTCCGAGCCAAAGGAGGATGTTCGAACCCATTGCAAGGAAGCTAAAAACCTTGAACAACGATTAGATGAATGGCTAACTAGAATAAACAACATAGAGAAGACCTTTAATGACCTGATGGAGCTGAAAACCATGGCATGAGAACTACATGACGCATACACAAGCTTCCATAGCTGATTCGATCAAGTGGAAGAAAGGGTATCAGTGATGGAAAATCAAATGAATGAAATGAAGTGAGAAGGGAAGTTTAGAGAAAAAGAGTAAAAAAAAACGAACAAAGCCTCCAAGAAATACGGGACTATGTGAAAAGACCAAATCTAAGTTTGATTGGTGTACTTGAAAGTGATGGGGAGAATGGAACCAAGTTGGAAAACACTCTTCAGGATATTATTCAGGAGAACTTCCCCAACCTAGCAAGGCAGGCCAACATTCAAATTCAGGAAATACAGAAAACATCACAAAGATACTCCTCGAGAAGAGCAACCCCAAGACACATAATTGTCAGATTCACCAAGGTTGAAATGAAGGGAAAAATGTTAAGGGCAGCCAGAGAGAAAGGTCGGGTTAGCCACAAAGGGAAGCACATCAGACTAACAGAAGATCTCTTGGCAGAAACCCTACAAGCCAGAAGAGAGTGGGTGCCAATATTCAATATTCTTAAAGAAAAGAATTTTCAACTCAGAATTTCATATCCAGTCAAACTAAGCTTCATAAGTGAAGGAGAAATAAAATCCTTTACAGACAAGCAAATGCTGAGAGATTTTGTTACCACCAGGCCTGCCTTACAAGAGCTCCTGAAGGAAGCACTAAACATGGAAAGTAATAACCAGTACCAGCCACACAAAAACATGCCAAATTATAAAGACCATCGATCCTAGGAAGAAACTGCATGAACTAACGAGCAAAATAACCAGCTAACATCATAATGACAGGATCAAATTCACACATAACAATATTAACCTTAAATGTAAATGGGCTAAATGCCCCAATTAAAAGACACAGACTGGCAAACTGGATAAAGAGTCAAGACCCATCAGTGTGCTGTATTCAGGAGACCCATCTCACATGCAGAGACACACATAGGCTCAAAATAAAGGGATAGAGGAATATCTACCAAGAAAATGAAAAGCAAAAAATAGCAGGGGTTGCAATCCTAGTCTCTGATAAAGCAGACTTTAAACCAACAAAGATCAAAAGAGACAAAGAAGGCCATTATATAGTGGTAAAGGGATCAATGCAACAAGAAGATCTAACTATCCTAACTATATATGCACCCAATACAGGAGCACCCAGATTCATAAAGCAAGTCCTTAGAGACCTACAAAGAGACCTAGACATCCACACAATAATAATGAGAGACTTTAACACCCCACTGTCAATATTAGACAGATCAATGAGACAGAAGGTTAACAAGGATTTCCAGGACTTGAACTCAGCTCTGCAACAAGCAGACCTAATAGACATCTACAGAACCCTCCACCCTAAATCAACAGAATGTACATTCTTCTCAGCACCACATCTCACTTATTCCAAAATTGACCACCTAGTTTGAAGTAAAGCACTCCTCAGCAAATGTAAAAGAACAGAAATCACAACAAACTGTCTCCCAGACCACAGTGCAATCAAATTAGAACTCAGGAATAAGAAACTCACTCAAAACCACAGAAATACATGGAAATTGAACAACCTGCTCCTGAATGACTATTGGGTAAATAATGAAATGAAGGCAGAAATAAAGATGTTCTTTGAAACCAACGAGAACAAAGACACAACATATCAGAATCTCTGGGACATATTTAAAGCAGTGTGTAGAGGGAAATTTATAGCACTAAATAACCACAAGAGAAAACAGGAAAGATCTAAAATCGACACCCTAACATCACAATGAAAAGAACTAGAGAAGCAAGAGCACACAAATTCAAAATCTAGCAGAAGGCAAGAAATAACTAAGATCAGAGCAGAACTGAAGGAGATAGAGACATAAAAAACCCTTCAAAAAATCAATGCATCCAGGAGCTGTTTTTTTGAAAAGATCAACAAAATTGATAGACCACTAGCAAAACTAATAAAGAAGAAAAGAGAGAAGAATCAAATAGATGCAATAAAAAATGATAAAGGGGATATCACCACTGATCCCATGGAAATACAAACTACCATCAGAGAATACTATAAACCCCTCTACACAAATAAACTAGAAAATCTAGAAGAAATGGATAAATTGCTGGAGAAATACACCCTCCTGAGACTAAACCAGGAAGAAGTTGAATCCCTGAATAGACCCATTAACAGGCTCTGAAATTGAGGCAATAATTAATTAGCCTACCAACAAAAAAAAGTCCAGGACCAGATGGATTCACAGCTGAATTCTACCAGAGGTACAAAGAGGAGCTGGTACCATTCCTTCTGAAACTATTCCAATCAATATAAAAACAGGGAATCCTCCCTACCACATTTTATGAGGCCAGCATCATCCTGATACCAAAGCCTGGCAGAGACACAACAAAAAAAAGAATTTTAGACCAATATCCCTGATGAACATCAATGCAAAAATCCTCAATAAAATACAGGCAAACCGAATCCAGCAGCACATCAAAGAGCTTAACCACCACTATCAAGTCGGCTTCATCCCTGGGATGCAAGCCTGGGTCAATATACACAAATCAATAAACGTAATCCATCACACTTCAGCCTTCGAGTAGCTGACAGGTGTGCCACCATGCCCAGCTAATTTTTGTATTTTTAGTAGAGATGGGGTTTCACCATGTTGCCTAGGTTAGTCTTGAACTCCTGGGCTCAGGTGATCTGCTCGCCTCGGCCTCCCAAAGTGCTAGGATTACAGGTGTGAGCCACTGTGCCTGGCCAATCTATGTAACTTTTCATGGAAGGCAAAACTATAAAAAAAGCAGATCATTTGTTACTTGGGACTTGGGTAGGTGGGAGGGAGGATTTAATGCAAATAAGCATGAGGAAACTTTTTGAGATTATGTAAGTATTCAAAAACTGAATTTTTGTAATTGTTGTACAACTCTATAAATTTACCAAAACTCATCAAAATGTGCATTTAAAATAAATAAATTTTGTGGTCTGTATATTATACCTCAAAAAAGCTGATAAAATATAAATTGGAACAAAAGTACTGGAAAACCATAAGTTGGAGACAAATGAGGGTGATCAAAATTAATGCATCCTTCAAGATGAAACGTGATTTTAATTTTAAAATTAATTTTTTAATTACTTGTTAATTCAAGTACACATATTAAATTTCAAGGGTAATCGTGAATAGAATAGAACTAGAACATACAACTTTTAAACAAATAGAGGGGAAAAACCTTGATCAATCTAACAGAATGCATTGGGGAAAAGTATTAGAGAAATAATATGGTTAACAGAAAGCACAAAACATGATGACAGAAATAAATATAAATTTATCAATAACCACAATAAACTTAAATGGTCTAAATTAGTTAAAGACAGACACTTGAAGACTGGATTAAAAACATGAAAATCCAGGTATCACCTGTAATAGTTAAAAACATGAAGACACAAAATTCTGAAGGTATGAGAAGAGTAAATGATAAATAAAACAAATATTAACCAATATATGGCTGGTATAGCTATTTTCATATCAAAAACTATAAGACAAAAAACATTCTGAGGAATAAAAGTCATTATGTAAAGACATCTATGCAAGTAACAATTCAACCTTAAAATATATGAAGCACAAATTGACAGAATTACAAAGAAAAATGGCTAAATCCTCAACCTTGAAGAAACTTAAACCTCTGAGTCAATGAAAATCAAAATGTAGTAAGATTATCTCAGATTTTAACCACCGTATTAAAAAAGCTTAATTTAAAGGAAATATATAGACTTCCATATGCTCAAATTAGAGAATATATATACTTTGAAGCCTGATAAAGTCTTAGGAGAACTGAACCTATACTAGCCTATGAATCAAATCACAACAAATAAACAAACATTATAACATGTGGCTTATACTCTGTAACTAAAATGCAATTTATAATAGAAAAAAATGTAAATTTCTTTCATTTTCAAACTAAAGGCATACCTTAAATAATTTTTCAGTCAAAGAAGACATGAAAACAAAAATCAGAAGATATTTGGAAGTGAAATACTACATAACAAAACTTGTGAGATAGAGCTGAGGCAGTACTGAAAGGGTAATTTATATCTTTAAATGTTTATATTGAAAAATAGGGTGAAAATTAGTTAAGCGTCCACCTTCGGAAGTTTGGAAAGAGAAAAAGAGATTGGGCATGGTGGCTCAGGCCTGTAATCCCAGCACTTTGGGAGGTCAAGGCGGGCGGATTACCTGAGGTCGGGAGTTCAAGACCAGCTTGGCCAACATGGTGAAACCCCCATCTCTACTGAAAATACAAAAATTAGCTGGGTGTGGTGGCAGGTGCCTATAATCCCAGCTACTCAGGAGGCTGAGGCAGAAGAATTGCTTGAGCTGGGGAGGCAGAGGTTGCAGTGAGCCGAGATTGGGCCACTGCATTCCAGCCTGGGCAACAGAGCAAGACTCTGTCTAAAATTGAAAAAAAAAAAAAAAAAAAAAAAATCGGAGTAAACCTAAATAAAATAAATTAAAGGAAATAAGGCAAAAAGTAGAAATAGACATTAATAAACTATAAAACAAAAAAACAATAGGCAAGATTCACAAAACCAAATGCTGATTCTTTGAAAAGAATAATAAAATAGACACACTTCTGGTAAGATTGATTAATTAAAAAGAGAAGGCATAAATAAGCAATATTAGGAATAAAAAATGAAATGTAACATAAAATATGAGTGAAAAAATAAAGTGAATACTATAAATGACTATATGACAACAGTCTAAAAACATAAGTGAAATGAACAACTTCGTTGGCTACTATAACTTATAAACACTTAGTCAAGAAGAAATGGGACACCTGAATATTCCTGTATCTATTTTTAAAAATTCAATCAGTAAATACTTTCTCAGAAAACACCCACTAGTATGAGATACTTTAATATGAAAGTTCTACCAAACATTCAAAGAACATATAAATAACCACTATCACATCAAAATAATTTCAGAGAATGGAAAAAGAGGGAACACCTTCAATTCATTTTGTGAGGCTAACATAAATGCAATATAAATATTTAAGATCATTATAATCCAAGAAAATTGGAGGCCAAACTAAGCTTAGATACAAACATCTAAAATAAAATAATAGTAAATCTAGTAATGTATTCTAAAAAAATTCTGGACCCGTTGGGTACCTCAGGAATAGAAGCAAACATTTAACAGTTTGCCCAAGCAGCTTTTATTTTATTTTATTATTTTTAAAGAGACAGGGTCTTGCCCTGCTGCCTGGGTTGGAATATTGGCATGATCATATAGCTCACAGCATCCTTGAACTCCTGGGCTCCAGGGACCCTCTGCCTTAGCCTCCTGAGTAGCTGGGACTACAGGCACACACCACAATGCCTAGCTAATTTTAAAAAAGTTTTTATTTTGTAGAGATGAAGTCTCACTATGTTGCCCAGGCTAGCCTCAAACTCTTGGCTTCAAATGATTCTTCCACCTTGGTGCCCCAAAGTGTTGGGATTACAGGCATCAGCCACGGCACCTGGCCTGAGCAGGTTTTAATAAGTCACCCCATGTTTGGAGAATTTCTAACATTATTAATATTACTTTCCCAGTGTAGAAGCCAGGAACTCAAGTTTTTAAACTTCCTTTGTCATGAAGGCATAGACACATGATGAACACACTGCTACTGACATTAATTTCTGCTTTTATCTGAATAGTTGGTACCTCCAGGAAAAGGAGGGGAATGAGGTTGGAAAATAGTACACAGGAAGCTTCAACTATATCTATAATGATTATATATACATATATATATATATATATATATTTTTTTTTTTTTTTTTTTTTTTGAGGCTGGAGTGCAGTGGTGCAATATCGGCTCACTGCAACCTCCGCCTCCTGGGGATCAAGCGATTCTCCTGCCTCAGCCTCTTGAGTAGCTGGGACTACAGGTGCATGCCATGATGTCTGGCTAATTTTGTATTTTTTAGTAGAGATGGGGTTTCACCATGTTGGCCAGGCTGGTTTGAACTCCCAACCTCAGGTGATCTGCCCGCCTCAGCCCCCAAAGTGCTGGGATTACAGGTGTGAACTACCACGCCTGGCCAGATAATGTTTAAATTAGAAGGTCACATGCATAAATATGATATCTTGGACATTGATGAGACCACATAGAAAAACTATATAAAAAGAAAAGAGGAAAAGGCCCAGGTCTAAGTCCTGAGTGATATTTGGTATTTAGAAGTTAGGAAAAGAAGAATGGAATATGGAAGACAAGAAAGGAAGAAGCAGTGAGGGAAGAAGAAAACCAGTTGGTGCCTCAGAATTAGAAAAAAAAGACAAGTGTTTCAATAAGAGAGTGATCATTGGTGTCAAAAGCTGGAAAGATCTTGAATACGATGCAGACAGAAACGTTCACTGGATTTGGTTAATACACTTAGTCAGATAAACCCCAGCAATTTCACCAGTTACGGTCGTTTTCATACTCCAGAGATGAAGGATAACATTTACTAGCCTACGTAATATTCTAGGTCTTGAATGTAGATATCAGTATTGATTTACTTTGAACTTCTACTTTAAAATCAAGAAATTAAGTCTCTTCTGAAATTCAAAGATATTATCATTTCTTAACAGTCATCAATAGTTTTCATGACATCTCATTTGAAGCAATAACTAATTTATATTGCATTAGCTAATTTAATAAATGGTTTCTGAAAGACTATATGCAAGGATAGGTCCCAGTCATAAAGAGCTAATACCTGCTTTGAAGGAACTTACAATTAATTTAATAAAAAAGACAGAAATGTTGTACAAATTAAAATGGCATAAGTGCCAAAGTAAAACTGGAAAATCTGGAAAAAAATCATAGGTTCTTGAAAGATGAAATTTCAATAGGCAAAGATAAGGACATGGTAAGTTAAGGGATAGGATGGACACAGATATAGCAACGTGAAGTCAAGAGCACATTGAGAGGTAAGTAAATTTGTCCGGATGAAGTGAGATATTTTGGCAGGTGAGAGTGGAAAGAAAATTCATAATTGAAACATGAAGTGTCTTGAATGCTTTGCTAAACTTTAGGAGTAAAATAAACATAAGAAATGTTATGGGCTGGGTGCAATGGCTTATTATCTGTAATCCCAGAACTTTGGGAGGCCAAGGCTGGAAGATGGCTTGAGCCCAGAAGTTGAAGACCAGCCTGGGAAACTCAGGGCAATGCTGTCTCTACAAAAAATTTTAAAAATTATCCAGATATGGTGACATGTGCCTGCAGTCCCAGCTACTCAGTAGGCTGAGGCAGGAGGATCACTTGAGCCCAGGAAGTCAAGGTTGCAGTGAGTTGTGATGGTGCCACTGTACTGCAGCCTGGGCAACAGAGTGAGACTCTGCCTCCAAAAAAAGAAAAAAAAAGAGAGAAATATTATGGAAGTGGAATTGATAGGGCTTATAAACAAACTGAATAACAGCATGAAGAAAAAAGGCCAAGTCAAAGATGCTTATGAGCTCTCTAGGCTGTATAACTGAGACAATATTATAACTTAAAAAAAAAAAAAAAAAAACAGAAAAAAAGGAAGAAGAACAAGAGGAGCAGAGTTTTCTAGTGAGAAGATGAAGATACTTTTGACTACACTGGTGTAAGTGACCTTAAGAGAATTACAAACAGGATTCTGGTTAAATAATTTATTATTATGCTTGTAGTTGAGGGTAGATATTTTGTTTTAGCTCCCTGGCAAACAGAACCTTATAGGTATTCAATAAATGTTTGCTGAGTAAATGACATTTTGATGTATCTAAATTAATGTTACTTCAGGAGAGCACCTAAACACCAATGTTGAGAACGTTTTTGGGAATACTTTAATTATGAACTTTTAGAACACTAGTACAATTTTTTTCTAACAACCAGAAAAATTTCTTGTCCCTAATAATTCTTTTCAATGTGCCATTCTCAGAGCCCCAGCTGGGTGCAGTATATGGCTAAGCAATTAATATGGGACAGCTAGAGTTTTAAAAATATATAGTCTATGAGAAGTTACAAATTTTTAAAAACATATTCTTTTTTTATTATTATACTTTAAGTTTTAGGGTACATGTGCACAATATGCAGGTTAGTTACATATGTATACATGTGCCATGTTGTTGTGCTGCACCCATTAACTCGTCATTTAACATTAGGTGTATCTCCTAATGCTATCCCTCCCCACTACACCCACCCCACAACCATCCCTGGTGTGTGATGTTCCCCTTCCTGTGTCCATGTGTTCTCACTGTTCAATTCCCATCTAAGAGTGAGAATAAGAGGTGTTTGGTTTTTTGTCCTTGCGATAGTTTGCTGAGAATGATGGTTTCCAGCTTCATCCATGTCCCTACAAACGACATGAACTCATCATTTTTTATGGCTGCATAGTATTCCATGGTGTATATGTGCCACATTTTCTTAATCCAGTCTATCATTGTTGGACATTTGGCTTGGTTCCAAGTCTTTGCTATTGTGAATAGCGCCGCAATAAACATACGTGTGCATGTGTCTTTATAGCAGCATGATTTATAATCCTTAAATGGGATCTAATTAAACTAAAAAGCTTCTGCACAGCAAAAGAAACTACCATCAGAGTGAACAGGCAACCTACAGAATGGGAGAAAATTTTTGCAATCTACTCATCTGACAAAGGGCTGATATCCAGAATCTACAATGAACTCAAACAAATTTATAAGAAAAAAACAAACAATCCCATCAACCAGTGGGCGAAGGATATGAACAGACTTCTCAAAAGAAGACATTTATGCAGCCAAAAGACACATGAAAAAATGCTCAATATCACTGGCCATCAAAGAAATGCAAATCGAAACCACGATGAGATACCATCTCACACCAGTTAGAATGGTGATCATTAAAAAGTCAGGAAACAACAGGTGCTGGAGAGGATGTGGAGAAATAGGAACACTTTTACACTGTTGGTGGGAGTGTAAACTAGTTCAACCATTATGGAAGTCAGTGTGGCGATTCCTCAGGGATCTAGAACTAGAAATACCATTTGACCCGGCAATCCCATTACTGGGTATATAACCAAAGGATTAAAAACGTGTTCTTATTTTTAGGATAATACTACAAAACTTTTCTAAAATAAATGCTCTAAAACTTTTTATTTGCTCTCTAGTATTTATTGATATGGTTAGCTTTCTGGTTTCTTAATTTACCGTACATGGTTATACTCATTATTAAAAGCTTTTTAAATATGATGCTGTGAAAGGTGTTACAGAGAGCAACTGCATAAATAGTTCTACTTATGACAGGGTAAAAACCACTGAGCAAACATACTTAATTGAATGGATGACTTCTTGGGGAATAAAAAAGCATTATAATGTAAAACTGTAGGTGAAAACCCTTCTCAAGTTCATTGATGTTAGAGACAAACGTTTTCAACTCTTTTCATTTCCTATTTGCTCTTTGCCAAGATTGGAATAGTAAGTAGTTAACCTGATTGGTGAGAACCTCATAGTTATTGAGCCATATCCTAGAATCAGTAGGTAGGTTTCTTTTGCCTCAAAAGTGAGAAATCCATTCCTCTGTCTGTTTTGCATTGTTTGGATGAGTAAACTCTCCTCTTTTCATTTGTTATTCTCAGTAGTAAACACATGTGGGTCAGGACCCCTCTAAAAGGCATCCATTTCTCTTCTCCAGCCTCTAGTGAACTCCAGTCTGCTCATGATAGTGTTTTTGAGGCAAGTCCTTCCTCATAGTTAACTGCGTACTCAAAGTCTGCTCTGAAGGATCAGCTTTCCAGACAGGAGGAGACACGATCTATGGAGAAGCCTTATGTTTACTCCATTTTTCCAAGGAGATCTTACTTGGGGGAAGCACTGGCCCTCCACTAATGGAACTATGTTCATCCCCACTTGGCTCCTTAGTGTCTGTTCTCTACTGACTATAACCCAGAAGGAATGTGGATATTATTGTATTTTTAATAGGCTTTATTTTTTAGAGCAGTTTTAGGCTCACAGCAAAATTGAGCAGAGATTACAGAGAGATCTCAAAAATCCCCGCTCTCTACAACCTACAGAATGGGAGAAAATTTTTGCAATCTATCCATCTGATAAAGGTCTAATATCCAGAGTCCACAAGGAAGTTAAACAAATTTACAAGAAAAAAAACAAACAACCCCATTAAAAAGTGGGTAAAGGACATGAGCAGACACTTCTCGAAAGAAGACATTTATGCAGCCAGCAAACGTATGAAAAAAAGCTCAACCTCACTGATCATTAGAGAAATGCAAATCAAAACCACAATGATTTACCATCTTATGCCAGTCAGAATGGTGATTATTAAAAAGTCAAAAAACAACAAATGCTGGTGATGTTCAGAGAAAAAGAAACACTTTTACACTGTTGGTGGGAATTTACATTAGTTCAACCATTGTAGAAGACAGTGTGGCAATTCCTCAAAGATCCAGGAGCAGAAATACCATTTGACCCAGCAATCCCATTACTGGGTATATACCCAAAGGAATATAAATCATTCTATTATGAAGACACATGCACATGGATGTTCACTGCAGCACTATTCACAATAAAAAAGATGTGGAATCAACATAAATGCCCATCAATGATAGACTGCATAAAGAAAATGTGGTACATATACCATGGATACTATGCAGCCATAAAAAGGAATGAGATCGTGTCCTTTGCAGGGACATGGATGGAGCTGGAAGCTGTTATCTTCAGCAAACTAATGCAGAAACAGAAAACCAAATAACACATGTTTTCACTTATATGTGGGAGCTGAATGATGAGAACACATGGGGGGAACAACACACACTGGGGCTTGTTGAGGGGGTTGAGGGACGGAGAGCATTAGGAAGAATAGCTAATGGATGCTGAGCTTAATACCTAGGTGATGGATTGATCTGTGCAGCAAACCACCATCGCACATGTTTACCCATGTAACAAACCTGCACATCCTGCATATGTACCCTGGAACTTAAAATAAAAGTTGATGAAAAAAAAATCCCGGCTCCCACACACTTCCTCTATGACCAACATTCCACACCAGAGTGGTCCATTTGTTAGAATTGATAAACCTATATTAACACATCATGGTCACCCAAAGTTCAGAGTTTACATTAGGTTCCCTCTTGGGTTTGTATGTTCTATGGCTTTTAACAAATGTATAATGACATATTTCCATCATTATAATATCATACAAAATAGTTTCACTGCCCTAAAAATCCTCTGGGCTCTGCCTGCTCATCCCTCCCTCCTCTCAATTCCTGACAACCACTGATCTTTTTACTGTGTCCATAGTTTTGCCCCTGTTAGAATGTCATATAGTTGGACTCGCACAGAATGTAGCTATTTCAGATTGGCTTCTTTCACTTAGAAACATGCATTTAAGTTTACTCCAAGTTGTCTCATTGCTTGATAGGTCATTTCTTTTCAGTATTGAATAATATTCCACTTTCTAGATGTACCACAGTTTATTTATTCACTCACCTAATGAAAGACATTTTGATTGCTTCTGAATTTTGATAATTATCAATAAGGTTGCCATAAACATCCATGTTTATGTGCAGGTTTTTGTGCGGACTTAAGTTTTCAGCTCATTTGGGTAAATATCAAGGAGTGTAATTGCTGGATTGTATGGTAAGTCTTTTTATTTTTGCAAGAAACTGCCAAACTATCATCCAAAGGGGCTGTACAGTTTGTACAACTCCCACCTGCAATGAATGAAAGTTCCTGTTGCTCCGTACCCTTGCCAAGATTTAGTGGTGTCAGTGTTTTGGATTATGGCCATCCTAATAGGTGTGTAGTGGTCTCTCACTGTTGTGTTAATTTACAATTACCTAATGACCTATCATGTTGAGCATCTTTTCATAAGCTTACTTGCCATCTGTATATCTTATTTCGTGAGGTTCCTGTTGCAGTGTTGTGTTCATTTTTTAATCTGGTTGTTTGTTTTCTTTTTGGTGAAGTTTTAGAGTTCTTTTTATATTTTGATAACAGTCTTTATCAAATATGTCCTTTGCAAATATTTTCTTCCAATCTGTTGCTTGTCTTTTCATTCTCTTGAAAGTGTATTCCACAGAGCATAGATTTTTTTCCCTTCTCTTTCACAGAAGGGAACAGCATGGAAGAACATACATTTTAATGTTAAGGAAATCAAGTTTATCTATTATTTCTTTCATGGAGTGTGCCTTTGATATTATACCTAAAACTCATTACCATACCAAAGGTCATCTAGATTTTCTATGTTACCATCTACATTTATAGATCTGTGTTTTACATTCAAGTCTATGATATGTTTCGAGGTAATTTTGTGGAAAGTTTTAAGGTCTATGTATAGATTCCTTTTTTTTTTTGCATCCATGTGGAGGTCCATATGTTTTGTCATGATGTATAGTTGAAAAGATTATGTTTGCTCCATTGTATTGCCTTTATTCCTTTGTCAAAGATCAGTTGACAATATTTTTGTGGGTCTATTTCTGGACTCTATTCTGTTTGATTGATCTCTTTGTCTAGTCTTTTACCAATACCACATTGTCCTGATTATCGTAGCTTTACAGTAAGTCTTGAAGTTGGGTAATGTCAGTTCTCTGATTTTGTTTCTCTCTTTCAATGTCGAGTTGGCTTTTCTGGGTCTTTTGCCTGCCCAAACAAATTTTTAAATAAATTTGTTCATATCCACAAAATAACTTTCAGGAATTTTGATTGGGATTGCATTGAATCAAGTTAGGAAGTACTGACATCTGACAATACTAGTCTTTCATGAACATAAAATATTTCTCAATTTATTTAGTTCTTTTATTTATTTCATCAGAGTTTTATAGTTATTACTCAAATAGATCTTGTATATATTTTTGTTAGACATATATCTAAGATGTTAATTTTTGTGGTGCTAATGTAAATGGTGCTGTTTTTAATTTCAAATTCCATTTGTTCACTGTGGCACATAGGAAAACAATTGACTTTTGTATATTAATCTTGTACCTGCCATCTTACTCACTTAGTAGTTGTTCCAGGAGTTTTTTTTACATGATTCTTTTAGAATTTTTACCGATACAATCATCTTATCTGTAAACAAAGACAAATTTATTTCTTCCTTCCTAACCTGTATACCTTTTATTTACTTTCCTTGTCATAATTCATTAGTTGGACTTCCAGTACAATGTTGAAAAGAAGTGGTAAGAGGAGGCATCCTTACCTTGTTACTGATCTAGAAGAAAAGCTTCTAGTTTTTCACCAATGAGTACAATGTTACCTGTAGGATTTTAGTAGATAGTTTTTATGCAGTTGAGGAAGTTTCCACTCTATTCTAGCTTGCTGATAGTTTTTTATTTTTAATCATGATTGGGCATTGGATTTTGTCAGATACCTTTCTGCATCTACTGATATGATCATGTGATTTTTCTTCCTTAGCCTGTTGATGTGATGGATTACATTACTTAATTTTTGAATGATGAACTAATCTCATATATCTGGGATAAATCCCACTTGGTCATGGTCATGGTGTATCCTTTTTATATGCTGTTTAATTCAATTTGTTAATACTTTGTTAAGAATTTTTGCATCTATGTGCATGAGAGATATTGGTCTGTAGATATTGGTTCTATAATGTTTTTGCCAGATTTTGATATTAGGAATGCTGACCTTATAGAATAAATTGGAAAGTATTCCTTCTGCTTATGTCTTCTAGAAATAGCTGAGAAAATTGTATAATTTCATCCTTAAATGTTTTGTAGAATTTATCAGCGAATCCACCTGGGCCCAGTACATTCTGTTTTGGAAAGAAACACTGATTCAATTTCTTTAATAGTTATAGGCCTATTCATATTATCCACTTCCTCTTCTGAGTTTTGGCAGATTGTGTCTTTCAAGGAATTGGTCCTTTTTATCTAGGTTATTGAATTTGTGGGAATAAAGTTGTTCATAGTATTACTTTATTATCCTTTTAATGCCCATGGGATCTGTAGCAATGTCTTCTCTTTTATTTCTGATATAAGTAATGTGTGTCTTCTCTCATATTTTTCTTAGTTAGTTTGGCTAAAGGCTTATCAATTGTGTTGATCTTTTCAAAGAACCAGGTTTTTGTTTCATTGAATTTATTGATTTCCTGTTTTTAATTGTACTGATATCTACTCTAAATTATATTACTTTTTTTCTTCTGCTTACTTTGAACTCAATTAGCTCTTTTCTTTCTAGCTTCCTGAGGTGGAAGCTTAATTTATTCATTTTAGATCTTTCTTTTTTTCTATTAAGAAATATTATCAAATGCTATAAGTTTCCTTCTACTCATTGCTTTTGCTGCATCCCATAAATTTTGATAAGTAGTATTTTCATTTTGTTCAAAGTACTTGTATTTTTTATTATTTTATTTTATTTTATTGAGACAGAGTCTCACTCTGTCACCCACACTGAAATACAGTGGTGTGATCTTGGCTCATTATAGCCTCTGCCTCCTGGGGTAAGCAATCTTCCCACCTCAGCCTCCCAAGTAGCTGAGACTACAGGCATGCGTCACCACACTCAGCTAATTTTTATATTTCTTTGTAGAGACAGGGCTTCATCATGTTGCCAGGCTGGTCTCAAACTCCTGAGCTCAAGTAATCTGCCTGCCTCGGCCTAGCAGAGTACTGGGATTACAGGTGTGAGCCAACATGTCTGGCTGTTCAAAGTATTTTTACCTTTCTCTTGAGAGTTCTTTGATTTGGTGTTATCTAGAAGTGTGTTGTTTAATCTTTAAGTATTTCGGGATGTTAAAGCTGTTTTTCTGTTACTGATTTTTAGTTAAAATTCATTGTGGTCTGAGAGCAGAGATTGCATCCTTTCAAATTTATTAAGGTATGTTTTATGGCTCAGGATATAGTCTGTCTTGGTGAATGTTCCATATTAGCCGGAGCAGAATTTGTATTTTGCTCTTTTGGGATGAAGTAGTCTATAAATGTCAATTATATCCAGTTGACTGATGATACTGTTGAGTTCAACTATGTCTTTATTGAATTTTTGCCTGCTGTCTCTGTCCATTTCGGATAGACAGGTGTTAAAGTTCCAACTAGAAAAATGAAAGTTATCTCTTTCTCCTTATAGTTTTGCCAGTTTTTAACTCATGTGTTCTTTTTTTAAGAAAAAGGGTCTGGCTATGTTCCCCAGGCTGGCCTCCTGGGCTTAAGCAATCCTCCTATTCAGCCTCCAGAGTAGCTGGGACTAAAGATGCATACCAATGAGCCTGGCTTGACTCACGTATTTTAATATTCTTTTGTTAGGCACAAATACATTAAGGATTGTCATGTCTTTTTGAAAAATTAACCCTTTTATTATTATGTAATGCTCCACTTTATTCCTGATAACACTCATTGCTGGAAGTCTGCTGTCTGAAATTAATATAGCTAATTTAACTTTCTTTTTATTAGTGTTAGAATGGAATATCATTCTCCATCTCTTTCCTTAATCAATATGTATCTTGTAAAAAACACATAGTTCGGTCTTATTTTTGACCCACTCTAGCAATCTCTGTATTTTACCTAGTGTATTTAGACCATTGACATTTAAAGTGATTATTGATATATTTGGGTTAATATCAATCATGCTTGTTCCTCTTTGCTATTCATTGCCCTTCTTTGTTCCTACTTTTGTCTTCCATTCTTTTCCTGCCTTTTGTGGTTTTAATTGAGCATTTTATATGATTCAATTTTCTGTTAGCATATCAATTATACTTCTTTATAAATTTTTGTAATGGTTGCCTGAGAGCTTACAACATGCGTTTACAACTAATACAAATCCATTTTCTTTTCTTTTTTTTTTTCTTCCTTCTTTTGCCCAGGCTGGAGTGCAGCGGTGTGATCTCGGCTCACTGCAACCTCCGTCTCCTGGGTTCAAGCAATTCTCCTGCCTCAGCATCTTGAGTAGCTGGGATTACAGGTGCCTGCCACCATGCCCGGCTAATTTTTTGTATTTTTAGTAGAGACAGGGCTTCACCATGTTGGCCAGGTTGGTCTCAAACTCCTGACCTCAAGTGATCCACCCACCTCCACCTCCCAAAGTGCTGGGATTACAGGTGTGAGCCACTGTGCCTGGTCAAAGTCCACTTTCAAATAATACTATATGGCTTTATAGGTAGAGCAAACACTTTATAATAATATTTCTAATTCCTCCCTCCCATTTCTTGTATTATTGCTCTCATTCATTTCCCTTAAACATAAGCTATAGTCATAAATACATTATTGCTATTATTAATTTGAACAAATTGTTATCTATTAGATAAATTAAGAATTTAAAAAATTTTATCTTTGTGTATTTCCTTTCGAATATTCTTCCTTTTTTACATAGATGTGAGTTTCTGATCTACATCATTTTCCTTCTCTCTGAAGACCATCTTTTAACATCTCTTGCAAGCCAAGTCAACTGGCACAAAAGTTCTTCAATTTTTGTTTATCTGTGAAAGTCTTTGTTTCTCCTTCACTTTTCAAGGACAGTTTCACAGGATACAGAATTCTAAGGCTGGTGTTGTTTTTTTTTTTTTCTCTCTCTCAACATTTTAAATATTTCATGCCACTCTATTCTTGCTTCCATGGTTTCTGATGAGAAGTTGGATGTAATTCTTACCTTTGCTCTTTTATGGGTAGTTTTACCTCTGTCTTCTTTCAAGATTTTTTCTTTATCTTTGACTTTTCTGAAGTTTGAATATGATATGGCTAGGTGTAGTCTGTTTGGACATTTACCCTGTTTGGTCTTTTCTGGGCTTCCAGAATCTGTGACTTGGTGCTTGACATTCATTTGTGGAAATTCCTAGTCATTATGGCTTCAATTATGTCTTCTATTCCTTTCTGTCTTCCTTTTCCTTTTGATATTCCCATTTCATGTATGTTACACCTTTTGTAGTGACCCCACAATTCTTGGATATTCTGTTTCATTGTTGTTCAGTATTTTTTTCTCTTTGCTTTTCAGTTTTAGAAGTTTCTACTGGCATATTCTCAAGCCCGGAGATTCTTTCTCAGCTTTGTCCAGCCTACTAATAAGCCCATCAAAGGCATTCTTCATTTGTTACAGTGTTTTTGATATCTGGCATCTCTTTCTTACAATTTTCATCCTGTTTATAATACTCATCTGTTCTTACATGTTTTCTATTTTTTTCCGTTAGAGATCTTAGCATATTTAACATAACTTTTAAATTCACAGTCTGATAATTCCAATATACCCTCCATATATGAGTCTGGTTCTGATGTTTGCTCCATTTCTTTAAACTGTGTTTTTTGCCTTTTAATACACGTTGTAAATTTTAGTTGAAAGATAAACATGATGTACTGAGTAAAAGGACCTGTGGTAAGTAAGACTTTAGTAATGTGGTGATAAGGTGTGTGTGTTGGGGGTGGGGAGAAAATTCTATAGTTCTATCACTAGATCTCAGTCTTTTAGTAGGCCTGTGCCTCTGAGCTGTGAATGTCAAAAAATGCTTTTCTGGTT
The DNA here is from genome assembly GCF_000001405.40 of Homo sapiens. NCBI lineage: Eukaryota > Metazoa > Chordata > Mammalia > Primates > Hominidae > Homo > Homo sapiens. The sequence continues at coordinate 102,987,209 of NC_000004.12, forward strand.
TTTTTCACTCCCTTAGTTGGTGCAGGATGGTTAGAGGAGGCCAGAGTTGGATATTTTCCTTCAACTATGTGGAAGGCTAGAGGAGGCTGACTAGAGTTGGGAACAGAACTTCTCCATTAAAATCTTACTATCAGTTTTTATGAAGTTAGCAGTCTTGGAAGTTTAGATCAAAAATAACATCCCAGAGACTTCCAGTTTCCATTTCTACATGTAAGGATATTAGAAGTCATCACTCTGTCCTAAAAACAAATAAAAAGCTGAAGAAACTGAAAAATCAACAACTCTTCTTAGATCCATCAGATCTAAGTTGGTTAGGCTCTGATAAAAACATGTGTAGGTTAGGCTCTGATAAAAAATTTTTTTTTGGGGGGCAGACTTTGTAAGAAGAACAGAATACTGTGGTATATTTCACAATGGTTACCCTCCTCTTTCCTTGATACTTTCCCTCTCCTCCTGCTGGTTGGCTGCAGAAGGTAAAACTTAAAAAAGTGTGGGCCTCTCCCATCCCATAATTGGGGACCTCCTCGACTTTTCCACACAGAGCTTTAGCCAAGTTTTAAATTACAATTCAGGTTTTTGTACCCTGCTCCTGGTTCCCAAAGAGGTTTTCATTCCTGTAAGTTATGATTCTCTGAATCTGTCTAATCACTCCTATTTTTTGGGCAGCAGTTTGCCCTGTGACTCACTTCTCTGATGGATTTAAGAAGAATTGTTGATTTTTCAGTTTCTTCAGCTTTTTATTTGTTTTTAGGACAGAGTGATGACTTCTAATCTCCTTACGTGTAGAACTGGAAACTGGAAGTCTCTGGGATATTATTTTTGAACCTTAAATTTCCAAGACTGCTAACTTCATAAAACTGATAATAAAATTTTAATGGAGAAGTTCTGTCCCCAAGATTACTTAAAAATCATAGTTGGACATACAAGAAAACTTTAATTCATTTAAAGAAAAAAAGCTTCATAAAAATATATTAGCATTTTTGTTAAAAGTAGGCTGAAAAGAAACAAAAAGGAATAATATCTTAAGCTCTAAATCTACTGTCCTAGACTATCCATTTATTTGGGATGAAGCAAGCCATTCCCCAAATGAGGTATGCAAACAGTATGATATTAAATGTGATGAGACTGATTTCTGTGTGCATTTGAGAGTTTAGATTTCTTATTTAAATTTAACTTGTACACATGTGGTATTGGTGAATTAACTATTATTTATAGAAAAACATGTTGTTCTATTTCCTTTTATTATCCAAACTCTATGCAGTTTTAAGAAATTATTTTGTTGTTTCATTCTGCTTACACATGGTTGTACATTACTTATTCCATGATGCGGCAGAGTGGGATTACTAACAGTGGCATGTTCTAAGCATACCCAGAGATTGAGATTCTATACTTTGTGTATAAAGGAAACAGTGTGAATGTAGGGAGTGTGTTGAGAGAGAGGGACAAACAGAGAGAGATTGATTTCAAAAAAGAGAGTGCAAGAATATGCACCCCTAAATAGAAACACAGAAAATCTCCTTTTCCTATAAATGTCTCCAAAACTGCAAAATCAAAAATGAAAGAAAACAAAGGGGGAAATGAGTTATATCTAAACCTGCAGTTTTAGTTCTGATGTTCTAGAACTCCTCAATTAGTTCCTGAGCAAACTGTAGTCCACACTCAGTGAATAATTTTGGTAAATAATACATTTCCCTCTCTTCCACAGACCCTGGCCCTACTCCTAATAACTGCTTTGTAGAAATGGCCTACTAAATAGACCAAGTCATGGGAACATATGTATATTTACAAAGGAGTCCAATCACTTACACTGGCAGATGAGGACTATTCAAGTTCACAGAAAACTTTGATTCAAGGCCATCAATATACTGACGTAAATTAAAAAGCAACCTTTACTAATGAAAAAAATCAATGAATAAAATTTGCTTCAAAAGTTTAAAGTTAGCAAGCAGCAAATAAGAAAATAAAAATTTAAAACTTCAATTACTTGTGCTTCATCATTTTTAATCAATTTTTTGTTCTCTATAGGGAACAAAATTCTATATACTTCTGGAAGCCAAAATCTCTTTCTCTCATAGGTTTAATCAAACAGAATATTTAGAAAAACATACACAAGAAAATCTCTTTATAAGTATTTGCTGACAACAACACTATGCTTTAAAATTGTAGTGGGAAAGCAAGTGTTATACAACTTTTTACAAGGTTGCTGCTGTTTTAAAACTTAGGGCCCAATTTTAATAAGAAACATAATTATTTCCAAAATTATAATGTTCTTTCTAGCTAACTTAAAACTAAATGTCAAAGTAGGTTTTAAATAAAATCCTTTAATCAATGATGTTTCTAATCCCAAAAATTTAACATAAAAAAGTATGACAAATATTAAAACATACACCTCCTAGGCAATATTTTGTTTTTGTTTTTATCTTTGAAAGATTCAAGAAAATATTTCCTCTTTGTTCACATATTGCTTGTAACAAAGCTGATCATCTGATCTGGAGTATATTGATTAAGTAGTGTCTTTGTTGTCTCATGTTTTAATATTTATCAAACATATTTCTCATCTTCTCTTCATTTACATTTTTTGTTTCACATACCATTTGTAATAATTACATTCAATACTCCTCTTAGAGGACAAGAAATGTATGTCTCCTTTTTTGTCTGTGGTTTTATTTCTTCTGTATCTGATAAGACAGTTTTAGTTTCTTCCTGTGCAGTATTATTAGGATCAATGAGACTCTGTAGTAAAACAAGAAAATCTTTAAGGAACCATACTTTCTGTATAATTTTATGAATGAAATAAACCACCAAATTTTAGAATTAAATTTATATTATTACTGTCAATGCGAGGAATCACAGATACAAAAGAAGATTCATGCTCCATATCAGTAGCTGTTTGGGGATGTAACAGCAGTGTATTTTGCAAGGTACCTTGATTGAACCTTTTATAGACTTGGGTCCCCACTATTTTCAATCATTTGTGTATACTGAATAAAGGTGCCTACAGTTTGGGCACAATAATTAAAAGTGTCCATCCTCTGTATACATCCCAAAGATTATTCACCAAAACTTTTGTGAAATGAAAATACAACTCAATTAGAAAGGAGGTGAAATATAATTTTACTTGGATTCATCTCATTTGATAAATTTATATAACTGAAAGAAAAATGAGAAAAACATAGGTCAAGCCTTCGGAAATTCAAGCATGCTTCCACTAATATTTATAGATAACATATTAAATAGTGCAAGGGTATACCTTAATCTCCCAGGCCTTTTAATGGTAGCCTGATTATGAAACTGCTGATTTTGAAAAAAAGGAATCTTTGGTTTGTGAGAATATTGAGAAACTTCTTCCAATGTAAAAAACAAAACATAAACAATGATAACAACAACAAAACACCAGAGTAGAGTTAACTCTGCAGTAGAAATCTCCAAATTTGCCTTATGATTGTCATGGGTGGGTGGGTGTGGGGGTGTGTGTGCCAGCAATTTGAGTGACTTGATAATACTTTGAGTGAGTGAAAGAGGGAACATCTTATCATCACAGGAAACAATAAAAAGGCTAGAGTGCATGGACACATTGAGGAAGGGAATTTTACATGTAATGACTAAGGAGACAGAGATATCAAGGCAGCTGATGGTTAAAAATGAATTATGTAGCTCTTTAAGATCAAAGTTCTTCAAATCTGATCATAATTAACCTATTGGAGTTCTGGTATAGAGGCAGGCTTTTTCTGAAAATTCTGTTACTATATAAAAGGGATAAAGACACAATGGTGAATTTTTATTAAGGTGGGTGAAAGGTCATGTAGAGTAAAACCATATTATTTTAAGTTTTATTATTTTAGAATTTGTAATAAACTGATGTAGACTAAGATGACTTCTTCACAGATAATTAGAATCAATGGTGAATATTTAAAATATTTTTAAAAATGACTTTTTGACCCTTAAGAACTGTAGAAATCTCTATTTTAAAAAAATACGAAATTTACAATTCTAATTATGAGCAATTATTACTAAGTAAAACTAGATCAACAAAAGGTCTAACGACTTGCTCTATATATCTATAAAAATAAAAAACTTGGGTCTCTTCAAAACACACAGCACAACATTTTAATTAATCTAGACTTATCTTTACCTCTGTTAGTTTAAGTTACTGAGTTTTCCCTGAATGTGGTGAGAAATAATAAGCGACATTTCTTCTTATTCCTAAAATCTGTGCTCTTTAGCTCCAAAATGCTCTATAGTCACACCTTTCCATTTGTTTCATTATTTCTGCTCATTTCCTAGGACCCATTACAACTAGCTATTTTAAAATTTACCACTTTTCATTTTTAACCAGATATATAAAAGAAACCTATCTAATAAGTAAATTAGGAATAAATTTTAAGATCAGGTTGATTTTATATCATATATTACAGTATACTTTTAAGTTTTTACCTGAGGAGTTGTAGATGTTTGGAAGTTTTCATCCTCCAAATGTTCATTTTTTGATTCTGTGGTATGCATGCTAAGATTTAAAAGAAAAATACTTTAAAAGAAGAAACAAGACTATAAATCCATATGAAAACAAACATGGTTAAGTGGGATTAATTTTTTAAAGGATTTTTTGTTCTAAAGTTGTATCACAGTCAAGTCAGATATCTTTATAGTCAACATAGATCCAAATATTCATCTTTAACATTATTAACCAAAGCCATATGCATAAGTTTTAAAAACCATTATCATACAGAAATGTAATATTTCTCAACAGTTCATAATGCTGGCCCATATCATAGAATCATGTATCAGAAAATGCAGAAATTTATTTTATGCACTGAACTGGTGTGTTTGAGTTAATATCCACTGTTGATTTAATCTATCTTCTGTCATGCTCTTACATAAAACACTCCAGAAAAATTTTAAATGAAATATGACCAACTACATTAATACCTACATCTATAAGTTACTGATACATACTATCTTTTTATGTGGCCCATTTGAAGGATCTGTAGGTCCAACATTTAAATATATCTATAAAGTTTTATTTTGAAGAAGAATAAACTAGATGAATAAAATAATAATTACTTATAACTTTTATTTTAAAGTATCTGTTGTTTCTACCTCCTCTGTAATCTTTGCTAGCTTCAAATATAAGTAGGGTAACTTTTCTTAAAAATATCTTCTCTCAATTTTTGAGTTGTTGTTAAGAACAAAACTAAAGATTTCAAGTTTTAATTTTTAGATAGTCTTATTACCATATCCTGTAGTGCTTCAAGTATCTATACTTTTCTAAAAGGAAAACAATTTTAATAATGAAAATTGTTAACGAAAAGGAACATTAACAGTTGAGTAGCTACCATATGCTAGCTGCTTTACATCTATTGTCTTACCATAATGAAGTAAAATATTACTGCATAAAATCCTATAAAGAATCATAACTGAATTTATAACATTATTAAAGCAAAAAATAACCTTTAAAAATTTTGATCAGAAACTTAGATCTAAATTCCTTTAAAGTGTAGTTCCATTTTGATTGAAGTGACTGTCAAAATAACTATCTTGTCATTAGAATGATGTATTAGTCCATTTTCATGCAGCTATGAAGAGATACCTGAGTCTGGGTAATTTATAAAGGAAAGAGGTTGAATTGACTCACAGTTCCACATGGCTGGGGAGGCCACAGGAAACTTAAAATCATACTGGAGGGGACCTCTTCACAGGGTGGCAGAAGAGAGAATGAGTGCAAGTAGGGGAAATGCCAGACACTTATAAAACCATTAGATCTTCTGAGACTAACTCACAAGATCCAGCTACCTATACCTTGTCCCACCCATGACATGTGGGGATTGTTATAACTCAAGGTGAGATTTGGGTGGGGACAGAGACAAATCATATCATTCTGCCCCGGCCCCTCCCAAATCTCATGTCCTCACACTTCAGAACACAATTATGCCTTTCCAACAGTCCCCCAAAGTCTTAACTAATTCCAGCATTATCTCAAAAGCCTAAGTCCAAAGTCTTGTCTGAGACAAGGCAAGTCGCTTCTGCCTATGAGCCTATAAAATCGAAAGGAAGTTGGTTACTTCCTAGGTACAATGAGGGTACTGGGAGAAATTGGCCAAAACAAAGAGGCTACAGACCCCATGCAAGTCCGAAATCCAATAGGGCAATCAGTAAACCTTAAAGTTCCATAATGATCTCCTTTTACTCCATGTGGCACATCCAGGTCACGCTGATGCAAGAGGTGGGCTCCCATGGCCTTGGGCAGCTCCGCCCCTGTGGCTCTGCAGAGTTACAGTCCCACTCTCTGGTGCTTTCACAGGCTGGCATTGAGGGTCTGCTGCTTTTCCAGGCACATGGTGCAAGCTGCTGGTGGATCTACCATTCTGGGGTCTGGAGGATGGTGGCTCTCTTCTCACAGCTCCTCCAGGTAGTGCCCCAGTGGGGACTCTGTGTGGGGGCTCCAACCCCACATTTTTCCTTTGCACTGCCCTAGCAGAGGTTCTCCATGAGGGCTCTGCCACTGGAGTAAACTTCTGCCTGGATATCCAGGCATTTCTATATACCCTCTGAAATCTAGGTGGAGGTTCCCAAAGCTCAGTTCCTGAGTTCTGTGCACCTGTCGGCCTAACACCACGTGTAAGCTGCCAAGCCTTGGGGCTTGCACCCTCTGAAGCAATGCCAGAGCTGTACCTGGCCTCCTTTAGACATAGCTGGAGCTGAAGCAGCTGGGATGCAGGGCACCATGTCTCAAGGCTGCATAGAGCAGGGTGACCCTGGGCCTGGCCCACAAAGCCATTTTTCCCTCCTAGGTCTCCAGGCCTGTGATGGGAGGGGCTGCCACAAAGGTCTCTGAAAATGCCCTGGAGACATTTTCCCCATTGTCTTGGTGATTAACATTTGACTCCTCATTACTTATGCAAATTTCTGCAGCAGGCTTGAAATTCTACCCCCTTCCCCAGAAAATGTTTTTTTTTCTATTGCATCATCAGGCTGCAATTTTTCCAAACTTCTATGCTCTGCTTCCTCTTGAACACTTTGCCACTTAGAAATTTCTTCTGCCAGATATCCTAAATTATCACTCTCAAGTTCAAAGTTCTACAGATCTCTGGGGCAGAGGCAAAATGCCACCAGTCTCTTTGCTAAAGCATAGCAAGAGTGACCTTTACTCCAATTCCCAACAAGTTCCTCATCTCCATCTCAAACCACCTCAGCCTACACTTCATTGTCCATATCACCATCAGCATTTTGGTCAAAGCCATTCAACAAGTCTCTATGAAGTTCCACACTTTCCCACATCTTCCTCTCTTCTGAGCCCTCCAACCTGTTCCAACCTCAGCTTGTTACCCAGTTCCAAAGTCGCTTCCACATTTCTGGGTATCTTTATAACAGCAGCCCACTCTGTGGTGCCAGTTTACATTAGTCCTTTTTCACGCTACTACAAAGAAATACCCGAGACTGGGTAATTTATAAAGGAAAGAGGTTTAATGGACTCACAGTTCCACATGGCTGGGGAGGCCTCAGGAAACTTACAATCATGGCAGAGGGCAGCTCTTCACAAGGCAGCAGGAAAGAGAATGAGTGAAAGCAGGGGAAATGCCAGACAATTATAAAATCATCAGATCTCATGACGTGATCACATCAGATCACTCATTATCATGAGAACAGCATGGGGAAACCACCCCCATGATCCAGTTACCTCCTCATTGTTCCACCCCTGACACATGGGGATTATTACAATTCAAGGTGAAATTTGGGTGGGGACACAGAATCAAACCATATCAAATGACTACCTTGTCATAAGCTGTTAGATTATGAGGTAATTGGTAAGAATAAGGGAGGTAGGTGAATCACCTAAGTTGTGTCATGTTCTGAATAGACAGACTGGGAGTTAGAGCCATTAAAAAGTTTGAGCTGAAGTGCACATAAATTTTGAGGAGAGGACACAAAATTAATTTACACACTTAATAATTTTTGAATGCCTACTCTTCTGGCCTCTGAAGGCAAAGCAGCCAATCAAAACAAAATAAAACAGAAATATAGGCTTCTGTTCTCATGGATCTTATACTCTTGTTAGGTGGAAGGGGAAGATTATAAAAAACATTTTCAGTACTGCAGAAAATAAATGAGGATCATATTATAGAGATCAAGGTGACATTTGAACTGTGTCCTAAATGAGGAGAAGCTGTGAGTCATAAGTAAGCAGATGGACAAGGAGCAGGCAAACATAACACCAAGAATCATACAAATGGAGACATCAAGCGACTAGGCAGCATATTTTAAGATATGTAACTATAATGATTAGGATAGCAGGGCTTGGAACCCAGGCAAGCAGACTATGTATTAGAACTTCAAAACCTAAGTAAGGGGTCTGAATAATAGATGCACAGGTTAATAGCTATAAGAGAAGCTTTATACTGAGTCAAGCAATATTTGTGACTGGCAGTCACTCAATACCCTCTTTATATATCTGCCAAGAGTGGAATTGGTAGGTGGTATGCCTAAAAGCAAGGACTTTGAGTTGAGAAAGAAATGTATTCAACTCTTCTCTTATCTTTTCATAACTGTGGGAAGTGATTTATCTCCACTGGCCTCAATTTCCTTATCTGAAAAAATATATAATAATGCTTAGTTTATTGGTTATCATAATAATTAAATTATAATAGCTAATGCCAGTTGAACTATATTAAGCACTTAACATGAATCATCTTCCTCAATTCTCTCAACAACTCTATGAGGTATTTAATACTATTATCCCCATTTTATAGATGTTCAAACTATGGATGCAGGAAAGTTAAGTAATTTAACTTTCAATATGGTCATATAACTAGCAAGTGGGGAGCTGGAATTTAAATGAAGTACTCTTTAATATTACTCAGATCTTTGTCAACTTTAGTATTGTCTCTTTTTTCTTTTAACTGTTGTGGTGACATTGCATTATGAATTTAAATTGCATTTCTATAATGAGCATTTTTTCATATATTTACTGGCCATTTGAATATCTTCTTTAGTAAAGTGTTCAAATCTCTTGTCCATTTTTTTGTTGTACTGGATCCCATTTTCATACTGATTTGTTGGAGTTCTTTTTAGGTATTAAAAATGTAAATCTTTTATTGGATATATAAAGAGCCAATATCATCTCCCACTCTGTGTCTTGCTTTTTTACGCTGATAATACCTTTTTTAAAAGATACTTTAATTTGGCCCAATTTATTCTTTCCTTTCTTTATCCTTAGAGCTTTTGTTGTTTAAGAAATCTTTGCCAACCCATGTAGGAGAATGTTTATTCTCCTATATATTCTTCCACAAACATTATTGTTTTGCTTTTCACATAGGAAAGGAACAACAACAGGTCTATGGTCTATGAGCCATCTGGAATTGAATTTCATATATGGGATGTGAGGAAGAGATCAAAGTTTATTTTTCCCATATCAATATCTAATTGACTCAGCACAATTTATTAAAAATATCATCCTCTATACATTGTATTGCAATGCCACTTTTTTTTGTAAATCAGGTAATCACACATATATGAATTTATTTTCATATTCTATCCTGTTCCACTGGCCCATTTGTCTATCCTTAGGCTAACATTATGCTAGTGCTTGTATTTTTTTTTCTGAGATAGGGTCTTCCTCTGTCACCCAGGCTGGAGTGCAGTGACACAATAATAGCTCACTACAGCCTCAATCTCCTGGGCTCAAGTGATCCTCCCACCTCAGCCTCCTAAGTAGCTGGGACTACAGCCACAAGCCATCATGTCCAGCAATTTTTTTTTTTTTAAATTTTTAGTAGAGTCGAAGACTCACTATATTGCTCAGGCTGGTCTCAAACTCCTGAGCTCAAGCAATCCTTTTGTCTCAGCCTCCCATAGTGCTGACAGGCATGAGCCATTGTGTCTGGCCAGTATAACAGATATTGACATCTGGTGTTGGTGTACATTCTCCACTTTTGTTGTTCTTCAGAATTGGATTGACTTTTTGATCCTTTGTATTTCCACATACATTTTAGGACCAAGTTGTCAATTTACACACACACAGCTGGAATTTTGACTGAAGTTACATTGAATCTATAGATTAATTTGGGGAGAACTGACATCTTAACAATATTGAGTCTTCCAATCTTTGAACACTGTATATTCCTCCATTTATTTAGATTTTCTTGATCTTAATAATTTTTTGTGTTTTCAATGTACAGAACAGTATGTCTTTCATTAGGCTTATTTTTAGGTATTTTATGTTTTTTGGATGGTTATAAAAATTATAACTTTAAAAATTCATTATTTGTTTCTTGCTGGCATACAGAAATATGAATAATTTTCATTCATTTCACTTTGTATCAGGCCTTGATAAATTCACTTAATTCTAATAGTCTGTAGATTTGTTTGGATTTTCTAAGTACATACATACACAGTCAGCAAATATAAGTTTTATTTCTTCCTCTCTAAATTTTATGTATTTTTCTCCCTTTTTCTTTGTTTTTCTGGCTTTAACCTGCTGTTACAGTTGTTCTAAATCATTGCTAACCTTGGTATTGTCTGTCTTCAGAATTTGTTTTAATATAGATCTGTTGGCGATAAATTCCTTATTTCTTTGCCTGAAAAATATCTATACTTAACCTTCACTTTTGAAAGTGATTCTTATTAGATATAGGTTAGAGTTTATTTTCTTTAAGTACTTTAAAGATGTTCCACTGTATTCTGGCTCCCATAGTTTCTGTTAAAAATTTAACTGTCATTCTTGCTATGATTCCTTTGATAATAATAATATCTTTTTTACTTTGGCTGATACTAATCACAATTATTTTAAGCAATTTTCCTGTGGTAAAATATGCATAAAATTTACCATTTTAACCACTTTAAAGTATATAGTTCCAGGGGCATTATGTATATTTGCATTGTTAAGCAACCATCACCACCATCCATCTCCAGAACTTTTTCATTATCTTGACCTGAAACTGTGTATGTATTAATTAAACAATAACTTCCCATTCTCCCCTCCTCCAATCCCTGATAGCCACCATTCTCCTTTCTGTCTCTATGAATGTGAATATTCTAGGTACTTTATATGATTCAAGTCATACAATATTTGCCCTTTTTTGTCTTGCTTATTGCACTTATCATGCCTTCAAAATTCATCCAAAATTTATTCAAAATTCTGTACATGTTGTAGCATGTACAGAATTTCCTTCCTTTTTAAAGGCTGAATAATATGCATTTATATGTATATATCACATTTTGTTTATCCATTCATCTACTGATAGACCTTTTGGCTATTGTGAATAATGCTGCTATGAAAATAGGTGTACCAATATCTGTTTGAATCCCTGATTTCAATTCTATTTGGTATATACCTGGAAATGGAATTGATGGATCATATGGTAATTCTATGTTTAATTTTTGGAGGAACCATCATCATATGGTTTTTTTTTTTTCACAGCAGGTACATCATTTTATATTGACATCAACGATGCACAATGATTCCAGTTTCTCCACATGCAGGCAAACACTTGTTATTTTCTGTTTTTTGGTAATAGCCATCCCAATAGGTGTGAATGGTATCTACTGTAGTTTTCATTTCCACTTCCCTAATGATTAATGAGGTTGAGTATCTTTTCATGTGCTTACTATTTGCATATATCTTTTTTGGAGAAATGTCTCTTCAAGTCCTTTGTCCATTTTTATTCTTATTTTTTTGAGACAAGGTCTCATTATGTCACCCAGGCTGGAGTGCAGTGGCACAAACATAGATCGTGCAGCCTTGAACTCCTGGGCTCAAGGGATCCTCTGCCTCAGCCTCCCAAGTGGTAGGACTACTGGTGCACACGTCCACACCCAGCAATTTATTTTTTTGTATAGCCAGGGTCTTGCTGTGTAGCCCAGGCTGGTCTCAAACTCCCAGCCTCAAAGTGCTGGGATTATGGGCATGAGCTATTGTACCCAGCATCTTTGCCCATTTTAAAATTGGGATGTTTGTTTTTTTCCGTTGCTGAGTTGTAGGAGTTCTTTATATACTGTAGGTATTAATATCTTATTAGTAATATGCAAGTATTTTCTGTAAGTTGCCTTGTCACTCTGTTGATAGTGTCCTTTGTTGCACATAAGTTTTAAATGTTAATGTAGTCCAATTTATCTGTTTTTCCTTTTGTTGCCTGTACTTTTGGCATCATAGCCGAGAAGTAAACTGCCAAATCCAATATCATGAAGCTTTCCTTCTATATTTTCCTTTAAGAGTTTTAATATTTTTAGTTTTTATAATCGTAGTTATTGTAACCTCTTTAACTCAAAAATCTGGATCCCTTTTGAGTCTGTTTCCCTTTTCAATTTTCTATCTTGGCTTAAGGTCATATAACATTGTCTAATACTATGGTTCACAATTTTTATTGAAAGTTTGACATTGTGTACAAATTGTACAGTCTCCAGATGATAACTTCTTTTGGAAAGAAATATGTGGAGTAGGGGGAGTGAAAAAATCACTTTAACCAAATCAGAGATTGAGCTCAGTTGATAGCTTTGTAATGCTCAGTTTTATTTCAATTTGTCCTTGTTCCTCAAGTATAGTCCTTTAGGGATTTTGCCCTAGGTGATTTCCTTGATAAATTATGGCAGTGTCACTTGATTCCTCCCATATCAGGCATTGTATTATTCTGTTTTCACACTTGTTCTATAAAGAACTGCCCAAGACTGAGTAATTTAAAAAGGAAAGAGGTTTAATTGACTCACAATTCAACATGGCTGAGGAGGCTTCAGGAAACTTACAATCAAGTGGAAGGTGAAGGAGAAGCAAGGACCCTCTTCACATGGTGGCAGAAGAGAGAAGTGCAAGCAGGGGAAAATGCCAGATGCTTATAAAACCATCAGATCTCATGAGAACGCATTCACTGTCTTGAGAATAGGACGAGGGAAACTGCCCCCTTGATCCAGTCACCTTCCTCCCTTGACACATGGAAATTACAGGTCTCTTCCTCTACACATGGAGATTACAATATGAGATGAGATTTGGGTGGAGACACAGAACCAAACCATACTGTTCTGCCCTTGCCCTCCCAAATCGCATGTCCTTTATACATTTCAACATCAATCATGCCTTCCCAACAGTCCCCCAAAGTCTTAACTCATTCCAGCATTAACTCAAAAGTACAAGTCCAAAGTCTCATCTGAGGCAAGGCAAGTTTTCAAAACCAATCATGCCTTCACAACAATCCCCCAAAGTCTTAATTCATTCCAGCATTAACTCAAAAGTCCACAGACCAATGTCTCATCTGAAACAAGGCAAGTTCCTTCCACCTATGATTCTGTAAAATCAAGAGCAAGTTAGTTACTTCCAAGATACAATGAGGGTACAGGCATTGGGTAAATATTCCTGTTCTAGATGGGAGAAATTGGTCAAAACAAAGGGGCTATGGGCCCCACGTAAGTCTAAAATCCAGTGGGGGCAGTCATTAAACCTTAAAGCTCCAAAATAATCTCCTTTGACTCCATGTCTCACATCCAGGGCATGCTGATGTAAAGGGTAGACTCCCATGGCCTAGGGCAGCTCTGCCTCTGTGGCTTGGCAGGGTATAGCTCCATGCCTGGCTGCTTTCACAGCTGGCATTGAGTGTCTGCCGACATTACAGGGGCATGGTGCAAGCTGTCAATGGATCTACCATTCTGGTGTCTGGAGAATGATGGTCCTCTTCTCACAGCTCCACTAGGTAGTGCCCCATTGGGGACCCTCTGTGAGGGGGTCCAACCCTACATTTCCTTTCCACACTGCCCTAGCTAGAGGTTCTTCTTGAGGCTCCACCCCTGTACCAAACTTCTGCCTGGGCATCCAGTCATTTCCATACATCTTCTGAAATCTAGGTGGAGGTTTGCAAAGCTCAATTCTTGACTTCTGTGCACCCATGGGCCCAACACCACGTGTAAGCCACCAGGGCTTGGGGTTTCACCCTCTTGAAGCAACAACCTGAGCTGTACATTGGCCCCTGTTAGCCATGGCTGGGATGCAGGGAACCAAGTCCTGAGAGTGCACAAAGCAGCAAGGCCCTGGGCCTGGCCCACAAAACCACTTTCTCCTCCTAGGCTTCCAGACCTGTTATGGGAGGGGCTGCCATGAAGATCTCTGATATTTTCCCCATTCTCCTCATTACTTACGCAAATGTCTGCAGGCAGCTTGAACTTCTCCCCCAAAAATGGATTTTTCTTTTCTATTACATGGTCAGGCCACAAAATTTGCAAACTCTTATGGTCTGTCACCTCTTGAACGCTTTGCTGCTTAGAAATTTCTCCTGCCAGATACCCTAAATCATCTCTCTTGAGTATGAAGTTCCACAGACCTCTAGGGCAGGGGCAAAATGCCAGCAGTCTCTTTGCTAAAGCACAGAAGAGTGATCTTTGGTCCAGTTCCAATAAGCTCCCATCTCCATTTGAGACCACCTCAGCCTGAAATTCAGTGTCCATATCACCATCCAGCATTTTGATCAAAACCATTCAACAAGTCTCCAGGAAGTTCCAAACTTTCTCACATACTCCTCTATTCTTCTGAGCCCTCCAAACTGTTCCCACCTCTACCTGTTACCCAGTTCCAAAGTCACTTCCACATTTTCAAGTATCTTTATAGCAGTACCCCACTCTTCACAGTACCAATTTTCTGTATTAGTCCCATTTTCACACTGCTATAAAGAACTGCCCAACATTAGGTAATTTATAAACAAAAGAGGTTTAACTGACTCACAGTTCTGCATGGCTTAGGAGGCCACAGAAAACTTACAATCATGGTGGAAGGCAAAGGAGGAGCACGGACCTTCTTCACATGGTGGCAGGAGAGAGAAGTGCAAGAAGGGAACAGGCCAAATGCTTATAAAATTATCAGATCTCATGAGAATTCACTGACTATCTTGAGGACAGCATGGGGAAAACTGCTTCTATGATCCAATCACCTCTCTCCCTCAACATGTGGGCTTACAGGTCTCTCCCTCAACACGTGGGGATTCCAATTCAAGATGAGATTTGGGTGGGGACACAGGCCCAAACCATATCAGGCATACCTTACCATTTCCTAACTTGGTTTATTTCTACTGTCCATACTTTCCTATATTGGAAGAGCTGAATTAACATCTTCAATGTTACATAACTATAAATAAAGGAGTTGGAGCCCATCAGGCAGTCTGACTCCAGAGCCCATACTCTTAAAACTAAACTGCTTATAATGTGACAAGTATTCTGTGCAAGACACAGACTAAAGCTCTCATAAGAATTTATAGGCTAACATTTAGAAAATGCTGTAATAACTTAAATCTATAAAAGATTAAATGATCTACCAAGAAAAGAGAAAAAAATCCAACAACTATATGATTTTTTGACTTTTCCATTTTAGAAAATGAACTAGTACGAGTAACTTCTTTAGGAAGTAAAAAAGAGTCTTAAGAAAAACTTAAAAATAGAAAATAAAGGATGAATAAGTCACAGAAGGCTAAAATGGTTTAGAAATAGCCCATTGGAAATCAATTACAAAGCTGTTCAGACCCTTGGGGATTATGCCAATAATGCTATTCCATTGCCTCTGAGCAGCCCTATCCATGGTCCTTAACTCTCGAGTGCTTTCACTGAACACTCTGGAACTTCTGCCAGATGATTATCAAACTGTATTATATTCTCAACCTCTTTTCAAAGCATTCTCTCAAATTCTGTGCCCTATATGAAACCAAGCCCTTCCTTTAAGGAGGACACTGCTTCCCCTATAGTCCTCTCACATAACAGCAGTTTATTCACTAACATTCCTTCTGACACCCTACTGCTATTTCTAAAACTTCTTATATAAAAAAGAAACAAAATCCTTGCTTTTTTAAAGCTTGTATAATTTGACAATATCACCTTCCTCCCCTTCTACTCACTGTTACTTACTCACCTTATTTTGATCCCTTTCCATTATTCACCAAAGATGTTGGTGCTTGACCCCCATATTTGTAATCTTTTCATCTTACACACTTGGATAATTCATCTACTATCTTGTTTCTTCAGTTCTTTACTTCCTTTCTAATAAAGGAAAGACCACACTAAAACCTTCTATCATCTGAAATGCTCTATTATCGATAATCATGATTTCAAGCATCTACATCTCTGAATACTACTTCATCTTCTTTCAGTTCTCTTGTTCAGTTGTATTCACTTCATCCCCTCCAATTATTCTTCACTTTCATCAGGATGTGCAGTGTAATGAACCCTGTAACTCAAACTTTTGCCCTCTTCCTTCTTTACCTGTTTTTGTATTCAATACCTGTGATCCATCATCCTCAAAATACTGCTATAAATATCTTAAACTATCTTGAAATATCTTTGTTGCTTCATTGTTGCACATTTGTAGAAACACCTCAATCTAGGGATGCTGCTGCCCTACTTCCACTGATGCCCCTCCCCAGCTGACACACATGCACCCTTTTGCACTGCTGAGGCAGCTGGCATGTGTGAGCATGCAAAGATCCTCTTGCCACTACCCCAGTGAAGCACTCCAATGGGGGTAATTCCCCATTGGAGTACTGTGGCAGTGGACTAGGAATACCTTGGCTCCTGCAGCACAGCAGGTTCCTAACCTTGAGGGGCCAGAGAACAGAGCTAGGGGCCTGGTTTCAGCCCCCCAGAGCTACAGCACACAGCTGAGGAGAGCTCAGCTGAGCCTTGACCCCTTAAAATCTTCCAGAAATGAAGCCAGCCAACTGAACCCACCTTATACCACAACCAAACCCCCAAGGGCATCAAAGAAGATAAAAGCAAAAAGCCCCATCTATAGGACAACAACTTAAATGTTGAAGGAACATGAGCCCACACAGATGAGAAATAACCAGCACAAGAACTCTGGCAACTCAAGATGCCCGAGTATCTTCTTACCTCCATATGAATGTAGTTGTTCCTCAGCAATGATTCTTAACCAGGCTGAAATGACAGACATATAATTCAGAATATGGATAGAAATGAACATTGACATTCAGGAGAAAGTTGAACCCCAATGCAAGGATTCTAAGGAATACAATAAAATGATATAGGAACTTAAAAATGAAATGGCCATTTAAGAGAGAACCAAACTGATCTGATAGAACTAAGAAACTCACTACAAGAATTTCATAATACAACCACAAGTATTAACAGCAGAATAGACCAAGCTCAGGAAATAATCTCAGAGCTTGAAGACCATTTCTTTGAAACAACTGTCAGACAAAAATAAAGAAAAAAGAACAAAAAGAATAAACACCTCTGAGAAATATGGGATTATGTAAAGAGAACAAATCTACAACTCATCTATGTCCCAGAAAGAGAGGGAGAAAGAGTAAGTAATGTGGAAAACATATTTGAGGATATCATCCATGAAAATTTCCCCAATCTTGCTAGAGATGCCAATATTCAAATTCAAGAAATGCAGAGAACCCTTGTGAGATACTATACACAATGACCATCCCCAAAACACAAAGCAATCAGATTCTCCAAGGTCGAAATGAAAGAAAAAAGCATTAAAGGCAGCTAGAGAAAAGAGGCAGGTCATCTACAAATGGAACCCCATTAGGCTAAGAGTGGACCTTTCAGCAGAAACTCTACAAGCCAGAAAAGATTGAGGGGCCTATATTCAGCATTCTTAAAGAAAAGAAATTTCAACCAAGAATTTCTTATCTAGTTAAAAGAGGCTTCATAAGCAGAGGAGAAATAAGATCCTTTCAGACAAACAAATGCTAAGGGAATTTGTTACCACCAGATGTGCCTTACAAGAGGTCCTGAAGGGAGTGCTAAACATAGAAATTAAAGACTGTTACCAGCCACCACAAAAACACACTTAAATACATAGACCATTGACACTATAAAGTAGAAACTACACAATCAAATCTTCATAATAAACAGCTAGCAACATGATGACAGAATTAAATTTGCATATATCAAAGTATCAACTTTGAATGTAAATGAGCCAAATGCCCCAATTAAAAGGCACAGAATGGCAAGTTGGATAAAGAAGCAAGACCCAACAATATACTGTCTTCAAAAGACTCATCTCACATGCAATGATAACTATAAGCTCAAAGTAAAGGAATAGAGAAAAATCTACCAAGCAAATTAAAAAAAAAAAAAAAACCAGAAAAAAGCAGGGGTTACTGTTCTAATTTCAGACAAAACAGACTTTAAACAAACAGTGATGAAAAAAGATGACAAAGAAGGACATTACATAATGGTAAAGGGTTCAGTTCAACAAGAAGACCTAACTACCCTAAATATATATATGAACCCACCACAGAAGCAAACAGATTCATAAAATAAGTTCTTAAAGACCTATGAAGAAACTTAGATAACCACATACAAGCAGTGGGAAGTTTAAACATCCCATTGACAGTACTAGACAGATCACTGAGGCAGAAAACTGACAAAGATATTTGGGACCTGCACTCAACACTTGATCAATGAACCTAACAGACTTTTACACAACTTGCCACCCCAAAACAATAGAATATACATTATTCTCATCTGCACATGGCACATACTGTAAATTGGCCACATGATCAGCCATAAAACAATTCTCAGCAAATTTAAAAAAACTGAACCACACTCTTAGACCACAGTGCAGTAACAATAGAAATAAATACTAAAAAGAACTCTCAAAACCATAGAGTTACATAGAAATTAAGCAACCTGTTTCCTGAATGACTTTTGGGTAAACAATAAAATTAAGTCAGAAATTAAGAAATTCTTTGAAACTATTGAGAACAAAGATACAATATAACAGAATCTCTGAGACAGGGCTAAAGCATGCTAAGAGAAAAGTTTATAGCACTAAATGCCCCCATATAAAAGTTAGAAAGATCTCAAATTAACAACCTATCCTTACGGCTAGAAGAAATAGAAAAACAAGAGCAAACCAACCCCAAGGTTAGCAGAAGAAAAGAAATAACCAAAATTACACCTGAACTGAATGAAATTGGGACATGACAAGCAATACAAAAAGATCAAGGAATCCAGGAGTTGGTTTTTTGAAAGAATAAATAAGATTATTTAAAGAATAAATAAGATTATAAATAAGAACAAATAAGATTATTTGAAAGAATAAATAAGACCACAGCTAGACTAACAAAGAAAAAAAGAGAGAACATCCCAATAAACACAATTGGAAATGACAAAGGGACATTACCCCAGAGAAATACAAAAAATCCTCAGACTATTATGAACACCTCTATGCAAACAAATTAGAATAACTACAAGAAATGGGTAAATTTCTGGAAACGTACAACCTCCCAAGATTGAACCAGGAAGAAATTAAAATCCTGAACAGACAAATAATGAATTCTGAAATTGAATCAGTAATAAAAAGGTTACCAACTAGAAAAAGCCCAGGACCAGAATGATTCACAGCCAAATTCTGCCAGATATATAACGAAGACCTGGTAGCATTCCTACTGAAAATATTCCAAAAAATTGAAGAGGAAGAACTCCCCAAGTCATTCTATGAGGATAGCATCATCCTGATACCCAAACCTGGCAGAGACACAATAAAAAAGAAAAAGGCCAATATCCTTGATGAACACTGATGCAAAAATCCTCAGCAAAATACTAGCAAATGGAATTCAGCAGCACATGAAAAAGCTAATCCATCACGATCAAGTAGACTTTATCCCTGGCATGCAAAGTTGGTTCAACATATGTACCAATAATTGTGATTCATCACATAATTAGAACTAAACCCCAAAACCATATAATAATCTCGATACAGAAATGGCTTTTAATAAAATTCAGCATAACTTCATGTTAAAAGCCTTCAACAAATAGGCATGAAGGAATATATCTTAAAATAATGTCGTTTATGACAAACCCATAGCCAACATCACACTGAACAGGCAAAAGCTGGAAGTATTACCCTTGAAAACCAGAGCAAGTCGAGGATGCCCTCTTTCAACACTCCTATTCAACATAATACTGGAAGTTCTAGCCAGAACAATCAGGCAGGAGAAAGAAAGAAAAGGCATCCAAGTAGGAAGAGAGGAAGTCAAACAATCTCTGTCTGTAGATGATATGATTCTACACCTAGAAAACCCCATAGTCTCTGCCCAAAAGCTCCTAGATATAAAAAACTACAGAAAATTTTCAGGATACAAAATCAATGTACCAAAATCAGTAGCATTTCTATACACCAACAAGTCCAAGCTGTGAGCCAAATCAAGAACAAGATTCCATATACAACAGCCACAAAAAGAAAATACCCTAGGAATACAGCTAACCAGGGAAGTGAAGGATCTCTACAATGAGAATTACAAAACACTGCTGAAAGAAATCAGATATGACACAAAGGGAAAAACATTTCATGCTACAGTATCTTGGCATCACTATAAATGCATAACAGCCTTGAAATCAGAAATATACTGGTTGTATGATCTTGGGTAATTTACAATCTCTTGTCATCTTTTTTTTTTTTTTTTTTTTTTCTGGAGAGATGGGTTCTCACTCTGTCTGTCACCCAGGCTGGAGTGCGGTGGTGTGATCATGGCTCACTGCAGTCTCCAACTCCCCAGCTCAAGTGATCCTCCCACCTCAGCCTCCCAAGTAGCTGGGACTACAGACATGTCATGTCTGGTTAATTTTTTGTAGGGACGGGGTCTCCCTATGTTGCCCAGGCTGGTCTTGAACTCCTGGGCTCAAGTGATCCTCCTGCCTTGGCCTCCCAAATCTCATCAGCTTTTATTGGGCATAGTACTATCTGTTTTTCTTCATATTCACAGCTAGGGAAAGCAGAATCACATTTGAGGACAGACACCCAAATATGAGTTGACTGGATAAGTTTATTAGAAATTATGGCCTGCTTTTTGTACTAACAAAAATAAGACTTCTTACTGGTTTATATTCCAGTGTCTTACATATAAATGATCAGCTCAGTTTAAAAAATTTTTATGCTTTACTTATTTCAATAAGCTTCTTAAAATCCTTTTCGGAATGAGGTAGATATAAGTACATACATAAACACACATATATACATATCTTGCTATTATGGGAATTAAGTGAGATGTTTGTACAACTTATAGCAAAAGCTATGGTATTTAAAACTTATTAGAAGTCTGTACTGCTGTTATATTGCTAGGCTTTGCTTTCAAAATAGTGAAAAATTTTGATGGATTTAGAAGTTCCATTTTCACCTTGGTTTTTTAGAATGTCTGTTTGATTATATATTAATAATGGACACAGTGTGGTATTGTAAAAAGAACTGGGCAATCTAAGTTCTCTGTTTTTCATTTGCTACTTTTTTTTTTTTTTTTGACAGAATCTCACCGCCCAGGATGGAGTGCAGTGGTGCGATCTGGGTTCACTGCAACCTCCGCCTCCCGAGTAGCTGGGACTACCGACGTGAGTCACTGTGTCCGTCTAGTTTTTTTATTTTTTGGAAGAGATGGGGTTTCACCATGGTGGCCAGAATGGTCTAAAACTCCTGATCTCAAGTGGTCCGCCAGCCTCAGCCTTCCAAAGTGCTGGGATTACAGGCATGAGACATCGCACCTGACCCTGATACATCATATTGAGTAAATTTCTTGTCATTTCATCTCTCTGCTCGATTCCAAACCTATAAAGTGACGTAGGGAGTGAGGATCTTAGATGATCTAAGGGCTTTAACAGTTTCTTTTTTTTTTTTTTTTTTTTGAGACGGAGTCTCGCTCTGTAGCCCAGGCGGGAGTGCAGTGGCGCAATCTCGACTCACGGCAACCTCCGCCTCCCGGGTTCAAGCGATTCTCCTGCCTCAGTCTCCCGAGCAGCTGGGACTACGGGCGCGTGCCACCACGTCTGGCTAATTTTTTGTATTTTTAGTAGAGACGGGTTTCACCGTGTTAGCCAGGATGGTTTTGATCTCCTGACCTCGTGATCCGCCCACCTTGGCCTCCCAAAGTACTGGGATTACAGGTGTGAGCCACTGCGCCTGGCCAGGCTTTAACAGTTTTAAGTCTATGATTCTATTATCTGAGGGGCATACCAAGAAATAGGCTGAAAGAATAGCAATACGTACTTCTTGGGAACTTCATTTCTTAAATACCATGTATGTGCATATGTATCACTTAATATAAACAACTTGTCTTTCCTTGGTGTGTCCATACACAATACTATGGGTTTATGCTTTTGGAGCAATGTTGTGCAACAGTGACATCTAGTGACTACATATCACAGATCATTCAGCAAAACTTTATGGCCAACTTGTACTCTTCTAAATGTGGATGATTTACTTTGTAGCCCAGCTAAATACTTTTAAATAATTCCTCACCTCTCTCCTCTAAAGAAAGGTATGCCAATTAAATTTGACAACAGCATTAATAATTGGCTAAATAAGAACTGAAATTTCCTTTAAAAATCATAATGTATATGGAATTCAGTATAAATTATTCTAAATGAGACTGCAGCTCTTTTCCTTCCACTGAGAGTGGCAAAGCTGGGATTTTCAATTCCAGTGTGTTTAAATATAGTCTATTCTCTTATCTACTATGCATTGCTGACATGTAGTAGGCATTTAACACATACTTATTCAATTAATGTTAGGTAAAACATATGCATCAACAGTTGTGAGTATGTATTGCTTTGGAATCTTTGGAACTATTGCTGCCTTTCAAACAAAGAACTCTTCTTGAGGTCAGATAAAAGATTAACACAATTATAAACAACCACAGTATACATCTTTCTGAACAAATGAATTTGAGACCTACATGCATGCATAACAGAATACTCTTTATAAAAGGCATTCAAACTAGGTCAGTATTTTTTTTAAGATAATGACTACCTAGTATTATTATTTAATCAGGACAATACAAATCTGGGCTAAACTTCTACTACTATAATTCAAATTGACTGTCATTGTTAAAATTCCTAATAGTATTTAGGATTTGATCTCATTAGTCAGATAGTACCTTGATTTTAAACCGTTTTCGGGTGCCTAGATCTTGTTGCCACAATAAAGTGACACGGTGTCTGTCTTAGGTCATTTTGTATGCTGTAACAGAATACCACAGATTGGATAATTTATAATGAAAAAAATTTCTTTCTCATAGTTCTGGAGGCTGAGAAGTTCAAGATCAAGGCACCCCAGCATCTTGAGAGGGCCTTCTTGTTCCATTCTCTGGAGGGGAGGGAGTCTATGTCCTCCTCACATGGCAGAAGGTATAAGGGTAAGGGACGCAAATGGGTGGCAGAACTTGTCCTTTTATAATGAAATTAACCTCACCCATGTGGGCACAGCCCTCAAGGCCTAATAACCTCTTAAAGGTCCCACCTCTTGATACTGTTACAATCAACATGAGTTTTGGAGGGGACAAACATTCAAACCATAGTAGTGTCTTAGTCTATTTGTGTTGCTTTAACAAAATCCTCAAGATTGGGTAATTTATAAATAACAAAAATTTATTTTGTCACAGTTCTGGAGGCTGGAAAATCCAAGATCAAAGTGCTGACAGATTTGGCATCTGGTAAAAGCTCAGATCTCTGCTTCCAAAATGGTGCCTTGAATGCTGCATCTTCTGGAGGAAATAAATGCTGTATCTTTACATGTTGGAAGAGACAGAAGGGCGAAAAGGGGCTAGCTAGCTCCCTCCACTTATTTTATAAGGGCATTAATCCATTTATGAGGGCAGAGCCCTCATGACCTAGTCACCTCCTAAAGGCCCCAGCTCTTAATACTGTTGCATTGGGGATTAAGTTTCAACATGAAATTGGAGGGACACAAACATTCAAACCATAGCATTTTGCCCCTTCCCCCACAACAAATTCATGTCTTTCTCACATATAAAACACACTTGTTCCATCCCAGTAGCTCCAAAAGTCTTAACTGTTTCCGATACCAACTCAAAAGTCCAGAGTCCAGAGTCTCATCTAAATCAGATATGGGTGAGACTCAAGGTTTGATTCATCCTGAGGCAAATTGCTCTCCAGCTGTAAGCCTATGATATCAAGCAAGTTATATCATTCTAAAATACAATAGTGGGACAGACAGAGGAAAGATAGATATTCCCTTTTCAAAAGGGAGGAAATAGAAAAGGAGAAAGGGGTAATAAGTTCCAAGTAAGTCCCAAACCCAGCAAGGCAAACAACATTAAATCTTGAGACTTGAGAATAATCTTCTTTGACTCCATGTCCTGCCTTCTGCATACAATGGGGAAGGGGTTGAGCCCCCATGTCTCCTGGGAGCCTTGCCTGCATGGCTTTAGGGGGAGCAGACCATGCACCAGTTCTCACATGTTGGCATCACATGCCTGTCGCTCTCCCAGGCAGGAATTGCACACTGGTATCTCTAGTGGCCTACAGTCTTGGTGGTGGCTCTGCCCCCATAGCTCCACTAGGCATTGCTCTTATGGGGGCTCTCTGCGGTATCCCTGACTCCACAGCTCTTGTAGGCACTGCCCTAGTGGTGACTCTCTGTGCTGACCTCACACCTCTGGCAGTTCTGTGCCTGGGCCCCAAGGTTCTCTGTGACCTCCTTTGAAATCTATGCGGAGATAGCCATGACTACAGACTTAGCACCACATGGGCACCACCAAGGTTTACTGTTTATACTCTCTGACACTGCACCTGGGCCTGCTTGAGCCACAGCTGGTGTGGCTAAGGAATGCTGAGCCACATGTGTGGAGCAGAAAGTTGACGTGGCCCTAGGCAGCAAGCCCTGAGTTCCCATGGACACCCTGGGCCCCTCCCTTGAAACTGTTCTGCCCTGAAGGCCCTGGCACTCTGAGCCTGTGATAAGAGTGGTAGCCTCAAAGATCTCTGAAATACCTTCAGGGCCACTCCTCCACTGACTTGATGAATAACATCTGGCTTCCTTCCATCCATACTAATCTGCTTATCAAACATGCACTTGGCCATATTCTTGGTATTCTCTCCTGAACTCAGTCTTTACAACCTGGTTAGGCTGAAAAATTTCCAATTCTTTAAGTTCTGCTTCCTTTTTGATTATAAATTCCATCTTGAATTAATTTTTCTCTTTTTGTCCAGTATCATAAACAGTCAAGAGAAGCATGTAGCACCCTCAGCATTTTGTTTAGGTATTTCTTCCCCTAAATATCCTATTTCATTGCTCACAGGTTCTGCCTTTCACAAAGCATTAGGACACAGGTGGAATTCAGCCAAGTTCTTTGCTACTTTATAACAAGGATGACCTTTCCTCCAGTTTCTAGTAAGACATTCTTTATTTCCACTGAAGAACTCATCAGAATGGTCTTTACTCTCCACATTTCTACCAGCCTTCTGATCATGATTAACTTAGATAATCTCTAAGAACATGAAGGCTCTTTATACAGCTCTCCTCGTCTTCTGAACCTTCATCAGAATTGCCCTTAATGCTCTGTTCATGGTAATCTAGACTTTTTCTAGGAGGCACTTCACAACTGTTCTAGCTTTTATTCACTACTAGCTACAAAGCTGCTTTTACAATAATAGGCATTTGTTATAGGAACACTCCACTTCTTAGTAACAATTTCTTAGCCCATTCCTGCTGCTATGCCAAAATACTTGAGACTGAGTAATCTATAAATAACAGAAACCTACTTTCTCACAATTCTGGAGGCTGGGAAATCCAAGATTAAGGTTCAGTCAGGTTCAGTGTCTGGTGAGGTCTCTGCTTCCAAAAGGGTGCCTTGAACATTGTATTCTCTGAAGGGAATGAACATTGTGTCCTCACATGGTGGAAGGCATGTAAAGGCAAAAAAGTCCTAGCTAGCTGTCCCCAGGCCTCTTGTAAGGACTTTTATAATACATTCATGAGGGCAGATCCCTCATGACCTAACCATTTCCTAAAGGCCTCACCTCTTAATATTGTTGCATTGGAGATTAAGTTTCAGCATGAATTTTGGAAGAGACATAAACAGTCAAACCATAGCATAAACCATTCCAGGCATGTTTTATATTCTTTTCTTTCTCTTAGCACCAAACACAATGGTTTTTCTCAACTATAGACAAAGCTACCAAAAACTTACCCAGAATCCAAGGTTTGCTATACATGGAATCAAACTGTCTCACCAGCTTTCTTTCTGGTTCTTTCTTTTGACCCAACATTTCAGTCAAACTGTTAACTGCACTCCATGCCTTTATTTGGTTGGAACATCTTCCCACTGAACCTCTTTGTAAATATCCATTGATTATTCTAAATAAAGCTTCCTGCAATGCACACTACATAAACTGGATGTGTTTTTCCCCTTTTGAATTCTCACATCATTTTGTTATTTGCTCTACCATCCTTACCTCTCTGGTGTCCTTTCTTTGTCTTTGTTAGTGGTTTCTTTCCCCTATTCATCCTTTAAATATTGGGCTTCCTCAGAATTCTTCTCTATGCCCTATTCTCTTCTCACTCTATATACATTTCTCAACATCTATTCTACTATTATGGCTACAATTCTAACTAATATGCTGAGGAATTTGAACTAGAAAAGCTCTCAAGATTCTATTTAGTATATCTAATTACTTATTGAATATCTCTACTTGTCTTACAAGCATCTTAAGTTAGTATATGCACAAACTCAAGATCTTTCCCCACCAAAGTTATTCCTTCTCTGGATAATTTCCTATCTCAGAGAATGAAGCCACCATCGACCTAGTTGCTCAAAACAGAAACTGAGAAGTCATTCTTTCTCGCTGCTTTTCTTTATCTGCTAAAATCAAGTGAATTACTAAATCATGTTAAGACAAGTTACTGAATGTTTAAAAATTTTATTCATTTCTTTCCAGATAAATTGTCACTAGTCCAGTCCAGGCCATAAGCATTTCCCCACCTAAACACCGTAATGGCTTTCCAACTTTTCCCCACATCCAGTCTTGTTCCTCCTCAATGTAATTTTCACAATGCAGAACAATATTCTTAAATGTAAGCTTGATTATGGCAACAACCTTCTTAATATTCCTCAATGACTTCCCATAGAAGAAAAATGTTAAAACTCCTTACATTCAGCTTATAGGGTCCTTTGAATAAGGCTCTAACCTTGACCCTGCCTACCTTCTCATTCATCACTTGACACTCTAAACTTTAGCCATACTAAATTTTTGTTCTTCAAACTTGCCATGTCTCACATCTCCAAAACTTTATGCATTCTGTACGCTGCCTTCCAACACCAACACTCTTGCTTTTCATCCAGCTAACGCTTCATCAATTTAGAAGTCATTTCTTCCAGAAGATTTCCTGACGCTACCTTCAACATGCATCCTTATCATGGCATCCAATGCTTATCACAGCATCCACCCCACTATTTTAATCCTTGTTTAACTGTCATCATTTTTAAATTTGACAAATATTCATTGAGAGCCCATTATATTACAGATACTGTATTCTCCTCTGTATACAGAATGTGGTAAATATAGAGTATTGTAGAAGCACGTTTAGGATGTGAGAGAAGTCCAAGAAATGCTTTTTAGTGACTTGTGTTCCCATCTATTTCCCTACTAAATTAAACCAGAGACAGTTTCATAATCATTTCTGAGTTATTTGAATTGCCTAACATAGTATATAGTAGATAAATATTTTATACCATCAATTATTGGATTTTAAATACATACTAAATATTCTTTGCATTGTAAGAGGCCACCAGCCAGCCAATACTTTCTACCCAGCAACTTTTTCTTTGATATCACTTTGCATACAATAGAGTGTAAAAAGCAAAGAGACAAACTAATATAGTGGAAAATATGGGACTTAGAGTCAGAACACTGTGATTAATAATTCTGCCACTTACTAGGTATATGTCCTTCGTCAAGACCCTTAACCTCTCTGAGTCTCAATTTCCTCATCTGAAAAAGGCCATTAGGAGAATGAAATGAGATAAAGAGAAAATAAAAGCATAAAATGTAAGAGGTTATCCAAAATGATGTCTATTATTATTATTGTTATTAAAGTCAATGCAGATCAAGTCTCCTTATGACTGGTTATCCCAGCTCTGTAAGGCTACAAGATTTTCAAAGTTCATTCTTCATCTTCCCTTTACCATCCAAGAGATAATCTTTTGTACTTTAATAAACACATATTGATGGAAATGGTTAAAAATCACAAAGAAAAACAAGCCCAAAATTGAATAAGTATACATTAATGTATGAAAGGGACAAGACAAAAGTACCAGCCTATGACAGTTTATAATTTGAATGTATGGACCAAAAAAAAAAAAAAAAAAATCAGGCCACAATTTTTTTTAATGTTGACCAGAAGGGTAGGTAGGTGGCACAAAAGAGTAATGCTGTGAACTGTTTCACAGTAAAATGGTAACCCATTGACCTAGAAAGTCAAGATATCTGGGCTCAAATACTAATTTAGCTACTAATTCAACCACTAATACCCAGGTGGTCTACCCACCCAACACTCTAGTCTTTCAGTTCCTTGATCTCCTTAGCTCCTATTGTCTTTTTCTTTCACTGTATCTCAGCCACTCACTCACAGGGCCACAAATCTCAAATGGCCACTCAACTTTGCCCAGCTGTGCTATTATTCTGATTGCTTTCCATCCTCCAAATGACTATTTTGTATCTTATCTTCTCCCCTTAAACCTCCTACCCAAATATTCCTCCTCACTCTTTACTAATCTTGCGTCATACCTTATCTTCATTGAGAAAAAGTATCAGTATCAGGCCGAAGGTCTCACCTCTGACCACTGAATCTACCCATCTATCTGCATCTCTACCCATACTTGCTGTCTTTCTTCTTACCAGAAATTATACGTTCATGTGGTTGGGTGCGGTGGCTCACACCTGTAATCCCAGCACTGTGGGAGGCCGAGGCAGGTGAATCACCTGAGGTCAGGAGTTCAAGACCAGCCTGGCCATGGTAAAACCCTATCTCTACCAAAAATACAAAAAATTAGCCAGGCATGGTGTGTTGGTGTGCGCCTGTAATCCCAGCTACTCAGGAAGCTGAGGCAGGAGAATCGCTTGAACCCGGGAGGCAGAGGTTGCAGTGAGCTGAGATTGCTCCATTGCACTGTAGCCTGGACAACAAGAGCCAAACTCTGTCTCAAAAAAAAAAAAAAAAAAAGGAAAGTATATGTTTATATGTTCATGTTCCTACCTAAGGCCAATACTTCTATATATTCCCTGGATTCCATACCCTCTCATTTTCTCAAAGACTTCACTCCTAAAATATACACACTCTCTCTTATACCATCATTTCCACCCCCCTCTATTGGATTATTCTCAGTCTAAATATGCTTAAGTGTCCTTATCTTTAAGAACCCTTCTTTGACCATACATATTTCTCTATTACCTCCATTTCTTGGCTCTCTTTCATAGTAAAACATCTTGAGATGTCTATAGTACTACGTCAATTTCTGCCCAGCCAGCAGTACTATGTCAATTTCTTGACACCACATTTTCTCTTTATTGTACTAGTCAAGGCATATAACTACTTAATGTTTCCAAAACCCAATGCACAGATCTCTTTATTTTATTTGACTTCTAAGCATGATTCAGTACTGTTGGCCATGTTTTGTAGTCTTGGCTTTTTTTTTTTTTTTTTTTAATTGAGATGGGGTTTCTCCATGTTGGTCAGGCTGGTCTGGAACTCCCGTCCTCAGGTGATCCACCCACCTTAGCCTCCCAAAGTACTGGGATTACAGGCATGAGCCACCATGCCCGGCCAGTCTCGGCTTTTATGTCACTGCACTCTTCAGATTTTCTTCCTACTTCATTGGCTATTCTTCCATCTCTTTTGTTGGCTTCTTTTCCTCTGCTTTACACTAGTCACTGCAATGTTATCGGTGAGCACACTTGCCCTAGGTAGTTTTCCATATGCTGGTGACTCCCAACTTTGCATCTTTGGTTCCTTGCACTCTGCACAGAGCTGAAGCCTCAAATTACCTTTGATTTCTAATAAGAATGTAAAAATTAAGGTAAGCAAAATAAAACTCCCCCCTCCCACCGCCCTGGCTGCTCCTTTTTCTTCCTTAGTCTTTTCCATTTGGTAAATGGCACAATCATCCACACAAGCTCAAGACAAAAATTTAGGGGCTAGAGGTGACTCCTTTTTCATCACCTCTATATTCAAAACATCACAAAATCTGTAGGCTCTGCCCCCAAAATAGAGCTCACATACATCTACTTCTCTGCTATTTTATCCCAAACTTGTCATTCCTCTTTGGATTTCTGCAATTATCTTCTGCTATAGATCTTGCTCCCCACCCAGTATGATTCAGTCATCACATAATAGGCAGAACAAACCTTTTTACAATGTAAATCAGATCCTATCACTCCCTCCAACTCACTACTGGTTTCTCTTTACACTTTAAATAAATTCCAAACTTATTCCATGGGTAGATTTCCATGGCCTATTCAAAGCCTTACATGATTTGGCCCCTACCTATCCCTCCAAGCTCATCCTGTACCACTTTCTCTACATTTTAGCTTCAGTGGTCTTGATGATGTTCCTGGAAGGAGCCAAGTTCTTTCCTTCCTTAGGGCTCTTGCAATTGGAGTTGCCTTTACCTGTAGTGCGCTGATCCCAAATATTTCCATGGTTGGTTTTTAAAAATATCACTAAGCAATCAATCTAAACTAACCCCTCCCCCAGTCTTAAGGAAGACCTTTACAGTTTTACTTCTTCACTGTGCTTACTATTATCCAAAATTCCTTGCTCATATAGTTTACCTATTTTCTATCTTACACTCACTAGAATTTAAACTTCATAAGAACAGCGATCTTGCTAGTCTTTCTTACCATTGTATTCACAATGCCTAAAACAACGCCTGACAAAGTAGGATATTCTTTAAAAAATACTTAATGAATGCCTTTCCCTAAGCAAGTCACTTGACTTCTCTACTTAACTCACACTGGTGAGTTTACTACTGCTAGACTAAGCTCTGGATCCAGGAAAAACAAAAGTGGCTAAGGTATGGCTTCTTCAGAAGCTCATCCATTCATTCCCTCAAAAAATATTTATTGAACATATATTACACTATGTTCCAGGTACTATTCAATCTCAGTGTTTAGTAAACACCACAGTAACATGGGATTTGGTTAACCAACAGAAGTGTTTAAACAGGATGAGTACAAAAATAAGTACAAAATGAGAAGTACTATAAAAACGATACTTTATATGTTACAACTATAGCACCCACCTATTTCCTTGTGTCTAGTAATTGGCAGGACCTTATGACAAGAGCCAACTGAAAAACAGCAGTATAAATTCTGGTACTCTAAAAGCCCAGACTTCACCACTGTGCAATATATCCACACAACAAAACTGAACTTGTACTAACTAAATCTGTATAGAATTTTAAAAAGTAAGTTAAAAAAAATTCTGGTACTCACAGGGGACAATACCTATGAATGCCCTTTTCATAGGCACACAGTGACTAAAATATTTGGGGCATGAATTCTCTAGGGGTGACAATAATAAGTGTCATTTTTCATGCTTCTGTTGCACACATAATTATATTTATCTCTAAGGAAAATCAGAGAGTGGGGTGTGGCCTCCCTCAGTGCCACCTGGGCCAGTTGTCTCCCCACATCACCAAATCTGTTATTTCACAGGCTCTAGGACACCCATAGAGGGGGAGTGAGGGACCTGGTATGGTCCCGTGAAGAGCTCTTGTAACACTACTGATTGATGTGACAGACACAGTATGTGTGCAACTTTCCT
Source organism: Homo sapiens (assembly GCF_000001405.40). Lineage (NCBI taxonomy): Eukaryota > Metazoa > Chordata > Mammalia > Primates > Hominidae > Homo > Homo sapiens. The sequence goes on from NC_000004.12 coordinate 103,018,755, forward strand.
TTTTCCTTCAAAAGCACTGGTCTAAAGCAGGGATCCCCAACCCCTGGGCAGCAGACAGGTACAGGTTTGTGGCCTATTAGGAACAGGCCACACAGCAGGTGAGCAGGGCTAGAGGATTATGCCTGAGCTCCAGCTCCTGTCAGATGAGCAAAGGCATTAGATTCTCATAGGAGCACAGACCTGATTATGAACTGCGCATGTGAGGGATCTAAATTGCGCCTTCTCAAGAGAATCTAATGCCTGATGATCTGAGATAGAAGAGTGTCATCCCATCTTGCCCCCCACCCCAAACTGTCTTCCATGAAACTGATCCCTGGTGCCAAAAAGGTTGGGGACTGCTGGAAGTGCTTGTCCCCTGGGTTAAAGCCAAGAGGAGTAAACAGGATTAAGGGGCGTGGATGTGGGTGGGTGGGGGAAGAGAGCTTTCTCAGGATCGGCAACCAATCCCAGAATCTCCAGTCGCAGGAGCATGTATGTGAAGGTTTATTTGCAGGGATCCACCGTTTGTAAAATAGTACACGCTTAATAAAATTAATTTTGAGGTCAATCTTAACTGACAGATCTCTTCTTTCTTACTGGCGAGTATTTGTAAAATAAGAAAAACAGGAGGAAAAGAGAACAAACAAGAGAGATGTGGGATGACGGAGTAAGGAAAGGAGTCACGGAGAGGAGAGACAATGTCTGTGGCTGTTCCCTCAGCGTCTGGGAGAAGAGCCCAAGAATCCCATTGAACTGAGGGGGAGGAAAGGCCCTCCTGCGGCCTACCGCAAGGAAACGATCGCGGCAGACCCGGGACTAGCGCCAAAGGGCTTGGAAGGGCGGCGTTAAGAAAAATGGGCCGTACCTACAACTTCTTTCGCAGCCCTCGCTGGCCCGGGAGCGGCCCAGGAGCCCAGTGACCGTTGCGTAAGCCACGCGCCACCCAGGTGGGCAGGGTGGTGACGCGAAAGCCCGGATAGACTTCCGCGCAGGGGCGGGGCGGGGCGAGGAGGCGGCAGCGCGTTTAAGTGACGTCTTGGCTGTCCGCGCCGGCAGAGGCGAGGGTTCTGGGGTTTCTGGGACTGTCTGGTGTGTTTTCTGTCTATTGAACCCTTTCCTTTCGACGTCTCTTCTGAATATTGACTCATCGGGTTGTAGAAATCCAGGGACAGAGTTGACATCACTGGGCATTTTAGCCAAAAAGCAGTGCTCGGGACTGCATGTGCCAGAAGTAAACTTGTCAAAACTCAGATTGTGTTTCCCCTAAAGTCAGCTTAAAGTGCAATGGTAGAAGAGCACGGTCTCTCCCCAAGACGGCCTGAGCTTAAACTGCAGCGCTGTCACTTGCTAGCTATGGGACCTAGGCAAATACATCGTCTCCCTGAGGTTGTCTTCTCATCTGTAAAGGACGCTGTGGTGGTGGTGTGAGAATAAATGAGACATGGCAAGTGTCTGGAACAAAGACGCTGTGTACAAAGTAAACACTTAATATACTGTTATCAGTATAAAACCTTTGTGAGTTTTTTTTTTTTTTCCGCATGAAATCTTATGTGGAAAGTTGTATGTGAAAGAAATGAAAGCGGAGCTGCGTTGATGGTGGGCCCAGAAGCTTTGGCCTTTCAGTCCCAAAGTTTCCAGTAATAGAATCCGCGCTTCCTATAAAAGACAAAAACAACTGTTATTGGAGAAAGTGTAAACTTCTTAGAAAGACAAACTGCCCTTTCCTATCTAATGTTTCTCCTGACACTCAATGTTTACTCTTGAACACTGTATTCCTTTTTGCCTCAGTGCGTTCTGTAAAGTTAATTCCTCTACCGGAGTGTTCTTTTTCTTAGTCATCATCTAAGATCTGATCCAAATTACCGTTCCTTCTTGGGTAACTTAAATACGAAATTATCTTTTTATTGGTTTTGTTGACGTTGTTGAGACAGGGTCTCACTCTATTACCCCGGCTGGAGTGCAGTGCGATCTAGGCTCCCTGCAGCCTCCTCCTCCTTGGTTCAAGCGATCCTCCTGCCTCCTGAGTAGCTGGGACTACAGGTGGGCACCACTACCCCCGGCTAATTTTTGTATTTTTAGTAGAGAGGAGTTTCACATATTGCCCAGGAGGACTTGAACTCCTGGACTTAAGTGATCTGCCCGTCTTGGCTTCCCACAGTACTGGGATTACAAGCGTGAGCCACCACAGCCCTGCCCTTTTTATTGTTTTTAACACCTTCCCTCCTTCAACGTGTTATAGACATCTCAGCAAGGATTTATTTTTCTTCCTCGTTTCAGGAGAGTAGACAGGGTTTCATGATTATAGGGTTAAGGAAATGTTTTGTACTCATGAAAAGGAAATGTTTTGTACTCACAGGAAAAGCAGGTAGATCCCTAAAGATAATGGGAGTTGGGACAAATGGTAAACCTGGGAAGGAAGACCTTTGCTAGGAGTCTGTTTGCCTCCAAGGCACTACTCTTATGCTCTAGAAGGAATGGGCTCCTGGAGAGGTAAGTGCTTTAGGGTCCATGTAAGGAAGATGGAGCGCACATCAACAAATGGAGTTTTGGAATTCTCACCAGGCCAGAGGGCTCAGGCTGGATTTGAGTCAGTCAACTATAAATATAATATTACGTACTCCCCAAATGCCATGAAGCAATTCCCACTTGTTACAGAGAGGTACATAAATGATTCATATAAAAATATAATGTTCTGAGACATTAAAAAAATACAGTGGTTCTTTGGGAGACAATATAATGAAAATTTACTAATAAAAAACATTTAAACAATCATCTGATAACCTTTCTTATAAAAATTAAGTTTTAAAAATAAGTAAATTGATTATATTTGCAACAAAGTCATGGAAAGCAAAAGCTTTTGAGGAATAAGGAGAATCTTAACTGAGAGCAATTTTTTAAAACTATACATGACATGATAAAAAAAGTTTTAACACTTTCTACATAGTTTCATACTTCTGAAAGTACTTCAATAAAAATATTTAGCCAATGATCTATTTAGTATGATTTCAGTGCCAACTTTCTTTTCTAGTCTTATCTCTAATTCTCTTCATCAATCTCAAGTGCCAATCACTTTCTATGCTCCAGGCTTTACTGTTTTCAAAACTTTGCTAATATGCCAGCCTCCCACACTAGTTGTTCCCATCTTCACCTTACTCCCTAATATTACCCCATCCATCCAGATCCTCTCCATTCTTGAAGGTCTAGTTCAAGTATCAGTTCCTCTAAGATTTCCTCAACTTCTACACTAAAAACACTTTTGAATTATTCACTTGGATTATAGCTATTTGTACATATCTTATTTCCTTCTAAGGTTCTTAAAGGCAAGTATCATGTCTTATTCATATTTGTATTCCTCACATTGTCAATTTTCCACTAGAATCAAGTTCTATTGAAAACCAAGCCCTTGAATATCTTGTTCATCACTGTATTCCCTAGTATCTAGCACAAGACCTGGCACACAGTAGGCATGTTATAATATATTCTGAGTGAGGGAGTAAATGGATTTTAAAACAAGCTCCATGAAGGCAGGGATTTGTCTGTTTTATTCATTGCAAAATGAATATCTGAATATAAACATGAAGGCTTAGCATTCATTATATACAAAAAAATTCTTCAATCTACATAGCATCATAAAAGCCAAATATGAAATACTTATGTTGCCTTTCACCCAACAAATTCAGTTGATGATATATCTTTCTGAAAATAATACATCCCCCAAAACTGCAGTACAATTTTAAAGAAAAATAAAATACATGTTTATATTAGTTTCAGTTTTCTTGTTTGTATTTTTCTGTGTTCTAAATTTTTTGCAATGAAAATGTGTTACTTTATAATCAGAAAAAAATACTATTTTTAAAGAATGTAGTGGATGAGATCATTTGCAAATGTTTACCTGAGGAAATTTTGAGGACATCAAGATCAATCAAGGTGATTGGGAGTTAATACCAGACAGAAATATACTGTCCTTGGAAATATGACACTTCTTTCAGGGACTGAATTATGTCCTTCCCCACACATTCATATGTTGAAGCCTTAACTTCCAATGTGATGTATTTAGATATGAGGATTTGGGAAGGCAATTAGATTTGGATGAGGTCATGAGGGTAGGGCCCTCATGCTGTGATTAGAGTACCCTTATAAGAAGAGACACCAGAGAGCTTGCTTGCTCTCTCTCGGCATCAAGTGATGACACATGAGTGAGAGGGTGAGAATGTGGCCATTGGCAAGCCAGGGAGAGAGACTTCACCAGAGCCCAACAATGCTGGCATCCTGATCTCGAACTTCCAACCTTTAATAGAAGTAAGTTTCTGTTGTGTAAGCCACCCAGTGTATGGTATTTTGTTATAGCAGCCCAAGCTGACTAAGATAGACTAAGTGGACTAAGATCCGAACTGTCGTGTGGCAAGTAGTTTTCTGATATTGAGAGAGGATCCTCTTCCTCTCAGATTTAGTCAGTAAATGTTTATTAAATGTCTACTGTGTTCCATGCCCTGTGAAAAATGCTGAGGATTCAAGGATAATTAAGACAAGGTTCCTACCCATAGGGAGCTGATTTAATAAGAGACAAACATGTAAATAAAGTGAAAAAAAGTGTTACATGTGCTCTGACATAAGTATGTATAAGGGACCCAAAAGTTAGAGTAATTGTTTCTATCTGTGGTTTAAGAGGGGATAGGTTGAGTTGGTCAGTACTCTATCAGGTTAACCCTAAGTTCACCAACCAAGTCAAGAGATGTGGCTTTCAATGTGGTGACAAACCCCGGCCTTCACATGGTGAGCCCTGCTGAATGGTCAGCCTCTGTCATTCTTGACCTCACCATCTCCATGATATATAACAGCAACATAGTCTTATAGCAATTAATAAATTCCTACAAAGAGCTTCCAGGAATAGGCACAAATTTCAGAGATCCAATAGAGGAAGTCAAAAAGCCAGCACTGGGCAGTCACAGAGATTTAGATGGTGGCTACCCTCTTAGAGGTAGAAAAGAGTTTGCTGCATGACCTCAAAATGAAAACAGGTATTGGCAGTGGCTTCAGGTGCCCTTCAATCATTTCTGTACTCTGTGGACTTCCATTTCTAATTTTCCTAGGGGCCCTAAACATATTCAATAGCATTCTGATTTAGTTATACTAACTGTATTATGTATAAGTTAATAAATATTCCAAGCCTGTTACTTGGAGAAAATGCCACTGATGACCTGGGAAACAGCATGAAGTGTAACACTTTTTGGTCTTACATCCCTTTTGCTGGCTAAGTCCTAATCTTCCCTCAGCCAATGCCCTACTTTCTCTGGGAAGCTGTGCCTAAACTCCACCACCCTTGGATTGATTGAGTGCTCCTGCCATGAGCTCCCTAGCAGCCCTGTAGTTCCTGCATAATAGCACTTATCATATTGTTTTGCAATGTCTTGTTTAACTGTCTGTTTTCTCTATTGGACTGTTAAATCCTTAAGGACAGGGACAATATTATTCTTGATGATGTGCCTGGATCTCAAAAGCTTTCAGTAAGTATTTTTTGGATGCATCTACTTTTAGAGCCTGCAAAAATAGAGGACCAGATGATCATTAAGTTTATGGTGCTCCCAGCAAAGTGCACCTAACCAATGAAGTTCAGTTCAAAACACTTATCTGACCTTTGGTATAAATTAATCAAGTCCAAATCAAGAGCATAAACATTAAAGGAATACAGCACCATAGGGTAACCAAAGCAAAGTTGACATAAAATTGAAGGCTATTTAGAAGAAGTGAATATTAAACTAGTTTTGAATAGAGGTGAAAGCCATGGTGGATAGGGCTCGAACAGAAGTCTAATGAAGAGAGGAATGGACAGGCTTTATTTATGCAGATCAGCTTGGTGGGATTAGGATATTCATAATTCATTCATCTAATACATATTTAATATCTACTTCAAGATTAAAATGAACTTTGAATTCTAGGTCGAGGAGTTTAGATAGGATATGACAAGTATGTAATAAACACTTCAGGTACACAGATAACATGATAAAAACTGTAAACTGTATGTGAATGTGATTATTTCAGTAACTACACAGAAGATGACCTAGAGTGAAGAGGAACTTATGAGTGATACACAAAAGCAGAGATGGCCTGTTACAAAGTAGGATAAAATATGACCTATGCAGGTAAGTCTTTCTTCTAATATTTTCTCTGCTGGCAAGTCACAATTTCTGAAATCCCTGCCATAGAAGTCACTCTTTTGGTTTAAGGCAATGTCTTTCAAAAGCTTTTGTTTGCATGTAAGAATATGCTACTGAATGATGGTAACATCCAACACAGTGGAAGCTCTGGCCCCGAAAATCTGATGTTCCGTTCCTCCTAGGAGTGTGAATGCTTAGCTAGAGACAACACTTAGCTGCCTCACAGCCGGATATGATCAATACCAATAAATGTAGGAAAAGAGATGTGTCCAACTTCCACATCACTTCCTCAAAAATAAATTGCTATACTTGCATTTTCCTTGAGAGATAGAATGGAGATATGGTAGAGATCCATTTTTAACCCATTTATGCCTAGTGTTCCATTATTAGAATGCTAAGCCTGTGGGAGTTATTTATATCCCACTGCTCAAGGTCATTGCCAAGGTCTGATTTTTCACAAAAAATTTTTGCAACCTCTGGCATAAATAGGTTAAGCCATGTCCTAAGCTAGGGAATGGCAGAGCTTCAGGACAGAAAGACATGGGACTCTGAGCAGACCTCATAAGCAGAGTAACCCTGTTGGTATTAACGAACCAGCCAGTTTCATTAGACAGAAATAGAATTTTATTTTCTTTTAAGCACTGTATTTTTTATTTCTTCATTATAGCACATTACCCTAATGTAATATTCATAAGACTGGCATAGATTTGAAACTTACCTATCTCCCACCTAGAAATGGGAAGAGCCTAAAGATATGGGTCATAAGAAACAAAAAAAGGGCTGGATTAGGGCACTCCTTAGGGGAAGGTAGACTCACATGGGCCACTGAAATAAAGGAACCTGGGTGGTCAGCTAGGGGGCAGGATAAAGTTTTTTGACATCTGGAGGGGGCAAGAGGATGAACCAATGAAGATACTTCATGTACTTTAAAATTTTGGTGGGACCAATCAGTTACAGTAATTCAAAGAAAGGTAGTAAGGGAAGGAGAAATGGAGAAGAGGCAGATTATCAGGGTAAATGATGGTAAAAATTAATGAGAGACTGCATTATGATGTTTAACAACAAAAACAGATCCAAAAAAGAGAGCCAAAACCAATTCAAGGCATCAGAGCCTGGGCAAATATGAATCAGGAAACTGTGAAAGTTAAAAGTTAGGGCAATCCTAGCTGAAGAGGATACTGAAGCTGGTCTTTCCCACATTAACTGTAAACTGTGGTAGTACATTAAAGTAGATATGTCCTTATGCAAATTAAGATGGATGATGAAGGGGTGTTTGAAAAAAAAGGCAGAGAGATTAAGGTTGGTGATATAGATCATTACCACCCACATGGAAAGAGCAAGGGCTAAAAATGCTGTTTAAAGAAACAGCTACACTTTTGGTTCTATTACATTTTAAGCTTAAACATTACATATTTCAATATGCATCTTGAAAAAAGTAGCAGCTTTCTAAACATTATGTTCAGCACTCTCTCTTTTCACCTCTAAACTTGCACAGAAGTCTCTCCTTGAACTTCTTCATCTTTATTTTGATGTTCAACTTTCTGCAGAAGCCTGGGGCCCAGTAAACCAATAAGCAGACTTCCAATTGGGGCTGTGATGAGGATGGACAAAAATGCCACTGTCAACACATCCATTCCATAGTCTTCTAATTGTTTCTCTCCATGTGACCTTGCTGTGTCCAAAGCCACAGATCCTATTGCAGCCTATAAAAGTTTAAGGGTAAAAATGGAATCATGATAAGATAAGCACATATAAAAAAAGTGAGTTTTTTATTGTTTGCAAAAGCAAATTGCTTGTTCTTTTGCTCAACTAAGAAAGTTGTAAGCATCAGGAGATATACCTAATGCTAAATGACGAGTTAATGGGTGCAGCACACCAACATGGCACATGTATACATATATAACAAACCTGCACGTTGTGCACATGTACCCTAAAACTTAAAGTATAATAATAATAAAATAAAAAAAAAGAAAGTTGTTTTAGTATTCTTTCAAAGTGTATTGCAGGTTTTGTTTTGTTTTGTTTTTTTACTTTTTTAGAGACAGGGTCTCGCTGTGTTGCCCAGACTGGTCTTGAACTCCTGGCCTCAAGTGATCCTCCCTCCTTAGCCTCCCAAGTGCTGGGATTACAGGTGTAAGTCACTGTGCCCAGCCCAGCTGGTTCTGATGATCTAAAAACTCTGCCCTTGCATGGGAACATACTGATGACTCATTTGTACTTATCTGTGTAAGGTAGGGTTACATAAATATCAGTAAAATACATTTCAAAACACAAAGCAAATCCAGAATCACAATATTAATTAAATATAACATAAAGTTCTATGTACTAAATTTTTCCTGAATAAAGATGGAAATTACTGGTCATCTCCTTTTATCTTTAGGAATGTGGAACTAAAAAATAAGATGAAAAACATGCAGTGATACCTACTGAAAACTGTTAAATTTTAAATAAATATATATTACTTTAGAGCTTAAACTCATTGTCAAACGTCATGAAACATGAAAATAGTGGACACCTTGACAACTTGAAGTTGATCTTATTAGGTATTTGGTCAACTCCTTGCCACAGAATTTGGTGAAATGTTTTATTTGGAATGCATCTGTTGGAAAACATTATGAAAATTCTCAGTTTCTTTTAGAGGCAAAATGCAATATTATCAGTGCAGATGGGAAAAATGTATTAATTAATCTGGTTATCCCTTATTCCACAGAGAACAATGTAAGCCTCTAAGACAATGAAAAAGAAAAATGTGCATCAGAAACAATGGCAGAAACTACTAGTTGCTCACAAAAACATGAATGACCCCTTTCCCTTCTATAATAGAACTCCTGGAGTTTGGCTGGTCACATTGCTGTCCAGAGACCTTTTTATAGAACTCTTAGCCATTATGTTTTAGACATTTTTGAAAGTCTGATAGGGGTGAGGGGAATTCTGGAGTAATGCCCAAATGCAAAGAGCATAATTGAAATCTGGAATATAACTGCTGAGCATACACATCCCCCAAAGCCTCCTAAATGAAAAACACTTGATTTTAATTCCTTAATAACAGAAATTGGAATATTTAATTATAAAATAATCTGGGGCAAAACAGTTAAATGTTGTTTGATGTAATTAGTCTGAAAATATACAACCAAAGATACATCACATTTGCAACAAATCATAATCTATACAGTTCTAACTTAATTAGCAATCATAGATATTCTAACAAATGCATGGTCAACAAATTCAAGCACCTATCTATAATAGCTTTATTTATCACGTTTATTAGAATGCACAAATTTTCGGTTAAGTGATTGAGACATTTGCCAGGAAGTTCAGTGAGTTTTGAATAATTAATACCAACTAATAATCTAGGAAATCAATAAAGTGCTTTCTGAGTTGTTTTTCAATAAATCTTTTCTCCATTACATACAAAGACTCTGGTCAAGCTCAACTGATCATCAATCATATTAACATTAAAATATCTCCAAACATTAAGGGAACCATGTTATTTCTATTTTACTCTCTTCTTGGAAGCTATTAACATGAAAAGAGTTAAGAACTCTTTCCTTGGGTGACTTACAGAGTGCCGACTGATGAAAACTCTTCTCTCCTGTTACTACTGCTTTCTAGTAGAATAGGGATTTACTGGATTTTTACTTATACCCTGGTGATCTAAGGAAATTTAATGAGCTATCACATTTAAGGAATGAATATACCAAAAATACAGGTTTTAAAGAATAGATTAGGATAAACTCTTTTCATAAATCCACTTCAATTATTTATTTTCACTAAATTTAAACAAGCCCTCTTATTCAATATTTCAAGGTGTCATGCAGAAATAGCAGTTAAAATGCTAAGCCATCCTATCCATCATACCTGAACTGTGGCCTTTGGAAGCCATGCAAAAGAAATAAATATCTTTTCTTTTAAGTTAAAACCAGCAAAACACACCATCAGAAATGTAGTCAAAATTCGTATCAATACTGCAATGCCTACGGTGGCAACACAAAGGCCTGTAAGAAATATTCAATTTTTAGAAATAATAAAATACTAGGAGAGAAACTGCATCTCATGGTTACTAATTCAAAATAACCATCAACAGAAATAATTTTTAAAGCATTAAAAATTACAAATACAAAAATGTTTAGGAAGAATATATAAAAACAATCAATATTAAGGATCAATCAGGCTATTTGTTTAAAATAAGGTGTTTCTGTAGATTAAAACCAGAAATTAAGCATATTTGAATTCTTATGTAGAGATTTGAATGTTATATATGTCTTATGCTTTATAGCAAGAACCATGCTTGTTCATGTGTGTAAGAAGAATTTATTAAATGATATGATTAAATGATAAGTAATAAGCTTTAAACTAAGTACTGTGTACACATAAATGTACAATGTATAGACTTTGCCTCAAAGTCAGAGAAAGACACATAAACAACCAATTCATAGACTATACAGTAAGTGAGGTATAAACAAACTAAGGGCATAAAAGAGGGAAAAACAATATTTTAACCCAAAAAGTCAATAATTCTTTACAGGGTATAAGACCAGAAGTGATAGCTAAAATATTTATGAGCCAGTATGGAGGGAATTAGCCAATCAGAGCTGGCTGGGCACTGACCAATCAGAATAGACACTGGCAGTCTACCACTGTTTCACCATACTGATGTGTACTGGTCGTACTGGTCCCAATTATCCCTGGTTAACATACACAGCTACTCCATTTAGTCCTGTAGAATTCTTTGCTGATAAAGACAAGTTCATCATCATTTGCCAAACAAGGGATTGTGAGTAGTGCTGCTACATGCTACTGGACCTAAGAATGATACAGCTAAGGTGACTCCTGAGTATTAGGGTGATTTTTTAAAAAGTAACATTTGTTGAGTGTTTACTCTGTGCCAAATGCTGTACTAAGCTTTAAATGTATTATTTTACTTAGTCCTTACAACCCGTGGAGTAAGTATTATTTTATAGTTGAAAAAACCAGAAGCTCAGAAAGGATAAGTAGTTTTCTCAAATTCAAAGGGCGGGTAAAACATCAGACAGACATAGCGGGAGGATCTATTGTAAATCTGCCATATGGCTTTTTTATGGGAAAGTTTTGTGGTTCTTTGTTGAAAGGTATTTCTTCAAGGTTGGAAAGTATTCAAAAATATCTGTAGCCTGAAGTACAAGATAAAGAGTTGATATCATTCCCAGAAGGAAACATTGAAAGTTTGAGAAGAGGATGAGAAGGAAGTTTTAGTTGAGTTTGAACGTTAACAGGACATACAAGTGGTGCTGTCCAATCAACAATTGGATATATTGATTTAGAGATAAATAGTTTGGAATTATACAGTTTATAGTTGATGTCACTAGTATAGATAAGGTTAGAGAAGTTATATAGAGCCAGAGGCACAAAGTTAGAAAGCAATTTGATAAAGGGCAGCATTTAAGCTACATATGGTGTAAGGAAAGGCTCAAACAGCACTGGGAAATAGGAAGTTTAAGAACTTAATATAAAGGAGTGTTAGAGGGTCAAAAGCAGCAAATGCTGCTGACAGATCAAGTAAAGCAAAGACTGGATTTAGCAATATTACCTTGGTGAGAGGCTGGCAGGTTGTGTGAGAGGTTGGCAGGTTGTGTGATAGGCAGAAGCTGGGCTAAAATGTATAGAAGGAGGAAATGGGAACTGAAGTGGAAAGGGGAATGTAGTGACCTCTTTTGAAAAGTCCGAAAAGAAGACAAGAGAGGTAGCATGGTAGAGACGGGGGGAAGTGAAATAGAGGAATTTTATATATATATAATTTTAACATATTATTTTAATATACATTATTTTAATTGTAGTAAAATACACATAACATTTACCATCTTAACCATTTTTATGTGTATAGTTAGTATCATTAAGTATATTCACACTATTATGCAACCAATCTCCAGAATTTTTTCATCTCACAGAATTTAAACTCTATACCCATTAAACAACAATTTCCCTTTACTCCCAGCCCCTGGCAAGTACCATTTATGAGTCTGACTACTCTGGATACCTCATGTAAGTGGAATCATACAGGGTTAGTCTTTTTCTGACTGGCTTATTTCGCTTAGCATAATGTTCTCAAGGTTCATCCATGTTGCAGCATGTGTCAGAAGAGAAGCATTTTTTTTTAAGATAAGAGAGATTGGAGACTAAATTCTGAAGAGAAGAAAATTGCGACATGGATATTTAAGATGTATGAGAAAAGGAAAGAATCCATATGCAAGATTCAGAAGGAGTAGCGGGAGATGGGATTCCTAGTATGGATGGAAGAATACTGTGATGGAAGGAAAGAAGGAAATAATGAGTACATATATACAAATTAATTTTTAAGTGCAGTGTTTTGAATCAACAGAGTTTTAATATGATGGCTTTTGAATGTAGGAATAAATAAAATAATTAATGAACAACAAGGCATTTCTATCCCATGGGTACAAACTATAGAACTAACTAGTTGTCTTTAAAATTCTCGCTCTTGTTCAGGACAAGGCTAGATGAATATTCTTACCCTTGGAAAAAGAATTGTTAAGGCCTGAATTTTCTGGGTAGTGGTCAGCAGTGTCACTTTCATATACAAGGAACAATATTAAATGTGTAAAATATACCATCTTAGATGAACAAGCATTATTTTCTAACCAACTACTCTAAAAAACTTACATCATAATTAACTTTTTATATAATTGTGACAATAGTAACCACTGTACACATACCTGCTGGAGATATTTCAATGAATATAAAAAGTAGACTTTATTGGTGAGTAGGCTGACCAAAAAAAGTGAATTTTAACAAAAGCACATTTTGAAATTCTTACCTACAGTTTCTGGTCTGAGAGATGCAATAGATACCTCTGCTCCAATTAGTCCAAAAAGAAGGGGCTGAAAAATGTCCCAGGCAACTGCAATTATCTTTTCAACCTCTGCCTAAAATAACAATAAAACACACACAGATTTTTATTATGTGAAGTTACAAATGCAAAGAATTTTATTAATTTGAGGTTTGAATTATTTGGCCTGAGATAAGCTTTATTTCTGTGCCATCTATAACTAAAAGGTTAGCTAGAACAGAGCAAAAAAACTGCATGAAGATCTTTCTATCACAGTTAAGATACATGAGGTGTTTTAGCATACTAAATATTAGTTTGCACATGGATATTAATAAAAAGATTCTTATAAAGTAATCTTATGAGGACTCCTACTTCTGAATACATCGTGTGTATGTGCATGTGTGTATACATATTGTAATATATAGTAGTGTTTTGTAGTTTAAAATTTTATGTCGACTTTCCTTCAACAATATGATTTAGAGAGCTTGCAATATTGGTACATATATCTAGATATGCCCCTATTACTGCTGCATAGTGATCTACAGTATAGAAGTACCATAGTTTATTCAATCATTTCTTTATTGACAGATCTTTAAATTGTTTCCAATTTTATCTGTACAAAAAATACTGTTTAAGGTTATCTCAAATCACGCACAAAAATAAAATCCAGGTTTACTAAAGTGATTATCAGTGCCAATTATCACTTTATTGCCCATTATCTCCAGCTCCTCTTTCACTGTTGCTCCACAGAAAATGGAGCTGGGCCTTTAAAATATTTTTCCTTTGCCAGGTAGCACCATGTTAAACTTTGTCAGTAGAGTGTGCTAAAGAGATATTGCAAGCTGAAGGTGCTTTTCTTCCTGGTTTCTGTGGCTCTTCCTAGCAAGATCTTATAGCATGCACTGGTGGCCTTAGCTCTAGGTTCCTGCATCCCAGGTGGCTTCTCCAGTATCAGGGTCCTACAATTCATGCAACCAGCAGCACCTAGTGGCCATTACATTCCCTAGCATACCCCTGGGGCAGTTTCGTAGCAGATTCTCTTGAGCAAGATACTTCCCCATGCACCCAAGGGGATGGATCTCCTGCAAATTGGGAGGGTAGATTTTCAGCAAATTCTGCAAGCACAGCACCACAGCGACTTCTCTAGGCTCTAACAGAGTCTGGATCTCAGCCCTGCAGGCAGGAATGTGGAGGGTACAGGCTTAAGGGGATGATCTATTATAGCCATAGGTGCTATTCTCATATTCTTTAAGGATGTCTTCACATCTTACTAGCCAATACCTTGTTACTGGAATCCCTGGTGTGGTTAATAATCAACTTTTCCTATTCCAGTTACTATTTGATTTCTCTTTCCTCATAGGACCCTAATTGATACAAGAACTAACTTTGTAACACATAATGCAAAAGACTCTAGGAAAACAGTGACACAATTGACTAGAGTAACATCAAAATGTTTTGTGGCAAAAGAAGCCATAAACCAAAAAAGTGACAAACTAGAAGAAAATATCTGTACCATGTGTAACAGAATAAGAAACATTGGCCAATCAATAAAAAAAAGACATAGATCCTAACAGAAAAATGGGCAATGAACCCAGAGACAGCATCATCATACTGAATAGGCAAAAGCTGGAAGCATTCCTTTTGAGAACCAGAATAAGACAAGGATGCCCACTTTCACCACTCCTATTTAACCGGAGTACTGGAAGTCCTAGCAAGAGCAATCAGGCAAGAGAAAGAAAGAAAAGGCATCCAATTAGGAAGAGAGGAAGTCAAACTATTTCTCTTCGCAGATTATACTATACCTGGAAATACTATACCAAGAATAGTACAGAGATACTATACCTAGAAAACTTCATAGTCTCTGCTCAGAGGCTTCTAGATCTTATAAACAACTTCAGCAAAGTTTTAGGATAAAAAATCAATGCACAAAAATCATTATTTCTATACACAAATAACGTACAAGCTGAGAGCCAAATCAAGAACGTGATCTCATTCACAATCGCCAAAAGAAGAACAAAATATCTAGGAATACAGCTAACCAGGGAGGTAAAAAATCTCTACAATGAGAATTACAAAACACTGCTGAAAGAAATCAGAGATGACCCAAATGGAAAAACATACCATGCTCATGGATAGGAAGAATCAATATTGTTAAAATGGCCATATTGTCCAAGGCTATTTATAGATTCAATGATATTCCTATCAAACTACCAATGACATTTTTCACAGAATTAGAAAAAACATTATAAAATTCATTTGGAGCCAAAAAAGAGCCCGAATAGCCAAAAGCAATCCTAAGCAAAAGGAGCAAATCCAGGGATATCACACTACCCGACTTCAAACTATACCACAAGGCTACAGTAACTAAAACAGATGGTACTAGTACAAAAACAGACACATAGACAAATAGAACAGGTTAGATAATCCAGAAACAAAACTGCACACCTACAACCATGTGATCTTCGATAAAGCTGACAAAAACAAGCAACTGGTAAAGGACCCCCTATTCAATAAACTGTGCTGGGATAACTGGCTAACCATATGCAGAAGATTGACGCTGGACCCCTTCCTTACAACGTATACAAAAATAAATTTAAGATGAATGAAAGACTTAAATGTAAAACCGAAAACTACAAAGCCCCTAGAAGATCTAGGAAATACCAATCTGGACATTGGCCCAGGCAAAGACTTCAAGATGAAGACTCCAAAAGCAATTGTGACAAAACAAAAAATTGACAAATGGGACCTTCTTAAACTAAAGAGCTCTGCACAGCAGAAGATACTATCAATGGAGTAAACAGACAACCTTTAGAACAGGAGAAAATATCTGCAAACCATGCATCTGACAAAGGTCTAATGTCCAGAATCTTTAAGAAACTCAAACAAATCAACAAGCAAGAAACAAACAACTCCATTAAAAAATGGGCAAAGCACATGAACGGACACTTCTCAAAAGGACACATACATGTAGCCAACAAGCATATAAAAATGTTCAACATCACTAATCAATGGGGAAATGCAAATCAAAACCAAAATGAGACACCATCTCACATCAGTCAGGATGGCTATTATTATTTTTTTTAATATTTAAAATTAACCACAATATTTGAGCTTGTGGAAGTAAACTGGGTGACCAAATGTCAAAGGAAACATAATTGTACATCTTTTGATACTTTTTAATTTTTTGAATATTTGAGCTTGTGGAAGTAAACTGCGTGACCAAATGTCAAATGAAACATAATTGTACATCTTTTGATACTTTTTAATTTTTTGAAAAAATTTATTTTAAATTCAGGGGCACATGTGCAGGTTTGTTACATAGGTAAACTTGTGTTATGGCAGTTTGTTGTACAGATTATTTCATCACTCTGGTATTAAGCCCAGTACCCATTAGTTATATTTTTCCTGGTCCTCTCCCTCCTCCCACCCTCCACCCTACAATAGGCCCCAGTGTGTGTTGTTCTCCTCTATGTGTCCATGTGTTCTCATCATTTAGCTCCCACTTATAAGTGAAAACGTGGTATTTGGTTTTCTGTTTCTGTGTTAGTTTGCTAAGGATAATGGCCACCCACTCCATCTATGTCCCTGAAAAGGACATGATCTTCTTTTTTATGGCTGCATAGTATTCGATGGGGTATATATACACCACATTTTCTTTATTCAATGTATCATTAATGGGCATTTATGTTGATTTCATGTCTTTACTATTGTGAATAGTGTTGCAATGAACATACTCATGAATGTGTCTTTATAACAGAATGATTTATATTCCTTTGGGTATATACCCAGTAATAGGATTGCTGAGTCAAATGCATTTCTGTCTTTAGGTGTTTGAGTAATCACCACACTGTCTTCCACAATGGTTGAATTAATTTACACTTCCACCAACAGAATGGCTATTATTAAGTCAAAAAATAACAGATGATGGTGAGGTTGTGGAGAAAAGGGAATGCTGATACACTGCTGGTGGGAATGTAAGTTAGTTCAGCCACTGTGGAAAGCAGTCTGGAGATTTCTCAAATAAATAGAACTACCATTTGACACAGCCATTCCATTACTGGTTATATACCCAAAGGAATAGAAATCACCCTACCATTAAGACACATGAACGTGTACGTTCATTAAAGTGTTATTCACAATAGCAAAGACACGGAATCAACCTACATGCCCATCAACGGTAGACTAGATAAAGAAAATGTGGTACATATACACCATAGAATACTATGCAGATATGAAAAATGAAAAAAGCTGGAGGCATCTCACTACTTGAATTCAAACTATACTACAAGGCTACAGTAACTAAAACAGCAATGGTACTGGTACTAAGACAGACACATGAACCAAAACAACAGGCTAGAGAACACAGAAATAAAGCTGCACCCCTACAATCATCTGATATGTCACAAAGCCAACAAGAACAAGCAATGTGGCAAGGACTCATATATACCATGTACATATATACCATGGAATACCATGCAGTCATAAAAAATAATGAAATCATGTCCTTTGCAGTGACATCGATGGAGCTGGAGGCCATAATCCTAAGCTAATTAATGCAGGAACAGAAAACCAAATACCACAGTTATCACTTACAAGTGGGAGCTAAACAGTGAGTCCACAGGGACACAAAGAAGGGCATGATAAACACTGCGGCCTATTTTAAAGTGGAGGGTGGCAGGAGGGGGAGGATTGAAAATAGTATGCTGATTACCTGGGTGACAAAATTGTCTGTACTCCAAGCCCTTGCAACACATCATTTATCCATGTAACAAACCTGCACATGTACCCCTTGAACCTAAAATAAAAGCTGAAAAGAAAAAAAAAAGAAACATGGGCAAAACATATGCACAACTAATTCACAGAAGAAGAGATACAAATAGTCACAAAATCTAAGACACTAAAACGGAGTAATTATGAAACACAAATTAAATTGACATGCCTTTTTTTTTTTTCAAGGGGGAACACCACATTGGAAAAATACTAAAAGGTTTTAATAATGAAAAGTATTCATGACTTTGTAAGGAAACTCACCATTTGGCAGGACAACAAATTGATAATGCTTTTTTGGAGGGCAATTGAGCAGTACCTATTATACTGTCTAAGAATTTACATAGAACAGATTTTCTCATAACTGAAAAGAAGCTATATTTTTGGATGACATTTCAATGCTTACAATTACACAATTTAAGGATCTGCAATATATACACCAGGTCCTCAAATAATGTCGTTTCTTTCAATGTTGTTTCCTTCCAACAATGAAAAAAAAATCAATTCTTCATGTTCTCCCCATATCTGCAAGCATTTTATGTGGGTAATCTGGTTTCCTCCCAAATCCCAAAGATGTTCTCATTAGGTGAACTGATGTGTCTACATGGTCCCTATCTGAATGACTGTGGGTGTGTGTGAATGCACCCTGTGATGGGATGGCATCCTGTGTAGGGTTGGTGCCTGGGATAGGCTCGGGCTTATTATCTTACTTGTTTTTATTAACCTTTCTGAAATGTATGTGTAGATTACAATTATTTCAATGTTTAATCTTCACAGTGTTTTGGTTTTTATTCAGAAGTTTGGTGATGTTTTTGTGACCAGAAATATGCGTTAGGAACTTAGCTCTTGTTTATACCAATTGGCCTATGGTAAAATTGGTTTTGTTATTTGTCTTTTCACTTAAAGTTGCAGCTTCTGAGAACCTATTGACAATGCTAAAATGAGGACTTACTATTAATATATTCAGCAGTTTGACAAAGAAGGATTACAATGTTTCTTTGTATTCTTTATTTGCATTATTTCTGATGTGTTTATAGTGGGAAGATTATATTTCCATTCAGCTTACAAGTGTTGAAAGAGAGCATATGTGAGGGCATTGGTTGATTTATTTAATAGTTCTGTTTCTATAGCATGAAAAATATTATGTTTTCATCAGATAACGAGTTAAGTTTGAACCCTCCACCACTAACTGCAAGGCACTTGCCTCTCAGCACCTCACTTTCTCATGTGTAGAACAAAAGGTTTATATTAGATAACATCTAAGATCATTTATTATGTAATGGCTAGTTCTGCCAAAACTACGATCCAGTTAACATCCTTCCACATATCTTTAAATTTTACTTTTTAATTTAGTTTTTTGAGTATATTATAGCTAAAGGTAAGACTTTTTTTTTTTTTTTGAGGCAGAGTCTTGCTATGTCACCCAGGCTAGAGTGCAGTGGTGTGATCTTGGCTCATGGCAACCTTCATCTCCTGGGTTCAAGTGAGTCTCCTGCCTCAGTTTCCTGAGTAGGCTGGGACTACAGGTGTGCACCACCACACCCGGGGAAGTTTTGTATTTTTAGTAGAGATGAGGTTTTGTCATGTTGCCTAGGCTGGTCTCAAACTCCAGAGCTCAGGCAATCTGCCTGCCTCAGCCTCCAAAGTGCTGGGATTACAGGTGTGAGCCACTGCACCCAGCCAACGTAAGACTTTAGTTGATACTCATTGTAGTAAAGAACAAGAATCAACTCTATTAATTTTAGATTACTTAGACTTTTGTTGCCATGAATAATTGTTTAAGAGAAGTCCTCAAATGTGTTTCATATACTCAGAATACAAATGAAAGTAGGACTAAAAATATTTCTAATCAAATTATTTTTTATTTCTAAACTGTAGACAAAGGCCAAAATTTGTTTTTGATTATAACACTTTAGACTAGTTGAACATCAGACATGGGCTTATATATTGCAAAACATAGAAAAACATAGAAAAGTCACAATGTATCTTCTTGTGGGTTTTTCATAATGTCAAAACTAAAATGAATTTGCCTATAAAGAAAATGGAGTCATTGAATAGGCTGTGTATAAAAGATAAGCCCAGGGTAATGAAGACTGTGTTGTCCCTTGAAAATTAAGGCCATTTGACACATTTGTATGCATCATTAGTAAGAATCTGAAAAAATATCAATTACTTTGGAGGACCAACAAAGGAGAAAGTTAAGATAAATGGAAGTTTCATCATGAGTTGGATATCTACTTAAGTTTATACTTTTTTGAAAGAACATTTTAAGATTCAGAAAATCCAAAATACCGTATCAACAAAAAAATCTGTAAAAGTCATTAGAAGCAGCACTAGATTTGACAACAGACAAAAAAAGAGAAGCAGCTTTAAAAAAGGTGAGTGCATCTGAATACAACAAACAAATGGAAAGATTAATGCTTATAAGACCAAGCACAAAGTATAAAATAATATCAGAAAACTATGGACACAAACAGAATCTTATAAAATATTTTAGCTTTTCAAAGTCTAATAAGTTAACAACAATATTGCTACAGCCCTGTAGAATTTACAAGTGTGTCATTTTCATTTTCTCACATAATAGTTACAGCAATTTTTTAGATGATTATTGTATTCACTTTAGAGTTGAGAAAACTGAGTATTTCAGAAGGCAAATGACTTGCTTGGGATTATACAGCTAGAAAGTAGTAGAACTGGGATTGGCATCCCAATCTCCATATTTTAAATCTTATGCTCTTAGTATGATATCATGCTGTTCTGGAGGTAATTATAAAAATAATAAGAGTTATTATTTACTGAATGTGTTCTATGATTAATAACTTTCCTTAGTGCTTCGTACAGGTTATTTTACCGAATCCTCCAGTCAGTGAAGTTGTCATCATCACTGGGAAGTTAGATAACTTGCACATGGTCAGACACACCTAGTAAAAGCTGTAGTGTTGAGACTGGCCTGAGGAGTCTGAGCTCTTGGCCCTAGGCTATCCTTTAGAATAAGGTAAGAAAAGGAATCCAAACTCAGGACTTTGGTTTGGTTCCTACAGGAATAAGAACTTTCCTGAGTACTAAATTAGAAAAGATATGGAGAGTACCTGCCACACGACAGAGTCAATAAACATTACTTTTCCTTCCTTTTTTTGGGGAACCATTTTTATATATTCAAATGGTATATTCTTTTTTTTTTTTTTTTGAGATGGAGTCTCGGTCTGTCGCCCAGGGTGGAGTGCAATGGTGTGATCTGGGCTCACTGCAACCTCCGCCTGCCAGGTTCAAGCAATTCTCTGCCTCAGCCTCCCGAGTAGCTGGGACTATAGGCGCATACCACCATGCCCGGCTAATTTTTTGTATTTTTAGTAGAGATGGGGTTTCACCATGCTGGCCAGGCTGGTCTCGAATTCCTGACCTCATGATCCGCCCACTTCGTTCTCCCAAAGTGCTGGGATTACAGGTGTGAGCCACCGCACCCAGCCTCAAATGGTATATTCTTATCCTGGCTCTGTCACTTACTTTTTGTCCTTATTTTTGACCTTCGCAATATACTTAGTATTTGTAGGCCTTGGTTTCCTGATTTTAAAAGTTGCTCTAATGTTTACCTTTCAAGATTATTGTTAAGAATAAATAACATATATCTCACTAACAAAGAGCTCTTCAAAAAAATTAAAACTATTATAGGAGACTGACAGATCTGACTACATGAAAATATAAAATATCTAAGTGTTAAAAGTGAACAATATAAAAAGGTACAAAGATTACTTAGACTTCTGTTGCTGGGACTAATTGTTTAACAGAAGTCCTCAAATGTATTTCATACACTCAGAATAGTAATGAAAGTAGAAGGACTAAAAAGATTTCTATATCAAATTATTTTTTATTTCTAAAGTGTAGACAAAGGCCACAATTTGTATTTTGATTATAATGCTTCAGACTAGTTGAACATCAGACATGGGCTTATATATTGCAAAACACAGAAAAACAGAAAAGTTACAACGTATCTTCTTGTGGGTTTTTCATAATGCCAAAACTAAAATGAATTTGCCTATAAACAAAATGGAGTCATTGAATAGGCTGTGTATAAAAGATAAGCCCAGGGTAATCAAGACTGTGTCATCACTTATATAGATGTGTGTATTGGGGGTGTATCTTACAGATGGATAATCAACACACATTATACTTTGGAAGATAATGAACAAAAGACCTACCAAAGAAAAAGAAAAAACACACAAGTGTCTAAATATGTGAAAAACTGTTCAATTTCACTGTTAAAGAAACACAAAATAAACAAGATGCAACTTTTTACCTATCAGTATGGCTAAAGATTAAAAGCAATAATATTTTAAGCCAGTGGTTCACAGTGTGGTCCCTAGACTGGCAGCATCAGCCTCATCTGGAAATTAATTACGTGCAAATTCTCAAGCCCCACCACAGTCTAAAATCAGAAATTTGTAGTAGGGCCCAGAACTCAAATTTAACAATCCTTCTAGGTAATTCTGCTAAAGTTTGAGAAAACTATTCTAAGGTGAAGTTGTAATGAGACAGGTACTTCATATTTTACTGGTAGAAAAGTAAATGGATAGAACTCTAGAAAGCAGTCTGGTAATATGTGTCGAAAACCTCAAAATGTTCATATTATTTCACCCCCAAATTTTACTGTTAGGAATATTCCTTAAGGAAGTGATCAATTTCTGATCATTTCAGCATAATTTAAAATAGCAGAGACTGGAAATAACCTTATAACTATATATAAAGGAATGGGTAAAAAAACCAAAAACCCAACTATGGTGCATCCATGTGTGTAGATAAAGAGATTCACATAGCAGAGTTACTAGAGGTAAATATTTTTAAAAATGTTAATAGTTATCTTTCTGGTTGTGGGGTTACACTGACCTTCTACATAGCAGGACTACAGGAAATGTAAACAAAGGGAACAATGGTTTGGTTTATAAGAATCATTTATAGATAACCACATTATAGTTTCTCTGAATAACAGTGTAATCGGAAGTGATCAGTTTCCCTTTCCCTCCTTTTTCTTTCTGTGCTCTTATCCAGTGCCCACTTGCAGGAGGTATCAGTCTCTCCTTCATTTCTCTGTTGCTAAAACTACTTTTTTATGCTCTGTTTCAAATGATATTGCTCCTTCTCATTGTTTATTCTTTTTATCCTATCATTTATGAATTTAGAAGCTGAATTTTAAACTGCAAAAGTTTAGAATTATGTTTAAATACACATGGTAAGTGTTACTCAAACAGATGTCAAAATATAAAATTGTGTCATGCACAATAATGCTACAGTTGTACTACAGCATAGTACAACTCACCTTGGAGTCAAATTAATCTGAGCTTAAATCTCCGTGCCATTTTCTAATTGTGTGACCTTGGACATGTTATTTAAGTCTTTCTGACTTACAGCTTCTATAAGGTAGAAATCATAATACTTTTCAAAGGTAATTTTGTGAAAATAAATGACCATATCCACTTAGTGCCTCATACAGAGCCATACAGCGTAGCAACAAAAATTTATTAATTCCTTTTTCTCTTTTTACCCATGACAGTATAATATAATGAGTTGATTTCAATTTGCAAAGATTTTTAAAGAGCTGGTGACAGAATGCATTTCTGTTACACTGTTGATATGAGAATGAATGTTATTTACCCACAGTGAATGCTGTCTATGGAAGATCCCCACAGAGATCCACTTAATTGAGTTATGATTATATATCTCATCTCAAAATTTGTAACGTTTCCATATTTTCCATATGGCATTATTTTAATTATTTAAGTTTAATTATTTTGAACAGTTGTCTTCAGGCTTTGTAAGATTATCACAAAATGATATAGCTGCATTTATTTTAGGTCACCGACATCTTCATTAAGCAGAATAGCATACAATCCTATCAAGTTCAAATCTACAAAAATGAATCTGAAAATTAAAATAAATAAATGACAACTAGTGAACTTCCATAATACATATAAACCAAATGAATATTCTTAATAATCTTGAAAATCAGTATGAAAAACCAAAGCAACCTTATAAAAATGGCAAAGGCTTTTGAACAAACTGGGTAGTAATCATATGAAAACATGATTAGCATTGCCCATAAAGAAATGAAAATCAGAATAATAATGAGATATATTTTTAATTCATAATATCAGCAAAATATCTCAAAGACTTAGATCAGAAAAACAGATCCTCTCACATAATATTGGTAAAAATATAAATTGGTACAGTCTTTTAAAAGGTCATATTGATATTATCAAAAGTATAAATGTGAGTACTCTTTCCTAGAGCAATCTGATTTCTAGAAATTTATTGTATAAACTAAAATATATACTATATTTTATTTATTTTAAGACACATATTTTTATATTTTAACATTTCTGAAATTAGAATGTTATGTTATCGTTTAATTGGCACTATTTTTTTTCTTTCTTGGTGTCATATAAAATAATTGTGTTTTTTAGAATTGACAGACTCAGATGAAATATGGTATGTAAGGATATATTATTGAAGCACTGTTTATCTTGGCAGAAAACTAGAAACAACGTAAATATCTATAAAATGCAATACTCCGTAGCCATTACAAAGAATAAGGAAGGCATTACGGTAGTATGACCATGATATATTTTAAGTAAAGACATCAAGTTATAGATTGATGTGTAAGGGGAAAAAAAAGATGAACACTGGGTGTACATTTGTATATGCACATTAAGATAGCTTTTATAATGAAATACTTTATTAATTTGATGCTAAGAAAGTATCTGGAAAGCCAACTTAATCTCATTAGAAAAGAGTCATGAGCAGAAAAACTTAAAATGAAATTCACCTTTTCGCTGGTCCATCCCATGCCTGCAAGGAAAGCCATGACCAACGTGCACAGTCCTCCTGATCCAGGGAAACCAAAATGCACACTGCTGAACACAGCTAGCACAGACAACCCCAACACAAGGAATGTTCTCTTACACACAAGTTTGTCCTTTAGGAGAAAAAAATTCATTTGCTCAATTATTTCAAATCCCTGATTTTTAATGATTGATTTTTTCCATATCTAGGATTTAGAAAGAAAATAAAAATTAAAATGTCTATATAAATAGACAAAACAAGTGCACTACATAACATTTACTTTCTCTTCTTAAACAAAAGCAGAGTTAGCACACTGCAATGGTGAGCTCTTCTTTCAGGAACACCAATTCTCTCCTCTACAGTTATCAATGCAGAATTTCACAGCACTTAATGAAGTAGCAGAAAAAAAGTACATGAGCTTTGGAGCTGGACAGACCAAGGTTAAATTTATAGTTTTTATACATTGTTGGTGTATGTAGTAGCCACATTACTTAACCACTCCAAGCTTTGTTTCCTGAAAGCATTTACATCATAGGGTTTGTGTGAAGGTTAAATATATATCTCTATTATTTTCAGGCTCTATGTTTACTGTTTTAAATTTGACGCCCCCTTGGTTTTTCTTTCTAAATCTTTGGAAACCAGGAAGCTTTAAGAGGTTCTAGACTGACAGTAGTTTTTGTTGCTGTTGTTTTAAAGTCTAAGAATTGTGTACTTTTTTTCCCTTTACTTTTCCCTGTCCAGGCTTTTAAACTTCTTGATCACTTTAGAAAGTAGGTCTTTAAAAGTGCTTGACTTGGCAAAGGCATGCAAGCTCTGAAGGTGAATTACCTGAGTTCATTCCCAGTTCCACCGCTTTCTAGCTATGTGACCTTGTTCAAGTCACTTATCCTGCCTAAGCCTCAATTTCCTTATCAGTAAAATGGTCATAGTAATAGAAATCTCTTTATGAACTATTTTGTCGGTTGTACTAGAGCAGTGTTTTCCAATAGAATGTTTAGTGATGATGGAAATGTTCTGTATCTGCTATAGCCACGTGTAGCTAGTGGCTACTGTACTGAACAAAGTGGCACTAGATGATGATTGACTGATTTATGTATGTGTGTATGCATGTATGTATTAGATATGGGCTCTTGCTGTGTTGCCCAGACTGGACTCAAACTCCCAGAGGGATCCTTTTGCCTCAGCCTCCTGAGTGGCTGGGACTACCAGGCCTGGCTAGAATCTAAGGTATTTTGATACTAAAAAAGGGCACAAAAAAGCTATTATATATCTGGGTTTAGTTGAGTATTATGAACACTTAAAAAACTTGCATATCCTATTACTTTGGAACGATATTATTTGTTTTACAGTGGAATTTGAAATGTACAGAATATAATACGGGAACCCATTACAGGACTGCATTAAAATCTTCTATATTGAGCCCACTTCATAAATCTCATGGATAGCAGTAAGCAATTTTAAAATGAGGAACCATTTGCTCAAACATGTCCTTCACATCTGTCTTTGAAGGAAGTGTTCTAGAATGTTTTCCCAATGATATTTCAGAGCACAACTTTCCCACATATTATTTCTTTCACCTGGTCACGGCTTGGAAAGTACTGAATGAAAAATCCAAGAACAGATCCAGTTGCCACACCAATTACCACCTCCAAAACTCCTCTGAGGACATTAAAGACAGTAGAGCCTGAAAAATATATTAAAAAAACTTAGAGCTCTAAATCCAACAAATACACAGGTTTTATTCCACAATCATCAACATGAAGCATCTAATTACAAAGAAGAAACATTTTAAAGACAGTTTCTGCTTTCCATATTCTTAAATATGTAAGTGGAACCTACATTTTCCCCCATAGCATATAGGATTTAGGAAACTTTAATTAAAAAAAATTTTTTGTTAGCACATTGTGCAGAAAATTATATTAAAGTTTCTCCACACATAAAGCACTTCTTCACAGACTGTCCTAAGAAAAATGTACTAACTGGTTTCTGTGGTCTCTTGTTATTATGGCAATCATTCTTCTTATCTAAATAAAATTACCTCTGAAGTAATTTTATTTAGCTAGGATCGCTTTCTACCAGGTAATGCTATGACTGTTAAAAACATCTAGTTGTGATAGTAGCATTATGCTTAAGCTATTGTGGTAATAATTTACTATGAATGTGTAGAAAGTAGCTAATTAGCTTTAGTCTCTGGTATATTGAGGTGATTAAAAAAAAAAAGTCTTGGGCCCCACCCCTAAAAATCTGATTCAGTAAGTCTAGCAGGGCTCAGATCCAAAAGGTCTAAGGACCACACGTAGTTGGTGGGGGGGTGGGGCGGGGAGAGGAAACACAGCAGAGTCAACTAGGAAGGTTCTTCGAGCTGTAGCTTATGAAAACCCCACTGCCTCTTTCCTTTCTCCTCCCACCACCATGATTCTAATGCAAACTCTGTTGCTCTAAAGCTGTGGTTCCTATTCCAAGCTGCACTGGTTTCCACTCCAAAAGGTTCTGATTTAATTGTCTAAGATAGGACCTACATAAGAGTATTTTTAAAAATCGCCCAGGTAATTCTAGTGTGATGGTAAGGCTGAGAACAATTGTTTTAAAGGTATATACCAGGAAAGTGGTAAGAACATAAATTTGGGTATGTGTAGTAGCATTAAAAATAGGAGTATGAATTTGACTTAATAGGTAAGAGAGCATCCTCAAAGGTTCTTGAACAAGAAAGTAATGTAATGAAAACAATGTTTTAAGAAAATCAATTTACTAGGGAATGGATGGAAGGCAGGCTCTGGAGCAATGAGACAGGGTGGGATTCTAGGTAACAGGCATAAATCATACACAATCACAGAATGGGGAGATAACTATAGGGAGATAACGAGAATGTATAACCTGCCAAGAAGATGTGTTCCCACTACAGAATCTAAAGCTAAACTTAGATTACAATTATACTTTGTCAATCATATAATGTTGCAAATTTTATATCCCAATTTTGAACATAAGATTAAGAAATGAACTTAAACTTGTGCTGTACCACAGGATAATAAAAGTGTTGAACTGCTTTTGGCCTTTTGGCTAAGATCAAGCGTACTATCTGTTCACATCAGTTTAATATAGGTGTTGAACAACAGTGGGAGAAAAAATAACTTAAGTTCCTCTTTTACTATACTTGAAACAAAATACCTCAATTTCAGACACTTACTAAGTATTAATGGGACATCCATTAAAATCATTGCTGTTATTACCCATAAAAAGCTGAAGAGGAGAGAAGAGAAATTTTTCTTATTTTAAAGGCATGCTGTTCCTTTCACTTGGACTGCTCTCTGTCATTTGTGCTCCTTGAAAAACCCACTCATATTTTGTGTGAAGTCTCCACACATCTTTTGTGTGAAGTCTCCACACATCTTTTGTGTGAAGTCTCCACACATCTTTTGTGTGAAGTCTCCACACATCTTTTGTGTGAAGCCTGAACGTTCCTGGATCACTTCAAGCAGAAACTGTTCTTTAAATCTTTCTACCTTCTACCGCCCCTGCCGTACTGCACCTACTGCATGCTACTTGAGCAGTCTCTAGAGGGAGCAAGAGAGTAAAGACAGACAGCTTCTGGACCCTCCTTAGGTACAGAACTCTTAGTGTTCTTTTGCCTATTTTTAATTTGCCTTAATCAATTATCAAGCAAATATGTCATGCTTATAACATTTTAACCTACGTCCCTAGAATGCAAGAGTAAAGCCTGTTGTGAACTGATTAGGTTACCTGTGGAAAAGGCTATGCCCAAGCATGTGTTGAAGCCAGTGATGGCCAGAATGTCATCGAAGCTGCCAGCTGCCATGAGCAAGGTTGGGACACCCTTCTCAACACCATAGCCTCCTCCCTGCAAAAGGAGCATTGAAGGCACCACAACAGCTGGAGATACAGCACCTAAAACAAAACTAGGCAGACAGCATTTTAAACATTTATGATAACATCTTACTTATTACTATTTTGAAATTATAATGCCCTCCACTTTTTAGGGGTTATACTTGGACAACAACAGTCTTTCTTTTTTTTTTTCTAAATTAAGAAAACAAACTTTAATAAGAATTGTTTTTTGTTTTTTTTTCTTTTTTTTATTATACTTTAAGTTTTAGGGTACATGTGTACAACGTGCAGGTTTGTTACATATGTATACATGTGCCATGTTGTTCTGCTGCACCCATTAACTCGTCATTTAACATCAGGTATATCTCCTAATGCTATCCCTCCCCCCCTCCCCCCACCCCACAACAGGCCCTGGTGTGTGATGTTCCCCTTCCTGTGTCCATGTGTTCTCATTGTTCATTTCCCACCTATGAGTGAGAACATGTGGTGTTTGGTTTTTTGTCCTTGCGATAGTTTGCTGAGAATGATGGTTTCCAGCTTCATCCATGTCCCTACAGAGGACATGAACTCATCCTTTTTTATGGCTGCGTAGTATTCCATGGTGTATATGTGCCACATTTTCTTAATCCAGTCTATCATTGACAACTACAGTCTTTCAAATGGCAGAGAAGCATGAATCCAGAAAAACATGTATGTGTAAAACTTCTACAGAACACTGTTTTTCAAAATGTAGCCATAGACAACTTGCTTCAGACTACTTAGGTTGCCTAAAAAGATATATTTATTAGTGGTATAGAAGGCCTAATGAGGGTAGGCCCCAGGATGCTGGCTTTTTTAAACAAAAAAATTCATGTTATAAGGTTTGAAAATGCATGGACTTTCTGATTTGGAACCCAGTGATGCTAGGCCTTCTATTAGGGCTTGCTATGTCAAATAAGGCAACAGATTAGAAGAAAACGATATGACAGTCACATTGATACCAGTAACAACAGCAGTGGTAACAGCAGAAAGCATTTTACAGTATTTACTATGTACCAGACACCATTTTGAGCACTTTACACGTATTCACTAATTTAATCCTCACAACAACCCTATAAAATAGACAAAATCTATCTTAATTTTATAATTGAGGAAACTGAGGCACAGAGAGATTAAATACTTGTTAAAGATCACACACCGGAAAAATCACAAGGCTGGGATTTGAATCCAGGGAGTAGAGTTCCAGAGACTTAACCATGAGAAGAATTTCTTACTTCTTGCCTCTTATTAGCACTAAATTCTTACTAAGTCCTGTCTTATTTATTTACTTTGTGTGGCTCTTAACTGTTGGAAGTAAAGAACTGACAGTGGAACGAAGAGACAGCAGAACTGCCAAGTCATAATAGTCTGGTGACAGGAGGAAAACAATAGTAGCTGTTGATCACTGTTGCTGTGTTTATTATCCTTTGTGCAGACGTTAGGTGGAATCCGGTATCTCTTTAACAGGCATTGAATCAGGTGTAGGCAAAAGACCACGACTTCTTCAACAGTTTGAATAGTAGGTGCTAACTGTAAGAGTTAGCGCCTATTAACACATAAACTATGTTTTGAAGTTAGAATATTTAAATTATGCTGTAACATCTATGTTGCATTTTCTGATATCTATAAGAAAATTCTATTATGCATTCTCTTGTATGCAATCAGGGAAAGCCCTAAATGTCCCTACATATTTTCATATGACAAAGAAACAATCATTACCCCAGTATAAATCCCCATTGCCATGGTAAACCCAGCAGGTAATGGGCAAGAAGAGCAGATGTGCACGCCTCCACAATACAGGGACCCATGGACAGTCTTACACAAACGCCCTTTAACTTCTTCAGGGCCT
Organism: Homo sapiens; assembly: GCF_000001405.40. Lineage (NCBI taxonomy): Eukaryota > Metazoa > Chordata > Mammalia > Primates > Hominidae > Homo > Homo sapiens. The sequence continues at coordinate 103,049,023 of NC_000004.12, forward strand.
GAAATAGAAAAGTAGACATCCTAATATAATCCTCTGAAGATGTGCAGAGAAGATGACCTTGAATGCTTTCTCTTCAGTATATGGACCACGTCTGGGTCATCATGAGTTTTCAAGGTAATGAGTTGTATTTAACAAACATTTTAGCACTCCAAGTGTTTTCAGACAGCTTATTAAGTCCTCACTGCAACCTTATAAGATAGGTAATACTATTATTATCCCCATATTTTTAGATGTCCTCATCTGAAAAGGCACAGGCTAAAGGCATTTGCCCAAGATCATGAAACTGGTGAGTGATGGGGCCAGGTTTGAACCCAGGCAGGCTGCTTTCAGCATCTGTGTTCATAATCTCTAGCTAATTTAACATTCTCATTAGTTTTATTTATAATTTGTGGTCCCAGAATGAGACTAAAGTGAAGAGCCTGATCCCCCAAGAAAATTCATTCCTGTATTCAAAAACATACATGAAAAAAAAGCATTAAAAAGGCATACTTGACCCTCATTTTATATATTAGGCAGTTTCCTGAGCTAGTATAGTTAGCCCTGAACACTTGTATAGGGCTTTGCAAACCAAAAATATGTTGTTTTCTCCCCTGTGAGCATTATTTATAACCCTGGTCTATATGTACATCAGAGAAAAGTGGGGCCTTTATTCTTGGTGCTGGCCCCATAGACAGACTCTACCTTTCTCCAAGGAAGAGAATGAGACCGGCTGGGCGCAGTGGCTCATGCCTGTAATCCTAGCACTTTGGGAGGGGGAAGCAGGCAGATCACCTGAGGTCAGGAGTTTGAGACCAGCCTGGCCAACATGGCAAAACCCCGTCTCTACTAAAAATACAAAAATTAGCCGGGTGTGGTAGTGCATGTCTGTAATCCCACCTACTTGGGAGGCCTGAGGCAGGAGAATCACTTGAACCCGGGAGACAGAGGTTGCAGTGAGCTGAGATCAAGCCGCTGTACTCCAGCCTGGGTGACAGAGCGAGACTCTGTCTCAAAAAAAAAAAAAAAGGAAGAAAATGAGACCACCTTTTGAGTTATTGCAAACCACAACAAGGTCTCACTTGCAAAACAATCCTCCATGAAATAAATTCTATTTTATTCTCAAGAATGTCATGCAAAGTGTCCACATCCATTTCCTAATGCTTAGTGATTCTGTTAGATACCTGAAGCATTGAAGAAACAAGATTCCTATTTAATAATGAGAAATTTACATTTCATACCTTTGAATCCAGACCAAGGCCAGCACGAACCAGAATGATAGACAGGGCTATGCTTCTCAAAGAGGAAGACCACTTGTGCTTGATCTGCACATTATCGTTGATGACTGGGATATTTCTGATGAGAAACCCTGCAAGCAGCATGCCTTGAACGAAGAAATCAAACATATCTAGTTAGTTTTCAAATACAGAAAATATTTTTAGTACTTTAATTTTATACAGACTACTATATAATCCCAGGAACCACTTCACTTATGCTTAGAAGAAATTAAGTTAAACTTTTAAGTAAAAATTAGTATAATAAAGCAGCTAAGAAAATAATGTACAGATAAAAAGATAGATTATAATAATTAATATTCCCAAAATAACTGAACTTAAAAGGGAGACAAGATGCAGCATTTGGATAGAGAGTATGATCAAATTCTAAATATAAAATGTTTTAATACAATGCCAGCTCAGTCAGCCCTTTGCGTGCAAACAGCAAACAGCGCATGAAATTATTTGCTATGTCAGATTACTTGAAATATCAATAAATACTTATATGGATTCTATTTTACCTTCAGATTAGATAATTTCATAAGAGACAGATAATCTACTTTGCAAAGGTTTTAGATGTCAATTATGATGAAATGGACATTGCCCTGTCATGTCAGCTGGTGACTCTTCTTTCACTCAGTCATTCAACTGTACTGAATGCCTTCAGTAGTTTAGACACTAGAGTATGTATCACACATATAATAATGGATTACATTTCAACAAGCTTTCAGCCTCTAGGGAACAAGACAAACGGACAATACCAATTTTATGAAGGCATGAGGGGGATGTTACATGAGCTGAGGCAGGAAGGGGGATTTAGAGAAGGGGGAAGAGGATGAAGAAACGGCTAGGGGAGTTGAGAAGTTTCTGGAAAAGACAGTAGTTTATTCAAAGGTAAAAGAAAAAGTGACTCATTCTGAAAACTGCAAGTAGTTGAGTGTAACTGAGGAAGCTGAGTAGTTAGTGAGGGAATTCTGCCTTCATTGATACCACATGCCCACACAAAGGGAAAGGTTTCTGTGAGAGACTGAGCCTCTTCCCTCCATGCTTCTCCAGCAGTGCCCTCTTCTCACCTTGTCCCTATAAGCACCACACTTCAAACAACTAAATAAATTTACTGAAGTTAGGTTATTTTGTGATGCAAGATGGGAGAAGAGAGACAACCTGCTGCACATGAAAGCATCACTCCAGGTATCTCTCATCACTGCCATTTATCTACGGGAAAGTCTCGTAAGTTCTGAATGCTGTGGCAGTGGTCTTTCTGGAATGTTTATTGGGCAACAATATGAACAGGCTTGGTTTTTGGAAGAAATAATGATGAGTTATATATGCACATGGTAAAATTAAGACATTGCTGACAAAATGTAAAGTGACAAGTACATACTGTACCCCAACTGCAACCTTCCATCTTCATTCCTGAATGTATTTCACTGTTAAGGGTCTTCTGTGCCCTTCCAGAAAGTTTCTGTACCTATTCAAGTATATTTCTGTGTGTATAAGCTCTTTTGTGCTGGACACAAATAGGACACTTATACACTGCTGTACGGCTTGGGTTTTTTTCCCATTTAATAATATATCCTGGACATTTTCCCACTGAAGCACATATATATTTGCTTTATTCTCTTTTAATAACTGGAATAGTATCTCACTGTTTGGAAGTTCCATAATTTTTGGACCACTAATAATAGATTTTAAGAAACTTTTCAGGTTTTTCATTATAAACAGTGCTGAAATGAGCACAATTCATACATCAAGTATTTAAGTGCCTGCTACATGCTAGCCCTGTATGAGATCCTAGTAACAAAGAGGTGAGCTAGACCAGCAGTCCACAGCCTTTTTGGCACCAGGGACCGGTGTCGTGGAAGACGATTTTTCCACTGATGGCAGGGGGAATGGTTTCAGGATGAAGCTTTCCACCTCAGATCATCAGGCATTAATTAGATTCTCATAAGGAGCACACAACCTAGATTCCTTGAATGTGCAGTTCACAATAGAACTCATGCTCCTATGAGAATCTAATGTCACTGCTGATCTGACAAGAGGCAGAGCTCAGGCAGTAATGCTCGCTCACCTCCTGCCACGGCCCGGGGCTTGGGCACCCATGAGCTAGACTAATGTGGTCCTTGTCCATATGGAGCTTATATATTTGTAGGTTTACATTAACTATATTCATATTATAATTTCAAGCAGTGGAAATGTTAGGCCCTATGGTATAGGTATATGTCATTTTTATATATATTGATAGCTTAACAGCCAAAAATACTGCACTAATGCTTACATTCCATTATCATTACAATAGCTCTTTAATGAAATTTAAAATGTGTTTCTAAGCCACTCCTAAATTAACAATGGCATTCAATGACCTGAAATCAAATGGAATATCCTAAGAAGAACTCAAAACTATGTTAAGAGGTTTTTTTGTTTTGGGGGATATGAGGGGACATTTTTTTTTTTTTTTGAGACAGGGTCTTGATATGTTGCCCAGGTTGGTCTCAAACTCCTGGGCTCAAGCGATTCACCCACCTTAGACTCCCAAGGTGGTGGGATTACAGGTATGAGCCACTGCTCTCTCTTGGCCTGAGAGAGCATTTTTCATTCCTGAAATGAACGTGACAGCAGCTTCCCTGGGACACTGTTTCCTTTGCTAGTGGTCTGGTTGATGTAATGTGACCACCTGATTTTGATTTGGCACATGTCCCCACTCTTGCCTCTAGGGCCTCCCCTGGTCATGGAGGAAAGAACATCTTCCTGGATAGAGGAGTGTTGTTCTCTTAAAATTTTGTATTATGAAAATTATCAACACATGGCTAATCTCATTTCATCCACTCCCAAGTTTTTTTTTTATTATTTGTGTTATGGAAATTTTTTCAATAATGATTTTTCTTCTCTTCCAAAGGGAAGCCGTTTTCAAATTCATTTCAGGAATCAAAAATGCTCACTCATACTCCGACCCTGGCAATCACTTCAATTAAACTCTTAAAAATATAGAACAGGCAACCATCACATACATTTTGTCTTAATAAGTTTCCTTTATGGATTCAGATAATGCTTCAGTTTTGGATACTGGCCTTAATGTAATAAGAACCAGTAAACTTTCTTCCTCTATGCAAGTATACAACTATAAAAAAGAATGGTAAAATACATATATAATTTTTGAGAATGATTTCAGTTACCTTAGGAGATTTCATTTTATCACAAATCCCAAGACTTTACATCTTTTTGCAACATGGTATATTTTGTTTTTGCAATAGGCATGGAGTGAAAAAAAGACAAATGGGGTGTAATGGGCATTTTCATGTGTCTAGAACAACAGTCTTCAACATAGGTTGCATATTAGAATCATCTGGAGAGCTTTTTAAAACTTCTGATGTCCAGGCCATATTCCATTTCAATTAATTCAGAATCTCTGGGGTAAGACCTAGGCATCAGCTTTTTTTTTTTCTTTTTTTGAGACCGAGTCTCGCTCTGTCACCAGGCTGGAGTGCAGTGGTGCGGTTTCGGCTCACTGCAACCTCTGCCTGCTGGGTTCAAGTGATTCTCCTGCCTCAGCCTCTTGAGTAGCTGGGGCTACAGGTGTGGGCCAACCATGCCTGGCTAATTTTTTGTATTTTTAGTAGAGACGGGGTTTCATCATGTTGGGCAGGATAGTCTTGATCTCCTGACCTCGTGATCTGCCCGCCTCGGCCTCCCAAACCAGCAGCTTTTTAAAGACAGGTGATTCCTGGCCTGGCATGGTGGCTCACACCTGTAATCCCAGCATTTTGGGAAGCCAAGATACGAGGATTGCTTGAGCCCAGGAGTTCAAGACCTGCCTGAGCCATAAAGTGAGACCCTGTCTCTGCAAAAATAAAAAAGGTGTAGGGACATGTGCCTGTAGTCCCAGCTACTGGGAAGGCTGAGGCAGGAAGATTGTTTGAGCCCAGGAGATTGAGGATGCAGTGAGCCATGATTGTGCAATGATTGTGCAACTGCGCTCCACCCTGGGCAAATGAGACCCTGTCTCAAAAACAAAACAAAACAAAACAACCAATGAGAGATTCTTATGTGCAGCCAAGTTCTAGAATGAATGATCTTGCTACATAAAATGCGATCTTAGAGCTTAGAAATGCAGAATCTCAGGCCATGAAGACCTACTTAATTAGAATTTGTATTTTAACAAATTCCAAGGTCATCCTCTTTACAATGAATTTTGAGAGTCACTAATTTTGATGCAAGGGTCAGCAAAAATGTTCTGTAAAGGGCCAATGAATATCTTAGGCTTTGTGGGCTATAAAGTCTCTGTTACAACTTCACAACTCTGCCAGTATAATGTGAAGGACATAGACAATATGTAAATGAATAAACGTGGGTGGGTTCCAATTAATATTAATTTATAAAGAGAATTAGTCTGCCCACCCTTTATCCTAGCATATAGGCATATTTAAAAACAATTCATTTTAGGCGATCATTAAAAAGTCAGGAAACAACAAGTGCTGGAGAGGATGTGGAGAAATAGGAACACTTTTACACTGTTGGTGGGACTGCAAACTAGTTCAACCATTGTGGAAGTCAGTGTGGTGATTCCTCAGGGATCTAGAACTAGAAATACCATTTGACCCAGCCATCCCATTACTGGGTATATACCCAAAGGATTATAAATCATGCTGCTATAAAGACACATGTACATGTATGTTTATTGTGGCACTATTCACAATAGCAAAGACTTGGAACCAAGCCAAATGTCCAACAATGATAGACTGGATTAAGGAAATGTGGCACATATACACCATGGAATACTATGCAGCCATAAAAAATGATGAGTTCGTGTCCTTTACAGGGACATGGATGAAGCTGGAAACCATCGTTCTCAGCAAACTATTGCAAGGACAAAAAAACCAAACACTGCATGTTCTCACTCATAGGTGGGAATTGAACAGTGAGAACACATGGACACAGGAAGGGGAATATCACACACCGGGGCCTGTTGTGGGGTGGGGGGAGGGAGGAGGGATAGCATTAGGAGATATACCTAATGTAAATGATGAGTTAATGGGTGCAGCACACCAACAAGGCACATGTATACATATGTAACTAACCTGCACGTTGTGCACATGTACCCTAAAACTTAAAGTATAATTTAAAAAAAAGAAACAATTCATTTTAACAATAATACAATTAATAACTTTAGAGAACAAAAAGTTTCCATGAGAAATAATATGAATTAAGTGGACTATCTTTAGTTTTACCTAAAATTAGAAATACATTGAGAAATGGGGCATAGTAAGAGATAAATAATTCTACTTCTTTTTATATTTAACTTTAACTACTGACCACAAGTTCAAAAGCAGATAATTTTGGTGAATGTTAGCGAATCCTGATTGTTCTCACTCATACAGCTAACAGAAAAAAAAAAACTGTTCAGGAAATGTGTGTAAATATATATGCATGTATGAAAGGTAGGTGGTTTTTTACTAAAACTGAGTGATTAATAAATCTGTTAGAAATGAACACAAAATGCCTCTGTGGTAAACAAATTTTATAATGCAGAATTCTTTTTTTTTTTTTTTTTTGAGGCGGATTCTCGCTCGGTCACCCAGGCTGGAGTGCAGTGGCGCGATCTCGGCTCACTGCATGCTCCACCTCCCGGGTTCACGCCATTCTCCTGCCTCAGCCTCCCGAGTAGCTGGGACTACAGGTGCCCGCCACCACGCCTGACTAATTTTTTTGTATTTTTAGTAGAGACGGGATTTTACCATGTTAGCCAGGATGGTCTCAATCTCCTGACCTCGTGATCTGCCCGGCTTGGTCTCCCAAAGTGCTGGGATTACAGGCGTGAGCCACCGCACCTGGCCTATAATGCAGAATTCTTTGAAGAAACGTTAAAGGTATCACACCTAGTTTTAAGACTAATTTGTGTATGTGTCTTGTTTGGGCAGTTCTCATTGCCTCTGGAAGAGTATTTTCAGCTATGTCTTTAAGAATCATGGTATTTTATTTCATTTTTATCTTTTTTGAGATGGAGTCTCGCTCTTGTCACCCAGGCTAGAGTGCAGTGGTGTGATCTCAGCTCACTGCAACCTCCACCTCCCAGGTTTAAGTAATTCTCCTATCTCAGCCTCCCAAGTAGCTGGGATTACAGGCACCCGCCACCACGCCCAGCTAATTTTTTTATTTTTAGTAGAGATGGAGTTTCACCATGTTGGCCAGGCTGATCTTGAACTCCTGACCTCAGGTGATCCGCCTGCCTTGGCCTCCCAAAGTGCTGGGATTACAGGTGTGAGCCACCATGATCGGCCAATATTATATTTTAAATATACCCAATGGTGTGCTGGTAAATGCTTAACAGGTGGCTTGCCAAAAAAGTATGCATTTTATATAGGCACATACATTATTAAATTTTACTGATATAAAGGATGTGCAGCACACAGTTTACAAATATACAACCATCTTCACTGTAAATTCTATATAGCCAATTTATTCTCACAGAATGTTTTCACTGCTGTTTGTCAAACTTCTGTGTCCATAACCATCTATGGTTGCAGTTCTACCAAGATTTGACAGAATCAGACTACAAATAAATGGTTGCATACTATCTGATTCAGCAAAGAAGTCACATATCATGAATGAGCAAGTGCAGTGTTACCATGAATGTTGGTTGATATTTTTGCTTATAAGATGAAAATGAAACAATAAAAATACATGTCAGAACTTCACTCTGTCAATGTCATAAGTGACTTATACTATGACAAACTTTGATTTGTAGCATTTGCTGATTTTTTTTGTTGTTGTTGTTACAGATACTTCTACCATGGCCGATTTTAAGCTACAACATGATGTCACTGAACGTGGAGTTGGGAAGAGGTGGCAGTGGCACACCATTATGTAGTATTTCCATAATCTCAAGAGCATAGGTGAGGGGAAATAGACTAAAACATTAGGAAGTCTTCAGTGTTGAGCACTGAATGCTTGTTTTTAATGTCAGTTAATTTTAAGTATATATATATATATATATATATATATATACACACACACACACACATATATACACACACACACACACAAACACAAACATATTTTGAGACAAGGTCTCATTCTGTTGCCCAGATTGGAGTGTAATGGTGCAATCATGACAGCCTCGACCTCCTGGGTTCAGTCAATCCTCCCACCTCAGCCTCCTGAGTAGCTGGGACTACAGGTGCACGTCACCATGCCCGGCTAATTTTTGTATTTTTTTTGTAGAGACAGGGTTTCACCATGTTTGCCCTGGCTGGTCTCGAACTCCAGAGCTCAAGCAATCTGCCTACCTTGGCCTCCCAAAGTGCTGGGATTACAGGTGTGAACCACAGCACACGGGCCAGGATAATTTAATTTTTTAAATTGCTATGTTTAACAACTAGATTACAGAACTACTCAAAATTTAACAACTGGCTTTTGGCTCCAGCATGGCAAATACAGAAATATTTTATTCCTTTATTTCCCAAAGCTTTCCAAACTATTATCTTAAAAATATAGTTTACTCTGGATAGAACAGGAAACATTTAGCACTTACCAAGAAGAGAAGGCAGTGGAGGCAATGTAGGTAACTTAATAAGCCCCAAAAGTTTACCACCAATGATGGCACAATAGAATAGGATTATAATTCCAAATAGGTTTCCTCCAGGAAGACATTCACTGCCAGTAATTGACCAAACTACAGCCCACAGAAGAACAATGATGGTAACTGAAATAAACCAGGAATACTAGTTACTATCAATAAGTTGTCACATGGAGGTTTTGACAAAATCTAAAATAATTTGTAAAAATAAATACTGAATGAAAATGCAAATATTTATAATCATGTTTAATCTGTAAAGAGTATCAGTAAGATGACCAACTGGGTAACTGCCAACATCTTAAGAAATCGGATATTACCAGTACTTTTGAATCTGCCTATGTGCCCCTCCCCATCCATCTCCCTTTATACTGCCAGAAGGAACCATTATTTTGACTTTCTTCACCATTCACTTTTTTCTTTATAATTTTAACACAAATTTAGTTCTGTCTTGAATTAGACATTATTGTTACTTTTTTTATAGTCAATATTTGTTTAGAATTACCTACTAAGGTACCTTTTTTGAAATCATCATTCATTATGGCATCTCAAACTTTTCTTTCTTTTTGTTTTGAAACAGGGTCTCCCTCTGTAGCCCAGGCTGGAGTGCAGTAGCACAATCATGGCTCACTACAGCCTCAACCTCCCAGGCTCAAGTGATCATCCTGCCTCAGCCTCTCATGTAGCTGGGACTACAGGTGTGTACCACCATGCCTGGCTAATTTCTTAAAAATTTTTTAGTGGAGACAGGGTTTCATCTTGTTACCCAGGCTGGTCTTAAAGTCTTGAGCTCAAGTGATCCTCCTGTCTCAGCCTTCCAAAGTGCTGGGATTACTGGTGTGAACCTCCTCATCCAGCCTCAAATTTTTCATCTGGGACAATTATCCTGCTGCCTAAAGCATTTCCTTTAGGAAAAGCATTTCTATAAGAATGTGAAATAGGCCAGGCATGGTGGTTTATGCCTGTCCCATCACTTTAGGAGGTCAAGGCAGGAGGATTGCTTGAGCTCAGGAGTTCGAAACCAGCCTGAGCAACATAGTGAGACCTTGTCTCTACTAAATATAAAATATAAAAATTATCTGGGTATGGTGGTGGGCATCTGTAATCCCAGCTACTCGGGAAGCTGAGGCAGGAGGATCCCTTGAGCCCAGAAGTTTGAGGATGCAGTGTGCTACGATTGCACCACTGCACTCCAGCCTGTGTTACACAGCGATACCCTGCCAAAAAAAAAGTGAAATGTTTCCATTTGAAAACTTGTGTTTTACAAAACTGTGCACTAAAAATTGAAAAGTTTATGGGAAAAAGAGAGTTGGGGCAGACCACTCAAAACTGGTGGCCAAAGCACTAAGAAAAACCAAAACAATCCTAATAAGAGTCTTAGCACAGATGAATCTACACACTGACATTTGTGTCCCATACAGGCAGTCTGTTCTTTACAGACTTAAACCTGGCCTCCCATTTCCTACTTCAAGATGGAAATTCTTGAGGGTATTTTCTTTAAACAGAGAGCAGTTCCATCAAAATCTGATCCATATTTTAGCCCTCTGCCTCAATACAATAAATTTCAACAAAAGGAAAAGCGTTGGCAGCTTCTTTACCTCAGCTTATACTCTCAGCCGCTTCATCCACATGTGTTTTATTAGATAGCTTAATGTTGTAGAATGTTTGAGTCCTTGAAGCCCCTAAACCAGCTACTAATTGCATGAAAAGTCAGCACTTCCACAGAGATTTCGTCCTTTAAAAGGTCCTCATGCAGGGAAGGCTTTATCTTTAATTGTAAGAAAGCATATATTTGGTCTTTTCTTCCCCAGTTCACTTTGCCTTCACTTGCTATTGCTTGACGATACAAAATATTATGGGCCAGGAAAAATTATACACAAAACTGCAAATTCCATACACTCTAACAAAATTCTATTTACCATTGCATATGAGCTAATTCATGACATAGAAACACTCTGTATCACAGCATGTTGTATTTCTCAGGAGAATCTGTTACAGTAAATTCTTAGTTGTATCATCTGGAATTATCTTTATTCTCATTCTTAAAGGATAGTTTTTCTAGGTATACCTCAGTTTTATGTTAAATTCTAGGTTGAGTGTTATTGTTTCTCCATTCCTTGAAAATACTATTCCTTGGTTTTCTGGTTTTGAAGAGCCTGATTTCAGCTTTTTAAAGGAATTCTTTTTCCTTGTTTTCAACATCTTCTCTTTTTCTTTGGTTTTCCTTTCAGTATGATGTGTTTAGGTGTGACTTCCTTTTGTTTTGCTTAAGATTTATGTTTTTTAAAAAAAATCAGTTCTGGAAAATTCTTAGCCTTTATTTCTTCAAAGATTTCCTCTTCCCCATTCTCTTTTTCCATGTTGCTAACCCTAGTTTTCGTATCTTTCATCTTTGTGTGTACTGCATTCTAGATAATCTCTTCACATTTATTTGCCAGTTCACCATTTTTTTCACTTAATCTGCTGCCTAATTTGTCCAGTGAGTTTTTAATTTCAATTACTATCCTATATCTTTCATTTCTAGAAGTTCAAGTTGGTTCTTCTTCAAATCTATTCATTTTTAAAAGTTACTTGTTTTGTACTCATGTTTTCTAATTCTTAACTTCTTTATATATATAAATGTCTTATATTCTGTTTTCTGATAATGTACATTTTTGAAATCTGTTTTTTTGTTTCCTTTTGCATGTTTTTTTTGTTTGTTTTTTTTTTTTTTTTAGTTTTTTTGCAATAGTGAGCTCTCCCTTGGAACTTTGTCTAGTTTGTTTTTTGCAATAGTGAGCTCTCCCTTGGAACTTTGTCTAAAACTAAACTTTTTAGTTTGTCTTTTGCAACAGTGAGCTCTCCCTTGGAACTTTGTCTAACTTTGTTGAAGCCTTAGGTTGAATGAGTTTTCCCAGATGGGAATGAATTTACTTCTACCATGTACTTAAAAGCTTCCCATCCAAGACCATCTGAAAATGTTTTTTGAAAATAGATACATTTTCAAATTGAATTTTTTCTGTGAAATTGGAGACAAATCAGGATGAAGTTAAACATTTTTATTGGCGACTCCACACCTGCCCCAGCCAGCAACTACAGTTGAGACAGGTTTAGTCAGAGGCCCCATCTGCAGAACAGATTTACCTCAAATTTGGCATCACACTGGGTTTCAACTTTATATGGGTGAAGGAGAATGCTTTTTCCTGTTAGACTTCTCCCAACCTGGGCAGGCTCTAGCTTAGCCTCCTGTGCTCACAGCGCTCTCAAAATCAATCTCAAATTCCCTGAGGTGGATCTAGAACTAGAAATACCATTTGACCCAGCCATCCCATTACTGGTATATACCCAAAAGATTATAAAACATGCTGCTATAAAGACACATGCACACGTACGTTTATTGAGGCACTATTCACAATAGCAAAGACTTGGAACCAAGCCAAATGTCCAACAATGATAGACTGGATTAAGAAAATGTGGCACATACACACCATGGAATACTATGCAGTCATAAAAAATGATGAGTTCATGTCCTTTGTAGGGACGTGGATGAAGCTGGAAACCATCATTCTCAGCAAACTATTGCAAGGACAAAAAACCAAACACCGCATATTCTCACTCATAGGTGGGAATTGAACAATGAGAACACATGGACACAGGAAGGGGAATATCACACACCGGGGCCTGTTGTGGGGTGGGGGTAGGAGGGAGGGATAGCAATAGGAGATATACCTAATGTTAAATGACGAGTTAATGGGTGCTGCACACCAACATGGCACATGTATACATATGTATCAAACCTGGACGTCGTGCACATGTACCCTAAAACTTAAAGTATAATAATAATTAAAAAAAAAGTTCCCTGAGGTTTGGTAGAAACCTCCAGGGTGGGGCCACCTTGAGTGCTTACTGACCTCTGCTACTTACACTTTGGTTTTGGTGTCTGATGATTCCCTGTTTTCTTGACAGATCATTTCAAAAGACTTAAAACATTTTTTCAGATGATGTCCTTGGTTTGTGACAAGATTGTTCATTGAGTCTCATCTACCATACTGCTAGAGACTGAATTCAATGTCCCTTTTTCTAAACCCTCACAGAATTGTTCCAGATTTTCTAGGCTTATGATACTACTGCAGTGGAATACCTAAGGGACTTCCAGTATTTTCCAATTAGCTACAAGGGTTGAAATTTCTATGCGATATCAGAGGTAGAATGGGAAAGCAGGATTTGCCAGCTATTATACTAAATTATACTTTATCATAGCATAAACCCAAGCTAATATTAAATTCAGCAAGGTAGAATTAAGTGTTTTCTCTTTTCGGCTGGGCGCAGTGGCTCACGCCTGTAATCCCAGCGCTTTGGGAGACGCCGAGGCAGGCGGATCATGAGGTCAGAAGTTCGAGACCAGCCTGACCAACATGGTGAAACCCCGTCTCTACTAAATACAAAAATTAGCCGGGCATGGTGGCACGTGCCTGTAATCCCAGCTATTCAGGAGGCTGAGGAAGGAGAATTGCTTGAACCCAGGAGGTGGAGCTTGCAGTGAGCCGAGATCGAGCCATTGCACTCCAGCCTGGGCAACAGAGTGAGACTCCATCTCAAAAAAAAAAAAAGAGAGATTTTTCTACTTCAAGACTATTAAAAAAATCTCTCTTTCCCTGTGCTTTACTTGAAACACAGTTGTAAATACATAGCAAATGGTATGTCTATAAGGTTTCTCTAAATCATGTTTAAATCAGTTAACAATTTACTTCTCATTTACGATTATGGAAAACCACAAATTTTCACATGTAAGATTTACTTTTTTTATTTTTATTTTTTGAGACAGTTTCACTCTTGTCACCCAGGCTGCAGTGCAATGGCACGATCTCAACCTCCGCCTCCCAGGTTCAAGTGATTCTCCTGTCTCAGCCTCCTAAGTAGCTGCAATTACAGGCACCCACCACCATGCATGGCTAATTTTTTGTATTTTTAGTGGAGATGAGGTTTCACTATGTTAGCCAGGCTGGTCTTGAACTCCTGACCTCGTCATCCACCTGCCTTGGCCTCCTAAAGTGCTGGGATTACAGGTTTGAGCCACTGTGCCCAGCCTACTTTTTAAGAAGAATACTGATATATACTGCATAGGCACAGGAAAAAATATAGGACAAAAGTCGTCTTGTAAACCTCTGGAACAGAAGAACAGAAAAATAAGCGATGAGATGTTTATCTACCATGAACCTCATTTTTCAGGCTGCTTTATGAACGATTATACATTTTTAAAAAATGTGTCCCAAAATTACATTATTCATTTTTACTCTTTCCTTATGTCAGTCCATATCTGTTTCATTGTAAACGTTTTAACTATAAGTAGGCCATATTTTGAATAATAAAAGTTTAAAAAAATAATGAAAAGAACAGAAAAGGTATTCAATTATCTGTGATCTTATCAGCTAGTGTATATTTTTGGATTCTGGTTTTCTGTACATGTTCTAAGTTTGAGATTTTCTTCCATGCTTAGTTAAGTAAACTGACTTGGTTTCATTAAAAACACATCTAGAGCCTAAAGTATAGTATATTATGCTTATCTTTCATTGTCCCAGATGATAATGGTAAACATGTCTTTCAGAGCCCACAAAGTATAACTATGGAATTGAGTCTCATTTTTCAGTAAACATATGTGGGCATCCATATATTTACTTCAATGATGCTATTATTCTTGAACACAATTTTTGAAATTGCCTTTAAATTTTCTTTAAAAGGCAAATTTAGTAAGACATAAAATTATGAAACTATTAGAAAAAAAACATAAATAAAAAGCTCCATGACACTGGTCTGAGCAATAACTTTTTGGATATGACTCCAAAAATATAGGCAACAAAAGCAAGAACAGACAAACCAGATTACACCAAACTAAAAAGCTTTTGCACAGTAAACAATCCACGGAGTGAAGAGACAACCTACAGAATGGGAGAGAGCAGTTGCAAACTATGTACCTGGCAAGGAGTTAATGTCCAGAATATAAAAGGAACTCAAAAAACTCAATAGCAGGAAAACAAATAATCCAATTTAAAATGGGCAAAGACCTGAATTTTTCAAAAGAAGACATACAAATGGCCAAACAGGTATAGGAAAAAATGTTCAACATTTCACCTCATGCCTGTCAGGATGGCTATTATCAAAAAGACAAAAGATAACAAGGGGTTGGCAAGGATGTAGAGAAAAGGTAACTCTGTGCACTATTGGTGGGAATGTAAATTAATACCACTATTATGGAAAATGGTATGGAGAGTCCTCAAAAAAGTAAAAATGGTACTACCATATGATCCTGCAATCCCATTACTGGGTATGTATCCAAAGGAAATGAAATCGGTATGTTGAAGAGATTTCTGCACTCCCATGTTTATTGCAGTACTATTCACAATAGCCAAGATATGGAATCAACCCTAAGTGTCCAACAATGAATGACTGGATGAAGAAAATATGTGTATATACACAATGATATGCTTTTCAGCCATAAAAAAGAATGAAATCCTGTCATTTGCAACAACATGGATGAACCTGGAGGACATTATGCTAAGTGAAGTAAGCCAGGCACAGAGAGACAAATACTGCATGTTCTCACTCATATGTAGAATCTAAAACAGTTGTTCATATGGAAATAGTAAATAGAATGGTGATTACCAGGGACTGGGGAGGGGAGGAGCTTGGGGTTATGGGGAGAGAGTGGTCAACAGGTACAAAGTGATAATTAGATAGGAAGAGTAGTTTGTTCTGTACCACAGCAACGTGACTATAGTCAGGAATAAGGTATTGTATACCTCAAAACAGAAGATTTTCTATGTTCTCACCATGAAGAAACGATAAATGCTTCATGTGTTAGATATGCTAATTAGCTAGATTTGATCATTATATAATATATACATGTATTGAAACATCATATTGTACCCCACAAATATGTACAAATATGTGTCAAAAATAAAAATAAATAAATAATGCTGATGAATGGATGTTTATGTTTTTGAACAATTCTTTTTATATTTTGATGTTAAAATTATCTTTATCTTTTGAAAATATGATTTATAAAAGTGAAAAATTGTGGATAGATTCCAGGCATTTAAAAGTTGGCCGGTTAAAACTAGTTTTGCCAGATGCAGTGGTATACATCTGTAACAAGCTACTTGGGAAGCTGAGGTGGGAGGATCCCTTGAGCTTAGGAGTTCAAGACAAACCTGGGCAACATAACAAGATCCTGTCTCCAGGAAAAAAAAGGTTGGGTGGGGGAGGTGAAAGTGGCAGGAAGACCATGACCAATGCCTTGACATGTAATTTTCTCTAGACTTTAAATCTGAAGATCCATGAAAAAAAAAATGTACACACACGCACACACACACACACACACACACACACATATAACTCAAGTATATTGGGTGATATATATTGGGTTGTTGGTCACAGGATACAAAATTTCAGTTAGACAGGAGGAATAAGTTTAAGAGGTCTATTGAACAACATGAAGACTGTAGTTAATAAATATATTGTATTCTTGAAAAATACTAACAGTGAATGTATTGTGTTCTCACCACAAAAAATGACAGCTATGTGAGGTAATACATATGTTAATTAGCTAAAATTAGTCATTCCAGTATGTATACATACTTCAAAACATCATGTTGCACATGGTAAATACATACAATTTTATCTATCAATGTAAAAAATAAAATAAATTTTAAGTCTCAATAAAAGAATACTGTCTTCTTAAAAAAACCTAATTTGCCTTTATAGATAATTTTCAAATCTCTTCTTTTTTCTGCTTTATCACATATTCCCCCAGCATACACAGCACAGACACACATATGCACACAATTCATTTCTGAAGAAAAATAGGGCATAAATCAATCTGAACTTCCATATATTTATCAAATTGATGGCAGAATAACCTTTGGCTTCCTTCAAAGACCAAATCCATTCCTGAAAGACAAACATATACAAGCCTAAAAATTTTCAAAATAGTGCTGAGATAAACTCCCAAAGAAAAATCCCCCAAATGTCTTATGTAACAGCAACTCTACTAAAATAAGCTGAATTGCAAACCAATATTCTTACTTATAAAGTAATAGGATTCATCTGGAAGTATAAATGGGGCTGTGTTTGCTAAAATATTACTTGCATTACTTAACAGTAATAACAACAAACGTTTATGTAGTGTTTTACAGTCCTAACGTAATCCTGTGAAATTACTCAGATATAGTAAAGGAAAAGGTCCTTGATCTGTGTTCCTTCCCCCTTCCCACAATGGTGGTGACCACAGTGATCCTGAAAGCCAAGGTGAAGACAGTGGAGCCCTGTTAGTCTAGGTCCTTCCCTTGAATGTGTGGAGCAGAGCCACCCATGTGTGTGAATTGTTCACCAACTAGTTTTTATGTTTGGGAGAAGTGAACTTCTTTTTGTCCTTTCAACCATATTATTTAGTAATCTGCCATTATAACAACTTCATCTTTTGCCATCTCTTTCTGAATTCATCCTTACCATTTGTTATGACCCTGTCCAGTAAACCATGTGGAGGGCAAGCCAGCATTTGTCTCAGTCTTTGTACGTGATTTGCTTCAGTTGGTGTTTCTTGTAGCTTTTTTTCACTGCTTTTCAAAAGAATACTTCCTTCTGTTGGTTCATTTGCATCTATACCTTTGAGCTTCATAACTGTCTCCTCCTGTGTTTAAAGTAATTTTAAAAATCCTTAAAACTGTATATATTTTACACATATTTATAGGTACTGCATCATCACCTTACAAATCAAATTTCTATGACTAGCATCAAGGATAACACTTTGTAGAAAAAACTCACAGCTTTATTACTAGCTAATCAGCTTGAAACAAGAATGATACTAGGAGTATTTAGCACAGTCACTATTTTTAGTACAGGTTGAGTATCACTAATCTGGAAATCTAAAATCTGAAATGCTCCAAAATCTGAAACTTTTTGAGCACTGACATGACACACAAGTGAAAAATTCCACACCTAAAGTCACATGACAGGTAACAGTCAAATGCAACTTTGTTTCATGTACAAATTATTTAAAATATTATATAAAATTACCTTCGGATTACCTGTATAAATATGAAACATAAATAAATTTCCTGTTTAGACTTGGGTTCCATCTGCAAGATATCTCATTAGGTGCATGCAAATATTAAAAAAAAAAAAAATCCAAGACACTTATAGTCCCAAGCATTTCAGATAAGGGATATTCAACCTGTATTATAAATGCTTGGGTCACATAACATTTTATTATGTTTTATAATACTGGGTTTTAAAATAAGCATATTTAAGATAAAATTCAGGGCAATAATTGGCACATATACCAAAGTGGTTTAGAAAAAGATAACTATCTGTAATGAAAACCACTTCACATTCATTAATCTACTTGAATTTAAACAATAAAAAGGAAGAAACCAAAACCATTCTAGAGATTAGGTCAGAGACACAAAGCGTTTCATAGGCTCTCCATTTTTCTAGTTACAGGTAGGGTCAGCTGGCAATGATGTTAGCTGGGAAAACTGGTAGTCACACCTGCCTTGGATTGTGTAAGTTTGGGGATAGGAGAATTGGTAAATGAGTGGTAGAATATGAAGAAAACACAATTCTATCACAGCTTAGATTTACCTGTGCTTCTTGATGCATGGAGGGCGTGTAATTCATTCCTGTGGATGGTTCTGAATCTTCATATGTAATTCTTTTATCTTCATCCCCCATTATTTATAATTAAGAAGATGACACAGGGAAGAGGAACGAGATCTGTTTTGAAAGAGTATAGATATAGAGCAGTAATTTGAAAGTCTTGTGATTTCAAAGACTTTGGATTGTACTTATTTTTTTCCCTAAAAATTCCGAATGGCTAAACTATTTGAAATTAGACTATTCTTAATTTTCAATGGCTGGTTATTGTTTTTGCTTGATTCTAGTATATTATCATCATTCTTATCTACCTTTTTATTTTTCTTGAAAAAGCCTTTGTTGACCAATCACATTTTTATGATTTCTTTCCCATATTATTTTTTGAGTTAAACTTAAAAACAATCCAAGCAATATCAGTGTTAAACTGTCCTCTCTCATGGGCCAACTGGATGAAGCAGGAAGTCTCCAGGTAACTTTCCAATGTTGATATGAGGAATGAGTCACTAAAGGGAAATCTCTGGATTTCATCCTTTTCGGAGAATCTAGAGTCACTAACTCCTGCCTGGTTCTTATTTCTAAATTAAAGTTTAAAAATACACCACAATTGACTGAGTAGCCAGAATGTCTCAGACACTATGATGAGTGCTATGGTAGTCACTTTTTAGTCATTGTGGGCAATTCAAAGATTACCAAAACATATTGTTTGTTTTCCATTGACTTATCATATACCAGGAAAAATAAATTTATACCAAATAACTAAGAAAACCTGTAAGACTACGGATTGGCTCAATAAACACTCACTTCAACACATTCTCCCTTGGCTTTCCATGCTATACAGGCTACAAGGCAAATACAGCACTCCAGTTCCTAGCCACTTTTGTAGGTAGAGGTGGCCATGTGTCACAGTTCTACATATGAGATTTAGGTGGGAGTTTTGGGGGAGGCCTTTAGAAGATAATACTTTGTACTTTTTGTCCTCTAACATTTCCCTTTCTCCTTCCTAGAATGTAGATACAGTGCCTGGAAGGGCAACAGACATCTTTCAAGCATGAGAATAAAAGCCCTCTATTTAGGATAGTAGATAAGTAAGATAGGAGAAGCTGGTTCCTTGATGACATCTTCCAGTTGCTCCATCAGCCTTGGACTGCCAAGCATTGGGGTAATTGTTTAAACCACTATTAATCAAGTTTTTTCTTCTTTTTTAACTAGTAAGGAAACTTACTCCTAATGCAACAAGTAGAATGAGTATCTTGATAGAGGTACACACTACAAACTTGTGGTAGAATCAAAGAGAAAATTATGTAAGAGAAGGGAAAATCTAATTCAACACATATCAAAGTGCCTAATGGGTTCCAGGCACTATGCTAGACATAAAGACAAGGATGAATTAGACAGGACCCCTCCCTCAAGGAATCATTTTCTCTGTTCAACGAAGTGCCAAGAAATTTGCATTTAAAACTTCAAAAAACATCATAATCTTTTTACCACAACCACCCCCATTTTTCCTACTTACAAAACACATGGTAACCAGAGTCCCATCTCAAAAAAACCTTTAGTTTGTTTTTTATTATACATAATTTGTAATAAATGTTTATATAATGATATATATGTATGTGTATGTATGTTTGTATATATAATTTTTTAAATTAAAAAACTTATTTCAAAATTTAGACTGATAATAAAAAAGTCACTTGATGAGAAAATGTTAGACTCAGAGAACACTTGTCTTAAAGGCATGGAGACATGAAAGCCAGTGGTGTGTGAGGGGAAACTGCTGGAGCTTGTGGCAGGAGGCTGAGAGTAATGCGAGATCAGGTTAAAGAGTTAGGATATCATATCTCAAACCACGGCACTTGGCCTTTACCTTCTGAAGTGAATGACCCCAAATATGGTAACTGACAAGATGGGCTGGGTTCGAATTTGGATAAGCCTGAATTTGAAGTCCATCTATACCAAATTGCTTAACCTCTTTGTGATTAGTTTCTTATTTATGAAATGGAGACAAGAATAGTTCTAACTATGCACAGTTGGCATTCAATAGTGTTGGTTATTGCTAACCATGCATATTCCTTCTTCCTGATTATCATAAGAAGAATCTTTAAGAATCATTTTGCTTTCCCTATTAAGCAAGAAAAAGTCACCTCAACCTTGAAGAATTTACTACTTAATCCCATTGATTTTATTTGGTCATGATTTTTCATCTGTTTTTGAGGCCCACTTCTTGATCAGGTGGATGTAACATTCATTTCTTCACCCTTCTCATTAGGAGAATTACATAGAAATTCTTTGGCAGTACCACTAGAATTACCTCTTTCATCAAATTCTCAAAATCAGCCCATTCTGCCACTTACAAAAACTATTTTTAAATAGTCGTGAATTAGAAATTATTATTTTTAGTAGACAAAAACTATTGGTTAAAATGAAGCCTTTGCGAACAAATTTTATCAATGTTATTATGGGGTCCTTTTAAATATAAACAATCACAACTTGGCATGTTATGCCATCTGTGGGAATTTATATAATTTTACATTCCAGAAAAGTTCCCTATTCTCCAATACTCTCAACCATAAATGCCAAAGTACTTATACATGATCAGAAAGGTACTGCAGAAATAAAGGGTAAAATGAAATACATGTCTTTTAATGAGCCCAGTAAGAGATCTTACAACTAGTCAGCTGTATTTGTTTGCTCTCTGCTGTGTTTCCATTTCTAAAAGACCATTTAAAATGCATGTCTCACTTCAGGAACCTACTTAAATTTAGGAAAATTTCAAAAATGTTAGCTTTACTTAAAGTGACCATGTTCATGGTATTTATTATTTATAGTCATTGGGTCTTGAAATTACAAAAATGACCTTTGAAGGGCCATAAAAAATGTCATGAAATGCTTATTAGAAAGTTTATTCTCCTTACTCATAGAGAGGCTCTTAAGGACTCATGCAGAGCCCATTAACCCTTATTTTGTTTTGTTTGTTTGTTTGATTTTTGAGACGAAGTCTCCCTCTGTTGCCCAGGCTATAGTGCAGTGGCATGATCCTAGCTCACTGCAACCTCCGCCGCCTGGGTTCAAGAGACTCTCCTGCCTCGGCCTTCTGAGTAGCTGGGATTACAGGTGCCCGCCACCTCGCCTGGCTAATTTTTTGTATTTTTAGTAGAGATGGGTTTTCGCCATGTCAGCGAGGCTGGTCTCCAACTCCTGACCTCAGTGATCCACCCGCCTAGGCCTCCCAAAATGCTGGGATTACAGGCATGAGCCACCATGCCCGGCCCTTATTTCGAAAACAATTCTAATGACTTTGCTCCTTTGTTTTTCAAACCCTCAGAAGATTAGGTGTTAAATATTAAAATTCAGGAAGAGATTGCTGTGATAGAGGCAAATTGAGAGCAGCATTAGTGACTGATGACAGTGAAAGAGATGAAAAAGACAGCAATCTAAGAGTCATTTATAGTGGGGGCGACAGAGCAAGACTGTATAAAAAAAGAAAAAAGAAAAAAGTTTTCTTAACCTTTTCTCCCCACTTGAAAGAATTGTCCTTAAGAGATCAAGAATATAAGCAGTTTGATATATGTACCTGTTAAGAAGGAAACAGAAAAAAAAAATCCTTTAACAGCAGTTGCCTTTGGGAAGGGAAATGGAAGAGGAGTGGCTGGACTTTCTTTCTTATTTTCTAAGAAAGATTTTCTTATGTAGGATTTTCTTATGTAATTTGATATATATATATATTTTGTTGTTGTTGTTGTTGTTTTTTTGAGATGGATTCTCGCTCTGTCACCCAGGCTGGAGTGCAGTGGCATGATCTTGGCTCACTGCAACCTCCGCCTCCTCGGTTCAAGTGATTCTCCTACCTTGGCCTCCCAAGTAGCTAGGACTAGAGGCATGCACCACCACGCCTGGCTAATTTTTGTATTTTTTTTTTTTTTTTTTTTAGAAGGAGTCTCACTCTGTCACCAGGCTGAAGAGGGATTGCAATGGCACGATCTCAGCTCACTGCAACCTCCACCTCCCAGGTTCAAGTGATTCTCCTGCCTCAGCCTCCTGAGGGACTACAGGCACATGCCACCATCCCTTGCTAATTTTTGTATTTTTAGTAGAGACGGGGTTTCACCATGTTGGCCAGGATGGTCTCGATCTCTTGACCTCATGATCCACCTGCCTCAGCCTCCCAAAGTGCTGGGATTACAGGTGTGAGCTACCACACCCGGCTAATTTTTGTATTTTTAATAGGGATGGGTTTCACTATGTTGGCCAGAATGGTCTCAAACTCCTGACCTCAAGTGATCCACTGGCCTTGGCCTCCTAAAGTGCTGGGATTAGAGATGTGAGCCACCCTGCCTGGCCCTAATTTTAAATACATTTAAAAATAATCTACTCAATTCCTAAAGCTTTAGAGAAAAGAAAATGGTACCACATTTCTTGGTAATATTTCTCATAGATACAGTCTGGTGATTTGATTTGAGGTAACTTAATAACACCTGCCACAATTTAAAATCATTTTTTGTAGTTGTGATTTTTCAAAGAAGATGAGTAACTGCCCAGAATCACCAATAGCAGTGGTTTTCAAAATTTTCAAGTTTGGCTTTCATGTTTTTTTTTTTTTTTTTTTTGAGGTGGAGTTTCGCTCTTTTGCCCAGGCTGGAGTGCAGTGGCGAGATCTCAGCTCACTGCAACCTCTGCCTTCCGGTTTCAAGCTATTCTCCTGCCTCAGCCTCCCGAGTAGCTGGGATTAAAGGTGCCGGCCACCATGCCCAGCTACTTTTTCTATTTTTAGTAGAGATGGGGTTTCACCATGTTGGCCAGGCTGGTCTCAAACTCCTGACCTCATGATCTGCCCGCCTTGGCCTCCCAAAGTGCTGGGATTACAGGCGTGAGCCACCGCACCCAGCCCTGGTCTTCATATCTTTATGTCAAATATCTTTCATCAAATGAAACCTAATCCTTAAATCCTACAAATGGAACGACTAAGGTGGCGCTGCAGGAGCCCTGTCTACTCACCCCTGTTCCTTCTGGCAAGTGGAGCATACTTTGGAAACCATTTCTGTAAATATGTTTTCACATAGAGAGATATTTGTTAAATGTTCTCTTTTTCATATTATCTTACTAATGTAAATGTTTACAAGTACTTTCTGTAATATTCCAGAAGAAATAAAGGAACTATCAACTTACAAATGTCCGTAGGCTCTCGGTCAAGTAAAATAGACTTACTGCTATCATTTCAGTTACTGCTAAAAGATATGGATAAAGACTTTTTATTCTTGCTATTTGCTGCCTGTGATTTGGATAGGCTGACATTTAAAGGAGTAATCTTATGGAGAATTTACATATATTGCTTGCTATGGCTTGAATGTTTGTGTCCCTCCAAAATTCAGATTTTGGAATGTAACTGCCAAGGTGATGGTATTAAGAGGGAGGTACTTTGGGGAAGTGATTAAGTCACCAGCACTCAACCCTCATGAATGGGACTAGTGCTCTTATAAAAGAGGTCAAAGGGAGCAGCCTAGTCCCTTTGGCTCTTTCCCTTCCACCATCTGAGAACACAGCATTAGTCTCTTCCTCCATGTGAAGAAGACATGGCAAGAAGGCACCATCTTGCAAGCAGAGATCAAGTGTGTAACAGACATCAAATCTAATTAGCACCTTGACCTAGGACTTCCCAGCCTCCAGAACTGTGAGAAATAAATTTGATTATTTATAAATTAATTAGTTTGTGGTATTTTGTTACAGTAACAAAAATGGACTAAGACATTGCTAGAGTACTCTGGGTTGTATTCATGCCTTTGAAAGAGCATCACTATGATTGTTCAATACTCTATAATGATAATAATAACAACAATCTCCTGCCTTTGTGTTCATCCATTCATGTGTTGAACGTATAGGTTCTCAGTCTCATACAGTATTTCTACATAGAACATACAGAAACATTCCAGTTTCTGTATTTGCTTATCAACACTGATCTAATGGTCATTTCCCAAAAGGAGCCCTACCCAGCAATGAGGAATTCAGATCAGGCTCAGAGTAGGGCTTAACACTTTCTTAGACAATTAATTACTAAAATGACTAACAGTGTTTCCCTGAATGAGAACTACCTTATCTGAAAGACTTAGGTGTGTCAAATACATGTGGCCAAGTTACCAAAGGAAAACAACCGCTATTTTATTTGGTTAATTGATTTAGTAATTTCATTGACTCATGAAGGAAAACACTATATAATGAGATAAGAATAAAAGGAAATTACCCCTACATAAGGGACCCAATACTTGCTTTCATCCTTTCTATTCTCTCTCCTCACCAAAGTGAAATATACTTACTAAAAGTTTAAAATATTATTTCTAGGCCCACTAAAATCAGAATCTACAGAGACCGAATCTACCCCAAGTGGGACAGACATGACTTATGGCCTGTCTAAATGCCAAGTGTTCAGGTATGCCAGTAGGACCCTTCTCCCGCCCTAGGGATAAGTCATTATTGGTGTAAATCAATCTCTGTAACACCATTCCTCTTTGCCACTTATTGGCTAAGGAGTGAGCATGATTCATTTCTTGCCATTGGAATTTGTAGGCAAGACTATTGGGGCATATTACATAAGATTTTCCTTCTTAATAAAGACAGAGAGAGAGGAGGAAAATCCTCTCCTCTTTTTGTCTTTAAATGACCAGGTAAAGAGGCAAGGGAAGTTGGGATTGTGGATGGGTTTCTTGGGACAATTCTAGCAGCCATCATTCACCCATGAAGAAAAGTCAAGATTAGCTGAACACAGAAAGCAACATAGAGCCCTGATATTACTGAGCTACTGAACAAACCCTGGACCCACCTACCTTCAAACATCTTCATGTATGAGCAAAGTACATCTGTATTTTTGAAGGGAGTTTTGGCTGAATATCCTGTTACTTGCAGCCAAAAGCATCCTAACCAATATAACAGGTGATTTTGTTGCAGAACCATCCCTGAGAAGCCCTGATGAACAGCAGTGATGAGGAACCTCTGTCTTACAAACTTTAGTTTCTATCTTTCTAGCTTCTTGTTACAGTGCAAAATCATCATAGACAATGAATGATCAGAACACTGCCTTTGTATTGAAATTTCTCAAAAATGTCCAGAAAATAACATTTTATAAAGTTAAAAATTAGTGCCAAGGTTTTCACTGCCATTCTTTTAGTCAACAGAAATTATTTGGATTGTAAGATTATGTATTTCCCCTCCTCTACCCTGAAGTTAAATTGTAATATTTGAATACTGAATGAAGAAAAGTTGGACTTATAAACGTTTGGTTGTTTTCCAAATTTCCACTCATGAAACAAAACAACAACAATAAAATATCACTACTATTGCTGCCTGGAGTTTCATTTCTGCTTTTTCTACTTGAAGAAATTCAAAATCTAACTCAAATGTCACCTTCTCAGTATTTCCTAACTCCAACATTGACAAACTGTCTCCCTCGTTTTCCTCTCTGATGATTCATTCATTCATTCAACAAACAAGAGCTATTAAGCTCTTGTTACGTCCCAGTCCTTGAGCTGAGGATTCAGAAGTGAACGGTCTTAAATAGTTCCTATATTCAGATCTTGTAATCTAGTTACAGGATGATAAAGGATGATAAATGATTCCTAAGCAATCACAATGAAATATGGTTAAGTTTCAACTTTAGACACATAACAACCCCATCCCTTAACAAGTTTCATTTCCTTTTTTTTCTTTTCTGAGATGGAGTCTTGCTCTGTCACCTAGGCTGGAGTGCAGTGGCACAATCTTGGCTCACTGCAACCTGTGCCTCCTGGGTTCAAGCGATTCTTCAGCCTCAGCCTCCGGAATAGCTGGAATTACGGGCGTGCACCACCATGCCCAGCTAATTTTTATATTTTTAGTAGAGATGGGGTTTTACCATGTTGGCTAGGCTGGTCTCGAACTCCTGACCTCAGGTGATATGCCCACCTCGGCCTCACAAAGCCTTAACAAGTTTCTCTGGTGTGATAGGCACAAGAGTAACAAAGATGACTAAGATGCAGTCTGCCCTTTAAGGGATGGTCAGAGACTGATATGTGTTTACCAAAATCGTTTACTCTTCTGCCTGGGTCCATAGTACATTTCCAGTCTCCCTTGCAGGTCAGTGTGGCATGTGACTGAAGTCTGGTCAATGGCATGTGGACATAAATAGTATGTGATTTCCAGTCCTCACCCATAAGAAACAATCCTCATGCAATCCTCTAGTAGCTTTTCTTTTTCTGTCCGTTGCCTGGAAACTAAGGACTCCAAGGTCTTAGGGGATAGCAAAGCCATAATATAAAAGGAGTTTGGGTTCCTGAATAATTGAGTAGAAGGCCAACAGCTGAACACGTGAATGGACTTGACATGAACGAGAAATAAGCCTGAACTATGTTTAGTTACTGAGATGTTTTACTTTATCTCTTACAGCAGCTACTGCTGTCTTAAGGTTATATTCTTCAGTCAATAGCATACGATGATTCTTAGCACCTCGAGGATGCTAACCCAGTCCACAAAGGCAACACCCCCTCTGGTTAATCTGAGAACTAAAATAAAAGCAAGCAAGAAAACCCACGCCAACACCTTACAACAGTAAACAGACACGCGCCCGTCACCGGGTGTACAAACAGAAAAGGCTGGGCCCCTCGCTCGCGTCTCCGGTCCAGCAGGCCTACAGGGTACCCGCCGCTGGCGCTGGGTTTATTTTTACCCTTAGTGTCTCTGGGGCCTCTCACCTGGCAGTCTCCGGCGAAGTCGACCAGGCTCCGTCTGAACGATTAGGAAAGGGGCTGTGGGGGAGGCGGCGGAGCCCGGTCTAGCCACCGCGCTCTGGGGTTCCCGATTCGCGCATCTTCCCAGGCTGAGCCGGGAGGCTGCGTTGACTGCAGATAAACGGTCTCAGGGCGCGGCACCGCGTGTAGTCGGCCCCGCCTTTCGCACGAACCCGCTGGGCGACACCGCGCAGGGAGGTCCGACCCGTCGGCGCCGGTACAGGCTCCGGAGTAAGCATGGGTTGGTCCGGGGCCCGCAGCGGCAGCCCCGTGTGCCCTCCGCCGGGTTTCAGGTCCGGCGGCGCGGGTGCAGAGCCGCGTGCGATGCCTGGTGCGCGTGGCTTCCCCCGGAAAGGTGGCGCCAGGCCGACCATGGGCCCACGTCCCGGGGCCTCGGAGCGGCACCGCGCGGTCTTTCAGCTGCTTATCCTCCCTGGGCGGGTCCGCAGGCTTCTGGGGCCAGGACCAGCGAGCTCCCGGGAAAGCTTCCCGGAAAGCTTACCCAGAGAGCGCGGACCCAGGCGCCGAGTCTTCCCGGAGATGACGAGACACCGCGAGAGGAGCACAGCGCAGGCTCCTCGGGACTCCGCGGCGCAGGCCGGGCAGCCCGTTACTTGTTTTATCGTTCCCGAAACCAACCTCTAAGTTGTCTATCAGTCCTCCACCTTTTAGCTGTACCTCTTAGAAGTGTCTTCTCAGCTGCGGTGGGAAGATAGGATTCTTTCTTAAGGTGACCAATTAAATGGCCGGATAAAAGACTTGTTCTGCCCCCCTTTATCGCTTAACACCTGCCCTTCTTGTTGTATTTTAGATTTTTAACCCTTCTATCAGCAGTGTGATTCTATTTCATTTAATTCTCATTTCATGTTTGTGTCTTCCTTTTCTCTGTATTTCCTCTTGTGTGTGTTAAGACGCGCGCACCCCTTACCTGTTTTTCACTCCTGTAAGCAAGTGCCAATCTTAATCACCGCTTTTCAAGCAAGGGAGATTATCCTCAAATTTCTCCACCAGTCAGAAACCATTCATTCTTGTCTCTCAGGTCCTCTTTTGTGATGAACCTATTGGATAGGTTCCATCCAATACCCTTCTTCAGATCATCTGAAATGATTATTTTCCTAAACGGAACTCTTCCTCTCCTAAAGCTTGTAAAAATTTCTAGTGACATTCAGCTTCCTCTTACCACAGGAATGACATATATTTTTCCTTTTAGTCATATGTACTTCATTAATATATCACCTGATTTGATTAACATGACTTTGGAGAACATTGAATTTTTTGGCTAGATTTTACTTCGTTTTTATTGCTGATAGTGTTTATAAAAATGTTTTATAGTTTATGGTCGGCTGTGAGAAAGACTAACTCAGATCATTTGTTAATGTTGGAGCCCATTTTGTAGAATTCGTTGTGCATTTATTTAAAATTTATTTGTTCATAGCTATACATATATTATACATGTATACCTGCTCACAGCATAAAGTATTTCATGACATACTTGTAAGAGTCAGTGTTCTATGAATTCACTAGAGAAGTTACAGCATTTTGATTATGATACACGAAAAGAAACCCAAGTCATTTAGCTTAACTCCTTAATTTCATAAACCAGAAAACTAAAATCCAAGATAGATTGGGTGACTTGGTCTAGATCACAAACCAAAGTTAGCCATAATTCGGTAGTGTAGTGCCCGGTCCAAAACCTCATAGATAATCTTATAATCAATGGACTCTTTCTGAATGCTAGTCAAAATGTCCTTTTGTGTGAATTTTAATGTACCGTCATCAACTGCATGATATTCTTCCCCATACACAAAGTGTTATCTTTTTGTTGTCCATTTCAGAATTTTCCATGTTAATATTAAAGTTCTAGGAAAAAAGGCTAAGAATCACTGCACATTTATTGAGTATCTCAGTGTGCATCATACCATTTGGTCATTTGAGGTTGCAACAAGTAAAAAACAAACATAAAACCCTTAAATTAAAATAAAAACAAAAAACTTTGCCCTGACAATGTTACAGAATTAACATCCATAAATTTACTTTTCTTGAAAAATTTATTTTCTTTAATTTCGTTTGTTTCCTGTTACATAATTTATATTTAAATTTACATTTATTTATCCAGAAACTATGTCCAAATTTTATGTCCTCTTTTCTGTTATCCTGGAGTTTGGTGAAGAAATCTGTACTTAATTTAGAAAAGAAATCCCTCTAACTGACAATATTGTTAGCTAACTATATATTTCTTAGGCCCATGTCAAATATCATTGCTTATTTTAATAAAGATTGTTTAGTTAGACTAAGAAAATAGTAAATAATAAGGGATGGCATCCGTTAAGTATAAACACTGGATTATTTTTCATAACATAACAGGTCAACAATATCGTTTTGAGGCTGAACTCCTTTACTCCTTTTACTGTAAGCTATTGAAGCCAAACTCCTTCCTACCTTTGTTCATTTATGATGGTGTAAAATTTTAAAATTAGGATCTACATACAGAACAATGCAGAATTATATAAAAATATTTGAATATTGAAAAATGAAGTGGAAATTATTATTATTATTTAGGTACAGGGTCTTGCTCTGTCACCCTGGAGTGCAGTGGCATGATTACAGCTCACTGCAGCCTCAAACTCTTGGGCTCAAGTAATCCTCCTGCCTTAGCCTCTGTTAACCATGCTGGTCCTGAACTCCTGGCCGCAAGTGATCCTCCTGCCTTGGCCTCCCAAAGTGCAGGAATTATAGGCATGAGCTACCATGCCTAGTCCTGAAATTACTATCTTCTTCCTTAACCCCCATCTCCCCCACAAAAAAACAAAAACTTCCTTTTTTCTTCATATTTACATTTTAATTGTATATGCTGCAATGGCCTATTTGTATCACCCCAGAGTCATGTGTTGACATCCTAACCTGCAATATGATACATTAGGAGGTGGGGCCTTTGGGAGGTAATCAGGTCATAAGGGTAGTGCCCTCATGAACAGGATTAGTGTCCTTATAAAAAGACACATGAGCGCTCGCTTTTTTTCTCTGCTCTTGCTATGTGAGGATACAGCAAGAAGAGGACCATCTGCAAACCAGGAAGTGGGCCCTAACCAGAAACTATATCTGCTGGCACCTTTATCTTGCACTTCCTAGCCTCCAGACTGAAAAATAAATGTTTGTTGTCTATGACACTCCATCTATGGTAATTTGTTATAGCAGCCCAAAGTGACTAAGACAGATGCTAACAAATCGAGATTTATTTTAAAAACTATTCTCCTGCTATGAGTTCAATATTTTTATTTCTTTACAATGATTTCAGAAGAGATTACAAAGAGATTAATATACTTAAAGAATCAGACTCTTGCAAACAGTGACATCATTAAAAAGAGCTTATTTTCATTAACATGTGATTAACAGGAAGGAGATGATTGGTGAGTTTTCTTCGTAACCAGGTTCACTGTGGATAGGAAGGGCCTGCCTTCCTTCCCACCATGGAGATCCTAAAATCACAAGCTCCAGCCTCCATCAATGATGACAGGGTTACCAGTTACATAAGCAGACTGCAGTGATAAACACAAGGAGACAGAACAATTAACCAGGTTTGATACAGGCTGTATTTTGAAATTTTCCTGTGACTAGGATAACTAAACAATTTACCCTTGTCCTAACAGGAAACCTCACTTAAACACTTAATTCAGGGAAATCCAAATTAACATTTGGTTGATTTAGAACTGCTGAGTGTCCTGTGATCTGGAACTAAATGGCCTCTGGCTGGTGTCTAAGCACCTGTCACTGTTAGGTATTTGGTCTCAGAATCCCCAAATTAAGGAACAGTGATGTATAGCCATTCCCCAAATTAGGATATAGGCTAAAAGCACATTTTCATTTTGAAACTCAGAACTATTCAAAACTAGCTAAGTTTTATGCCACTAATAAACTTTTGAACATAAGTGTATCAGTCATAAAATGGTCATATTAATGACCAGTTTTTTAAAAAAGACAGCATATATTTAGTTGATCAATTATAAGTGGATAATTGTAGGAGCTGAAGCACACTAAATGTGTTTTAAAAATTTACATGAATGATAATAACTATAATCCATTAAGCTATAAAAATATTCTATATTAGTTTCAGATATCCAAATCTTTATAAAACTAAGGAATTTAAAAAATAATTACTGGTTTATTCCCATAAATTTTTCATTTTCTAAATAAGGCTGAAGTGATCTTTTTGGTAGAAGTTTAAAAATCTTTTAACTTAAAATGGATAATAAAGACTCAAACAGTCTAAATTCATCTGAAGCCTGAAACAATGGAAGAGGAAGTAAGGATATCATAATGAATAGAGAAATTTTAAGAGTTCAATAGATAAAAGCTGATAATATACAGTAGGTGAACTAGGGAGTTATTAGTCACTTCACCAAAGAAATACCTCCAACTCCCCCAAGTTCTTTTAAAAGACAAGCTCTGTTACACATATGAACTCCTCTGGAAACCTCTAAAAAGCCAAAGGTACTTTTGTAGCACATTTCAAGCCACAACACTTCCAAATATCTTGTAACCTAAGCTCTGGCTAACTAAGGGTAATTTAGCTTATCAGCAGTACCCAAATCAAATGAGCTATTCTGAAGATACGGATTCAGAGAAATCACAAAGGCTCATGTGCTTCTTCATTAAACATTTGTCTATTAATTTCCCCAGCTATTAACAATTGTTGTTAATAGTTGGGAGAAGTTCTGAGAAGAAACTGCGCTGTCACGGAAACATTTCAATCCCTGTATTTGTCACATTCACCAACTATCTGGTGTGCACCAAGTTACTGGGAAGAGGAGCTATCAGTTGTTCCCTCCTCGCTCCCGCCTAGTCCCCTTTCCTTCCCTCTTCTCACACATTACAGTTCCTTGTTCCTGTAGTATTCAGAGACATAAAACAGAGGAGGACCTTCTTGTGCTCTATACCTTATAAGCATCATTTTTGCTTTCATCTTAAGCCATTTAAAAGTAAACAATAGTTATTAAGGAAAAAACTGTTAAACAGATGCAAAGTGGAAGAGATTAAATTAGGAATTTCCATACACGATGATGAACAAGTAAGAATTTTTAAAAATATTTATTTATTTTGAGACGGAGTCTCACTCTGTCACCCAGGCTGGAGTGCAGTGGCGCAATCCCGGCTCACTGCAACCTCCGCCTCCCTGGTTCAAGCGATTCTCCTGCCTCAGCCTCCCGAGTAGCTGGGACTACAGGCGCCCGCCACCACGCTCAGCTATTTTCTGTTTTTAGTAGAGACGAGGTTTCACCATGTTGGTCAGGCTGGTCTCAAACTCCTGAACTCAGGTGATCCGCCTGCCTCGACCTCCCAAAGTGCTGGGATTACAGGCATGAGCCACCATGCCCGGCCACAAGTAAGAATTAATAGAGAAAAAAGAGCCAGTGGAATTCTCCCAAACAAGTCACAAGTAAAACTAAAACACCACATGCGAATTCTGTGTCCACTGAACACAAATCTGCTTAATCCTCTCCCCATTTCACTTAGAGCTCTTATAATCCTGGAGGTTCAATTTTTTGACTTGCATTTAATCAGGGTTTCCCCAATTATAATTTTTGAAAGGAACTGTCTCTCAGAAAATTGAGCACTTTAACTTTTTTAGTCCTCCATTTTGTTTGCTACAAGATTTTATGTAAAGCTGAATAAGGAAGAATTAGTGGCTCAGATCGAAGTGGTCTTTCTTTGAGCAAATTAAATGAGAACTTATCCCTATCTTATAAATGTAGCATCTTAGCACATATATGCCACAAACTCTCTAAAATGATATTATTTTGATGAGCAAATTGTGGCCAAATGTGATTGAGGGTAATGAACTCCTTGGGAAGAATAGTGCTTACTTCATCAGAAGCCAAATACACGCAGAGCATGGCTATTTCTTCTGCAGTTGCGAATCTTCCCGTCTTTTGTCTCTTCAGGAAATCATTCCGTGCCTGTGACCAGAGACCATACCAGACATTAGTGATGGAAGCAGCTGTATGTGCTCACCTGCATCTTGTTCAAGGAGTTAAAGGCAAGAGAATCCACTGGCTTGCTGCCTTGATGAATAATCAACTAGGGTTATGGTGATTCTTTTGCCAAAGTTACTCAAATTGTTTGTGTTATACTAAAACCCACAGATATTGTGACACATCAGAAAGCTAATGTTAAAGGATGAGGGCATTATTTTTTCATCTTCAAAAGTTGTGGTAAAGTATACAGAATATAAAATTTACTATCTTAACCATTTTAAGTGTACAGTTCAATAGTGTTAGGTACATTCACACTGTTGTGCCACCATCACCACTGTCCATCTCCAGAACTCTTATTTTTATTATTATTATTTTTTCTTAGAGACAGAGTCTTGCTCTGTTGCCCAGGCTGGAGTGCAGTGTTGTGATCATAGCTCACTGTTGTACCTCAAACTCCTGGGCTCAAGCGATCCCCCAGCCTCAGCTTCCCAAGCAGAACTCTTTTCATCTTACAAAATGGAACCTCTCTACTCATTAAGCATTAACTACTCTTTTCCCTCCTTCCAAGCCCCTGGCAACTACCATTTCACTTTCTGTCTCTATGAATTTGTCTGCTATAGGTATGGAAGAGGGCATTTATTAACAAAAGGTTTAAATACATTTTAAATGCTAGATGTACCTCTTCAGGATTTCCTCTGGCTTGTATTCTTTCTTGTAGAGATGGCGTATCAACTGTTCCTAAATCAAAGGGGGATATTCAGCTTGGTTACTCACTTTCACTGAAAAAGAAATCGATAACTAAACTTCCTTTCCATATGACAATCAGTGAGATTCTTCTCCTTGACTTAAAATGACAACTTTACAGCTGCCTGCCTGAGGCCTCTTATTTAATAGGCTTATAATTTCTTCAATAACATTTCTATGATTTTAAAAACACAGACTATGATTCTTCGTGACACTATGTAGGGACTCTGGATGAATCACCCAGCATTCTCAAGGACATATATTTTAGTCACATTGCATTTATATGATGCTTTATGGATTTTAAATACATTTATGCATATGATCTCAGCTAATCCTCACAATAACCCTGAGATGTAGATAAAATCGTACAAGCACTTTGCCAGCTTAAGGAGCCAGTTTGCCTCAATGATCTCAAAACCATTCTTTGCTGTCAAGTTCACTGTGGCATCTTTGGGGACAATCCCATGGCTACCATAGTCCTTGGTAATTCAGGTGGCGCTAAATTTTTCTTATCACCTTGCCTATTTTCATTGTTTCAAATGCCTACTTTTAACCACAGTTTCAAGTTTTTAATCAAAAATATAATTTAATCTAATTTAAAGTTATTTTACTTTAAAAAAGAAAAATAAGAACAACGCTAACATTTTAAAATTCCACTTAGTTTATGGTCTCCTAGAGCACGTTACCCAGACTTTTTTGTTAACGGACATAAACTGTTCATTCTCTTTAGAGGGCCCTTTTTCAGACTAAAGAGTACTCTGGCAAATAATGTGATCTTTCTGAGGTTGTAACAAATGGTTTTACAGTCATACTTCACCCTTAGATCATGTTCCTGAGAGTGCCATAGATTTGATCTTTATTCAGAAAACATTTCTTAATTTTAGCATCATTTGCTATTTTTTTCTGATGAAGCTGGAAATCTTCAAAATCAGAAAGCCTGACTCCATTTTGGAACCCCCTCTTTAGGTTGGTTATCTGTCTCTTGTCACATTTTACTATAAGCAGCCAGCACTTTCAAGACTCTGGGTAGAAATCACCTTAATTAGATCACCCAGTTCATTAGGAACATCTTCTACCTTCACACTACAGGCAACAGTGTTGATGTACTTTCTGAAACTGTATGACAAAGACACTCTTTTTTCTAATTTTCAATAATATTTTCCTCACTTTCCTCAATAGCCTCCTTAAAGTCCACAGTTTTACCAACAGTGTGCACCTCAAGCTTTCACTAACACTCCTTCAGAATCTTACAGCTTTAATAGCTTTCTCCCTCTGAGGTAAATGAACATCATATCTTACATATGACTGGTACTAATGGCTATTAAATAAGAACTGTAGAGCAAGCCCATGCCTTTAGAGTATTCCAATGTCACTGGGTTCAGCTGTGTCCATGGCACAGACATACTATGCCAGGGTCTACACAAGTCTGGCTGGAGATTTGTGACTATACAACCATCAGCAGCATCTCAGACATACTCAGTCCTCCTCAAGTTTTCTTCTGTGATTGGTTCACTGAGTCACAGCTAGTTCCTTGTTCCAAAGAGTTTGATAACATATTTTCCAATCTCCTGATAAGTCCAGTCGCTGAAACAACCACATTTTCCAAATCATTTTACCACTTATTCCACTGGGTAAATGGCACCAAGAATAGCTAGACTCAAGTATCGCCAGGATGTACATTAAAACCCAATGAAATGACCTCTCATGCATTCTTCTTTTTCTTAGCGTTACCTACGTTTACATTTCTGTTCCAAGAAAAATAAAACAGAACATCTCAATCGCTGAAATTCTGTAGCTTGGGGGATGTTTAGTTTCCCCTCTTTAAGTCAGTGGGTTTCAACTGAAGATTCAATCAGAATCTCTTGTGGGTCTTTCTAAACCACACAATTCTCTCCATGAACTCCTTCCCTAAATTCTGGCATGCCCTTCAGGTTTGAAAGGTCCCCAGGTCATATTGAAATGTTTCCCTTTCACACACCACCCCCCATTATCAATTGTGCACTACCAAGGGAAACCTTGATCCTGGATATGCAATCATTTCTTTTTAAAGAATATTATAATCCTTATTAGATACCTTAAGTTCCTTTTAGATTGGTAGAACCAGGTAAAAGTACATATCAATTTAATAAACACATCTACGGTTATTGTGAAAATGAGACACACCCCTATAGTTATTAAGAAAAGGAAAGTTCTGCTTTTCTTCTTTGCTTTGTATGAGGGATCGGCACACCTTTCTTGGTAAAGAGGCAGACAAAAAATATTTATGGCTTTGAGAGTCATTTTATCTGTTGCAACTATTATACTAAACTCTGCCTTTGTAGCATGAAAACAGCCATAGGCAATAACATAAGCAAATTGGGTGTGGAAGTGTTTCAGTAAAACTTTGCTTACAAAACAGGTGTGCCTTACTCACCTGGGCACACACAGTTGCACCTGATGCCCTGCTGGATGAAATCTGCAGCCACAGATTTTGTGAGGCCAATCACGGCTGCCTTGGTTGTGCTGTACACACATCTGTTCACAACTCCTGAGGGTGGAGGAAAGGTTCAACAATTGAAGGAATAAAAAATGTATTTTCCTTCAGAAAGGTAACACAAATAAGTTTTCCCAGTAGCCATTTTCATGCTTTCTCCCACATTCCTCCCCTTTTAAAAAGATTGATATCAGATTTTTTTCCTTCAATAGAGTCAGTTTCTGGATCTAGGGAAATAATATCAGTATAGGCACAACTTAATTGAGACTTAATTGAAATGCTGAACTTACTTAACATTGGTAGTCTTAGTTTCTCATCATCAGTTGCCATAACTCTTAGGCAGATTCCAAAAGAAAATGAAGATTAATAACAAAACAAAACAATAAAACAGGAGGCCTAGGCACTTCTTTACATTCCTCTCTTGTGTATGTTGAATATGTGTATCCTTGCAAAGAGAAGAAATGGTATCTCAGCAGTAACTATTTCATTTTAAACTCACAGATCCAACTATGCCAGATTGTGACATAATCCACATTTTGTACTGCTGTCCTTGTCCTTCAACTTGACTTCTTGCTGATGGCTCAGATCAACTGTCTTTGTGAAGCATTCCACAAACTCACAGGCAGTTATTTCCCTGTATTTTGACAGCGCTTTGTACAAACCTCTGTTATATATCATCACACTGGAGAAGATGATGTTTGCTGCCTTGCTCCTAGTTTTGGACTGTGAATTCTTTTATGGCCAGAGCACATACCGGTGCTCAATACACTATTTTAAATTAATTAAATGTTAAATGGTTCTTTCTCCCAGTTTGATGTTCATTTCCATGTCCATTAGAAAGAATAAAAGGGAGGGCAAAAATACCCCACATTTTAATTTAATTTTACCACTGGCTCACATCGAGAGCAAAAGATCTGTGGTTAAGGAACTTAATACCAATTTTGAAAAAAGCAGTTTTGAAATCATTTCAATACTTGAAATTATAATCTCTGCTATGCCTGTTCCCAAACGCAGAGCTCTTAATGATGTGCGTGTATGAGCATCGCAGTCCTCGGAAGGAGACAGACCCACCTTTGACGCTGGAAGCCACAGAAGACATGTTGATAATATTGCCAGATTTCTGAGCAAGCATCTGCCAAAACAAAACAAATACAAAAAAAAAAAAATCCACTTTGTGGGCTAAAATACTACCTTTTAAAAAGATTTGCATTTTCTTAGGGTTTGCAGAATGAATTTAATTACTGTATTAGCTAGTCACATTAAGCACTATTAAGCAGTCTTAACAGTGAACCCAAAACACCTCATCAACTATTGCTGGGAAATGATGGCAATGTGACTGCACTCACTGGCATTTCCCAGGGGGATTACCACCTTCCCATGGTACAAGAATGTCAGCAAGACTACGAGTGAATGCTGACTTAAATGAAATGTGAATAAATGTTGTTATTGTGTGTTACTGATGTTGGGAAACTTACTCCATTCAACACATAATTTTTGAATACCTACTGAGGCCAGGTATTGTGCTAGGTCCAGGAGATTACTGCCTACAGGAGGCAACCAGTCTGGTTAGAGTGGCTCACATAATCCACATCCAGCCACAGCAGAGACCTCCACAGAGATCTAACAGCAGGGTGAGGGCAGAAAGGGAGCAATTCAGGCTGGGCGACACTCAGAGGGGACCTCCTGAGAAGGAAGGATATGGGCTGAATTTTGAACACTAGAGTATTAGTCAGAAAAATAAAAGAAAAGGATGTTTTGAGGAGTGGGTACACAGGTATAAAGGTTCCATCGGGAACTGGGAGGAGGGGCTGGGTCTGGCTGGAATGCAGGGTGTGGAAGCAATGAGGCTGCAGAGGTCAACAAGGGCTGAATTTAGAACCTGGGTTTTACCCTGAAGGTGATGCAGTGACACTGAAGGGTTTAAAGCAGAGAAGTGGCATGTTCAGACTTGGGGATTGCAAGGATTACTGTGGTGCCCAGAGACTAGTGGAAGCTGATGCAGGCTTCAGGAAAGAGTGATAAAGGTGGAGCTGCAGAAATGTCTATGGGTAGCTGAGGAGGAGAGGGCTGAGGCAGGATGGGCAGGACCTTGTAGATGGTTGCTGCAGGGATGGTGGGCCTCACCAATTTAGGGCAGTGTTTCCTAAGAACACCTTCTTCAGAATTCCCCCACTAAAGTGTGAATTTATTAAGATGAGGGTCTTTGGCTGTTTTGTCCTCCTAGACAGTGTACACAGTAGGCAGTCAATAAATGTTGATGAATCAGAATCTCCTGAGGTGCTAGTTTAAAACACAGATTGCTGGGCCCTGTCCTATAGCTAAATAAATATATAATAAAGAAAACTGCTATGAATTTAAAAATGTTTTCAAACTTTACTAATTATAACATGTACATAGAAGTCTCAATAGGCAGTGTAAAGGGCCAGAGAAAAAAAATGACTTCTGTTGGGACGAGTTTCTTTAGCAGCTTTTAGAAAAAGAGGTGTAGGAAAGGAAAAAGTAAATAATTGAATGGATCCAGGATTGGTGTGGCCAAGATGATTGATTTCTTAGGATATTCTTCTGACTTTGTTCTGAGATTTAGCTACTAATTGCCCCTAAAAACAGAATCTAAACTAACCCCAAGGCACTATGCTGAATGGAGTAAGTGGATACAAGGAGAGGCTGACTGTAACCCAACCAAGCTAAGGAAGACAGCAGGGGAAAAAATAATGTTTAACTTAATTGTGTGTTTTATATAATAAAGAGGATCATAATGAAATGGGGTTCTCATAAAAAGTGTCAAGAATGTTGGTCAAGTGTAATGGTGTTGAAAAGTAAGCCTTAAAATTGTTCTTTCTTATCCAATTTAGCAAATAGCATTCCCCATTTAAAATACATATAGAATACATATACCCCAATTTAATACATAAAGATGGGTTATTATGTAGGTTCAATCTCTAGTCCTCTCTAGAAATGCAATATTATCTCAGGCAAAACCTTAGAATAAAGCCACCTAAGAGACATTACATTAGTGCTGCCCCCTAACACTTGCACTATCCATTCAACCAAGTTCAACCGAGGTCCCTCTGCTGCTTCTAGAGCCCCTAGTCAGTACCTGTTCCCATGCTGCCTTCCCAGTCCAGGTCAGGAGCTGTCGTCATGGTGTCAGGCTCTCCCTGGCTCCCCATGCAATAGCCTTCTCTGGCAGGCATGACTATAAAGTCAAGTGCCTGGTACATAGTACTGCTATCTAGGATTGACCTCCCAGAAGCTTAGGTAGGGGCTAGAAATACCCCTTAAGAGTCCCTGGAGCTGTATCTAGTTAGTCTTACTCTGACCCAGCCCTTCTGTCTCCATTGGCCAGAGCTCAGCCCCTAACCCTGGTGGAACCTGGCCACTTGGGTCTCCAGTGGTTCCTGCTGGACTAACAACCTTGATTCATTTATTTATTTGACAAATGTTTGTGGAGCACCTCTATACGCTGAAGACTCTTCTAAGACACAGCAAGGTGGGGGAAAAAAGCAAGCAAACAAACCAACCCAAATAACAAAGATATCCCCAAATCTTTGCCCTAATGGATCTTCTCTTCTGGTGGAGCCTGGATTCTGCATTGACCTCTTCTTAAAGTATTTTCAACTTGTTCTCTGCCTTTTGACTGATCTTCCAGTCTTGGAATGCTTTCCTGTGTATCTATCCATGAATAAAAATTTCCTATGAGTGTTCCTATGTTCTGACCAGCTGACCTTCCAGAGCTGCCTAGACTCCAAATCCTAGCTTCCCCTGGAAAGTTCTAACATGGGATATGTGTGTCATAGTTAATGATACAGAGGATCATAGATAATTATGGCTGGAAGTGATTGTGTAACCTATCATCCTCATTTTTTAGCTAAAAGAAATATGTACTGAGAGGGTACAAGTGCCATCTCTATGGCACATGGCCAATTAGGGGCAGGGCGCAGACTGCACCTAAGGACTTCTGATGATAGAGTCCAAGACCAGGATTCGATTTTGTCAAGGTCACTTTAAACAAGAGGCACTAATACCATATTCCTGCCATTAACATCTCTTGGGATTTT
This sequence comes from Homo sapiens, assembly GCF_000001405.40. Lineage (NCBI taxonomy): Eukaryota > Metazoa > Chordata > Mammalia > Primates > Hominidae > Homo > Homo sapiens. Next base: position 103,089,467 of record NC_000004.12, read on the forward strand.
TTTTTAAACAAATCTGTGTTTTTGGCCCACATGGATAATTGTTAAGATATTGTAAATCACAAGCAAACTCACTAGTTTGCAAGTTAATGTTTGTATATTTTAAAAATTAACACAAGTTTACATTTCAGCTCCACTGTACTCCACACCTACTTCCTTTACTAAAATTTGTAAAGCATTTTAGAGCCTGGTTTTGCAAATGAGTCTCATGCATGTGCAACAGTCTTACCCACGATGACCTAAGCTTTCCTCCTATACCACAGTCTCTGCTCTACCCCTGTAACCTATGCAAAGGATCTGTCTTCAAAAATACATTCGTGTTCCAAATACTATAGTTTCTCATAAACTCCAAATAGGCTAAAAAATCAACTTACATTAAAAAAAACAATTTGTTATAAAAATTTGCTAGTTCAACATTCTGTGGACCCACCCAAAAATCCCTTCTAAGCACTAAACAAGTAGATTTTTCAAAGTCCCTTCATTACTAAGTCAGTTTCTCTAATTTTCCTGTTAATGTTCATCTGGAACCTTCTTAACATTAGGTTGAATATTCAGAGTAGAATATCAGCCCTGCTGTGCCATTAACAAAGCTCTTCTCCTGCCCAGACATGGACAGGACATCAAATCCAGCTGGGATGGAAGGGAAAAGTTGTTCTTCTGCATTTCACTAGGTTCAATTTACAACCTTGAGTTGAGCTGGCTCTGTACCCAGTCAACCCCTTTCATTGTCTCAGCCTGCACTGTCTGCTACTACTGGTTTATAAGCTCATTTGAAATCAGGGATGTACGCTGCTCATGTTTATACTCCCCTAGAACACTTTATATAGTGATTTATACCAAGAGGTACTTAATGCTAGTTTATAAAATAAAATTTTAAACATTGATGCGTTGTGTGAAGGCTTGAGAATTCAAGGAGGAATGCTGTCTTGAGCACACACTGTCTCTCACCTGCCCAGTACCACTGTGGTTCAGATCAAAACAAGAGCGAAGGGAGAAGCTTCAGGGCAGAGAAAAGCAATGGGGTACATCCCTCTTGAGAGTGTGAGCCTAGACTGAAATTCACGAAGGGGCTCAACGTCCAGGCTTCAAATCTTGGTTCTAACCATGTGCTAGTTGGGTGACCTTGAGCAAGTTGTCTGAACTCTCAGTTTCATCTTCTGAACAATGGATGAGATAATAGTATCTACCTCATACGATCATTCCAGTCTCGTGTGCCTCCCTGCTGTTACCTCTGCCTGGAATCATCTCCCAAGGTACCTGAATGATCAGCTGTCTCACTTCTTGGACTGCTATGCCAGTTTCACCTTTGCGGTGGAGTCCAGAGGGGCCGCATTGATATCCTAGCTTCTTTCTCTTCATTATATTTAAAACCACGCCACATATTCTATGTCTATTTGATTACTAATTGTCCCATCTCACCCCCAATAATGGAACCTGCCTTATAGAAGGCACTTTGTTTAGTTCACTTATGTGTCTTCTGTGCCTAGAATGGAGCCTGGCATGTGGAAAGTGCTTAATAAATATTCCTTGAGTGGATGAGCTGGAAGGTTAAATAGATTAATTTATGTGAAATGCCTTGATATAAATGTTCAATGCAAGTTAATCATTGTGTTAGTTATTATCACTCTTCAGCACATGTGGGAATCCCTTCTGTGTGCCCAGTACAGAGACCTAATGTGGTGCTTATCCTGGTGGTGGTGGTGGTGGTCTTACTTTAGGAAGGAATGCCTTGATCATCAGGTACATGCTGCGCACATTGAGATTCATCGAGAAGTCCCAGTCTTTCTCCTCACAATCCAGGACAGTTCCATGATGGACAAAACTAGAAGAGTGATTAAACAATGGAAGAATAACTGCCATTAAAATTTTTCTATTCCATCTGCTGATTATTTTTATTGTCACTTAGTGACTTAGACCACTGTCTCTTTCCCTTATCAAGACTTTAAACAATTCATAGTATCACTTAGTATATTATATTAGTAAGAATCCCAACAACTTAAGCTAGAAATGTCATCTGAAAACAAGATCCTTGTTTTCCAAACAAAAGTATGGTCACCGAACATAAGAAGCTTTATATTAATTGTGCTGGAAACATCAATGCCATTAAAAACAAACAACAAATAAAGGCGAACAGGGCTAGGCATGGTAGCACACACCTGCAGCCTCAGCTACTTTGAAGGCTGAGGCAAGAGGACCACTTGAGCCCAGGAGTTTTAGGATGCAGTGAGCTATGATCATTCCACTGCCCTCTAGCCTGGGGAACCAAGACAAACCCTGTTTCAGAAAAAAAAAAGAGAGAGAGAAAAAACATCTGCCCTATTTGCCTATGTGATTCCTATTTCAAGAGCAACAGTGCCCTCAGGTGGCACAGATTTAGAATTCTCAAGGGAAATCAAAATTGCAAGGAAAACAAGTGTCTGAACATCTCAGAGCAGCAAAGTGATACTGCTAGTGTTCTAACATACTGAGAGATGTTAGTTTGTTGTAAGAGAGACGTTAAGGCAGAACAAAACAAACCCGTAAAGTAGCTTTCACTATTTTTCAAGTTACGTTTTCTGAGGGAAGCTTCCAAAACACTGGAACCCTTACTGATTTGGTCCTCTGGACCCAAATTATGTAATTCATTATAAAATATTGTTGGCTGTGACTTCCATGTACCAAAGCTCTGCTATTTCAGTCAGAATGTCAGTTTCATGACAGCAGGAACCACATGATTATTTCTACATCCCCTACATGGCTGAAAATTTAATAGATGCTCAGAAACTAACTTTGCTAACTATTTGTTTCATGTTTCTGGGTGTATTCTTACATGAGGATGGAAGACTATTTATAAAATAGATGATCAGAAATTATTGCTTTAATTTAACTTCCATACATTGTAACACATAATACAGCTTTGTATCAGTACCATCTGTCTTGAGTAGACCTCATTTGCCCCAGATCATGTCAAACTCTAAGGCTGTCTTACCTGCTGAATTTTATGTGTAATGAAAATGCTGTGTAAAATCTAGCCATATTTCCCAAGGAATATGTCATGGTTCACAATGAATGATTTTGCCACATTATGAAAATTCTTTGAATGAAAGTCATAGAAAACTTTCTGTAAGGAAAGTGAAACTAAAAAGTTATGAATTACCCAGCAACATTAAAGAGAACATCAAGTCTCTCAACTTCATTGGCAAACTGATCAATTTGTTTCTTCTTTGTGACATCAAGGACACGAGTTTGAATACCTGAAAAATAAAACAAGAGGCACTATTCCTAAAAATGTTTAGCCTTGAAGGTTTAGCTGTTTTGAAGTGTGAAGTGTGAAGATTGCAACATCTATCCAGCTAGGCTTCATAGATTGCTGACCTTCTTACTAGGGTCTTAAGAATCTTCAGAGTCTCATTAGTAAACTTAAAGTCCATCTTGACTCCTCCAATAACCCATCCGTCCCTCTTCCTTCCTCTCTGTCCATTTTCCAAGTTGAATAATAAGGGTCCTTTCTGAGCAATGGCTTTATAGTAAAGAATGACTGGTGTACATTAGATGTTTCTCAGTAAGCCAGCAGTAATAACTGAAAATGGGCTCATTTGAAGTTCTTACAAACTTCAAACATTAATTTTCTCCTCTTTGCAGCTTTTCTCTTAATTTTCTCTTCTTTGAGGTATAATTGAGAAATAAAAATTGCATATATTCAAGATGTCCTTCCCCTATCCTTCCCCTGCCAGAGACTGGGTTGCTGGTACCTATACAGTAATCAGAATTTTGTCTGAGTGAGGGGTGGAGAAGAGCAAGTGTTCTGGAATAAGAGACTGTTTCTATTTGTGAGCTTCCCCTTTATGTCATTTCCATTATTTATTAGAAATGACTCTGTTAGTCAAGGGTATCCAGTCAAATACATGTATTTCTGGACTAAACTGCAAGGAGAAGAAATGAGAGGGTCAGAAGAAGGGATGACACCCTTGAAGGCTAGACATGAGAGATCTGGCATGGCGGGCACCTGAGAGATACACACTGCACTAGTTGCTGAGAAACTCCAAACAGTGTCTAACAAAAGCAGCAGTCATCATTATAAATATATACACATATTATTTATAATGTGCATAATATATATTATAACATATAGTAATATAATTTATAATATATACAATGTATTAATATGTATACATATAATATATAATAATATATGAATAATACATATAATATATAGTAATATAATTTATAATATATACAATGTATTAATATGTATATGTATAATATATAATAATATATGTATAATACATATAATATATAATTATCTATAATGTGTATTATATTTTATAATTTATAATATATTATAAATAATATGTATATGGTTTATTTTGGGGGAATATAGAAATAAAAGATTCATAAAGAAAGGGAAGACTTGAAATTTTGTTTCAGAAACATTTCCTTATCTTTGTGCTTCCCCAGTGCAGCAGCTTTACTTTGACTTGTTTGAATTATAATTCAACATATTCCAATTCAATTAACTAATTCAAGGAACTAATTGCTGTTTGATTATGTAACCTGTTCTATTTTGCTGTAAGGGTTACCTTTCATATAGGTTCTCTGTTCTGATTTCTTTGGGTAAACTGCAATTAAAATCCTTTGGTGTTGGAGTTTGGTTCAGTGGGGTGAAGAAGTGGTGGTACACACCTAATAATCTGGGTACTCTCTTAGGGTTTCTCATGATGATGTGTGATTTTAGAGCTAAGCTGTCTCCAGCCACATGTGGCTACTGAGCACCTGAAATGCAGCTAGTCTGAAATGAAATGTGCTGCAAGTGTAAAATACACATGAATTTTAAAGATTTAGTATGAAAATATTGAGACGTTGGTCAAAGGGTACACTCTTGCAGTTATAAGACTTAATATACAGTACAGTGACTATAGTTATTAATAATGTATTGTATACTTGAAATTTGCTAAGAGGGTAGATCCTAGGTATTCTTAGCACACACATACATACACACAGAGGTAACTAAATGAGGTAATGGATATGTTAATTAGCTTGACTGTGATAATCATTTCACAAGGTATTTTACAACATATATGAAAACATCATGTTGAACATCTTGAATATATGCAATTTTTATTTCTCAATTATACCTCAAAGAAGAGAAAATTAAGAGAAAAGCTGCAAAGAGGAGAAAATTAATGTTTGAAGTTTGTAAGAAACTTCTAATAATTTAAATAAAAAATTTAGTAAGAAAAAATTAAAATATTAATTTTTTAACTTGAGTGCATGTTGAGATTATATTTTAGATATATTGGATAAAAGAAAATATATTATTAAATTAATTTTCACTTGATTCTTTTTACTTTTTTAATGTGGATACTAGAAAATTTAAAATTACACAGGCAGCTCACAACATGTTACTATTGGACAGGGCTATCCTAGAGGAGGAGGGCACAGAAGTGAAAAGCTGTCATGAAAAGTTAACCTAACAACTAGTAAATTTTCACATGTAAGTTTGTAATTAGGAACTGAATCCCTCAAATGTGTTAGCTAAATAAAGGATTTTAAGTATTCGTCCTCAAATTTTTCTATGCATGTAAGTCACAGATTTTTGTCTATAGGTTCACAAAATATAGATTTCATATCAGAGAGAGAATCTAAAAAGCACGGCAGTGGAGCTCAGTAGCTAGGGAATTTTCTTTCAACATGTGAGCGCCATGCTTTATAATACCTTGCAGACACTGAATCCCAAATTCAAGCTGCTGAGTTGCTTACCCGGGTACTTTTCCAGTTCCTGAAGTTTGGACTCATTAATGTCTGTGGCTATGACTTTGGCACCTTCTCTTGCAAAAGCCTAGTAGACACAAAGTACAAATAAATCCTTTGTTTACTTGAATAAACTGTGCTCATGAATGGAACATCATGTGGTCTTTTTCTCCTTTATCTTATTTTCATTGTTCTTTTCCCTATAAGATAGCTAGAATTTTAAACTATCTAGTCTTACCCCTTCTCCATTGTTATTATTTTTATCATTAATTAGAACAATGTGACATACATTGTGCTTGTCATCTGACTTAGTCCCTTTAAGTAATATCAAACAAAATAACGTTCTTAAAAAAATGACAGCTGTTTTCAATACTCTCAAAATACTGCTCTTCTGTAATGAGACTATATATCATTTCTGAGTTTGAGTTACTAAACTCCAAATAATAAGAGAAAAATTGGTTGTTTCAACACTTTTCCTACTAAGAGTATGCTAGTGCTTTCATAAATGTCAAACCATACCCTGCCATTATACTTAAGGTACTGTTATACTTAAGGTGCCGATATTAGCTTAAGTGGGGTACATAATGTAACAGAAATTGATATAAATCAGGAGAACAAGGTAACCTGTCTTATAACTCTGGAGTCATATATCTAAACTGACACAATTTCAGAAAGCTGTGTAACCCTGTTTGCCCTCTGTAGCGAATATATCATGATGCAGAGAAACTGAAGTAGAGAAGTTTCTCAGAGTCAATGGTTATCAGTGATGTCATGTACTAAATATGAGGTATTCATTCCTTCATCTGCCTGGGGTCAGGAGTAGGGACCTATTTATTTATTTGTTTATTTTTATAACTTAAGACAACAGAAGCACAAAAGTAAAAAAATAAAAAAGCAGAGCAGAAGTAAACAACCATGGCATCAGTCCACATAATTCAATATGTCAAGAGTTAGTAGGCAAACAACAAAGATAGTAACTTATAACTTACTAAGGCAGCTGCTTGGCCAATCCCCTGAGCAGCGGCCGTCAGGATGATGACTTTCCCATCAAGTCGACCCATAATGGAACCTGTGGTTTAATCTAAAGACATGTGTGTTTAATGGGTTATACTGTAGAACATGATCTTGAGCAGGCAGTAACATCTAGAATGAATAGTTCAGTGTGCTCTTTTAAGAATAATTTAGTGAGCTCCTTCAGGAACTTGAAGACAGCACCTCTGTGCAAGTAGTCCCATCATCTGAATTCTCCTAGAATGCTTACTCTGCATACCTAGCTTTGTATATCAAACACATTTACCATAACCCACTGAAGTAATGACTGGTGACAGACATTGGCCATTTTTTTTTTTTTTTTTTTTTTTTATGAGATGGAGTTTCACTCTTGTCACCCAGGCTGGAGTGTAATGGAGTGATCTCGGCTCACTGCAACCTCCGCCTTTTAGGTTCAAGCAATTCTCCTGCCGCAGCCTCCTGAGTAGCTGGGATTACAGGTGCCTGCCACCACGCCCAGCCAATTTCTGTATTTTTTGTAGAGACGGGCTTTCACCATGTTGGCCAGACTGGTCTCAAACTCCTGACCTCAGGCAATCCACCTGCCTCAGCCTTCCAAAGTGCTGAGATTACAGGCCTGAGCCACTGTGCCCAGCCCAGATATTGCACTTTAACCTACCTTATCCTTCCTTCAGTACCTGGAGAGGACAGCCTCTGGTGCTGAGTTTCCTCACTACCACCATCACTCTCTCCATGACCCCTGCACACATTGCTATGACATTATTTGTGTCCTTACTACTCAGGGCTGCTTCTTGATTTCTCTTCCATAAACTTTTGTTGAGGTTTGCACTATCAATTGCTTATGATTTTTTTTCTCTTGAAAAGATTTCATAGTTGGTCTCAGATATTCATCGAAAAAAAAAAGGATGGAAAAATCAAATCACATCCAATACTCCCATTTTACAGATGAGGAAACTGCTGAAACATGCCCAATGTCATAGAGCCAGTCAATGGGAAAGCCAGAACTAAACTTAGACTTCCAGACTCTTGCTATGTGAACAGTCCAGCCCACAATGCTGCCGATCCTCTTATAAAGTTTAAGCATGCAGTAGTAACACATTAACAGGCATAATCAGTAATTTCTAAATGATTGAGAAACACTGACACCGGGGCTCATGTGCATGAGATATTTCACCAGTGCTTGGATTATAGATCACAAAGTGAGAGAAAGAGCTAGTAGTGAGGCTGGGGGTGGAGAAGAGCCAAATGACCATCAAATGAGGCTGTCTTCAAGGACACAGGCTCCAAGTCTTGCTGGGCTCTGTCATTAATGTGTGCCTCTGACCTCATACGAACTCACAAAGTGGCTGCTTTGTCCAAGGCATCATATCCACATTTCAGGCAAAAAGAAAGGGAGGAGCAAAAGCCAAAAGGCTTTCAGAGAGGTCTCACCTTTCTATTTAAGAAGGAAACCTTCTCAGAAATTCCCACCTGCAGTTCATTCACCAGATCTATGCTACTTGGCCACTCCTAGCTGCAAAGAGGTTGGAAGTTGAGACTTTTGTTTCCAGCTTTGATAAAGTGAAGAATAGGAGAAAGTGAGTTGGATGGTGTTGATGAACCAACTTACAGTACATGCAAACTAGCCTACACAATCACTCTGTTCCATTATCTGCCTGATTTTGTACAGGTTGATAGCCTTGCCTAAAGGGCTTATATTACCTAGTCCTTTCTCTTTGAACTTATTTCAGTTCTCTCTTTAGCCAAACTTTTTTTTTTTTATACCCAATATGCTCTTCCATTTCAAACCTCCACACTTGGTCCAAGGTCCACATGGTGAAGGGCAAGTTACTCCTATAGGCAACAGCCACTGAAGGATTTATGGAAAGGGTGTGAAATGATCAGATTCGTATTTTGGAAGGACTGCTGTGGAGAACATACCTGGGCAGGAGCATGGGGTGCCATTAGGAGGCTGCTAGGGTTATCTAGTGGGGGCGCTGGTGAAATAGCAGGGCTGGAGAAAATAGCAGGGATGGAGAGATAGGTGGATTGGAGAAGTGTTTCAGAGATGAGATAGGTAGGACCTGATCACCAACGTGGCTAATTTCAAAGAAATGTTATTTGCCCAGTGTTTTGCAGCTATGAATTCAAACCTAGGCCTTCTTGTTGCAGGTCCAAGGGAAGATCTCATGGCATTGTCTCATGGTACTCAAAGCCCTGCGGGCCTCTCTAAATCCCCACTGTGGCACCAGGAGCCTGTGCCTCGCAGACCGCTGACCCCAGGAAGTAATGGACAATGAGGCGCAGCTGCTGCTGCCTCTCTGGGTTTGTGCTGAGGCCACCTTCTCGGGGCCGTTACAAGCCAGTGCCTGAGCATGCATGCTTACTAAGGCAGACTCATTTCTGGGAGACATAGACCTCCTCCCCAACGGATGACTGGCTAGAGAAGCTCCTTATTACCTTGCTGAAGTTCTCTTAGACTGCACAGCTGTCTGGGATGCTTCCACTCAACCTGGTTTCCTTCTTTTCCTCCCTCGCGGGTGGACTTGCATCGAGGTCTGATGGCTCTCACAGCCTTACCTAGTTCTCTCCTCATTCTCTCTCACAACAGCATTTCCCCTAATAAAATCCATGCATATTTAATTCTATCTTGGAGTCTGCTTCTTGGAGGAGCAGACTAACACAATTATGTAAGAACTGGCTCCAGGGATCAGCTTATAATCACTGACTTCCTCTGAGTTTGTCCACATTTTTTAGGCGATGGGGAAGCTTGGCTTTAACAGTGCCTGACCTACTTTGATGCAATGAATTTTTGCTTTTTTACTTCTTACACAAAAGATAAACATGGAATGTTTATCATTTCAACATGGAATGACAGTTTCTAAAGTATAACTTTAGAAAGATATACTTTATCCTCCTTGAATCCTAAGCATGGTGCACAAAAGCTATTTTACAACACTGTCATTAGTGATATTGGGTGTATGGCCCTGTAAAGCCTCCAGTCAAAGGTTTTGCTAGGAATCTTTGCCAACCGAAGAAGCACTTCCAGAACAAATGCCGAAGCACAGAGCAGCCTTTCTATGCACTCTGAAAACCTCCTCTTAGCTGGCCTTCCTGTCTTTCTGGGACCAGATTTTGGGGTCAAAGCCTTAACATTTGATAAACTGTAATCTCAAACTAAAACAGATTTCTTTGAGAAAATGAGAGCAAACACGGCCTGAAATGGTAAAACAAGGCACCTCTCAATATATCCAATGTGAAAACCATACATGTTGGCTTCCTTAGTCCAAAAGTTAGAATCAAAATGTTGATTTTTGATTAGCAGAGACACAAACAGCATATTCAGGAAGCCATTGTTTTCAAGAGCCAGGAAGAAAACTCTTCACTTAGGATACCGTAAGAATCCTTTTTTCTTGGGCTACTTTATAAAACATACATACCACAGAGTTTCAGGCTCTTTAAAAACCCATCTTTACACTGATCTAACTGCTCAGATTAATTTTGAAACAGGCAACGTGCAGAAAAAAACAACATCTAAAAATTAAACCTCCCCTCTTTCCGTTCTAAAGTTTCATTTCAAAAGTATTAGGAAATCTTACTTTAAGCAGCGAGCTGATGGCGTTCTCCAGAACTCGGTTTGAGCAACAAACTTGAGACAACCTTTGTCTGGAAGCAAGTCAAGCGCTTAATAATGCATGCTGGGATTTGTAGTTTCCCTGCTTTCAGAGTTTAGTGGCTCCATCCATACACTTTATAAATGTATGTGCTGCCATCTAGTGGAATTCAGGTAGAACTATGAATTCCAAGTGGAAGGTGAAAAGTGGAAAAGCACCTTAGAGCTTACTTAGGATGCGGAAATCATTTCCTTCACTTCAGTCTCTCCACTTCTCTGTTTTGTTTATGCCTACTATATGCGGTGCCAGGGTAGACGAGATTGGCTGAGCTGGAAACTGCGTGTGGAAGATAGCAGAGCAACAAAATAGAGGGAACCCAGGTCACTGAAAATTCTGGAGCCTTCCTGTCACTTGGCCTGGATTGTTTTAAGGGAGAGAAATAAAAAAAAAAATCCTTTTTGTTTGAGATACAGTTGTGATTTTTATTTTTTCATGCTCAGAATATTCTAACACTAATGCACATTTAGTGGCAGAATGCCAGGAGCCTTTTACTACACTGGGAATGGGGTTGGGGAGAACGTGAAACTTGGATGACAGGGTGGAGGCTTAAAAGGGAACATGTTAACAGCGAAAAACCCCAGTTTGGCTGAAGAGAACAGAGATATAAGGTCAAAAAGAAAGGACTAGATCTCATGAGCCCTCTAGGTTAGGATAGCAACATGTGCTTTATCTGTAGTGCCAGTGAGCAGAGTGATTGTGTAGGCTACTTGTACATGTACTGTATAAATTGGTTTCCTCAGCACCCATCCAACTCACTTTCCCCTTTTTTCACTTGTCAAAGCTGGAAAACAAAAGTCTCTACTTCATAGCCTTGTTTGCTGCTAGGGGTGGCCAAGCAGCATAGATGTTGCCAATGAAATGCAGGTGGGAATTTCTGAGGAGGGCCTCCTTCTTAAATAGAAAAGTAAGCCCTTCTGAAAGGCTTTTAGCTTTTGCTCCTCCCTTTCTTTTTGCCTGGAATGAAGATAGGATGCCGTGGGACAGAGCAGCCATTTAGTGAGTTCATCTGAGGCCAGAGGCACACATTAACGACAGGGACCAGCAAGAGAAGGAGCCTGCGGCCCTGATGACAGCCTCAAGGCAACAACTCCTCTGGACTTCTTATGTGAGGACAATAAACTTTAGTGTTTTTCACGTTTTTTGTTACATGGAGCTAAGTGATTTCTAACAGTCACAGGGGATAAGAACAAAGACTGTGGCGTCAGTAAGACTAGAGCAAGTCCCATATCTCTCTCTCACTAGCTAAGTGAGTAAATCACTTAAATCTCTGAACCTCTTATGTTTCTCATCTGTAAAATGAAGGTAAAATAGCACCTACCTCAGGGATGTGGTGAGGAGGAACGACTAAGCCTGTGAATCCATCAGCACAATGTTTGCCACACAGGTGCTTAATACATGTTAGTGATTCTTATGATGAAGACATTGTTGGAGAAATTTAATTATAATGGATGGTAAAAGTTGCGCTTTTTAATGTTCTTTTAAAAACTGGACTTAGTTTCTGCATGTGTCTATATGAGGTCTATGGTAAAATTGTCCCTCCTTGTTCATTGTTTCAGCAACTTCTAATGCTGGCTCTAACAATCTGTAATCACATCTAGCTTTGTTCCTGCTTTACTAATAATGCCCTTTGACTTTTGAGGCTTTTGGAACAGACTTTATGAGAGTTCTCTAATCAAAGCCAACTCCAATGCTTCTTGATGTAGCTTTCTTCAGCATCCCTCTGTAATCTTCAGCAACAATGCTTACTTGATAACAGCCTAAGTCACATGGTATTGCAAATACTTGCTTACCCATTAGTATTCTCAGCAGACTAAATTTCTTCAAGGGTGGGGACTATGTTTTACACCTTTACATTGTGATTAGCTCGTATTAAAAGAGTATTAGTTACTTGTTTTCTTATCTACAATATGAGTTCCACATTGGTAGTGCCTTTCAGTGCCTAAAACAGTAATTGGCAGATAGTAGATGCTCATTAAATATTTGCTGAGTGAATGGCAGTTTCTTAATAAGTTTCCTGAATATAATTCTGCCAGGCTCTCAAGACAATGTTTGTGATAATTAATTTTAGGTGTCAACTTGACTGGATTTACGGATCCCCAGAGAGCTGGTAAGCATTATTTCTGGGACATCTCTGAGTGTTTCTGGAAGAGATCGGCATTGGAATCAGTGAACTGGGTAAGGATCTACTTCACCCAATGTGGGCAGGCACTATCCAATTGGCTGAGGGCCCAGATAAAACAAAAAGGCAGAGAAAAGGTGAATTCTCTCTCTTCCGGAACTGGGACATCCATCTTCTCCTGCCCTTGGATACCTGAACTCCGACCAGATTCTCAGGCCTTCAGACTTGGACTGAGCCACGCTCCTAGTTTCCCTGGCTCTCCAGCTTGCAGACAGCCTATGGTGGGACTTCTCAGCCTCCCTAATTGTGTAAACCAATTCCCCTAATAAACATCCTCTCTCTCTCTCTCTGCATATATATATATATATATTTTTTTTTTTTTCCTCAAGCTTCAGTGGGGTTACATCCCAATAAGCCCATTGTAAATTGAAAACATTGTCAGTTGAAAATGTATTTAATATACCTAATTCACTGAACATAGAGCTTAGCCGAGCCTACTTAAATGTGCTCAGAACACTTGTTAGCCTACAGTTGGATAAAATCATTTAATACAAAGCCTGTTTTATAACAAGGTGTTGACTGACTCATGGGATTTATTGAACAGAGTACACTGAACAGTGTCAGTTGTTTACTCGTGATCCCGTGGCTGACTGAGAGCTGTGTCTTGCCGCCACTGCCCATGATCACAGTAGAGTATTGCTATCTTATGAAGAGATCAGAATTCAAAGTAAAGTTTTCACTGAATGCGTATCGCTCTCACACCATCCCTAAAGTTGAAAAATCTCAAGTTGAACCATGACAAGTTGGTGACCATCTGTGTATATTCTATTGGTTCTGTCTCTCTGGAAAATCCTAAGACAGATTTTGGTAACAGGAGAGGTTCTAGAGGAACAAAATTTTAAGGATGAGTTTCCTGAGTTGGTTTTGGGGTTCCTGGAATTGGCTCTTAGTCTGATTAGATTTGAAAATGCTAAAGGCTCTACTCTTTGAGATGGGGTCACACTCTTGAACAGGTTGGAGTGCAGTGGCACCATCATAGCTGACTGTAGCCTTGAATACCTGGGCTCAGGCCATCCTCCTGCCTCAGCCCTCCAAATTGTTTTTTTTTGGTAGAGATGAGGTCTCAGTATGTAGCCTAGGCTGGTCTCAAACTCCTGGTCTCAAGTGCTCCTCCTGCCTCAGTTTCCCAAAGTGTTGAGATTACAGGGATGAGTCACTGCGCCCAGCCTGGCTCTCCTTTTAATAGTACAGAGAGCACTGATTGTCCAAGAAATGAACTGTTCATAGAGGTATGCAAAATGTCTGCATTGGATACTCCTAATCAACCACTTCTTAGAGGTGAGGAACTTAAGTGACTCTATATATAATACTTTTTTTTTTTTTTCCGAGACAGAGTCTTGCTCTGTCGCCCAGGCTGGAGTGCAGTGGCATGATCTCGGCTCACTGCAACCTCTGCCTCCTGGGTTCAAGCGATTCTTCTGCCTCAGCCTCTCGAATAGCTGGGATTACAGGCACACACCACCATGCCTGGCTAATTTTTGTATTCTAGTAGAGACGGGGTTTCACCATGTTGGCCACGCTGGTCTCAAACTCTTGACCTTGTGATCCGCCTGCCTCAGCCTCCCTAAGTGCTGGGATTACAGGTGTGAGCCACTGTGCCCGGCCCTATAATACTTTCAAATATTTATGGAAAACTAAGAAATATACCAATGTTGGTTGGTTGCTTCTAATATTGTTGGGCAAAATTATTTAAAAAAAAAAAGGATGACTTCAGGGATTCAAATTCATGGCTCAAGCTCCACATAAGTAACCTAAGAGCTTATAGGCGTGCCCTGAAAGAGGATCTTCTCTCCTGTAGACATGAGGCTAAAATTGCTGAAAATCAAACACCAGTCTTCATCATTTGATTGGTGCAATTACAAAAGGCCTCAGTGTGTCTACTGGTAAAATAAGCCACAGTGACTGGGAGAGTGAGATTCTATAAGTTGGGATGGGGACGTGTGGGAAGACCCTGAAGCCAGGAACATTGAGTTTTTTTTTTTTTTTTTTTTTTTCAGTTTCACCCTGTTGGCCAGGTTGGAGTGCAATGGCATGATCTCGGCTCACTACAACGTTGACTTCCAGGGCTCAAGTGATCCTCCCACCTCAGCACCCCCGAGTAGCTGAGACTATGGCCATAAGCCACCATGCCAGGCTAATTTTTGTATTTTTTGTAGAGACGGGGTTTCACTATGTTGCCCAGGCTGGTCACGAACTGCTAGGCTCAAGAGTCCCACACCTCAGCCTCCCAAAGTGCTGGGATTACAGGTGTGAGCCACCATGCCTGGCCAGTTCCTACATTCTGATGAGTTTTTTTTTTTACCAGCTGTAGTGGCCTCTCCAACCTCATTGGGGTTGGTAATGGCCTTTCCACCTTTGTCTGAAGGGTTAACCCTGCATTGCCTGAGGAAATAATAATGGCCTCCCCTGAGGCAGCTGCCAAGCAAGACAATGCTGATTCTCCTCAGGACCTACCCCCACCACCCCTCTATGCTCCTAGACCTATAACTAGACTCAAGTCCCAGCAGATCCCTAATGTGAGGTACAAAGTGTGGCCCATGAGGAGCTGCATCACAATCAAAAGAACCACTTGAGTTTTCTAACTTATATAAGCAGAAATCTGAGAAAAATGTGTGGGGATATTAAGGGTGTGGGATAATGGTGGCAGCAAAAGGGACAGAGCTTATTTGAAGAAATAATGGCCACAAACTTCCCAAATTTGAGGAATAAAATGGACACCCAAATTCAAAAGTTAAGCAATATTCTACTAGGCTGGCTACCTGACAACTAGATTTTTAATGGCTTTAATGTAGTTTTATCAATCAGGTAAACAACCACTACTTTGGGTTACTTTTGTTCAGTGGAGAAGCAGACATAAAGAATCAAACCTGCAGGCATGTTAGTGTTTTGTTTGGATAAGGGTGGAAAGCAGAAGACAGACTCTCAAGGTACAGGTCTGGGGGAAAAGATTTTAGGAAGGGATAGTTTCCCCTTAGTCTTTGTTAATTCCTTTGGTGGTATGTTAAGATACGGAGAAATATCCAATCCACAGACTTTGAAATACTAGATATGATGCAATCAATAATCTCTCCCTTTGAATGAATCTTACCAAAGAGCCGAGAATGACTTGAAATCACTTTACCTCTGTTCTATAACCTAATGCAACTTGTTTTAAGTGGTTTTTCAAAGTCATATGGTATAAAAGTAATATCAAATATCCTCTAAAACCATAGTTCTTAGATTTTTACAGGATCACGGGCCCCTCTAAGAATATGATAAAACAAAGTATAAACCCCAGTATCCCCTCCCCCCAAATAAATCCACACAAAAAAGTTCATAAAAAATTTCAAAAATTTTACAGATTACAAGAAGTCCATCCATATATGCTTTATCTATCTGTGGGGACTCCAGGTTTAGAAAACTTTACTTTGATAAAAACTCTGGTACTGTTTCCTTATGTCTACAATGAAGAGGTAGAATAAATGATCTATAGGTTCCTCCAGGCTGGGAGTGAGGGGCAATGAAAAACAAAGTCTATAATAAACCAACCAATTTAGAGAGTTTGTATAGGGATTGGGATAGGTAGGTTACCAGAAATGTGAGAAAGAACTTCTGTGGTTATTACAGTAAAAGGAATATTAGAACTGGAAAGTTAAGAGGACATAGCCTCTGCTATCCTTTAAGAATTTAAATCCAGATCCAGAAAACTTGTGTATATTTTCATAGCAAAATACTGAGTCAACAAGAGAGACTACCTCACCAAGAAACCATTAACATTATATAGAAGAGCGGTGATTCAGAACTACTAAACATTTATTGAATGTGTAAGGTATTAAAAACATTTACAATTTTGTTAATAAAATGATGTTTTATATTAATGTATGTATTATGCTTTGGAATATGCTAAGTCATGTAGATAACTTTACATTTCTTTCAATAACTTTATTCTTTACAAAATATACAAATAAATAAAACAATTCAACTTTTAAAAGTATTACCATATGCAAGAAGAAGGTATTGCTATCACCATTCTAAATTACCACAATGCATTCATTTCCTGTTCCCTTATCTTTCAACTCTAGTGGCAAAGTAAAGACTGAATTGAAATTAAGCTGCACTACAACATCATTACCAGGGATAGACACATAAACAAAGTCATTTCCAAATAAGGAATGCTGGATCTCCAGAGAAGTGACAAAGAGGAGTCTACTGAGTTTTGCACTCAGGCACATCCTTGCCTGAGGAGGCGTGCCAAGGACCTGGCTGAGAATCCACACTCTCTGCTCCTGCATTTTGCACCTCTGAGAAAGAAAATGAAAACAACATTCATCCTATTACAAAAATACACAAAAACCAAGCACAGCTGGAAGTGGAAAGGAGGTTAAGACAGGAGAGATGTGAAGAATGAAAAATGGCAACGTGATTCACCGTGTTTGGTCATGAAGATGGTGTATTTCACCTCAGAGTTGGAGAAGTTTACTCCCCATTTTGTCCTAAAATGAACTATTAGACAAACCATAGTTAAACTGAGAGGTAATAAAGTTTTATTTGGAATTCTTCAATTTGAAATTCAAAGTGAATCAAACACGGGCTGATTGAGTTTTCTTTTGTCCTGTTTTTCAAAATAAATGGTGTGCTAAACAAATAGTATTTTAGAGAATATTTAATCATCTTTGGAAAGCTTTCTGTGAGCCTTTAAAAAGGACTTTAGCTGCATCTATTTGCTTATAAACAATATTTATTTTACAATTATTATATTTATAAAAGTAAATCTACCATAACTGGTCTTGGCAATTACCTTAGTTTAAGGTAATTTAGATTACCTTTTATAATTAAAAGTAAAAACTCACATTTATTTTTTTAAAGACTGGTATTAATTCAAGCTGGGACTATCTCATTTAATTCTGAATTGGTCAGTTTTTGATTTATGTATTCTTCTAGGCTACTCTTTTATTTATCTAAAAACAGTACCAGAGAGATCCACATATTAAAAAAGGACTCAAACATTTTTATTTGCAGTTTGATGAATTCACATTATGCATATGCCTCTGGCACTAGCAGACAAAATCAAAAGGTGATTACAGCTGGGTGTGGTAGCTAGCATGCACCTGTAGTCCTTGATGCTTAGGAGGATTGCTTGAGCCTAGGAGTTCAAGGCCAGTTTGGGCAACATAGTGAGAGAGTTCCATGCAAGTGTTAGCTAGCCAATAGAAGGTCCTTAAATGTTTGTTAAATACTATTTAATGAAGAGAATATTTCAAACATGTTTTTATTCCAAATGTTTCTGTGCCTACCTATCTCCCTAAGAACACTTTTAGACTGTCAACTTGATCTAATTTTGATGTAGTTGATGAGAATGGATAGATTTTTTCTTAATCACAAAGTAGAGGTTTATAAACTCTGGCAAATAGTGCTCAAGGTTTTAAATGATTTGGCAACTGCCTTTCTTACTGTACAATTTTGTTGCTTTAGATTTCTACAGTTGCATAACAGGGTACCTCTGGTAGGGTAGGCAGACACACTGTCACAAAGGGCTGTGCACAGTAGATGCTATGTGGTGAGAAAGACTACAAGAAATGCCGTGTTACCGTTTCTCCTGCAAGTCCCCCCACTTCTGTGGACAACCTCCATGCAGAGCTGGGGGTGATCCTTGATACCTCCCCACTCCTTTGTTCAATCAGGTGCCTGGTGTTGCTGATTTTACTCCAAAATCTCTCCCGTCGGTCTACTTCTCTCCTTCTCTACTCCAAGTCCACACTACCATCATGTCTTGTTTAGACAACAGTCTAACTCCTGCTCCTATTATTTGCTGGTCACCTTAGAGACGAGGTGATGTTTTCAAAATGTATAACTCATGTTCTCCTGCCATTGCTTAAGATCTTTCAAAGGCTTCCTCTACACAATAAATGAAACAATTCCTTTATATAATTTATAAAAGTCCAGCATTTCTGGCTCTTATTTCTCTCTTTGGCCTCACTGACTTCACCCACACAAGCTTGTACTCACTGTGCTCTGACCACACCATATTTCTTTCAACTCTTCCCCTGGTCATGTTCCCACCTACCCTAACGCTGTTGCTGTTCCATCTGCCTGAGATGTTTTTCCCTCTGCTCTTTATTAAGATAACTCATGTTAACCTTTTAGATCTGATCTGTTTCCTTCCTCAATACTCCTCAAATACTTATTATATTTCTCATAGTCTTTTGTACTTGCACTGCTATAATTTCACTTTTTTTTTTTTTTAATCACTTGATTACTGTCTGTATCTTCCATGAGAATTAAGCTCTATGAAGGCAGGGATCATGTCTGGTTTTGCTTATCAATGTGCCACCAGGATCTAATCCTTAACACATAGTAGGGGCTCAAAACAATTTTATTGACTGAATAAATGAATAAGTAAATGATTCATCTATTATCTGGCTTGGGTAAAGTAAATATAATGCTATTGGATATTTTGGTCCATTGAATTGATAAGACTTTTCAGTAAAAGTTGCTTTTTAGGGTAGTATCTTCATGTCCTTGAGAAAGTTGCTTGTCTCTCTTTGGACGAAACTAAAGGCTTAAAGGGTAGACTAAAGACTTCACTTGGGGTAAAAGTGAATTGCACTTCACTGTGTGGGGTGCCTTGGAGAAATCAACTTTCTTACAGAGTCAGCAAATGAAGCCTGTCATTGTAGCTTACTCAACTAAATCATCTCTTATCTAAACTTGCCCTTTGGGATCACATATTAATGATAAGTTCCAACTGTTACCCTCTGATTTCCAAGTAACCAGTATATTTACTTACCTGGACAAAGGCCTAAACTTGAGTTATCAAAATAGCGAACTGGATGAGGTGATGGTAAAGACTTTGATCGGCTATCAAAAAAACAAGATTTTGGTGATTCCTTTGGCACAGGATCTTGTAAATTCCGTTCCTTGCATTGAGAGGGTGTAATTTGTTTCTTTTTAGAAGCTGTTCCAGTCACTTTAGGAGACTTTGGAGAATTCTCACAAGTTACTTGTTTGTGAGCCTCTCTTTTAAGGGTTCTTTCCTTCCAAGTTTTGACCTCATTGGAAAGATGCTGATTATTGCTTAAATGTGGGGGAAGAAAAGAGAGACTGTAAGACTTCTTGATTCTTAAGATGTATTCACATTTATATTTAAAAATTAAAAATAAATTGTGATGAAATATATATAACATAAAATGTACATTTTATCACATTTACATTTTAATTTCAACCTCATGCTTCCTGTTTTGACTATTTTCAAAGTTCAGAAAACAAAATGGATCTATATAAATTGAATAATATAGTAAGTTTCCATGATCATGGAGTCTTGAAAAGAAAGCTCTAAGTACAACATTAGGTTTTCAAATGAATCAATGATATAATCCAGAGTGGCTTATCTATTGATGCTTTGCCACAATAATTTGACAAATTAGTCTCCTGGATAGATGAATCTTTGATGTACCTTTCTTACTGTAAAATAAATATTACACTGTGCTTTTCTAGTTACAATGCTGCTTCTTACAGGAGATGCCACCAGCATTTATCCAGTTCCTCCGGAGAGAAACCTGGGAAGCAATCCTAGAGACCTCACTCTCTTTTATTTTAAGTCATCCAAGTCTCTTGATACACTCTCATCCTATCTATCAAATTCACTTCCTTGTTTTTATCCCTATTGGGGCCAAGCTAGTCCATGCTAAAATTACTTTTTGTCTGAACTACCATAAACACATTCTAAAATTTGATCCCTCTATAATGCTCTAGCAGCCAAAGATGCTATATGATCTCATCAGGCCACTAGCTTAAAACCCTCCAGTGCAGGTAATCCTGCCATTACATTTAGGATACCACTCCATATTCTTCAAAATGAACTATAAGGGCCCATGTAATCTGAATCTAGTTACCTCTGGCACCTTGTCTTGCACTTTACTCTGTCTCATTCTCTACATTCTGGCCACACTGGATGTCTTTCAGTCCCACCAATTAGTTATTCTTCTTAACTCAAAGCCCGTGAACATGTTCCCCTGGCCTGGAAAACTTATCCTTCTTCCCTCATCTAGCCTAATTCCTACTCATTTTTCATATCTATTCTGATATAGGCATACCTTGGAGATATTGCAGGTTTGTTTCCAGATCACTGAAATAAAGTGAATCGCGGAAATCTTTTGGGTTCCCAGTGTGTATAGTAGAAAGATAAGTGCAATAAAACGAGGTATGCCTGTTTGTTGGCTTCCTGATCAACCAACCCTCCACCCCTAACACCTAGATAACGTTGGATCTCTCTCTTTCATAATATAACCCTTTTATAATGTCCTTTTTGTTTTTGTTTCTTTTTTAATAGCACTCATGGCAGAGTTAGTTATTTGTAAAATTATTTAACGCTTTTTTTTCTACTGTATCATAGTAGAGTGCTTGGGGAAAAGATTCTACTCTTCCACGTGGTAGAAGCCGAATAATTTGTTAGATCTGTTTATAAAGTAAAAAGCCTACAATAATGGACGTAAGGAGTTCCTCTCTAAGTAAAGCCTCACTGGCTTGGGTATATGGACTTGTGGTGTATTTCAGCTGCCCCCTCAAAGGTCTTTGTTTCTTTCCTATTTCTTGCCTTGGTTAAGAATTGGTCAGTTGATAGACAGCAAACATTGGAATAGTGCTACCATATTCTCATTTTTTAAAAAAGATACTTATTACCTGAGCTCTAAAAATTACTTTCCCCATAATGACTGAAGTGTTACCACCTGCAAAAAATACGTGCATATACCATGTCCCTACATATATGTAATAGCCGTAAGCATAATATCCGTATCATGTAAGCAGATCTTACCTTAACAATTCATTCTTTTGTTTTATTAGCTGTTCATTTTGCTGCTTTAACTTAGAAATTTCTTTTTCTAGCCTTATATGTTCACTTTTCAAAATAAGAGCTTTTGTGTTTTGTACAATGCCGCTGCCACCTCCACAAGTTAAGGGTTTATTTGAAGGCTGAGGATCAGTATGTTCTGATATCACTGTGGGAGGAAAATATACAAATAGGTGATAATTTTAATTGTCTCCAAAGTTCAAAATAAAGGAAATACTACCAAGTACAATAAGCCATTATAGAGACCCAAACAGCTCAAGTCTTATTTCCCTGGAAGTCACCCTTGACTTCTGCCTTCTACCTTACTCCCTCTGCTTATTTGACCAACCATTAATTCTATGCCTCTAGAATCCCCCTCAACCAATTCCACTAACATATCCTGATCCTGATCACCAAGCTCTTTCACCCTGACTGCAGCAATAGCAATCCTCTCCACTTACTGCTGTCCTTTATTGATCTATATTTTCTACATCAGTTTTCCCCTGAAGGGCTTGTTACAACACACTGCGTGTGTGGCGGGGAGGTGAGGTAGGGTGGGAGGGCCACCCCGTCATTCAGTGCATTATATGTATTCAATACATATTATTAACTAAATATATGTTACAATAATATTAAAGCACATATTAAATATTCTACACTATGTGTGTAAAGAGACTGTGTTTTGTAAATTGTAGGCAAAGTTGCACAAAATGTGAGATAGTTATGAAGTGGATTAATCCATTAGGTCACTGGGAATTCACAAAAGAGGGATAGTGTGTGTGTTGGGGGTGATTCTTGATGTCTATTTTATTTTGAATTCATCTACACTATGTACCTGAAAGTCATCTACAAATCAAGAATAAATATCCTCAACCTTCTGAAACAAAGAATCCTCACTTCTATTTTTACCCCTTTAAGTTTTCTCGGTAGGTGCTGTGGTTATCCTGTAACAGACACTAGGGAAGTTTAAGCTACAACAGGTACTAGGTAACACCTTAACACCTTTAGCACCATCTATTTTTGGAAACAAGTGGACTATAATACAAGCAAATATCATCTTATGTTTTGCTTAGTATTTGGAATTTTCAATGTGTTTTTACCCACAACTTTCGGTTTGATCTTTATGTACGTGTGTGTGCGTGTGCATGTATATAAATAAGTGTATATGTATATACACTTTTTTAAAAAAGACACTTATTACATGAGCTCTAAAAATTACTTTCCCCATGACTGAAGTGTTACTACCTGCAAAAAATATGTGCATATACCATGTCCATATATATGTGTGAGCATAACTATATATATGTGTGCACATGCATATATATGTGTATACACTTATATGTATCCTGTAACATATAATATACAGAATTCTATATATTCTGTAAATATATAAGTATTATATATAATATATATTGCATATTGAAAATTCCAAATACTAAGCAAAACATAAGATATTTGCTTGTACTATATACTTATAAGTGTATATATATATACACTTATATATAAGTATATATATGTAAGTATATACACATATATACATGTGCACGCACAAATATACACTTACATATATATGTATATACTTATATACTTATACATACATATACTTATATATACATATCTATACATATATACTTATATATACTAAGTATACTTATGTATACATGTATATATACACATATACATATACATATATACACTTATAAGTATATATGTGTATGTATGTATATATACTTATAAATGTATACATACTTATAAGTATATATAAGTCTGTATATATACTTGTAAGTATATATAAGTGGATATATACTTATAAGTATATATAAGTCTGCATATATACTTGTAAGTATATATAAGTGTATATATATACTTATAAGTATATAAGTGTATATATATACTTATAAGTATATAAGTGTATATATATACTTATAAGTATATAAGTGTATATATATACTTATAAGTATATAAGTGTATATATATACTTATAAGTATATAAGTGTATATATATACTTATAAGTATATAAGTGTACATATATACTTATAAGTATATAAGTGTACATATATACTTATAAGTATATAAGTGTACATATATACTTATAAGTATATAAGTGTATATATATACTTATAAGTATATAAGTGTATATATATACTTATAAGTATATAAGTGTATATATATACTTATAAGTATATAAGTGTATATATATACTTATAAGTATATAAGTGTATATATATACTTATAAGTATATAAGTGTATATATAAGTGTATATATATACTTATAAGTATATGTGTATATATACTTATAAGTATATAAGTGTATATATACTTATAAGTATATAAGTGTATATATACTTATAAGTATATAAGTGTATATATATACTTTTAAGTATATGTGTATATATACTTATAAGTATATATAAGTGTATACATATATATGTATATATTAGAAAATCCTTCACAGCAGTTCTGTTTATTCTCCTGTAAAAAAGTATGTATGAGTATATAAGTACATATACTCGTATATATACTTCTATAGACTTATAAGTATAATACTTCTAATTATATAAGTATTTACTATATATACTTATATATTACTTATATATATTACTTACATATTACTTATATATAATATATAACTTATATATTACTTATATATGTTATACTTATATATATTATAATATATATTATATATAATATATAACTTATATATAATATATAATATATAAGTAATATATATTTTATATTACTTATATATTACTCATGTAAGTAATAAAGAAGTAATAGATATATTACTTATATATTATACACTTATACTATATATACTTATATATTTATTATGTATACTTATATATGTATAATAAGTGTATATATACTTATAAGTGTATATATACTTATAATAAGTATATATATAAGCATACATATATGCTTATAAGTTAGAAGGTCAGGTGCTAACCCCACGATTTCATATAGCCATTGAGATCTGCATCTTAGTTCAGTACTTGTTCTACTGCGTAAAGCTATCTCAAGTACTGTTCAAGCATTCTTTCTTTTCAAATGGAACATGACAGACAGAATATGAATAAAGGTAGTTTGAGGAATGCATGTATATTGAGAAATTTGACCAACAGATCTAAAAAGTATCTCAGATAAATTTCAAAGACCTTTGCAAGTAAATATTAACTTGGTATTTTTAGTTTCAAGAACAAACAGAATAGTATTTATTTTTACTGTACACCAATTATAACTTATTAGATGCATACAATTAAAATCTACGAAGACATGTGTTTCGTTTTATTGGGAAGCATAATTCCATGTTGATATAGTATAAGTCATTCCTTTATTGCCTGAAGGTATCTTCACTAATAGGTAAAGATTTGACAATACAAAAGCAGAGTTCGTATTTTTCAAGAATCTATAATGGATAAGCATCTAAGATTACAACAAACGATGTCACAAGATATCTGGAAATATGGTTCCAATAAATTCATTTAAAAATAGATTAGTGGCCAACTTCTGTTTACTCTCGACTGTCACATACTACATAATATTAGTCTTCAAAGTCTGTTGTGTGTTGAGAAGTAAAATTTCATCTGAAAATATCTGCATTTTCTACTTACCTGAGGTATCTTGGGCCTGTTGACTTCTTCTGAGATTTTCTCTCAATAGCCTTATAACTTCCTTTTGATATTCTACAGTGGCTTTTGTAGCACTGATTCTAACAAAAACAATAAAAATATGTAAAAAGCTCAGCAACTGATTTTTTACAGGAGAATAAACAGAACTGCTGTGAAGGATTTTCTAACACATCACATTGACATAATGCCTGTAAGTGGCAGTAGATAAGCCCTCGTGATACCTCTCTGGTGCCATGTGCCTTATGGCATTAATGCCATCAAACTAGAAGCATTCTGCTTGGGTGCAGGGACAGTCCGATTTTCTTATATTGAGAAACCCCAGTTCTTTTAAAGCTTCTGGAGGCCTAATTCATTGTATATTGAACAAAATTATAATTACCTAATTATTTTTTACCATGGGGTCCTAGAAATATTTGAAGGTATAAGGAGCATGAAAGAGAAAGTGCAGCTTTATTTCTGTATGGTCAGGAAAGCAAACCCTGACTGCAGCTCTGGTCTAAGGTGCTACAAAGGTCAAATTCTGATCACTGTTCTCCAGTAGAAAGAGACATTTTATGAGTTGTTAGTTTACGCATTAATCAGTAACGATAAATTATAAGACTTTCTGCCTTTCTTAATGACTATGAATTATCTGTATCTGCTGACCCTATTCTTTACTTTTCTTTTCTTTTTTTTTTTGAGACGAAGTCTTGGTCTTGTCCCCCAGGCTGGAGTGCAATGGCGCTATCTCAGCTCACTGCAACCTCTGCCTCCTGAGCTCAAGCGATTCTCCTGCCTCAGCCTCCTGAGTAGCTGGGATTACAGGCACCTGCCACCACGCCTGGCTAATTTTTGTACTTTTAGTAGAGACGGGGTTTCACCATGTTGGCCAGACTGGTCTCAAATTCCTGACCTCAGGTGATCTGCCTGCCTCAGCCTCCCAAAGTGCTGGGATCACAGGCGTGAGCCACCGTGCCCGGCCCTGCTGACCCTATTCTACAAGTAAAATTGTTTTTATAATTAAGAATCTAATAGATCTATGTTTCACTGAAACCAATAGACTGCTTAGAGAGCATGAAAATTCCAATGCTACTTCCTGGGCAAAATAAGAGATCATTAAATATTTATTCAAGATTTATATAGGAAGAATGAAAAGTGTTAAAAGCCAGGAAGCATCCTAACAAATCCTCTAAATAAACCTTTCCTTATTGATTATGAATGCGAGGACCAGAGAGAATAAACAGTGTAAGGTGATGCATTAGTAAGTGAGAACATATTTCTTTTTTTTTTTTTTTTTGAGATGGAGTCTCACTCTGTCGCCCAGGCTGGAGTGCAGTGGTGCGATCTCGGCTCACTGCAAGCTCCGCCTCCCGGGTTCACACCATTCTCCTGCCTCAGCCTCCCAAGTAGCTGGGACTACAGGCGCCTGCCACCATGCCGGCTAATTTTTTTGGTATTTTTAGTAGAGGCGGGGTTTCACCGTGTTAGCCAGGATGGTCTCTATCTCCTGACCTCGTGATTTGCCCGTGTAGCCCTCCCAAAGTGCTGGGATTGAGAACGTATTTCTACTTCAGTTTCCTTGACTCTCTTTAATGTTCTTTTCATTATGCTATACCACAAAGAATTTAGGCATGCTGTTATGTATAATGCTACCTATAAATAAATCAATAAAAAGAGGATTTGCTCTTGGGCCCTAGGGAACTATAAACTAAAAGGAAATATAATCTTCACACAGAAACACAGTAAGGCCAACAAATGAAATTAAGAGAACCAACAGAAGCCTTAGTAAAACTGCTAAATACACACACACACACACACACACACACTCTTAATGTTCACTTTCAGGCATACAAAAGCCACTTAAAATTGTTTATATTCTGTATGACTAAGAAGTGTTCAAAGACACAGCGTGTTAATTGATCAGAATTGTGTTTAGTTTTAAAAACTTTGCATATGTAATGAGACCAGTATATTTAAAATCTATGGATGTGTACATTTTTAAAAAAAGAGCTGTAACAATATTTTCATAAATTATATTTTAAAAAGTTAACTAATGAAAAGTATATGTAGTTTAGGAAGAAAATTTAAGCTATTAAAATCACATTAAATTAAGACAAATACGTACTCCTTTTCAAATTCTTTGGCATTTTTCATTTTCTCTAGGTCTATTTTCACAAGCTTCATTTTGAGATCTTCAATTTCTTCTTTATATGGCTTAGCTCCTAAAGCAACTTTGTCCTAAATTTTTTTTAGAGAAAATAAAAATAATTATTAGAGGCGCTTCAGTTTCTCCAGTTGTAAAGAATGGTTAGCTGTCTTTGCTCTAATAAGGACATTTTAAAATAGCAAACAATTCCAAATATATGAAAAAGCATCAATTTTAACTGAATAACTAGATATTGATATGAAGTCTATTTGAAGCTAATATGCAATTAGAAACATGATTTTTTATTTGGAGCTATCATAATATGCAATTAGAAACATGATTTTTATTTCTTAAAATAAATATTTTTTTTCTAATTGAAAATACCTACAAAATGAAAAAAGTTGGAAATAATGAAAAGGGTGGAAAAAGGTAAATCAGAAAATGAAACAAAAAGATGTTGGAGCAGTGATGTAAACATCAAACTAGAACTAAATTTAAGCCACAAAACAAAGCATTACTAAGTATATTTTGTACTGAAACAGTTCCATCCAGTGATTCAAAACACTATATTTTACAGCAGCAGGTTTCCAGAAAAATGGAATGGAAAATACTGGGAGTTCCTACATACCCAGTGTCCCCTATTCCTTTTTCCCCATATTAACATCATGCATTAGTATGCTGCATTTGTTATAAGTGATGAATATTGATACATTATTATTAAAATCTATAATTTCCATGACAGTTTATTTGTATTGTACATTCTGTGGGTTTTGACAAATGTAAAATGGCACATGTCCATCATTACAGTATCATACAGAATAGTTTCACTGTCCTAAAAAACCCCGTGCTTTGCCTATTCATCCCTCTCTTCTCCATTATCCCTGGCAACTGTTTATTTTTTTACTGTCTCTGTAGTTTTGTCTTTCTAAAAATGTCATATACTTGAAATCATACAGTATGTAGCCTTTCCAGATTGGCTTCTTTCACTAA
The DNA here is from genome assembly GCF_000001405.40 of Homo sapiens. NCBI lineage: Eukaryota > Metazoa > Chordata > Mammalia > Primates > Hominidae > Homo > Homo sapiens. Next base: position 103,117,588 of record NC_000004.12, read on the forward strand.
CCAATGTGTATTAAAAGTCCACTCATTTTCTTTCCTTTTTTTTTTTTTTTTTTTTTTTAAGACAGAGTTTTGCTCTGTCACCTAGGCTGGGGTGCAGTGGTGCGATCTCGGCTCACTGCAACCTTCGCCTCCCGGGTTCAAGCGATTCTCCTGCCTCAGTCCCCTGAGTAGCTGGGATTACAGGTGCTTACCACCATGCCTGGCTACTTTTTTGTATTTTTAGTAAAGACAGTGTTTGCCATGTTGGGGAGGCTGGTCTTGAAATCCTGATCTCAGGTGATCCGCCCGCCTCAGCCTCCCAAAGTGTTGGGATTACAGGCATGAGCCACTGCGCCCAGCCCTCTCATTTCTTTTAATTGCTGAATACTATTCCACTGTATGAATGTACCAGTTTATCCATTTACCCACTGAAAGACAGTCTTAGCAATTATGAACACAGCTGCTATTAACATACACATGCAGCCCTTTGTGTGCACATATATTCTCAGCTCATCTGAGTAAATACCAAGGAATACAACTGCTCAATCATACAAGTATGCTTAGTTTTGTAAGAAACTGCGAAACCATCTTCCAAAATGGCTGTACCATTTTGCATTTCCACTAGCAATTAATGAGAATTCTTGTTGCTCCACACACCAGCATTTGGTGGTGTCAATGTTTTGGATTTTGGCTATTCTGGTAGGTTTGTAATGGTCGATTATTTTAATTTGTGATTCTCTGATGACATATGATATGAAGCATCTGTTCATATGGTTATTTGTCATCTGGGTCTTTTGCCAATTTTAAGATTGATTGGTTGTTTCCTATTGTTGGTTTTAAGAGTTCTTTGTATATTTTGTATAACATTCCTTCACCAGATTTATCTTTTATATACAGTTTCTGCCAGTCTGTGGCTTCTCTTGATTCTCCTGACAGTGTCTTTTGTAAAGCAGAAGTTTAAGTCTCAATAAAATCCAACTTACCAGTTTTTTTCTTTATGGATTGCACTTCTTGTATTATATCTTAAAAAATCGCCAAACCCAAGGTCACTTAGAACTTCTCCTATGTCATCTTCTTGGAGTTTTCTAGTTTTGCATTTTACATGTATGCCTATGATCTATTTTGAGTTAATTTTTGTGAAAAGTATAAGTTCTTTGTCTTTTTTTGCTTGTGGATGTTCAGTTGTCTGGCATCATTAGTTGATCAGACTATCCTTTTCCCATTGAGAAGCCTTTGTTTCCATCTCTCCCAGAATAGAAATGAGAGTTCTTAAAATAGCTTACAGGGCCTTTATGATCTGGTCCTCTGCTACTTCTCACCTTATTTTCTACCTCTATCCTCTTGCTTATTCTGCTCTGGATGCACAAACTTTCTTGTTGTTTTCAGTTTGCTATTTCCTTTGCCTGGAATATTTCTCCCTGGCTACACAGTTCACCCTATCACATCCTTCAGATCATCTTACTGGTGTGACATTCCTCAACTCCTGTATATACAATCATCTCTCTTCCCACACATGTCCACTTTCACCCAGAACCATGTACCCCCTTGTCTGGCTTAATTTTTTCCATTTCACTTTTCACCACTTGAGATATAATATACCTCTTAATATATATAACATATATAAAAATATACCTTCTATGTTTTACATTTTTAATTAATATTCTGTCTCCTTCAACTAGAATGTAAGTTCCTTGATGGCATGGTCTTTGTTTTTTCATTGGCCTCTAGAACAGTGAGTGACACATAGCTGGTGCTCAGCAAATATTTGTTGAATGAATAAAAACTGTGATCAATTATTTGTAATATTAAAAAATTACAACATTCTAAAACTTTACAGTTGAATTTTTTTAGTTTCTAGCTATAACAATTGTTGAAAAAACAAATTTAATTTTTTCTTTTGCCTCTCTGCTCATGTCTCACTGAATAGACCAGAATTTTTAGAACAATGTTAAATAATGAATAAAGCAGGCATTCTTGACGTGTTCCTAATTTTAACTGGAGAGAAAAGACACTGGAGCAGAACAGCAAATTTAAATATGCCAATTTGGATCAGACTCGAGTAGAAGAAATGTGGGAAGTGGCTGGAACTAAAACAAGAGGGAGCTGTAAGTAGTGATTAATGAGTGTGTGATTTGTCTAATGACATTCAAGTTGAAAAACATTTCAGTTACGGTTCTTCCCCCCAAAACAGGTCAGATTCAGCCCATGGGATATCAGGTGGGACTCAGTAACAGAGGCAGTAAGTAGGAAAAAAAGAATTTAAAAATTTACTTATCTAATAGTATTATATATTTTGATAAGCAATTTTTGAAAAATGAAAAAATATACACTAAACTATAAACAACATGTATATCTTAAAAATTATTCTTCCAACATAATAAAAATAATATTTTATATGACAATATGCTCCTACATTTCACTTCTAAGTTAAGCTGCTTCTGCTTGAGTACTGAACTTCAGAAACACATAGGTAACAGTAAGTTGTTGTGAGAGGGAAGAATAGAGCACAAGGAGATTTGCTGAATTCAATAGGTTAAACAAACAAACAAACAAACAACTTTTATTTTTATGTTTAAGTTACCTGAAGTACTTGAATTGTCTCTTTTGTTTTTTCAAGGCATTTATTTGATTCATGAACTTTGGCTTGAAGTTTTGCTATTATGTCATTAGTCACCTCAAGTTCTTTCTGCATCTTTATAATCTTGCTTTCCTTATGCATAGCACTTTCTTTAGCTTCATGCAGTGAATTTTCCAGCTCTCGAATTTTCTATTAGAAAAAGCACACATTCATAAGCTCTATCATCAAGACAGAATCACAGTATAGAAATTTGAGACAGAGATGATCATATTTAGATATTGTTAATTTTTCACAGATTGTATTAACAATGGATAGAAGAGAGGCCAAACATCATTCAATCTACAGACATGTTATTTCCCTCATTTAGATGATGATTTTTGGATTGAAAATGTCAAAGGTTTATATTATAATCTGTCTGCAAATTCTTAAAACATGCAGTTAAAAACAGCACAGTGGTTATGCGATTTATTAGTTAGCATAGTGCTAAGCATATTAAATAGGCACTCATATTTTACATGAACACCACTTAAACAAAGGACATTGGTTAATTGACTCTCTAAAGTAATATATATTTATCTTTCCCTTTAATTTTATTAATTTTTTTTTTTTGAGATGGAGTCTTGCTCTGTTGCCCAGGCTGGAATGCAGTGGCGCAATCTCGACTCACTGCAACCTCCACCTCCTGGATTCAAGCGATTGTCCTGCCTCAGCCTCCCGAGTAGCTGGGACTACAGGTGTGTGCCACCACGCCTAGCTAATTTTTGTACTTTTAGTAGAGACGGGGTTTCACCACGTTGGCCAGGCTGGTATTGAATTCCTGACCTCAGGTGATCTGCCTGCCTTGGCCTCCCAAAGTGCTGGGATTAAAGGCATGAACCACCATGCCCACCCTTATTAATCTTAAATAGAAAAACACAAATATGTGGAAAAAAATTCAAAGACATATAATGAAGAGTAAGTCTCCCCATCTCAGACCCCCAGTTGACCCTGAAGCGATGACTACTAAACTTTTTCAGGTGTATCCTTCCAGAAATTTTCTATCTATAACCAAATATACATGAATATATAGTTTCTAAAAATAGTATACACACAATATACTAAATATAGTTCTGCTTTATTTTAAAACTTGAGAACATATTTTTTCCAGATCTTTCCATTATCAACACATAGATCTCTCCTATTTTTTGTTTTCATGGACATATAGAATCTCATTTCATAAAGGTATCATATAATTCACATGTACACACTCTTTTTTGTTTTTGGCAAAATGTCTGGATTTTTGGGGGCCCATTTAGAATTCATTTTTGTTTAATGAATGAGATAGGAATCCAGCCTTACTTTTTTCCAGATGGCTATCCTGTTGTATCAAAATAATGCACTAAGCAAACCATCTTTTCTTTCTTTCTTTTTTTTTTTTTTTTTGAGGCAGTGCCTCACTCTGTTGCCTAGGCTGGTGTGCAGTGGCATGATCATGGCTCACTGCAGTATCGATCTCCCAGGCTCAAGTAATCCTCCCAGCTAAGCCTCCCACATAGCTGAGACCACAGGTGGATGTCACTGCACCTGGATAATATATTAAAAAAACACTTTTTTTTTTGTAGAGACAGGGTCTCACTATGTTGTCCAAGCTTATCTTAAACTCCTAGGCTCAAGTAATCCTCCAACCTTGGCCTCCCAAAGTACTGGGATTACAGACTCACACACCTGGCCAAGTAAACCATTTTTTTTTCCCACTGAATTGAATGTTACTGTTATCATACACCTGTACTAAATTCTCATACTTAATTGGGTATATTTCTGAACCCTCTATTCTGTTCCACTGCTCTACTTGTCCATTTTTGCATCAAACTTGTCTAATGATAGTAGCATGTATTTTATTATCTGCTAGACTATTTTCTTTGGTCATTGAAGATTGACCAACTTTCCTTTTGCTTCTTTAAATTACTATATTGGTAGATGGATTTCATCTTTCCTCTATTTTATCTGTAGCAGCTGACTGAGGTCTGTAATGCCCTACAAATCAAAACACTGTATACTAGTGATCTAGTTCTCATTAAGCTGGTGGTTGATGTTTTATTATAAGTATTTATTTTGGTAAAAATGATAAATTGTAATTTACTATTGGGTTCCCTACAAGTCGTTTTGTGTGCTAACAAAATACAACATTTTACGCATGTTGTTAGATTCCCGAGTAAGGGTAGTTAATAAGGTAATTTGGTTATCAAATAATGTACTGGTTCTTAGATACAAGTTAACCTGCGTAACAATCTTGTTATATTTTTTAACCTCTTATATTTTTATTGTGATTATAACATTAAGCAATATTAAATACGCTGATGATAATGAGAAAAGCTGAATTGCTATTTCTCTCCAAGCTAATATTTGTTCTGCATACGGACATAGATCACAGTTCAACAGAAAGTCACATAATTTGGAAAACTTTTGTGGTAATTGTACGTTAACTGGTAGTAACTTAAACTATAGTTTATGAATGTAATAATCAAATGAAGCTACAATTTATGTTTTATAATAATATCTTACATAATGTCTAGCTTTATAATTAGTTTAGTTGAACGATAGCCATAGTAGAACTACTAGTAAAAATCAAGCCCATCACTTACAAAAATAAATGTGTTCATGTTCAGTAATAAGTAAATACTATAATTTTGCTCTAAACTCTGTGATGAAGCTGCAAACTGAAGAACATTTTATAAGAAATTATATACCTCTGTGGTTAACTGTGTAGCTCTTGATGTAACATGAGGATTCTTATTGTCTTGTGTGGTAGGATTAACCTGGGCACCAGATGCCAAGGAAGTCTTCAATGTTTGGTAGTTTTTAAATAGTTTTTCATTTTTCTCTTTCAGTGATTTCAGGTCCTGTTCCCACTCTTTGGATATGGTAGCACTTCTTTCCTCAAACTCTGTTGATTCATTCATTATGGCCTATTGAACAGTAAAATACCATTATAGCTCTAAAACGATTTATAGTAGTCCCCACTTACCTGCAATTTTATTTTCCATGGTTTCAGTTACCCTCAGTCAAAAGTGGTCTGAAAATATTAAATGGGAAATTCCAGAAATAAACAATTCACAGGTTTTGAATTGCACATCATTCTGAGTAGCACAGTGAAATTTTGAGTCATCCTGCTCAGTCCTGCCTGGGATGTAAATCATCCTCTTGTCCAGCATACACTACTTGTTCACTTGATAGCCACCCTGATTATCCGATTGCTGCTGTATTGCAGTACTTGTGTCCAAGTAACCCTTATTTTAATTAATAATGGCCCCAAAGCACAAGAGTAGTAATGCTGGCAATTTAGATATGCCACCGTGAAGCTGTCAAGTGCTTCTTGTAAGTGAGAAGGTAAAAGTTCTCAACTTAATAAGAAAAAAAATCATATATTGAGGTTGCTAAGATCTATGGTTAGAATGAATCTTTTATCCGTGGAATTGTGAAGAAGGGAAGAGAAATTTGTGCTGTTTTTGCTGTAGCACTTCAGCCTACAATAGTGTGTGATAAGTGCTTAGTTAAGCTAGAAAAGGCATTAAATTTGTGGTAGAAGACAAGAACAGAAATGTGTTCCAGTTGATGACAATGTGTTGTACCAGCAAGCATTGAGCATCTAGGAAGACTTCAGCAAGGGATCCCCTGAAAAAAGTGACACCAAGCCCTTTACTGCAAGTAAGATTTATTCATGGATTCAGGAATACAGAAGGTCAATAGTAGTCTAAGACTATATCAAAATGTCTAGGTCATTCATATTCCTTCATCTTATCAGGTAGGCACTGTATCATCTCACATCATAAGAAAGGAGAGTGCAGTAAAATAAGATATTTTGAGAGAGTCCACATTCATATAACTTTTACTATAGTATATTGTTAAAATTGTTCTATTTTATTAGCTGTTGTTACTAATCTCTTACTGTGTCTAATTTATAAATTAAACTTTATCATAGGTATGGATGTATAGAAAAAACAGAATACATAGGGTTTGGTACCATCCATGGCATCCCCTCGGGGGTGGGGGGTCTTGATATACATATTTTAAAAAAACTTCAAAAAACCCTAGAATTCTAGGACAGTGTATATGCTGAAGTTCATTATTTAGAACATTCTAAAACAGTACTTTAAAAGAATGTGAACATTCTTTGTAGTTTGCATCAGTTTCTGAAATTTCAGATGTTGGATGTGGATGATGACAATAAAATGAATAATGACTAGAGAGGATTCATATTGATCTGCAAGATGATAATCTCACTTTATTAGATTTGTACTAACATATGAAGAGAACCTGAAGAATTATCCAGGTTAAAATCATTATATATGCTATGGCTGATAATGAAACATTAACTGATATCTAATAGCAGAGCACAGCTAGAAACTTAACAATTATCTATTGTCCTGCTTCATTACAAACCTCAATGTTAATAGGGAAAATAACTCACTGATTGTTGGTAATTAATCTGAATATCTTGTATTTCTGTACAGGGAATAACAATACTCTTTTATATTGAAGGCTAACTAACTCTGAAATTATTGATATCTTTTTTACTTCCTAATTCCTGCAGATTGTACTTTCTGCTCTCATCATGAATGCCCCATTAGTCTCATCCCTAACTTCTTTGTGGCTTTGTGGTCATTCTACCAGGCTTTGTGGTCATTCTACCAGATCTTAAATTCGTCGTGTTCCTGACACCCTGGACACTCCTTGGCTCTGGACTATGCACCTCACACCATACCAAGTTATTAATGCCTACTCTTATGTGCTGGAAGAAGCCACATATACATGCTGATCCACATAGTAGAAATCCCTGCTTTCTAATCACAACTGGGTCTCCAGTATTACAAGAAAAACAACAAATTACAAATAGACATGACCTTATCCAAACATTGGTTTTGTGCCTTTCTCTACTGATTGTGGACTTCTTTGTTTTTTCTTGAAATAGCCAACTGCTATTTGGCTAGCTCTGACTAATCAATAAACAGGATGAACTTTCCAAGCGAAAACTTTTTAAAAAAGGCATTGTTCCTTATTTCAACAAGATTCCAATATGATTTGCAGATGAAATTAAATTGTCAGAAAAGAACTATCCAAACATATGAACTATAAAATGTATTTTGGAAACTATAATATTAATCTAGCTACCATTGCTCCAATTTAATATAAATAAGCAATCTTTTGAATATTACATGTTTTACCAATGAAACAGAGAAGGGATTACTTCTGAAAGCAGAATGAATACTGCAATTACTTTTGTACCCACCAAATACCAATCACTGAAATGTAAAACAAGTTAACAAACTGGTCTTAAGCAATGTTGGTCCTTATGACTCAGTACATTTGGGCTGATCACCTTGGGAACAATGATTAAAAAAAAAATCAAAATTTTGGAATTTCTAGTTTAGCATTTTAGGTGTTTAGAAGTTGCCAGTCCAGGACGGGTGCAGTGGCTCACACCTGTAATCCCAGCACTCTGGCAGTCCGAGGCGGGCAGATCATGAGGTCAAGAGATTGAGATCATCCTGGCCAACAGGTGAAACCCCGTCTCTACTAAAAAAAATACAAAAATTAGCTGGGAGTGGTGGCACGTGCCTGTAGTCCCAGTTACTCGGGAGGCTGAGGCAAGAGAATCGCTTGAACCCAGGAGGCGGAGGTTGCAGTGAGCCGAGATTGAGCCACTGCACACTCCAGCCTGGGTGACAGAGTGAGACTCCATCTCAAAAAAAAAAAAAAAAAAAAAGGAGTTACCTAACAAGGAAAAAGCAAAACAAATGAAAAAAATCCACAACTCTGCTTAGATCCATCAGAGAAGTGAGGTCGCAGGGCAAAGGGATGCTCCCCAAACTGGAGAGGCAGAGAGGCAGATACAGAGAATTACAACTTAGAGCAGAAACCCTTTGCAGGAACCAGTTATGGGGTAGGAAAACCTGAACTGCAATGATGAATTATTGGAGCTCAGTGTGGCAACTCTGAGAGTTAAAAACTTCGGAGACCTAGTCATACAGTGGCCGCCACACTTTTGTATTTTACCTTCAGGAGCTCTACCAAGTCATCACAGTTAATATTGGAGAAATCCCTTTGTGAGTCTGGCAGGAGAGGAGAAAAGGAACCATTTTAAAACAAAACACAGCATTTTTTTTTTCTTAAGGCCTGACCTCAGCAGAAACTATTTCACCAGAGCCTAACATGCTGGGGTTTTGTCAGGGCCTAATATATCTGGAGGAGGGGGAAATACTAAGTTTCAGCTGGCTCTTGCCTTCCATGTGAAGGCAGGGAAATATACTCCGCCTGCCACCCACCACACACACCTTGCCACTACATTACTAAAGGCCTATTTGCTACAGTTACTTTTACCCAGTAAATCATGCCTGCTTTTCAGCAAAAAAAATTACAAGACATACTAGAGGGCAAAAAACACAGTTTGAAGAGACTGAATAAGCATCAGAACCACAGGCAGAAATGCCAGGAACATGAGAGTTATCAGACCAGAAATTTAAAAAAAATGGATTAATATGCTAGGGGCCTTAGTGGAAAAAGCAGACGACTTGCAAGAACAAATAAACAATGTAAGAAGAAACATAGAAATTTTGAGCAAAAAAATAAAGAAATGCTAGAGATCAAAAATGCTCTTAAGAGAAACGAAGAATGCCCTTGAAGAGTTCATTAGCAGACTGGCTGAAGAAAGAAACTCAACTTGGAAATATGACAATGGAAACTTCCAAAACTGAAAAGCAAAGAGTAAAAAGACTGAAAAAATCCCTAAACAACATCCTAGAAGTGTGCAGTAATTATAAAAGGTGTAATGTATACATAATGGGAATACCAGAAGGTGAACAGAAAAAGAAAGAGCAGGAATATTTGAAGTAATAACGACTAAGAATTTCCACAGATTAACAACGTACACCAAACCAGGAATCCAGAAAACTCATAATGCTAAACGGGACAAATATAAAAAAAAAAAAAAACCAAAAAAACCCCCGAAAAAAAACCCCCAAAAACAAAAAACAACATCTAAGCATATCATATTCAAACTTCAGAAAAATCAAAGGTAAAAAAAAATCTTTGAAGAAGCTAGAAGGGAAAAAACACCATACCTATAGGGGAGTGAAGATAAGAATTACATCTGACTTCTCTGAAGCTATTCAAGCTAGAAGACAGTGGAGTGAAAAAACATACTAACCTATAATTCTATTCCATGTAAAATTATTCTTCAAAAGTAAAGTAGAAATAAAGACTTTCTGAGACAAACAAAAATGGAGGGAATTTGCTGTCAGTAGACTGGTCTTGCAAGAAATATTAAAAAGAAGTTCTTCAGAGGAAAGGAAAATGATATAGCCAGAAACTCAGATCTACATAAAGAAAGGAAGAGCACAAGAGAAGGAATAAGTGAAGGTAAAACAAAAACTTATTTTCTTATTCTTAACTGAGCTAACTTATGTATGCTTATGAATAAGTGAAATGAATAACGGCAATGATACAATGGATGGGAGGGAGAAATTATAAATATTTTGTTATTATAAGGTACTTATATTATCTGTGAAGTGGAAAGTGTTATTTGAAATTGGGCTCAGATTAGTTGTAAATGGATATATTGCAAACTCTAGAGCAACCACTAAAACAAGATAGAAGTGTAGTTGTATGCTAAGCAGAGAAAATGGAATCATAAAATAATTTAAATCATAAAAGGCAGAAAAAATGTGGAAGACAAAAATAGGTACAAAGAATAAGGGCAAAAAATAGAAAACAGAAACAATATGGTAGATATTAATCCAATTATATCAATAATCACCTTAAACGTCAATGGTCTAAATACACCAATTAAAAGACCGACTGTCAAAGCAGATCAAAAAATAAGAGCTGACTGTATGTTGTCTACAAGAAACCCATCTTCAATATAAGGACACATAGATTAGAAAGTAAAGGGATGGAGAAAGATACACCATGTTAAAACTAGTCAAAAGAGATGAAGTAGTGATATTAATTTCACACATAGCAGAGTTCAGAGCAAGGAAAACTATCAGGGATAAAGGGACATTACGTAGTGATAAAGACATCAATACCCCAAGAAGACATAACAATTTTTATTTTGCATGCACCTAACAAAAACGCATTAAAATACTTGAGGCAAAAACTGATAAAACTACAAGGAGAAATAGATCAATTTATTATAGTTGGAGACTTCAACGCCTCTCTATCAGAAGTGAACAGATCCACCAGGCAGAAAAATCAGGAAGGACATGGTTGAATTTAACAGTACCATCTATCAACTGGATGCAATTGACATCTATTGACTACTTCATCCAACAACAGCATATTATATATTCTTCTCAAACTCACATTGAATATTTGTGAAGACAGACCACATTCTGGACCAATCATACCATTCTGCTCTCAGACCACAATGGAATTAAACTAGAAATCAAAAACAGCTGAAAAATCCCTGGATAATTAGAGATTTAAAAAATACATTTCTAAATAACATACGGGTCACAGGAGAAATAAAGAGAAATTAAAATGTATTTTGAACTCAATGAAAATGAAAATATGACTTATCAGTATCTGTGGGATGCAGTAAAAGCAGTGTTTAGAGGAAAATTTATAGCATTGAATACCAGTATTAGAAAAGAGGAAAGACCTAAAAACCAATAAATGAGGCTTTAACCTTAGGAAACTAAAAGTGAAGAGCAAATTAAATCCAAAGTAAGCAGAAGAAATAATAAAAGTAGAAATCAATGAAATTGAAACAAAATCAATAGAGAAAATAAATATCCTAAAAACTGGTTCTTTGAAAAGATCAATAAAGTTAATAAACCTCTAGCTAGGCAAACTAAGAAAAAGAAAAAGAATACAAATTACTAATATCAGAAATGGATGACAGGACATCACTATAGAGCCCATGGACATTAAAAAATATTAGGAACAACTCAATTATTACAACCCACAATTATGAACAACCCACAAATTTGATAATTTAAATGAAATGGACCAATTCTTTGAAAGACACAATCTACCAATACACAAGAAAGGCAGTTCGATTAGGCCTATATCTATCAAAGAAATGGAGTCAGTAATTAAAAACTTTCCAAAACAGAAAGCACCAGGTCCAGATGAGTTCAATGGTGAACTCTACCAAATATTTAAGAAATTTAAGGAAAAAACTATACCCATTCTCTACAACCTACAATCTCTTCTAGAAGATAGAAACGGAAACTCATTCTATGATGTCAGCATTATTCTAATACTAAAACCAGATGATGACATTATACAAGAAAACTACAGACCAGTATCTCCCATAAAAAGAGATGTAAAAGCTGGGTGCGGTGGTTCACGCCTGTAATCCCAGTACTTTGGGAGGCCGAGGTGGGTGGATCACGAGGTCAGGAGTTCGAGACCAGCCTGACCAACATGGTGAAACCCGTCTCTACTAAAAATACAAAAATTAGCCAGGCGTGGTGGTGCGTGTGTGTAATCCCAGCTGAGGCAGGAGAAGTGCTTGAACCTGGGAGGCAGAGGTTGCCGTGTGCCGAGATTGTGCCATTACACTCCAGCCTGGGAGACAGAGTGAGACTCCATCTCAAAAAATAAAATAAAATAAAATAAAAAACAAAGATGTAAAAAAAGATGTGAAAATCTCAACAAAATATTAGGAAGTCAAATCCAATCACGTGTAAAAATGATTATACATGACCAAATGGGATTTATCCCAGGTATGCAAGGCTGGTTTAACATTCAAAAATCAATTAATGTTCCATCACATAGGCTAAAGAAGAAAAATCACATGATCATATCAATGGATGCAGAAAAAATTTGTCAAAATCCAATACCCATTCATAATTTAAAACTCTCAGCAATAGAGATGAACCTCTACAACTTGATAAAGAATGTCTACAAAAAACTACAGCTAACATCATAGTTAATCATGAGGAACTAGAAGTCTTCCTGCTGTGATCAGAAACAAGGCAAGGATGTCCCCTCTCACCTCTAGTTTTCAACACTGTACTGGAAGTCCAAATTAACGCCATAAGACAAGTAAAGAAAATACAAGGTACACAAATTTGTAAAGAAGAAATAAAACAAAACTCTCTTTGTTTACACATGACATGATCATCTACATAGAAAATCTGAAGGCATCAACAAAAATACTCCTGGAACTAAATAAGCAACTATCGCAAAGTTGCAGGATAAAAAGTCAATATACGAAAGTTAATAGCTTTCCTGTATACCAGCAATTTACAAGTGTAATTTGAAATTAAAAATACATTACCATTTATACTAGCACCCCCCAAAATAAAATACATAGGCAAATCTAACAAATATGTACAAGATCTATATGAGAAAAACTACCAAACTCTTATAAAAAAATAAAAGAATCAAATAAATGGAGAAATATTCCATATTCATGGATAAAAAGACACGATATTGTCAAGATGTCAGTTCTTTCCATCTATAAATTAGAAGCAATCCCAACAAAACCATAGGAAGTTATTCTGTGAATAGGGACAAACTAATTCCAAAGTTTATATGGAGAGGCAAAGGACCCAGAATAACCAACACAATGCTGAAGAACGACGTCAGAGAACTGATGTTACTTGACTTCCAGATTTACTATAAAAATCAGCAGTTTCCAGATTTGCTATAAATGAAAGAACAAATAGATCAATGGAATAGAATAGAGAGCTCAGAAATAGATCCCACATAGTCAAATGATCATTGACAAAGGAGCAAAGACAATATAATTGTGCTGAATCTGGACTTCTACAAGCGAAAAAAAAAAAAAAAAGACCTTAAGAACTTCAGAAAAATTAACTCAAGATGGATCATTGGTTTAAATGTAAAACAAAAACTATGGAAGACAGCATAGGAGAAAATCTAGATGATCTTGGGTTTGGTGATATTTTAGATACAAACTCAAAGGCATAATCTATGAAAGAAATAATTGATAAGCTAGACTTTTTTTTAACATTAAAAATCTGCACTCTGAAACACAATGCCAAGGGAGTGAGAAGACAAGCCACAGATTGGTAGAATATATTTCCAAGACACATCTGATAAAAGACCAATATTCAAAGTATACAAACAATTCTTAAACCTTAACAATGAGAAAACAAATAACCTGACTAAAATAAGGGCAACAGACCTGAACAGACACTTCACCAGAAAAGATACACAGATGACAAATAACTATAAAAAATGTTCAACATCATATGTTATTAGAGAATTGCAAACTGAATGAGATACCACTAGAATGGTCAAATACTACACTTACTACACTTACTAGAATGGTCAAAATCCCAAACTGACAACACCAAATGCTGATGAGAATGTGGAGCAACAGGAATTTTATTCATTGCTGGTGGGAGTGCAAAATGGTACCGCCCCTTTGGAAGACTGTCTGGCAGTTTATTACAAAACTAAACAAACTTTTACTGTATGATCCAGAAATTGCATTCCTTGATATTTACTCAAGAGAGTTGAAAATGTATGTCCACACAAAAAGATACATATGTATGTTTATAGCAGCTGAATTCATAATTGCCAAAACATACAAGCCACCAAAATATCCTTTGGTAGGTAAGTAGATAAACAGGTACATACACACAATGGAATATTATTCAGCATTAAAAAGAAATAAGCTATGAAACCATGAAAAGACATGGACAAAACGTAAATAAATATTACTAAGTGAAAGTTGTCAACCTGAAAAGGCTATATACTGTATGATTCCAACATATGACATTCTGGAAAAGGGGCTACTATGGAGACAGTAAAAAGATTAACAGTTGCCAGGGTTTAGGAAGGTGAAGTGATGAATACAGGTGGAACCCAGGGAATTTTTATGGCAGGATAGTAAAATTACTCTGTATGATACTGTAATGATGGATACATGTCATTTTACAATTGTAACTCATAGAATGTACTATGCCAAGTGTGAACCCTAATGTAAGCTACGGACTCTCTTGGGTGATAATGATGTATCAATGTAGGTTCATCGATTGTGCCAAATGTGCCACCCTGATGTGGGCTGTTGATAGGGGAGATTGTGTTTGTGGAGATGGGGTATAAGAGAACTCTCTGTACTTTCTGCTCAATTTTGCTGTGAACCTAAAACTGCTCTTAAAAAAAAAAGTTTATTAAAGCACATGAGGCCCATCTAAAGTAGCTGGCCAGGCTTGTCTATGACTTTACCACAGTTGCTGCCCATAGCTTGAAACAGACTCATGTCTTACGATCTCTAAGGCTACTCGTGGAAAAGGCTCAGTTCTTACAGAAGCAGTGAGAAGGAGAAGAAAAAGAGGACAATAGTAAGAGGATTCAAGATTTCACAAGTGGAAACTAAATATTATACAACAAGATTTCGTTACCTTGATCAGTATGAATTGATAAGGAAGAATAATACATTAGAGGAAGAACACGTTTTATCAAATCAATTTTTTTAAAGCATATACAAATAAAGAAAATATACATAAGTTGCCCTTTTAAGAATGAGGTAGGACAATTAAAGCAAACAGCAACAAAAAAGTAGTACAGCAAAAAGTAATACTTACAATTATTCTGTTATTAAAGAAGTTATTCACTTGACAAATCCTATCATTTTCTTTCTGGATGCCATTTTTAAGCTTTTCTATATCAAAACGAGTATTTAACCACTCTTCCAAAAACTGTGTCATTTCTTTCCTATTACTTAGTACTTGTTGAAATTCAGTCTTTATGCTAGGGAACTCACTTTCTGAGAAATCTTTGAGAATTTCCTGTGTGAAAAATAAGCGTCAAATTGTTTAAACATTAGGAAAGTTTTGATCCAAATATTTTATTTATATATATATATATATATATATAAAATAAAAAGAGGGCAATACCTAGTGGACTCTTGCTTTTCTTCCTTTTAATATCATTTCTTAATATTTTAAAGTAAACTAAGAAATATAATTGTAAGTTAAAACTTTATTCTAGTTATTTGCATAATATAATTTTGGCAGTATACATGATGTAACAGATTGTACCTATTAGAATTAAAGCTTGTCAAAATGACAAATTTGTGACTAATTGCTACAATACCTGAAGTGCATCTTAATTTTTATTTTTTGAGA
Organism: Homo sapiens; assembly: GCF_000001405.40. NCBI lineage: Eukaryota > Metazoa > Chordata > Mammalia > Primates > Hominidae > Homo > Homo sapiens. Next base: position 103,133,236 of record NC_000004.12, read on the forward strand.
TGGTCTCACTATGTTGCCCAGGCTGATCTTGAACCCCTGGAGTCAAGTGATCCTCCTGCCTGAGCCTCTTAAGTAGCTGGAATTACAGGCATGCCACTGGGGCTGGCTTCATGAAGTGCTTCTAAATGTAGCTTTTCAGTACATATAGCAGACCTTACATACATGTTGGGAATTGGATGCCAGCCTCACATAGATGAATGCAAGTAACACATTCCATGTGGAGTTGTTGTAATAAAGCGGTTTCTGACTCCCAGCATAGACATAAGTTTTCCTGTATCTATTGAGGTCTGAAGAGAGGCTAGTCCATTATTTGCCAGTCTTTATGTCTGGCCAGGTATCACTCTGCAACGTATTTTTAATTTCTGGTAAATGAAAATAGCTCTAAGCACATGAAAAAGTACCTTTCTACTTGATAAAAAGGCTTAAAATCTAACTAAATCCATTTAAAATAAATTATACCTCAATATGTAGATCCATATTCTGGTTCAATTTGAGATCCCTTAATTCTCTGGATGGTACATCACAATCTTGTTGAAGGTGCTGTATTTTAATTAGCAATTCCTTTTGCTTTTCCACTTCATCAATAAAATCCATTTCAAATTTATTGATGGATTCATGTTGTTCTTCTTTTATTTTTGTAACATAGCTTAACACATACTTGCAGAAAAAAATTAAACAAATTGGTAAATGAAAATTTTGTCACATGTAGAGAAAGTTTTCATCCTTGAGACTATGAGGTAGGATGACATCTCTTATTTACCTATATCCTCTCACAAGTGAGGAAAAGGGAAAGAGCTTCTCTCTATCCCCAGTTTTTCCTCTTAGTATCTTAGGAGAATAACTAACTCCCAGACCTATAATTCCTTATTTCTGACTTCTTACCAGATATACTTCTTGGATGTCTTACAAGTACTTCAAATTCAACATGTTTAAAACGTAACATGATCCCTTTCTCTACAAGTCCTCCTTTTTCTATTGCCCAGTTTTTGGCTAATTACATTACCAATCACCCAGGTTTCCCAGTTAAACTCATGAGACTCATTTTCAACATCCTCTCCTGCCAACGCTGATTGGGTAACCAAAAAGATGAAGTTACATGCCTCAAGACTTCCTTGTCGGCCGGACATGGTGGCTCATGCCTGTAATCCCAGCACTTTGGGAGGCTGACGTGGGCAGATCACAAGGTCAGGAGTTCGAGACCATCCTGGCTAACACAGTGAAACCCTGTCTCTACTAAAAATACAAAAAATTAGCTGGGCGTGGTGGCAGGCGCCTGTAGTCCCAGCTACTTGGAGGCTGTGGCAGGAGAATGGCGTGAACCCGGGAGGCGGAGCTTGCAGTGAGCCGAGATCATCACACCACTGCACTCCAGCCTGGGCAACAGAGCAAGACTCCGTCTCAAAAAAAAAAAAAAAAAAAAAAAAGACTTCCTTGTCAAGCATATTTAGATATTTGGCTTCAAGAGACAATAATTTCAATGCCAAATGTCTCATGGACTTCATGAATAATTCTAGATGTCTGATTACCAGGATTTGTGGAAGAATTACCAGGGCCCGAAGGGCAATCTACCCAGGTAGGGCAGATACCAGCTTACTTATTCCTCAACTTCCACCATTCCTTAACCTCTTATAATCTGGTCTCTTCCTTAACTACCCAGTTGAAACTGTTCTCTGACAATGATCACTAATGAGTTCTATTATCACCACATTGAGAGAATATCTTCAGTCCATATTCTGACTCTCTGAAGTATTTGCCACTCATAACTTCATCTTTGACATACTCTTCTCCACTGATTTGGGTAGCAGTACTTTTGCTAGTTTCTCTCCTGTATCTTTGACTTTTCCAACCTTGAACCCATGTGTTGCTCCCTTTTCTGCTACTGCCTCTTAGACATTTATCTTTTCCAGAGTTCTGTTTTTATCCCAAGGCTCTTAGTCTTCATTATGCTTTCTGGATGATCTTACAAATGTATTATCTATCACCTATATGCTGATCAGTCTCAAATGTTAGTTCTTATTTTTCTCCTGCCAAACCTCAAACTCAAATCTAAATGTCTACTTGGTTTCTCTTCTTGGATGTTCCATCATAGGTATTTCAGCCCCCAAACATCTCAAATTAAACAATCTCCTGCCTCATCTACCTTGTTTCTCTTTCTTTTTTATTTTTGAATCTCAGTTAATGGTACCACTATCGACAAACCTGACTAAGCCCAAATCCAAGAACTCCATCTAAACTTCTCTCCCTTATGTCCACTATCAATTATTTCGACCTACTATTTTAAGCTGCTAAATATTTCTTTAATCTCGTTTGTCCTCTCCAGCCCTGTGAAACCCTCCCTAGTAGTACAGTCACATATAATATCTCATCTGGACCACTGTAACTGCCTCTTATTGCTTTCTGCTACTAGGCTTATCTCCCTCAAACTCATTTCTTCTGTATTCTTTAGTTTAGTACCTAAGTGGTAATCAGATCCTGTTACCACCACCACTTAAAACAATAGTCTAATGATTCCCCATCTACAAAAAGAACTCCAAGCTTTGTTATTGAGTCTGGCTTCTACTACAGTTTCATCTTCTGTAATTTTATTTAGTACGTCATATAACTTGCATACACTTCTATCATTGCACTTAATACTTGTTTATATGTCTGTCTCACCCCAGACTATGAGATCTTTGAGATGTTAACTCACATCTGCCTCCTGAACATCCTGACATAATGTCTAGGCCCACAGGCAGAGTTCAGGTGTTGCTGATATCCTACATATTACTATGCTCAGACCCACATAATCTTTAATTTGGTAGTAAGAATACTAAATAGCAAATATGCCGGCACCTGAAGCAGGACTTAAATACATTGATGTTTATAACTGAAATATTTAAAAGGATATTACTAAAAAAGATGGTACCTTCAGTTTCTTCATGATTCTGTGGAATTCCATGGAGCATCTCTGGTTTGCAGTAAAAAGTTTTTCAATGTGTTTGGTTTGTAAATAGGGAAGTGAGAGGTTTGCTTTAACTCTCATTGAAAGCTCTTTTTGGAATTCAATTTCCTTCTCCAAGTCAAGAGACAATCTATTCAAGCACTCATAATGATCATCCATCTCTGAGTATCTCTTCAAAAGCTCCTAAAGGAAATGAGAATTCACTCAATTTATAACAATTCATTCTAATATCACAATAAGTAGTTACAACTCTAGAATTGTAACAAAACTTATGCTTTAACATTTTCTGTAGGAGAGAAATAAAGACCTTTGTGTCTAAAAACAAAAGGAAACTCTTGTTGTCATTTTGGATAACAGAAATAATAGATAATTATTATGGCAATTTAAAAAATTTAAGCAAATATAACAAAGAAAGCCAGGACCAACCATTCTTAACATTTTGATGCATTTTCTTTTAGTTTTTTGAATATCCATGATATGAATCAACATTGACAAAGTCTGATGAGAAATTTGAGTAAATTCAATTAAGTATGTATTGTAGTTCATGGTTGAGTGCTGGTTTATGTTTATAGTAGGCAGTCTGAGTTAGCAGATAAAACAAGTGATTAAGAATCAAACCACCTATTTGTCAGCTTGGTACAGATACTTCACACAATCCTACTATCTGCCTACAATCTGTTTTCTAACCCTTTATCAGAGGTAGAGTTCAGGTTCCAGCTCTGCCACTTCTTGACTGGGGAAGTCACTGAGCCATTTTCACAACAACAGGAAGACTACAATAATTACCACAAAGTTTTCTGGGGTCAAGTAAAATATATGATCTATACCTATATACCTATGTAATCTATAAAACAGACACAGTCATTTAACTTGAAGGAGACAAAATTATGTTTATAAACATGTTTCTATACCCAAGTTTTGAACTAAGTCAGATACAAGTCTGACTTAGTTTAAAATTCTGATTCTAACAATTTACTAGCTGTGTAACCTTGGGCAACTGCTAAACTTCCTTTCTGAGGAAGGCAGTTTCCTTGTTTATGAATGGAGCAATAAAGCCTATATCATGAGGTAAAGCACCCAGTATGGTACCTGGCATACAGTAGACATGCAATAAATCTGGACCCATAGACTCAAGTGACTTGAGGCTATGCAGGTGACACACTGGTCAGAGCACAGGTAGAGAAACATGTAAAATTCAAGTTACTGTAATCATGTAGTAGGTAACATGTTTAGTTCAGGCTGCTAAACAATAAAACAAGGGCGTTCTCACAAGAATGAGCCCTTTATTTTTAATAATTTAAGAAAAGCTAGATGTTAATCAATCTGGAATGTTGGAGAGGGGATTCCTGTTTTTGGTTTTAGGATGAATCAACTACGGTATACAGCAGCATATTGAACACTGACTTATGTCAGGAATGTGCTAAATGATGTAGTCATAAACAAAACAAAAATGTCCTTAGAGATCTTGCATTCCAACAGGTGTGACTGTAAATCCTGTTGGCTTTCCCTTCAATGTATATTCAGAATCTCAACACTTCTCACTACCTCTATTGCTCCCTCTCTGGGCCAGGCCAGGATGATCTCTGCCTGGGTGATTGAAATCAGTCTTTATAATGGTCTTCCTGCTTCCACTCTATTTTCAATATAACAATTAAGAGTCATCCCTTTAAAATGTTAAGTCAGATTATGTTTCTCTTGCGGTAAAAATTCCCCAATGGATCTCCACCTCACTTAATAAAACTCAGTCTTTTTTCATGTCCCACAGCTTGCCTCTTCCCTGCTAACTCTCTGATCTCATTCATTAGCAGCTTGCCCTCTTTTCGATATTCCTTGAACCACCACAGAGTCTTCTGCCTCAGGAACTTTGTACTCGCTGTTCCCTTTGCCTATAATGGTCTTTTCAGACATCTGTATGGCCTGACCCTTTACCTCGTTCAGGTATTTGCTCAAGTATCACTTTTCTGGTGAGGACTTAAATTCACAAGCTCCCATTGTTGTTTGTGTATGTGTGTATATATGCATTATACCCACACACCTGTACTAGATTACAATGTTTAGAAAAATACTGAGCACTATCTATTTATTCCAGAGGTTCCTTCAATCCCACTTCAGGTTTCGGTAAGCCTTTGGAAGACAACCAATAATCATTTGTAGTTTTAACAGGGGGTACTTACTTTTATTCTAGAGCACTTTTCTCTCAGGCTTTCCGTAAGGTGCTGTTGTCCATCACTTAGTAACCTTTTTTCAGGTTTTACTTGGTGGTTCTGTCGGTCCTGCTTTGGTAAAAAGAAAATAAACAGGGCTTTTGTCATGACTATATTCACATATAATGTCTAATCGCACACTTCTAAATTACATGACATTTCAATAATGGAATTAAATATTATACTTGTCACTCAAAAGCAATGTTAAAATGATCAGAAAATGAATAATAGTATCAGTAAGTTTTATAGGGAGTGACCTTAACTCATTGGTAAAAAAGTAGAAAAATCATCTAATTTTTGGAGACAGGATTTGTTTTTCATAGCTACAAATTAGGTTTTAGGGCCAGGCATGGTAGCTCACGCCTGTAATCCTAGCACTTTAGGAGATCGAGGCAGGAGGATCACTTGAGCTCAGGAGCTCAAAACCAGCCTCAGCAACATAGTGAGACCCTGTCTCTATAAAAATAAATAAATAAATAAATAAACAACCAGGAAAACAAATAAATTAGATTTTAATTTCTGATTCCTACTCTTCCAAATCTCTGCATTATTCACTTGTAGTTTTAACAGTGGCACTTGCTTTTATCCTAATGCACTTTATTGGCGCCAACCAAATATACTGGCAAAACCACCTGTACTGTCTATGGTGTTTCAAACCCTAGTCATATATTCTTCCCAGCACCTTGGAAAAGTTCATATCCTGTGTACATTTTGCATTTCTGATTAAAAAGTATAAAGTGAAACAAAAACATTTTCTCCCACTTATCTTGTTCACTACAGTACCTAGAAGAATATTTGATGAATGAATTAAATCTCTCTATAAATTTAGTTCAGGCCCACATAAAGAAATATGAGAATAAAAAAGATTTTTACAGATTTTAATAAACTTGTCTGAACTCTGTTACTTTCAAAAAGAGGATTTAATTAGATATTTTAAGATATATGATTCTGAATATCTATAAATAGTCATACCAGAGGAACTTAATTTTTATATTTATCTTCCCTTTTTTCCTTTTAACTTCACCAATAAGAGCCCAACTCTAGAACTCCAGCATGTATAGGTAGAGAAATGGGAATATTTGCTCTCTTACAAATCTAATCCTTCAAATATTTCTCCATTTAGAATAATGCTATCTCTTGATTAAAAAAAACTTTAAAATGTTATATTAAGGGAAATAGACTGCTTTAACACAGTTTATAAAAATAAAGAATTAAATGTTATTTTCTGAAAATATTTTTGCTTCTTTTAAAACTGTTTTCTATTGTGTAAAAATTAGAGTAACCATTTCCCACTGTCCTTTACTGTTCATAGGAATTTCCAGAGAAAGAAATAAAAACATTGTAATTCTTTTCAAAAAAGCTTAATTCTTATTAATAGTTACTACACAAAGGAAGACTCTGAACTCACTCTAGCTATCATTTCCCTTAAGGTTGCTATGAATTGGTCCCTTTCCATTTTGAGAGATTCTTTTATCCTCCTTAGCTCATCTCTTTCTTTAGCTACAATTCTTATTTCTTCAAGGCTTTCATGAAGTTTCTTAGTCAACTGGAAGTTATCCATTCTCACACTTTGCATAGATAAGTTTTGGGCCTCAAATTGCTTCTTCAACTGTTCCATTTCATTAATTTTTTTATGACTCATATTGACATCTTCTTTCACTCTAAGCAGTTGAAGTTCTTTTTTCTGAAGTTCTTGGATCTTGAGATAATTGTAAAACAAGTTAGAATGTAAGCAGTTTCTTCAAGGAAGGCAAATAGTGTCTACTTGTGTTCTATATGCACATATCTATCTACATATCTGTATCTATATCTTTTTAATTCCACAAATAATTTTGGGCACAGTTACTTCCAAAAGAAGAACAAAACAACACATACCTTTTTCTGTAATTCATCTTTTGATTTATCTAAATCCTTTTGAATGTCTGAAATTTGAATTGTCTTTTCTGAAATTTTTTCTCTAAGTTTATCAACAGTTTCTTTGTGTTCTTTTGATAGCATACGAGCAGTTTTTAGTTCCTGTTGTATTTCCAGATCCTTTATGGTTAGAAGAAATCAAGAAATGTAATGATATAAAGGCACGTTACCTTTACTTAATGATTGAGTTTAAACAAAATCTTAAAAATTATACACTCACAGTTAAAAACAACCATTATACAACCTCCTAAATTAGAAGAGTAAAGTAAAATTTTCTGCTGGTAGCCTCACCCATAGCCTTCTCCTTTCATACCACTTGGACATCTTTCTAAATCAATATCACAAAAAGAATACCCCATTCTTATGCTTAGTTTTCCATTATACAGATAGTGCCTTATTATTGGTGGACACTTAGATTATTTCTAGGTTTTAGTCACCAGACACAACGCTGCAGTGAACACTGTATTTTTGCCCAAATATGTGAATATAATGGTAGGGTAAAGAGAGAACACAACTCACTCTAGCTTTGGTTTCTTGCAGGCTTTCCTTGAGTTGGTCTCTCTCCAGTTTGAGTGTCTCCTCTACTCTTCTTAGATTATCTCTTTCTTTCATTACAGATTTCATTTCTTCAAGGTTTTCATGAAGTTTCTGAGCCAAATTTAAATTCTCTATTTCTAATTTACTCAGAGTTAAGCTTTGGTCTTTTATTTGTTTCTTTAGTTGCTCCATTTCAGACACTTTTTTCTGTGTCTCATTGACATCTTTTTTTAACGTAATAAGTTGATGTTCATTTGCCTTAAGTTCTTGAATCTTAAGATAATCATAAAATAATATGTTAGGTGGCTTTTTAGGGACAGATAAATAATAGTTTCTAAATTGATTAAGACAACTGTCTACCCATGTTACTCTCACTGATATCCTGCACAATTCCACACAGAATTTTACTTTCTTTTGAGGTATAATATATATAAAGCATGCTCATCTTCAATGTATAACTTAATTATTCTTGACACAGGTGTAAATCTATGAAACTACAACCCAGATTAAAACAGAGAATATTTCTAGCACTTCATAAAGTTTCTGTGTGCTCCTTCCTAGAGACAGCCACTATTCTGACCTTTATCATCCTGGTTCAGTTTTGCCTGCTTTTGAACCTATATATCACAATGTATGTATCCATTTTCCTGCTGATAGACATTTGAGTTTTCAGTTTTTTGTTATTTTGAATAAGGCTGCTATAAACATTCTTGTGTCTTTTTATAGAAGTATGTACGTACTCTTTTCTCTTATGTACATACCCAAGAAGTGGAAATGTTGGGCCTCAGGCAGGCTACATCCAGCATTAGTAAATACTGCCAAGGTGTTTTCCAGTGTGGTTGAACCATTTTATATCCCCAACAATTTTAGGCACAAACAAATTAGATATCCAATCAAACAATCCCCCCATAAAAATACCTTTTCTTGTAATTTAGCATTTGAATTTTCTAAATCTTTTTGCATATTTGATAGTTTATCTGTCTTCTCAGAAACAATTCCTCTGAGTTTGTCAATAGTTTCCTGCTGCTCTTTCAGATGCATGTGAGCAATTCTTAGTTCCTCTTGTATTTTCAGATCCTTTACCATTAGAGAAATTTTAAAAACAGTGACATATCTTAATATTAGTTTTTAAAAAATAAAGTGATATATTTTCTTAGTAAAAATAATAACACTGTTACTCTATATCTTTGCTGTTGTTTTTAAGGTACAGGCTTTCTCTTCCCTGTCCTCCTCTCTTCACACTCTACTTCTGCTTTCCAGAGGCAAACACATTACACATATATTACTTTTTTTAAGTGTTGCATAGTATTTCGATATATTGTTCATATTTACTGTTTCCTTCTGAGGAACATTTAGATTGTTTCAGATTTTTAATTAAAATCACTACAATAAATAACCTGTGGCATATGTATACGTTGTGTTTGTATATACACACACACTCCTTTAACAGTATATATGTAGGCTAAAGTCCGTAAGGAAAATGATAATTGCAGACTTGAACTTTTCAAGAACAGTACCAAATTATCTGCTTAAAAGGCTGTATCATTTCATTCTTGCCAACAGTAGTACTTGGTTCAAAGAAGGGTTCATTGCTGTAAGAACACAATACATTGAATTGCCAGGGAGAGGAATGAGCTTACTTTAGCTTCTATTTCTCTAAGGCCTTCCCTAAGTTGGTCTTGCTCCATTTTAAAGATTTCCTCTACTCCTCTTAGGCCATCATTTTCCTTAGTAACAAATCTTACATCCTGAAGGTTTTCATGAAGCTTCTGAGTCAATCTTAATTTCTGCGTTTCTACACTTTCCAGAGTTACATTCCAGGCCTCTAACTGCTTCTTTAACTGACCTGTTTGATACATAGTTTCCCTAAGATCATTTTTTACTTTAAGAAGTTGAGGCTGGGCCTGGCGGCTCATGCCTGTAATCCCAGCACTTTGGGAGGCCGAGGCGGGTGGATCATGAGGTCAGGAGATCGAGACCACCCTGGTCAACACGGTGAAACCTCCTCTCTACTAAAAATACAAAAATTAGCTGGGTGTGATGACATGCATCTGTAATCCTAGTTACTTGGGAGACTTGAGGCAGGAGAATCGCTTGAACCCGGGAGGCAGACATTGCAGTGAGCCGAGATCATGCCGTTGCACTCCAGGCGACAGAGCGAGACTCTGTCTCAAAAAAAAAAAAAAAAAAAAAAAAGAAGTTGATGTTCTTTCTCCTGAAGTTCTTGGATCTTGAGATAATCATACAATAAGTTAGGATTATCAGTAGATATAAAAAGATCAATGATAGTTTCTAAATTGAGTAGGCAAGTAAGTCTTCACTTGCCTTCAATTTTAGGGTAATTCATATCTTGTTTCATTACACAAAAAGTTTGATTCAAACTCTCAGTAACTGAGATAACTTAAAAATAAAATACCTGTGCTTTTAAGGCATCATTTGAGTGTTCTAAGTCCTTTTGCATATTTGATATTTCATTTGTTTTCTCTGAAACAATCCCTCTTAGTTTATCAATAGTTTCTTGGTGCTCCTTCAGATGCATGTGAACAATTTTTAGCTCCTCTTGTTTTTCTAGGTCCTTTATCAATAGAAAAATAAAAATAATACATTGAGAGTAGTACCATCCACATGCTATAGAAAGGTATAGGGCAGGAGGTAAAAATCTTCCACCCTCTTCTGAGGCCTCCTAGTTCTCACCCTCTAAGCTACTTTTAGATGTCAATACATTCTAGATACACTATTCCTGAACTTACCCTGTTCCCTAACAGGACACTTCACCCTTCAAATCAGCACTATAGCTCTACCACATTTTTTATTTGTGGCATAGAATTCCATGACGTGAATGTGCTGCACTTATTTAACCAGTCCCTTACCAATGGATGGTTAGAATTTTCCCTGTTTTTGTTTGTGTTATTTCATTATTGCAACTTGTTGCAAAGAATATCCTACAAATATCTTTATACAGTTGTGCAAATGTGTGGAGGATAGTTACAACTGGACTTGTGGATCAACGAATAAACCTTTGGAAAAATTTGGAAGGTATTTCCAAATATACCCTCACCAACTTTCCTCAATATTGGACCAATTTTATCTTATTTTATTATTTTTTATTTTATTTTACTTTTTGAGATGGAGTCTTGCTCTGTCGCCCAGGCTGGAGTGCAGTGGTGCGATCTTGGCTCACTGCAACCTCCGCCTCCTGGGTTCACGCCATTCTCCTGTCTCAGCCTCCCAAGTAGCTGGGACTACAGGCGCCCACCACCACGCCTGCCTAATTTTTTATGTTTTTAGTAGAGATGGCGTTTCACCATGTTAGCCAGGATGGTCTTGATCTCCTGACCTCGTGATCTGCCCGCCCTGGCCTCCCAAAGTGCTGGGATTACCGGCTCGAGCCACCGCGCCCGGCCTGGACCAATTTTATACTCCCACCAACCCTATGGCAGATTTTTCTCTTAGGACTCAATGTCATAGTTACTAGAGGTGTAGAGAGATGGTAACTCACTCTAGTTATAGTTTCTCTAAGGTTTTCCTTGAGCTGGTCTCTCTCTACTTTGAGAGTCTCCTCCACACTCCTAAGGTCATCTCTTTCTTTTGTTACAGATCTCATTTCTTCAAGGTTTTCATGTAGTATCTGAGTCAACCTTATATTCTCCGTTTCTATGTTTTCCAGGTTTAACTTCTGGGTCTCAAATTGCTCCTTCAAGTGTTCTATTTCACACATTTTCTCCTGAGTCTCATTGACAGCTGTCATCTTAAGAAACTGATATTCTTTTTCTTGAGATTCTTTCATCTGAGAAAATTATAAAGTAAGTTACAACATAGGCAGAATTTTTTTAGGAAAAGGAAGAACTGTTCCTAAAATAAGGCAATCATTTTTACATTGTAATCTAATGTATGTAGTACTTTCTTTCATAAGGGATATGAGTAACAATAATTAGATGTCATTTTCCAATTTAACAAGTCCCACTTTTTCCTGTAATTCACCATCAGAATTTCCTAAATCCCAATGAATATTTGCTACTTGAGCTGTCTTCTCTGAAATATTCTGTCTACTAACAGTTTACTGGTACTCAGTTGAATATAAGCAGTTTTTGATTCCTCTTTTATTTCCGGTCCCTTTATGATTAGAGGAAAATTAATAAAACTTAACATGAACACCGTCATTATCACCTTAACACTATTTCTGTATCCAAAAAAAAAAAAAATAAGATGGGAACTTACTTTAGCTACAATTTCTTTAGTGTTTTCTTTCAGTTGGTCTCTCTCTATCTGAAGGGCCTCCTGTACTCTTTTCATTTCCTCTTTTTCCTTAATCATAATTTGTATTTCTTCTTGACTTTCTTGAAGTCTGTTGGTCAACTCGAGCATCTTACTTTCTATACTTTGTAGTGCTGAATCCTTGGCTTTGCGATGCTCCTTGAATTGTTTCAGTTCATTCACTTTTTCCTGAACCTCACTAATTTGTTTTATATTAAATTGTTCCTCTTTCTCATAAATCTCTTGGATCTTAAACATAATTATAAAATAAGTTAATAGTCATAAAAATATGTAAACACACACACACACATACACAACTTAAGAGGAAAAGGTTGCTTCCCAAAACAATTAAGCATGCCAAATAGTAGTCTTCATAATTCAGTTAGCTACTCCAAACCCACCCATTTCCTCCCACTGTTTCTTCATCCCCAATTTACCTTGTTCTGTAATTTATCATTGATTGCTTCTAACTGCTTTTGAATGGTTGATATTTCAGTTTCCTTCTCTGAAAGATTCACTCTTAACTCATTAATAGTTTCCTCTTGTTCTTTCAGGCAACAATGAGCAACTTTAAGTTCCTCTTCAGTTTCCAGGTGCTTTATTATTAGAGGAAATTCCAATAAATTTATAGAAACATTATAACTATTTTGTTGTAATTAACTCCCCTTTCCAAATATTTAGGGTTTATAATAATATTTGGTTACAAAATATTTTTTAAAAACATGGTGAAAGATGAAACCTACTTTAGCTACAATTTCTTTTATGTTTTCTTTGAGCTGGTCACTTTCAGATTGAAGAACTTCTTGCAGCCTCTGTAGGTCATCTTTCTCCTTAGCTACAGATTTCATTTCATCATGACTTTCTTGAAGTCTTTTGGACAATCCGAGCATTTCTATTTCTATCCTTAGTAGTGCTGAATCTTTGGGTTTGAATTGCTCCATCTCACTCACGATTTTGGTAGTTTCATTGTCTTTTTCTTTCATATTTAAGGACTGTTCTTGTTTGCTTTGAGACTCCTGGATCTTAAGAGAATCATAAAACAGTACAGTTGATATCCAGAGATATTGTGTTTTAGGGGAAAATAAATCAGGATGCTTTCTAAAACAATTAAGGCAGGATTCAGTGCCTCATTTACAGAGCAATCTCTCCATTCTCCCACTCTTCCATTATTCAGGCATTTAATGCTTTTTAAAAATTGAGGTCTCACTGTGTTGTCAGCATCTTATTCGAGGCTGGAGACAAAATGATGAGACTTACAGGATCTCTCTCTTTTTGAGACTTATACTTCAAGGACAAAGATAGATATGATGTTGAATCTTACCAAATAGAGATGCTGGCTTCTCCTACGGCCCAAGTGTCAAATATAATCTATTGTGAATGATAGGAAGGGATTCCTAGAGGAGAAAGCTTTAACTGAGATCTGAAGGATAAGAGCATTAGTTAGGCAAAAAGGAGTATGGAGGTACTGCAGGTAGAGAGACCTGAGAATCTGAAAGCCATGAGCTGCGGAAGAGAGTTGCTGGAGAACAAAGAATAGGAAGAAGAATGAATTGAAATAAGACCGGCAAGATCTGCACCTAGGGCCTCATAGGCCACATAAAGGATCCTGGTCTTTATTTAAAAAGTAGCAATAAGATATTAAAAGAATGTAAGAAAGGATAACTTAGGCTTAGTATAGAAACTGGATTAGAGAAGTCTAAGAATGAGTGTGGGAAGACCAGTTAGGAGACTACTGCAGATAGCCAGGGAAAGAAATGATGTTGACTTGGATTAGGGTGGTGGCAGTGTGGAGAGAAAAGCAGGATGACTTTTAAAATACACACTCAAATCAATAAGATTTGGTGACTGGATTACAGAATAAGCAGAGAAGGAGGCATATTAGTAGGGATAGCTCCCAGATTTCTGACTAAAACAATGAGAAAGCACAGTAGTGCTTTATGAAACATTAAAGGAACAGGTTTAAAAAAGAAAATAAAACAATCTCATATTTGGTTTCACCCTTTCTTGTAATTTAGAATTATTTTTTCTAAATTATTTTTTGAATATTTAAGAAAACAGTTCTTTTCTCTGAAACATCTTCTCTCTGTTTCAATACCTTCTTGGTATTCAAGAGCAATTTTTAATTGTTCTGTTTCTAGTCATTTCATGATTAAGAGACATTAAAAAAACTGGTAACATAATTATAATACAAACATTATAACTATAACACAAACACAAGCCTTGATTCTTATAAGACACTTGTTAAAATGGGAGGAAAATACGAAACTTACTTTAGCCAAAGTTTCTCTAATATGTTCTTTCAGCTGGTCATGTTTAACTTCAAGGGCTTCTTTTATCGTTTTAAGGTTGTCTCTTTCCTTGGTTAGAGATTTTATCTCTTCCTGACTTTCTTGAAATTTTTCATTCAACCTGAGCCTTTCCATTTCTATTCTTGCCAGTGTTGTTGAGTCCTTGGTTGTGGACTGTTCTGTTAATAACTCCAGTTCATTCATTGTTTCCTGAGTCTCACTGACTTCTTTCACATTAGGCAGTAACTCTTGTTCCTCATGAAGCACTGGGATCTTAGGACATTCATAAAATACCAAGGTTACTATCAGGAGATTATGATCATAATTTTTTTTTTTTTGAGACGGCATCTCACTCTGTTGCCCAGGTGGGAGTGCAGTGGCGCAATCTCAGTTCACTGCAACTTCTGCCTCCTGGGTTCAAGAGATTCTCCTGTCTCAGTCTCCTGAGTAGCTGGGATTACAGGTGTGTGCTACCATGCCTGGCTAATTTTTGTATTTTTAGTAGAGACGGGGTTTCACCATGTTGGCCAGGCTGGTCTCAAACTCCTGACCTCAGGTGATCTGCCTGCCTTGGCCTCCCAAAGTGCTGGGATTACAGGTGTGAGCCACCGCATCCCACTGGCCATTATCATAAATTTTTAAAGGGAAAAGATCAGGATACTTTTCACAGCAAGGAAAGTCATCTTGAACCCTCAGGCCTACCTTGGATCACAAACTGCTCATTATTCATTTTCCCTCAATTCCTGCTAAAGCTATTCATGACTTTTCTGGGTCACATTCTGTCATACTTTTCTTTCTTTGTAGCTTAGACCCAAAGTGAACCAATTATACTTTGCTAGCAGTCTGTTTCATACTTATTTCTCCACTAGTTTCCAAGCTATAAGAGAAAAACCATAGCTGAGCAAACTATATCCCAATAAATGTATGATCTCCATTTTCAGATGGGCTCCAATGCTATGTCTCAATTTTTCTATGTGTATAGATTGATTTCTCTTTCCATGATAAATTAGTGGTACCATGTAATTTTGCGTATTTCTGCATTTACCATATTGGAATTAAGGGATTTTCTTTCTAGTTTATAATGGGGGGAAAGAACAATGTCTTATTTATATCTACAGTCTCAATGTCTGGCATGGAGTAGGCTTTTAATACAGGTTGGCCCAGTAATCCCAATGTTTCACTTTCTCCATAGCATTTACCACTATTTAATGTTTTCTTGTTCATTTGATTGCTTATTTATCAGCTACTTTCTTTCACTACAAATGGATCAGAGGGATTTTAGGGGTTTTGTCCACCTTGTTCTCATTGCATTTCTATAACCTAGGAGTGTGCCTGCCACATTAAACACTCGACAAATACTTACCCAGTCAATTAATGAACCACATCCTAGCTACTTCTTACTGCTTATCTTTCCTTCAAAGGAGAAAGGAAGGAAGAAGTGACAAAGGATGAAAGGAATAAAAGACATACCTCTTCTTGTAATTTGGTATGGGATTTTTCTAAGTCCTGAGTATTTATTATTTGAGCTGTCTTCTCAGATACGCTTCTTCTTAGTTCATCAATAGTTTCTTGGTGTTCTTTTAGGTGAATATGAGCAATTTTTAGTTCTTCTTTGGTTTGTAGGCCCTTGGCGAGTGAAATTTAAAGAATATTGTAATATTCTTCCAACATTGCTCCCCTCTTTCCAAGTGGCTCAGATTTTAAAAGAAACACTTAATAGATGAAGGAAAAGGGTATAACTTACTGTAGCTTCAATTTCTCTTATATATCCTCTAAGGTGGTCTCTCTCTGTTTCAAATGACTTCTGTAATTCCTTTAGAACTTTTCTTTCTTTGGTTATAGATTTCACTTCCTCATAATTTTCATTAAGTTTCTGAGCCAACTCAAGCCTCTCTGTTTCCATATGTTCCAATGTCAATTCTTTGTTCTTTAATTCATTCTTTAAATTCTCTATTTCATTAATCTTTTTCTGCATCTCACTCATCTCTTCTTGTACATTAAGAAGTTGTTGCTGTTTTTCTTGGAGTTGCTGGCTCTTAAAATGCACAATTTTTATAATTACCATTTTACTTATATTCTCAAAATTCTTACACAAAATCATTAACAGCCTTGCCTCCTATCAGCATATAAATAGGTAAGTAGCATTAAAAGTAAATGAAACTCACAGGCATAAATGTCTGCAGTGGTTTGAATATTGTCCCACCCAAAATTCATGTCTCCCAGGAACCTCAGAATGTGAACTTATTTGGAAATAGAGTCTTTGCAGATGTAATTGGATTAGGATTGAGACGTGATCCTACTGGAGTAGGTCTTCATTCCAATGAGTGTATTTATAAGAGACATAAAAGCACATAGAGAGGCACAGAGAAGGAGGTCATGTGAAGCAGTTACAAGCCAAGGAATGCGAAGGGTAGCTGGGAGACACTGGAAGCTAGGAAGAAGTAAGGAATGATTCTTCCTTAGAGCCTTCAGAGGGAATATGGTATTGCTGACACTTAAATTTGGACTTCTAGGACTCAGAACTGTGACAGAATATGTCTCTATTGTAAGCCATCAAGTTTACAGCAATTTGCTATGGCAGCCCTAGGAAACTGATACAGGCTGATTAAGGAGATAAACTGATTAAGGAGATAAGGGGAAGATGAGATAAAGTAAAAAAGCAAAGAGACTAATTAAATATACAAATACAGCTACCAAATAACTATAATTCCTCATCCTCTTAAAAAACTTTTGGAGAATTTATTTTCACTTCCAATAAGATGCTTATGGGTGGCTCCCCCAAATACTGAGACATTAACCTTCACAGGCTATTGATTTTACCTTTTTTATAGGAGTATGAAATAGACATAAGGTTTTAGTAAACTCAATTAGGTGAGATAGTGAAAGGGATCAGAATTAAAAGAAAACACATATTAAGAAAAAAACAGGCTGGGCATGATGGCTCACACCTGTAATCCTAGCACTTTGGAAGGCTGAGGCAGGAAGACTGCTTGAGCCCAGGAGTTTGAGACCAGCCTGGGCAACACAGTGAGACCTCGTTTCTACCAAAAATACAACAATTAGCTGGGTGTTGTGGCACAGCTAATTTAGTCTCAGCTACTCGGGAGGCTGAAGTGGGAGGACAGCCTGAACCCAGGGGGGGTTGAGGCTACAGTGAGCTGTGATCATGCCACTGCACTCCAGCCTGGGTGACAGAGTGAGACCCTGTCTCAAAAAAAAAAGGAGGAAAGAAAAAAGAAAAAATATTCCACAGAATAATAACAGAACCGTACTATATTATCTATTATGCAAGTGGCACTGCCCTTAGCTTATATAGAAAGATCTCTATGGGTGCATTTTAGAATCTCTTGGGAACTACAGCTGTTACAGGGGTCTTAGCTCTTACACAAATATCCCAATAACACCTAACTTCTATATAAGAAATGATTCAGGAAACTGCAAACATCTAAGAGATGGTAATAGTGATAAATCTTACATTTCAAAATGACTAATGCATCTCTGCAAGGAAAGAATCTTTGTTTTGTTGACTAATATATCTCAAGTGCCCAAAACAGTGCGTGGCCCATGACAGTGCTCAATAAATATTTGATGAATGAATACATCATATGATTTGTTTAAATGATACAAAGCCCTCTCTCACCTAAAGACTCTGGAATAATATAATCCTCATAAGGTATGTTAGTTTAGATCTCAGTGTAAGTTAAAATTGTCCAAAATACTAGCATTGAAATATGTTCATTTGGGAGGTATGTGCTATTTCTGGATTTAGGTCTACAGAAATAAAAATTACCAAAAAAAAAGTTTAGTTAGAAAAAATGGCCAGGGAAATAACTTTAAAAATTCACCTTTTCCTTTAGTTTTTCTTCAACTTCTGCCAGTCTGTCACAGGTCCTAGAAAGCTCTCCTTCTTTCTTTATGGCATGGTTCTTTTCTTGTGCAACTATCTCTTGTTGCTTTTTAAGTTCATCCCCAAGAAGTCTTAATTCTTCCTGGTTTTCAATGGTCTAGAAAGAAAAAAAAAGTTGAGATTAAAGTAAATATTAGCTAACATTTATGAAATCAGGTAAAACATCAGCATTTCTCTCAGTCTGCAAATGAAGAAATCAGGGAAAACTATATAGGAAAAGACAAATTTCAAAAAAGAAAGTCCTTATTTTAATAATATAAGATGCCAAGAATCTGCTTTTTATACTGTTTCTTTACTGCTCAATTTACATTCCTACCATGAGAATTAGAATTGCATTTAACATTCTATCATGAGAGCTTAGCTTATTTCTACCTTTAAGTCAAAAGAGACTTTTTCTGAGCTATCACTGAGTAATAATGAGACTACAGCTATAGTTTTTTCAAACACTGGGATGGCTTTGGTTTTAGCACAGATCACTGCCAGCGAGCTCAAAATGGCAGCCACCCTCTGCTAGCATGACTTGGGCTGATCCTGGTTATTAGGCTCACACAGTGACATTCTCACGTATCAAGACCACAAAAACATAACAAGCCAGAGACTGAGAAGAAAATACCATTGTTTGTTTGTGTGCTTATTTACATTCTGCTCTTTTGATGAAGGAGACAATCCCCAAAACTTATAAAATTAAAACAATACAAATGGTCGCATTCTACTATGATCCACAGTGAACTTCTCCAAATATTTATTTAAACTTATACACATTGTATCACCCCTAAACATAGAAAACCTAAGTGTGAAAATATTGGCAGACATCAACAACAAACAATTAAAAATAAAATTTAAAAATTATGACAGCAAAAAAAAAGAGAAACATTTAGGAACAAATTTAATAAAATATTAAAAGACCTATACACTGAAAATCTACAACATACCTCTTTGAGAACAGACAAATTACAGAAGAAGATATACAATGGTCTAGAAGCATAAGAAAAAATGTTCAACATCTTAGTCATTAGGGAAAGGCAAATTAAAACAACAGTCTGCACACCCATTAGAATGGCTAAAATTAAAAGCACCAATAAATATGAAGTGTTGGTGAAGAAGGATGTTTGAGCCACCAGAATTCTCTTAATTTGCTAATGGGAATGTAAAATGATATAATTACTTTGGAAATCAGTCTAGCAAATTCTCATCAAGTTAAACATATTCTTCCCTGTGACACAGCAATTCCATTTAGATATTTACCTTAAGTAAATAAAGCTATGTAAATAAAAAGAGTTGTACGAGAATGTTTACAGCAGTTTTATTCAAAATAGCCAAATACTGAACGGAACCCAAATTTCCATCAATAGGAAAAAGAATAAAAAAATTATGGCGTATTAATACAATGAACTATTCCTTGGCAGTAAAAGGGAGTGTAGAAAGTCAAACATAAGAGACTACATACTGTATGATTCTATTTGTATAAAGCTCTAGAAGAGACAAATGATTTAAGGTGAACATATCAGGACTGATAATCTGGCGGGGAGGAGGTGATGAGGGTCTGTGATAGAGGTGTGAGGAAACTTTCTGGGGGTGATGGAAACATCTTCTATCTTGACTGGGGTGAAGAGGAAATGGGTAGAGACATTTGTTAAAAGTCGTCAGACCATACACTTCCACCAGATACATTTATTGTATATAAATTATACCTCAATAAAGTTGATAAAAATCTGAAACAAATGAAGACAAAAAGGTAATGCCAAGTATACAGTGCTAAATCCTACCATTTCAATATTTTCCTTTAGGTCAGTCTTCAATTGTTCCTTTTCTGCTATAACACTCTCTAACATTTGTTGGAGTTCATTTTTCTCCTGTATTAAAGAAAATATCTTCCTTTGTTGCTCAATTATCTCATTATCCTTAACATCTGCAGTTAGTGTTTGGGTATTTTTAGCTTCCAAATCCTGTTTTTTATCTATGCCAACCATCTAAAACATAAACACATTACAGAAGAATTTCTTAAGTAGTTAACAACAACTTTAAAAAATAATAAAAATAGCCAACACATCTATTATGTGCCAGGTACTATTCTCATATCTTAACACATTTAATCTTGACAGTAACTTTATGAGGTAGGTATTACCATAATCTTCATTTGACAGATGAGGAAACTGAACTGGAGAGAGGTAAAGTCACTTGCCCAAGGTCACTCAGAGGTTTAGCTAGGTTTTGAATCCAAGTGATCTGGCTCCAAAGTTTGTGCTCTTACGTCTGTTCACTAATCAGAACAATATGGACAACTACAAATATTAATAATTGTCTTCACGTATGATAGGTTAACATGATTCTGCATGTTTACTTATTTCAATGACATTAATACATTAATTAAAGGATATCTGCCTTTAGTTTGTACACATCTTCCATAAATATTTTCCAAGTTTCATTCTAGTAGTAGTTTGTTTATTTACTACTAAACGAGTAAGCAATCTTGAACTCTATCACTTTATCTATTTCCTCCTAAAAGCTGGGAATCATTCCCTGTCTCCCACTCCCTGCAAATCTTTATTTTCAGAGGCAGTCCTACTTACAAAAGGCTGGAGTTTTATTATATGTAGGGGGATAAATAATTTTGATAAAGATCTATTTCATAAGGGTGAAATTCATCTTTTCTTAATATATGTATATTTTATATACTGCTTAAGAAAAATGTTATATAAATTCATTTATTCATAAATAAGTCACGACCAAATGTAACCTAATACGTGAACTTATTGGTAAAGGGAGACAGAGACTGAAATTACTATTGCTGGTACAAATTTAGGGTATTATTGTATGACATTACACTAGTTCAGCAAACAGCTCCATATTGCCTACACAGGTATTTAAAAGTTTTTATAATAATCTATAATCACATTAGAAAACAATAGAAAAATAAAGGATAAAAATCATCCACTGTCACCAACTTCACACAACAAACTATTAGAATTCTGGTAAATTTACTTCTGGAGTTTTTTCCATTAAAGGTTTTTTTTTTGTTTTTTTGTTTTTTAAACATAGCTATTATAATGAATTTATATGTGTGATTCTTTTTAGTTTTTATCTTTTCCACTTAGATCATATGTATTTTCACATGTTGTTATGTAACCTACAAATAATTTTTAGTAGCTGCTTGATTCTCTAGAGTAGATATAAACTGTACTTTATTTAGCAACCCCCTTATTGTTGGCAATATGCATGAGCTTCTAGAAGATAACAGTGATCACAGAGCTAACTACATGAGAAATTAAGGTAGGGAACACGTAGTCTTTTGGGACTAGTCTGTTAGATATTATAATTCAGAATCTCATATCTTTCAAATACAAAGCAGATTGAGACAAAATTTTCTGTAATGATAGCCAAGGTTTATTTCAAATCTGAACTCAGCCTAGAAGGTACTTCAACTACCACAGTTATGAATAAAATCTAATAGATCTAATTATTAAATAAAAAATTATTAGAACCTGTGAAAAAGGAAAAAAATTGTCCTTTATATAAGAATAAGCTTACTAATCATAAAATATTTTTGTTGAGATACATTAAAAATACTGCATTTCCAGAAACAGACACATCAAGTAGGACTAAAAATGAGCATTCCAAGGAGATTCATGATAGACCTGCTAGTGCAGCTCTCTGGTGCCTAGATGAACAGGGGAGCACCTGGAAATCCCCATTTCCACTCTTTTATTCCCATGGCAGATTCCAGCATGAGCATGATACAAGACCAAATTGATCTCAGCCTTCCATCCCAGACTTTAGGATCCCTGGTGAACAGAATGGCCTCAGAAAAGCCCCAGCTACATCCTTTTATCAACATGGATAAATGACTCCAGCATATACTTGGTAACATAGGATCTTAGCTGTTCCCAGTGAGTATAACTCTACTCTTCCCTTCATCTTCTATTGTCTCTATAACTGCATTTTGGATTTGTTTAAAACAGTTATTGATTGCCATATATTATTGTCAAAAGTCTACTAAAAAAACTTTCCCATCATAAAAGTGGAAGTTATTATTTCTTTCTTTTTTTTTAGACAGGGTCTCACTCTGTCGCCCAAGCTGGAGTGCTGCAGCATGATCTGGGCTCACTGCAGCCTCAACCTTCCTGGGCTCAGGTGATCCTCCTACCTCAGCCTCCTGAGTGGCTGAGACTACAGGTGCATTGCTACCATGCCTGGCTAATTTTTGTATTTTTTTGTAGAGACGGGGTTTCACCATGTTGCCCAGGCCGGTCTTGAACTCCTGGACTCAAGCAATCTGCCCACCTTGGCCTCTGAAAGTACTAGGATTACAGGCATAAGCCATTGTGTTGAGGGTAAATTTCAAATTGAGGTCAAATGCCTTTGGCCTATGGTTATTCCAAATTATAAATAAGCTGAGAACATAAGATACAGAAAAAGTGAGAGAGAAGAACTAAAGCATAAGGAGATGGAAATAAAAAAAAAGTTCCATTTTCCAAGGCAGTATTTTGCCCCGGAGTAAATGGGGGAAAATGCAGCTCATTTTATAGAAGTAATATATAAATGTACAGATATTTATTTATATCAATTGGATCTTACTGAATTACTTTGAAATGTGTATTTGCTTTTATTTAATAATGTATTCTGTTAAAAATGCATGACTGTACAAACATCAGTAGCATTTCTGTACACTAACAATGAACGATCCAAAGAAGAAATTAAGACAATTTTATGTATAATAGCATCAAAAAAGAACAAAATACTAAGAATAAACTTAACCAAGGAGGTGAAAGACATCTGCTGAAAACTGTAAATGTTGCTGAGAAGAAATTAAAGAAGACACAAATGGTAAGACATCCCATGTTCATGGATTAGAAGACAATATTTTTAAGACATCAATACTACCGAACAATCTACCATTTAATGTAATCCCTATCAAAATCCCAATGGTGTCTTTTGCAGAATTAGAAAAATCTATCCTAAGATTAATATAGAACCTTAAAGGGCCCCAAATAGGGAAACGAATCTTGAAAAAGAAGAACGAAGTTGGAGGTCTTGTACTTCCTGATTTCAAAACTTATAAAGCTACAGTAATCAAAACAATGTGGTGCTAGCATAAAGACAGACATATAAACCATTGGAACAGAATAGAAAGACCAGAAATTAATGCTTGTGTATATGGTCACAGTATCTTCAACAAGGATGCCAAGACTACTCAATGGGGACAGGATGATCTTTTCAAAAAATGGTGTTGGGAAAACAATAGCCACACACAAAAGAACGAAGTTGTACCCTGACCTTACACTATATATACAAATAAATGCAAAATGGATTACAGGCCTAAACGTAAGAGTGAAAATTACAAAACTCTTAGAAGAAAACATAGGGGAACAGATTCATGATAAGGGTCTTGGCAATGATTTCTTGGATATGACACCAAAACACAGGCAACAAGAGTAAAAATAAATAAACTTGACTACATTGAAATTAAAAACTTCTGTGTATCAAAGGATACAATCAACAGAGTAAAAAGACAGCCGATGGAATGGGAGGAAATTTTTGCAATATTGCATATAACTGATAAAGGGGTAATATTCAGAAGTATAAAGAACTCCTACAACTCAATGACAAAAATCAAACAACCCAGTATAAAAATGGGAAAAGACTTAAATAGACATTTCTGCAAGGAAGATAAACAAATGGCCAAAAAGCACACGAAGATTCAACATCACTAATCATTAGGAAAATGCAACTCAAAACCACGATGAGATACTGCCTCACATCCATTAGGATGGCTACTATCAAAAAAAAAAAAAAAAAAAAACAGAAAATAGTGTGTTGGCAAAGGTGCATATAAACCAGAACACTTCTGTCCTGTTGGTGGGAAGTAAAATGGTGCAGCTGTTATGGAAAACATTATGGTGCTTTCTCAAAAAATTAAAAATAGAATTACCATATAACCTAGCAATTCCACTTCTGGATATATATATCCAAAATAACTGAAAGCAGGGTTTTGAAGAGATATTTGTTCACTCACATTCATAGGAGCTTTATTCACAACAGCCAATAATGGGTAGAAGCAACGCAAGTGTCCATGATGGATGCATAGATAAGCAAACTGTGGCATATACATATAATGGAAATTTACTCATAAAAAGGAAGGAAATTCTAACACATGCTACAACATGGATGAAGACATTATGCAAAATGAGACAGGTCAGTCACAAAAGATAAATACTGCATGATTCCACTTATATGAGGTACTCAGAGTAGTCAAATTCATAAAGACAGAAAAATAAATGGTGGTAGCCAGGGTCTGTGGGAAGGAAAACTGGGGAGCTGTTGCTCAATGGGTATAGTTTTGGTTTTGCAAGATGAAAAGAATTCTGGAAATTGGTTGTATCACAATGTGAATGAATTTTACACTAGTGAAGTATATACTTAAAATGGTTAAGGTGGTAAATTTTATGTTATGTGTATTTTACTACCAATTTAAAAAATATATACTACTATATACTATTCCAAGCTATATATTTACAAAAGATTATTTCACCAGTCTCCTATTGAATATTTTAAAATTCTAGCAGTAAATACTCTGGATAAAATAATATGAACTATAATAAAAATGAGACATGTTATTACAAAATTACTGTTACCAATATATCTTAGAGGTGTTGTGGGAAAGTAGAAAAGAATACTGTTAATAAATGAAACCCTGGTATAACGTTATAAGGCAATCCCCTCTGCAATGGACTGAATTTTAAACTCTAAGCAAGTTTAGTATAGTAAATTTGACATAAAATAAGTATCAGCTATGCAAAATTTGGACTAATACATTTTTGGGCCCTTTCCCTTTCTAATTGATTATAAACATATTCTATCATAAGTTATTTCAAAGGCATTAGGGATAAGCTTGTAAAATTATTGTTAGTTATTACCATTGTGAGTAACAAATGAAATTGAGAATATTATGCATTTAAGTATTTGAGGTTAAAGAGTATATATACAAGCATATGAAAACTCTGAAAATAAACACCCTTTACCTTTTGCTGAAATTCATCTTTAGTTTCTCCTGTATTTTCCTCCATATGCAAATTCCTGGAAACTTCCTCAGAAATTTTCGATTTTAGTGTATTAATTGTTTCTTGATGTTGTTTCAGAGACTCAAGAGCATTTCGTAATTGTTCTTGAGTATCTATATTCTTTGTTAGAAAAATATAAAAACAATTTCCATTAGAATATGAAACAAAATTATTTTGTAGCTACTACATAACATAATCATAAATAATAAATGATGGCCTCTGCAATGTTTTTAAGAGTCTCCAATTTTTCAAAGTTTAATCAATCAAAACCTTACCATGTTAACAGTATCGTGAATATCACTTTTGAGTTGGTCCCTCTCAATTTGCAAGCTTTCTTGGAGTTGTTTTAGATCATCTTTTTCTTGAGTTAAAGTTTTTACTTCTTCTAAAGTTTGCTGCAGTTTCTCAGTAATCAGTGTTTTCTCCCTTTCTACAGTTTGCAGCGTAGAATCTCTATTTTCTAATTGTTCCTTCAGCTGTTCCATCTCATTTAGTCTTTCTTGAACCTCACGTGTTTTCTCCTGAAGTTCTTGGGTCTTGTAAGAAAGCTTTAAAAAAGAAAAAGTAAATGTCACACAGTAAAAGCAGAGCAGTCTGAGGCATACATATATACAGAAACCAAAACCCCAGAAGACTAAGGAGCATTTCTCAAAATAGCATCTTGTACCAACCTCGGTCTTCAAAGCACCCAAACTCGAATCAAATTTTTGGGCTTCTTTAGAGAGATTAACTATTTCCTGATTCATTCTCTCATTCTCCTCAAGGACCATCTTATACTTTTGCTCAAAGTCCATATGAAGGGTTTTGAAATTTTGGAATTCTTGATCAGTGCTTTTATAATTCGACTGTGTAGTTGCTAGGTCATCTTTTGTTTTCCCAATTTCTTCAAGTAAACCTTGAACTCTACTCTCCTTATGAACTACTTCAGAAAACAATTTATCTTTTTCTGATGTTATTATATGGAGCTCTTCAGATTTGTCTTGTATCTATGGAAAAGAAATAAAATTTAGGGATGTTAGCAACATATGATTCACTGAAGCAATTTTTAGGAAAAAAAGCTTTCTCTGCAAAAAGAGAAGTTATTTACATTCAGCAAAAATTTGACTGTGGAAAGGCAATATAGTAGTACTCTTATTGTCACTTTTCCCTAACTCAGCTTGTTTAACTCTACCTTTGATGTTTTATTTTCTAATCTCTTTGTATTCTAGAAAGTAAGGTCTGCATGGAAAATAGTAAAGGCACATAATCAGATTGTCTTTATTTCCTTACCTATCATTTTAAAGTGTTTTCTAACTTTATCATGTGGCAGGCATTTCTCAGAATTTGACATTTTTTTCCCTAAAGGCTTTGAATGCCTCTCAGGTTTCCAAAAACTTAATCAATGAATAATTTAAGTAATGTTTAATCATTTAAAATTGTTATTTAAGAAGTATCTTAAGTGGTATGGTCCATGAAAAAAATAAAAATAGAAGTACCACTTAAGTAATATTTAAATAATTACATAATTTAAATAACCCATATCTTGTATATTAACAGTTTAATCACTGTGAAAGATAAGGGCAGAGAGAGATGAGAAAAAAAGAAGAGATAAAGGAGGGACAAAGTAAAGACGGGCAATACAGCGTGTAGCTACAATCACGGGTTTAGGAGGCAGATTTATGTGGCTCAATTATGAGTTTGATAATGGGTTATTGGGACTAAAAAACTACCTATTTTTGAAGAGTTTATAAGACGAGTAAATGAAATAATGTTTTTGAAGTTCTTTAGCATGATGTTTGCCATACAGTAAGTACTCAAATTTTTGCCATTTTTCTTTTAGACAAGTAGAAAGAAAAACTGGCAGGCCATGGATTTACAGAAACATTCACCAGCCTGCAAGGTTTGCATTAACCTCTAAAACTTTATCAGTGCAACCTCTTTTCCCTCATTACTGTCTTTTATTCAACATAATGATACTACTACTACCAAAAAAAATGGTAAAGACTAAGGGTGGGCCGTAATACTGTATAAATGCAACATTTGAGGACTACAGAAATGGCTGCTACATGGATTATATTACTAAGTATTCTGTTAAATACACCTTGAAAAAATATATTTTTTAATCTAGTAGCATAAGAACAAATTAGAAGATGAACTATATTCATTTCTATTTCTAACTAGTCAAAACGTTTACAGTATCTCTCTTGTCTGCTAGTTTAAAATAAACTATACCAAAATATTTAAGGCACTATTATCGCAAAGGTTTTTATTTCAAAATAAGGGATAAGTGCTTATAAATGTGTTTACCTCTTTCCTCAGCCTTTCTACTTCAGAAGGTAAAGATTTCAATTCTGAAAGCAAAATGACTTCTTCCCGCAAAGCTTCATTTTCTTCAACTTCTTTATTTAGTTCTTTCTGAAGATCAGTAATCTTTCCTTCCAATTCCAAATTACAGAGCAAATCTAGAAAGTTTTGGTAAATTGTATAAAGATCCAATGTTGCCAAACAGGTAATTTAATTTTTAATTGTCCTTGAATCACCTTTTTCAGGATCAGGTAAAGTTTATTTGAAAAATAATCCCTTATGATTTGAAACCCATGGAAATCTTTATAAATATTAATACCAAATGAAACTAAAACGTAATATTGAGTTTTTAAAAAGTCAGAGTATAATGAATTTTTAATCATTGAAATATGCTTGTCAAATTGTTTAGGTACATTTCTAGAAGAAGTCAGATTTGAAAAAAGATGTTTAAAATTACAAAATACCTTTTGGAACTTTGCCATCTATAAGGGAGGTGAGTTTTGTTATCTCATTAAAAGCAGATTGTAATTCTTTCTCCAGATCAACTTGCATTTTCTTTTTTGCCTCCAACTGGCTTTGATATAACTGAATATCATTTTCCATTTGCTTGTATGTAGTTGCAAGTTCTTTCTATTGAGAAAAACATTGCAAATGCACAAAAATACACTGATCATTACAACTACTTTATTATAAATATTACAAAAAATACTTACCATTTTCTCCTTCAGCTCCAGATTTTCACTTCTAAGAAAGGCTGATTCTCTCTTGGCATCAAGGGCTACAGTTTCAGCATCAAACAGAGTCTGCTTCATTTGTTTTGGGTCTTCAATGCTTTCCTAGACAGATGACAAAAGGGGTTCACTGAAATCTAATTTTCACAGAGTTGGAAAATTCTTAAGAGAACATGTATATAAATGTTAACTCTAGCTAATCAAAAAGCGTACAAATATGCTAGTTACCAAATATATAAAAAGAAATAATGTTTTCCTAATAAAAATAATTTTTAAAAATTCTGGTCATATTTTTCAAATTATATAAGCAATATATCAAATTATATAAGCAATGTATCATAATTTAGATCTGTTTTGTTTAAAGGTTAAAACAACTGTTGTTCGGCAAGGCTGATGAAGTTTTCTATGTATTTTTATTTTGAGTTATTCTCTTCAGCACATGATAGGTAAGTGGCTAACAGTTAAATTAAAGATATTAACCCACAAATTGAAAAGGAAAAAGACAAATGATCTAATAGAAAAATAGAGAAATGATATGAACAAGAAACTTACAGATGAGAAAATGCAAATGAAAAATACATGAAAAAAATCTACAACCTCATTTCTAAAGAGAAGTGGCATTTTAATATGACTTTAGCTTATATGAAATCAATGATATGTCCTTGGAAAAAAATTAATAAATTAATACATGAATGAATAAGGAAAAAGAAATAGTAATTTTTAAAAAGTGGGCAGTTCTGCTTGCCACGCTATGAACAGACACTCCAGAATACATAAAAGTGCCTTCCTATCCAGGGCCTCAGAATAGGATGATATGAAATGGTATGAACCCCTTTGAAAAGAATCATTTGTCACAAATAAAAGGCAACAAAAGAATAGAAGGTAACAAAAACTAAAAAACTCAACTGAAAACAGAAGAACAGAAACTAGTCTTTTAAAAGTTCCAGCTAGAAACTGTTATCATAAAAAAAAAAGTATTAAAAACTGGAACCAAACATATATAAGTAATCAGGTATACTGAAAGCAAACTGAAGCGATTAAATGACATCATCATCAGATTCAATGTTAGTTAATGCCAAGATCTTATATCAACTAAAATCATCTAGAGCTATAAAATTGTGAAAAAATATCCCAGTTTAATATTTAAGATCTTGACTATATACTACTGCATGCATTTGTATAAAACTACTGAAAAAAATTCGGAATTTTAAAATTTTACTGATTTTTTTTTTTTTTTGGAGACAGAGTCTTGCTCTGTTGCCCAGGCTGGAGTGCAATGGCATGATCTCGGCTCATGGCAGCCTCAACCTCCCAGGCTCAAGCAATCCTGCCACCTCAGTTACCCAAGTAGCTGGCAGTACCTGCCAGGCTTATTTTTGTATATTTTGTACAGACCAGGTCTCACTATGTTGCCCAGGCTGGTCTTGAACTCCTGGGCTCAAGTGATCTCCCACTTCGGCCTCCCAAAGTACTGGCATCACAGGGATGAGCCACTGTGCCCTGGCCTAAAACTTACTGATTTTTAATGGGAGCCTGTCCTTAACTTCCTTATATTTACTCAAAGGATGACATGATCAACTTTCCACAAATGTGACTTTATCTCTAAAATGGCAAATATACTAACAGTCCCTATCTCATAGGGTTATTGACAGATTTAATGAAATATATATAAATTTATTACAACAATACACAGCACAAAGTAGGTCCAGTATAAGCATTTGCTAAGATGATGGTATGCTATATATATTTATGTGATTACACAACAAAATACGCCTGATTTTTACCAATGAGTATGACAAGTCCATTTTTATATTTTCTAGCTTTTGAGAGTCTATGTATTCCTGTAGCTTCTTAATCTGGTCTTCCTTTTCTCTAAGCAGCTCTACTTTTGAACTGAGTTCATTCTAAAAGAATCAAAGGAGAGAGTAACAATTTAGAATCTGATTTGAAGTCTAAGGGATTAAAACAGAACTTATATATATTAGTTTAAATTCATAGTAAAATTCAAAGTCACTAATATTTTAAAAACATAATTCCCTTATTTCTGACATCATGTTCAGTTACATATGTTGCATGTTTTATAGTTCTAATTGCTTATCAATAGAAATACCAACATGAATGCTCACCTCAAGATCTTGATTATATACTTCTGCATGCTTAACTAAATTCTTTAAGTTCGAAATTTCATGAATTAGTTGCATCTGTAAGAGCATGTGAACAGGTAACAGAGCAAACCAATAGTTAATAAAGCAAAGCAAAAAAAAAAAAAAAAAGAAAAAGAAAAAAAAGGGCACTGGTTCACTGCTTCAGAATCACCCAACAGTTAGAAAGGACTGAGATCAATTGTTCAAGCTATCGCAACAAAGCACCTCATTATTTAAAAATACTAGAAATATCACCCAAAACATATCAAACAAATAAAAAAAAACCCCTCAGCATGACCCCACCAAGTAGCTATATCATCTGTTAATAAAGCTACAATAATGTCAATAGCAAATTAGTATGCACTACTTGGAGGAGAGATTTAAAAAGTGGTAATCAAACCTTGAAAAATACACGTTTAGTAGATTTTTGTTTTCAGTCAGTTAAGTACAGAAATGTATTAATTCTTATAAAGTTTTTTCTTCCCATAAAGTATCCATCAGCTCTACATTAGTGTACTTTTTAATAAGTTCTGATTTGGAATCTAGGTTTGGATTAGGGTTGTTTCATGCAGTGCCTTTACAATATTATTACTTTTCACCAGTGCTACACAGGTATGGAATGATCAACTATGACCTTGATTTATTCCAGAGGAAATATTGCACTCCATTATATTGTTCAACCATGTAAAAGTATAAAGGTAGAAGTATTTCTATTGAGGTGTCCTTTCTACCAAAATATCTGTAGCATTAAATATCTGAGTACCAAAAAGTTTGTTGAAAACAAGTAAACCACACATAACCAAGATAAACATTTTCCCTTAGAATTATTTAATCTTCATAATCAGATGAGCACTTACAGAGTAAAAGCAAATTCTAATAGTATGTAAGGGGCTTGAAAATAGTATCTTATTTAAATATTTTCTGGATGTTTAACTGAGTCCTGACTAGTTTTAAATTTCAGACTAGTGCAAGTGTTGACATTACTATTTTAGGTCAGTGCTATCCAAGAGAAACATAATGTCAGACACATATGTAATTTAAAATTTCCTAGTAGGCACATTAAACCTAAAAAGAAAAAGGCAGAATTAACTTTGAGAACATATTTTATTCAACCTAATATATCAAAAATATTTCTTCCAAAATGTTTCTTCAGGTAATCTATCCAACATGTTTCTTTAGGTAATCAATATAAAAAAAATGAACAATTTTACATTCTTTTTTATATACTATGTCAATTCAGTCTGGTCCCATTTCAAGTGCTTAATTGCCACATATGGTTAGTGGCTACCCCACTGTAGAACACAGTCTTAGACATTTGTACTGCTTTTAATTTAAATTGGCTCCTTCTTTCACCTTTTCTTCCTTATTTTTAACTTCTGTGAAAGAAAATCACATTTACCAATAAGAAAGAATCAAAAATCAATCTTAACTTTTAAAAATACTTAGAAGAGATCGGGTGCATTCAGGGTAGTATGGCCATAGATAATGAAAACATTTAAAGAATACTAATTTAGAAAAGAAAATTTTCCTACTTCTTATTTGAAATAGCACTTTATCTTAGTACTGGTTCTTATGCATAGAAAATAATTAGCTTTTATAAAAATAAAAGTGTAATCTCCCAATGACATGTTTAAGATGCAGAGCATGAAGTGAAAGTGTGTGAAAAGGAAAAATGATTTAAACATATGATCTGATCTACAGTTAATCCATTGCTACCATTTAAATTGCAGATTTAAATGGTAATTGTCATTAGGTGAAATGAAATATTTAACTTACATCTCCAAGTAGTAAAAATTATAAAATTAAATACACCAAGTTAAAATAGGTAGACGGTAAAGATTTTTCTCATTCCTCGAGTATGGTGATACTTGACATTTTCCATTCTCCCTCTAAAACATACTATTTAAGCATCTCATGTTACTATATTCCCACTAGAAAATTATCTACAACTTGGGTGATTTTTGACAAAAGCTTTAGGAAAACCAGGGAAATGGCTCCATGTCCTAAGGCCAATTTGACTTTTATTCCCTTTTAGCTAAACCTTTCCCCAAAATGTAGGTTTTGGAACATATTTTGCTACATACACATAGACTTATATTTTTAGTTTAACATGGACTAGATACTGCAAAACTGGTTTTGAACAGGATGTTTTTATTACATAATCTTTTAAGTAACCTTAAATTTTGTGTCGAATTAAAAGTAAAGGGCCTAGAGCAGTGGCTCACACCTGTAATCCTAGCACTTTGGGAGGCCGAGGCGAGCAGATCACTTGAGCCCAGGAATGTGAGACTAGCCTGGCCAACATGGCAAGACCCCCGTCTCTATAAAGAAAAAGTTTTTTAATTATATGTCTTTTAGATTAGAAAGCTGAGCTTTGTGTTTTAAAAAAAAAAAAAAGAAAAAAAAGAAAAAGAAATTTAAAAAGAACGGAGTAGGATTCTTCCTCCTCAACTGTGGTTAAAATGGGAGAAAAACTGCAGTGTGATACATGTCATATATTCTGTGGTATTTTTGTAATCTTTCTCTGTGTTGACTCAATTCAATAAGCTTCAATTTTTCTTATTAATATATTAATGATGTGAGAAAAATATTAGAGAAATTATTACCACTTATCCCAAACGTTAGTTTTATGTCATGTTATTATCACATATAAAAAACATACAAAAATTAGATGAAATTTTAAAGTCAGAAGGGACCTTGGTGAGCATCTGGTCTCTACTTCAAGGGTGGAGAAATACAGGAAGCCCTGAGATTCAGTGACTTGCCCAAGGCCTTGGCAACAATTCATAATAGGATTGGATCTGCGGTAAGTTTATAAGTGGCAAAACTGCGGCTTAAATCCAGGCAATTTCACTCTAGAGACCATGTTCTTAATCATGACACTAGGCCAGTCCCTTCCATAAAACCTAGTTTTATTGATTAAAGTCCAATGGTTTTGTCATGCATGACATTTTGCACTTCATTAACATGCATTTTAAAACAAGCTAAATGAAACCCTGTGGAGAACTTATAGACTTTTACCTCTTTGAATATAGTACCTATGAAATAAAGCAATAATTTTAATTTGTAGGTAGAATGGAAATAATAGCTTTGGCATAGAATTCTTTTTTCCTTTAAAAATGAAAAGAGGTTGAGAAACTGAACAATGATATCGAGGAAAAAGGGTCATGGCCTTTTGGGCTAGCCACATAGAAGTCTGAAGAGTAGCTGCAAATTAATTCATCTTTTAACTACATAAAACACTGGGTCTTATTTTTTTTTGAAGGGGGGATGTTCACGAATCACTTTGCAAGTCTGATAACAACTACAGATTCTTGTTCCAGAAAAATGAATATGCATTGAAAAATTCTGCAAAATAATTTCACAGCATCTGTGGCCTCTAGGTTAAGGACACTTTACACTAATAACTCCCTTTAATCTTTTGGACAATTTCTGAGTCCCTAAAGTCTGATGGTTTCTGGATTAAGTTCTCTTAACGTGTAGCCTAATATTTTATACTTAGAAAATGAGTGATCTGTTTCTATAAATTCCATTATAACTATTTAGTATTAGTTATACTAATTTTCACATAACTCTCTTAGATGGAGAAGGAAAAACAAAACGTACAAAATTAGCTTCTCCAGCTATTCTAATGTTTTAATTATTTAGAAACATACTTTCTAAAGAAAAAGAAATCCATTAATATGTAGCATCCATATATAAAATAGTCATCTAGATATTAAAATTCATACTGATCTCAGTAGGAAACTGCTGTGCTCTAGGTAGCATTTATATATGCTCAATAAAATGTAATATACAAACTATAAGGAAACAATTTCAAGACAAATCCATCAAGAGGTAGATACACCAACCCTTCCCATAGATGCTTTTAATTCCTTTTTCTCTTGCATAAGCACCAGGGAAAGAAACATGATTTAACTATTTTTAAAATATAAATGAAGAAAATATTTCTTAAATTTTCTAAATTGTATATACATATGAAAAATGGTTAGATCTTCAACATCTCAATCTTAGAAAAAAAAATCTTTAAGACAATACTTCTGAGTGATGTCAAGAAGATGACAGAATAGGAGGTCACCTGCTCACATCCCCCCAAAACAACAAGAATTCTGTACCTATTACAGACAAGTCTTTTTGTGGGAGCCTTTGGATTCAGGTAGGAGGTTGTAAAACCCCAGTAGAACTCAAGACCTGGAAGTGTTGTTTTTGAGAGTGCATACCAACACCCAGGTGGGAGTCCTGCCAATTGTGCTCCCAGGTTCATATGCAGAAATGGTCCCATTCCTTGAAGGACTTAGCTACAGCCCTGTTTGGCCTAGAGTCTGCAACCAAAACTATCTGTCAAGGGGTCCAGGAGAAATCACACACTCTAGGGTCTCGGCAGATGGGCTCTTCTGCCTGTCGACATTGGTCTTGGCAGTGGACCCAAAAGTTAGCCTATAACTTGGCTCCTGCCCTCCTCAAGCTGTAGTCCTAGCTTAGTACTGCTTGCACAAGGACCCAGAAGGGAACATGCCCATCTGAGCCACCAGGACAGGCTTGCCGGCCTCTGTCTCATAGCAGATTCCGACGGGGACATGTACTGGCTCCAGCCCTCCCCTGCTGCAGCCTCCCTGCTCTCACCCACACAGAGAACTGCCAAGAGATGAACCTGTCTGAGCCACTGGGTCAGGCTTGCAGTCCTCCATCCCACAATAGACTGAAGGGGCCCTGTCTCAGCTTCAATGCCTCTTTGCTGCAGTCAGGAAGCTATCTCGACTGTATTGGGAACTGCTGGGTGAAGCACCTGCCCCAGCCACCAGGACAGGTTTCATGCATCTTTCCCATAATAGATCCTAAAGCAGTCTTGTCTTGACTGCAGCCCCTCTCTACTGCAGCCTGGCAGTTATCCTGCCTGTGTAGGACAGGCCTGCTGGCTTCCATCACATAGCAGTTCTGGAAAGAACCTTGAATGTCACAGCTACAGAATGCAAGCAATCCTCCCTGCATAAGGAACTGCTGGGAGTCTTGACTGCTGGTGCCACCAGGTTAAGCTTACCAACATTGGTTCCATAGCACATTCTGAATTAACTCTGAAGCTTGGTTTCAGTTTCTCCTAGCGATAGTCTGAGAATGGTTTTACCCAGCCGGGGTCCTACCGGGAGACAGGCGTATCCAAGTCCCTGTGGCAGGTTTTGCAACCCTTGTCCATCAGCAGATTCTCAAATGGCCCTGGATCTTGATACTGACCCCTCTCATCTGTGGAATAAGAACAGCTCTGCCCACCTGGGGACCTAAAGAGAAAGGTGTCCAGTAGTGCCTCTGCAGGATAACATGGTGACCTCAGTCATACTATAGATCTTGAAAAGACCTTATAAAGATGGTGAAGACTAAAACAAATAGCTACATTCATCTTCAATGTGCAGACACTGCTGCATGACCACAAGCATCATGATCAGGGAAACATGATGTCACCAAAAGCACAAAGTAAGATACTGGTGACTGATCCTAAAAGATGGAGATGTATTATCTGCCAAAGAATTCAAAATAGCTATTTTAAGCGAGCTCAGCAAACCTCAAGAAAACATAGAGAAACAATCCAGAAATTTATCAAGGAGACTGAAATAATAAAAAAACCAAACAGAAATCCTAGAGCAAGAAAATACAATGAACAAAATGAAAAATGCAACAAAGAACATCAATAGAAGAATGGATCATGCAGAAGAATTTGTGAGCTTGAGACAGGCTATTTTAAAATATAGAGTCAGGAGGCAAAAAAAAAAAAGGATGAAAAGGAATGAAGTTTATGGGACAACATCAAAAAAGCAAATATTTGGGTCACTGCAGTTCAAGTAGAGAAAAATAAAGGGACAGAAAGCTTATTTAAAGAAATAATAGCAGAAAATTCCCAAACCTGAAGAAAGCAATACATATCCACATATAGGAAGGTCAAAGGTTACCAATCAAATTCAATCTAAATGACCCTGCCCTAAGATATATTATATTCAAACTCAAAAGTCAAAGACAAGGAGAAAATCCTAAAAGCAGCAAAGCAGCAAGAGTAAAGAGGCAAATAACATAGAAGGGAGTTCCATTATGGTTAGCAGTAGACTTCTAAGCAGAAATCTCACAGGCCAGGATCATTAAAAAGTCAGGAAACAGATGCTGGAGAGGATGTGGAGAAATAGGAATGCTTTTACACTGTTGGTAGGAGTGTAAATTAGTTCAACATTGTGGAAGACAGTGTGGCAATTCCTCAAGGATCTAGAACTAGAAATAACATTTGACTCAGCAAGCCCATTACTGAGTATATACCCAAAGGATTATAAATCATTCTACTATAAAGACACATGCACACGTATACTTATTGCAGCATTGTTTACAACAGCAAAGACTTGGAACCAACCCAAATGCCCCTCAATGATAGACTGGATAAAGGAAATGTGGCACATATACACCATGGAATACTACGCAGCCATAAAAAAGGATGAGTTCATGTCCTTTGCAGGGACATGGATGAAGCTAGAAACCATCATTCTCAGCAAACTAACACAAGAACAGAAAACCAAACACCACATGTTCTCACTTATAAGTGGGAGTTGAACAATGAGAACTCATGGACACAGGGAGGGGAACATCACACACTGGGGCCTGTTGGGGATTGGGGGCCTAGGGGAGGGATGGCATTAGGAGAAATACCTAATGTTAAATGACGAGTTAATGGGTGCAGCACACCAACATGGCACATGTATACCTATGTAACAAATCTGTATGTTATGCACATGTACCCCAGAACTTAAAGTATAATTAAACAACAACAACAACAACAAAGAGGAATCTCACAGGCCAGGAGGGAGTGCAATGATATAGTAAAAGTACTGAAGGAAAACAGTTGTAACATCAAAAGTTAGAAAATCAAATATTCAGAAAGTGGGAGGAGATAAAGTGTGGAGTTTGTTTGTTTGTTTAGTAATCAATGATAATCTGTTATCAGTTTAAAATAACCTGCATAACTGTAAGACTTTTTCTTGTAAGCCTGATGGTAACCACGAAGGAAAAAAACCTATAATAAATACACTAAAAATAGAAAGGTATCAAAACATACTATCAGAGAAAATAATTTATCCAATAAGGAAGACAGTGAGATAAGATAAAAGGACCTAAAAAACAAATAAGAAAATAATTAGCAAAATGGAAGTAGTAATTTCCTACCTATCAGTAGTTCCTACCTATCAATGTAAATGGACTGATTCTCCAATTATAAGATAGAGTGGTTGAATGGATTAAAAAATCCAAATATATGCTGCCTGAAAGAGATTAACTTCACCTGTAAGGATACAAATAGATGGAAAGGAAGGGGTGGAAAAAGATATTCCATGCAAACTGAAATTGTAAGAGAGCAGGAGAAGCTATACTTATATCAGCTAAAATAGACTTTACATCAAAAACTGTGAAAAGAGACAAGGTCATTACATAATGATAAAGGGGTCAACTCAGCAAGAGGTTGTAACAATTGTAAATATATATGCACACTGAACATGGCAGAATATATATAAAGCAAATATTAATCTGAAGGAAGAGAGACTGCAACACAATAATAATAGAGGATTTTGAAACTACACTTTCAGCAATGGACAGATTATTCAGACAGAAAATCAACAAAGAAATAGCAGATTTAAACTGCAGTCTAGACCAAAGAGACCTAACAGATGTTTACAGAACATTCCATTCAACAGCTGCAGAAAACACATTCTTATCAACTGCACATGGAACATTCTCTAAGACAGATCATATTAGGCCACAAAAACAGTCTTAAAAAATTTAAAATCAAAATTATATCAAGTATCTTTTCTGACCACAATGACATAAAACTAGAAATTAATAATAGCAGAAATTCTGGAAATATTACAAATACATAAAAATTAAACACGCTCCTGAACAACCACTGGGTTAATGAATTAAAAGAGTAATTTTAAAAAGCTAAGACAAATGAAAATGGAAACACAATATACCAAAATGTATAGGATGCAGCAAAAGCAGTTCTAAAAGAGAAGTT
The DNA here is from genome assembly GCF_000001405.40 of Homo sapiens. Classification (NCBI taxonomy): domain Eukaryota; kingdom Metazoa; phylum Chordata; class Mammalia; order Primates; family Hominidae; genus Homo; species Homo sapiens. The sequence goes on from NC_000004.12 coordinate 103,171,532, forward strand.
TATAGTAATAAACATCTACATCAAAAAAGAGGAAAGAAATCAAACTACCTAAACTATTACCTCGAAGAATTAGAAAAACAAGAACAAACTAAACCCCAAATTAGCAAATGGAAAGAATAAAGATCAGAGCAGAAATAAACAAAATAGGGACTTTAAAAAAATCCACAAAATAAAGAGTTTTTTTTTTTTGAAAGAAACAAAATCAACAAACCTTTAGCTAGACTAGGTAAAAAAGACAGTCGACTCAAATAAATAAAATCAGAAATAAAAAAGGAGACATTACAATTGATACCACAGAAATACAAAGAACAATTATATGCCAATAAATTGAAAAACCTAGAAGAAATGAATTCCTCTACCACATTACCTACCAGGACTGAATTATGAATAAATAGAAAACCTGAACAGGCCAGTAATGAGAAAGGAGACTTGAATCAGTAATAAAAAGTCTCCTATCAAAGAAAGGCCCAGGACCTGATGGCATCACTGCTGAATTCTACCAACAGTTACAGAAGAACTAATAGCAATTCTTCTCAAAGTATTCCAAAAAATTGAAGAGGAAGGAATTTTTCCTAACTTATTCTACAAGGCCAGCATTACACTGATACCAAAAATAGACAAAAAAGGAAAACTATAGGCCAATATCCCTGAAGAACAGACAGAAAAACCCTGAACAAAATACTATAAAACTGAATTTAACAGCACATTTAAAAGATAATTCACCATGAACAAGTGGGATTTATCCCAGGAATATAAGAATGGTTCATCATAAACAAATCAATAAACATGACATACCGCATTAACAAAACAATGAAAAAAAGTCATACAATCACTTCAACAGATGCAGAAAAATCATGACAGAGTTCAATACCTCTTCATGATAAAAACTCTTAATTAGGTATAGAAGTGATATGCCTCAACACAATAAAGGCCACATACAACAAACCCACTGCTAATGTAATACCAAATGGGGAAAAGCTGAAAGCCTTTTACTCTAAGATCTAGAACAGGATAAGGATGTTCCCTTTTGCCACTTTTATTCAACATAGTACAGGAAGTTCTAGCTAGAGCTATTAGGCAAAAGAGAAAAATAAAACATAATAGGAAAGGAGGAAGTTAAATTGTCTCTATTTGTAGATGATATGATCCTATATACAGAAAACCCTAAGGACTCCATCCAAAACTGTTACAACTAATAAAAAACTCAGTAAAGTTGCAGGATACAAAATCAACATAAAAAAAAGTAGTATCTCTATATGTTAATGGCAAACTATCCAAGGAGGTGTCAGATCTCTCAAATGAAAACTATAAAACGTTAATGAAAGAATTTGAAGAAGACACAAATGGGAAGATATGCATGTTCATGGATTGGAAGAATATTGTTATAATGTCCATATTGCCCAAAGTGATCCACAGATGTAATGCGATATCTATCAAAACACCAAAGACATTCTTCACAAAAGTAGATTAAAAACAATCCTCACATTCGTATGGAACCCCAAAAGACCCTGTATAGCCAAAGCAATCTTGAGCAAAAAGAGCAAATCTGGAGGCATCATACCATCTGCCTCCAAAATATATTACAAAACTATAGTAACCAAAATAACATGCTACTGGCATAGAAACAGACAACAGGCCAATAGAACAGAGAACGCGGAAATAAATCCATGCATATACAGTCAACTGATTTTTGACAAAAGTGCCAAGAACATATGTTGGGGAAAGGATAGTCTTTCTTCAATAGTGGTGCTGGGAAAACTGAATGAATATCTATATGTTGAAGAAAAACTAGATCTCCTGTCTCTCATCATATACAAGAATCAATTCAGAATGAGTTAAGGACTTAAATTCTAAGACTTGAAACTATGAAACTACTAGAAAACAAGATAGTGGAAATGCTTCATAACATTGGTCAGGACAAGGAATTTTTGAATAAGACCTTAAAAGCACAACCAAAAAGACCAAAAACAAATAAACGGAATTACAACTAAAGGCAAAGGAAATCATCAATAAAGAGACAATATTTGCAAAATATTTGCAATATTTGCAGAAATATTTGCAAAATATTTGCAATATTTGCAGAAATATTTGCAAAATATACATCTGACACATGGTTAATATCCAAAATATATAAGAAACTAAAACAACTCAATAGCAAAAAAACCCCCAAACAACCCAATTAAAATATAGGCAGAAGACCTGAACAGACGTTTCTCAAAAGAAGACATACACATAATATGTTCAATATTACTAATAATCAAGGAAATGCAAATCAAAACCACAGTGAGGTATTGCCTCATCCCAATTAGAATGGCTTATCAAGAAGGCAGAAGAGAACTTGTTGGCAAGGATGTGGACAAAAGAGAATCCTTTTATACTGTTGGTAGGAATATATAGAAAACAGTATGACGGTTCCTCAACAAAGCAAAAATAGAACTACCATAAGATCCAGCAGTCCTACTACTGGGCATGTACCCAAAGGAACTTAAATGAGTATGTTCAAGAAATATCTGCATTCCCATATTTACTGCAGCACTTTCCACAACAGCCAAGATATGGAACCAACCTAAGAGTCTACCAACAGAAGAATGGATAAAGAAAATTTGGTATAAAGTCACAATGGAATATTCTTCAGCTATTTAAAAAAAAAAAAAGAAATCCTACCATTTGCAACAATATGGATGAACCCAAAGGACATTATAAACCAGGAACAGAAAGACAAATACTGCATGATCTCACTCACATGCAGAATCTTAAAAAGCTGATCTCTTAGAAGTACAAAGTATAATGGTGGTTATTGGAGGCTGGGGTGTTTTTCAGGGAGAAGAAAATGGGGAAATCTTGGTCAGATGACATAATGACAGTTAGATAGCAGGAATAAATTTCAACAGCTCTATTGTACAGCAAGGTGACTATAGTTAATGACAATTTATTGTATTCTTAAAAAACATAAAATTTGTGGATACTATGTGCTATCACCACAAAAACAATAACTATGTGAGGTAGTACATTTGTTAGCTAGATTTAACCATTCCACAATGTATATATACTTCAAAACATCATACATCATGTTGTATACAATAAACACATAAAATGTTATCTGTACATTTAAAAAAAATTAAAAAAGCTTACATTATAGAAAAAAGAGAATACTTCTTTTAAAAGTATGCTTTTAGTTTAGTTTTACATTTCTGTCTCTCTTACCTCTTGATCTTTTTTAGTTTTTCTTTCTAGAGCCTCAAATTCATCCAAATCATTCTTTTCTTTTAATTTCAATTCCATTTCTTCTTTTTCTGTTCGTAGTTGTTCATAGTCTAATACCAGATTATCATAGTCAGCACGAAGTGAGTTCAACTCACTTTCTATATTCTCCTATTATAAACAAGAACAGATTTTCCAATCAGAAAATTCAAATATTTTTTGTTTCCTTAATAAAATTTGAATTATTTAAATAACTACTTTAACTTTGATTTGATATCTTTCTAAAGTTCTACATTTTGGCAAACTAGCTAACTTAGAATAGATTATTTTGAAAGAAGGAGAATTTTAAAAATATATCAATAAAGTGTATGTTTGCCTGTGCCTGACAGGGAATTTTGACCATAAGTCCTCAAGCTCCTCAGTAATAAAACTGATAATTGAATTCCCCAATCTAACTAACTCTTATTTTATGTCTCAGATGGTTCTGAATTCAAGAATGGAAACAGAGATATTATTTATTGACTTCTAAAGCTAATGACAACTGTGTTTTACTATAAAGAGGCCTATTTCTATTTTCTATATTATTATAAGAGAAGAGATAAACCATGAGTTAAAAAAATACTTTTTTACACCAGAGATTGTAAAAAAAACCCAAGAAACTTCTAATGTATGTATTAGGAACAAAAAAACACTTTATCAATAATACTTTATAGGAATTAACTAACAATAATAAGTAGTAATGCAATTATATTCTAAAATTCAAATGAAAATGTCTATTACTTTATACAACTATACATCTTTAAACACGAGCAATCTACAAAGTAAACACGGAATCTAAACTTACTGATGTATTCACCAAAATTACCTCTCCCTGATATATTATTCTATACATTATAAATGCCTGAGAATTGACACTTTTAAAATCAGTCTTGTTACCCTAATGAAGTTTACCAAGGCAAAACAGAAACTTTACAAACATTGTGAATACTAAGATCTGCTAGTAAAGAGCTAGAGGCAAAGGTTTACCTACTAGCACATGTCTGCCTTATGAAATTTTTAGCCTTCCTCTAGGTGCCTGATGGTTATAGAGTAGAAATGTAAAGAGAAAAGCCTTCATTAGAGCCAAAATCATTACTGAAATTAAATGAGAACAAGTAACAAAACCTAATAACAAAAGAATTTTAAAAAGAGTAAAAGCATTATATGCTGTAAAATACATTAAGTTACCTGATTTAGTAGCTTTGTTGCTGGATTCCATTCTATCTCACTTAATGTATCAAGAGTGTTACTGAAAACATCAGACTCTGAACAGACAGCTATAATTAGAGAAAAAAAAAATTTGTCCATGAACATGTTTACCAAATTTCCTAAGTCAAATTAAAGATTACTAAAAAAATTCTTATCAGAGATACTAAGAACTTCAAATTAACTACTATGTGCTCAGAGTATGAATACCAAAAGTACATTAATAGATATGGTCATTTATGTTATTGTATGAATTAAGATGATCACTGGTTGGAATTAGTGACACAATACAGGATCCTTAATGAAATATAGGTTAAAAGGACAAATTCTGAATTTGAGATTTGATCATTATAAGTAGATTTAAAATTCCCCCCCAACAGACTGTACTATTGAAGAAATAATTTTGAAACAGATTCCTATGTCAATGCCACTCTTTTAAGATTAGCAAAGGCAGATGCCATATAACTAACAATTTAATTGAATAATAATTAGAAAATAAAAACACCTGTCTCATGTGTGTTTCAACTAGTGCATCATTCTTAGGAGATTCAGAATAAAGAACTTATGATTACTTTCTATTTATTTATTTATTTATATTTGTTTGAGACAGAGTTTCACTCTTGTCACCCAGGCTGGAGTGCAACGGGTCTTGGCTCACTGCAAGCTCCGCCTCCCAGGTTCAAGCGATTCTCCTGCCTCAGCCTCCCAAGTAGCCGGGATTACAGGCGCCTGCAACCACGCACAGCTAGTTTTTTTGTATTTTTAGAATTACTTATTTTAAATCATAGTCTCCATTGTAATCACATATGAAATACACAGTATTTAAACATGTTTATCACATTAACTGAGCTATAAACATAGTTTCTCTTTATAAGGATGCTTTTATAATTAAACATAGTTCCACTTGAAAAAAGCACTCACATTCATCAATTTCTCGTAATAAATTTATAGAAAGCTTATGTGTTTTTGTTGTTATATTTGTTGGTATATTAAATTGATCTGCATAGTTTGAGTTCTTCATTTTGTTAATTTTGCCAAGGCACCAAGTAACTCTTCGTTTTCTTTTAGCCTAAAGAAGAAGAAATCAAAATTATGTCATATAGATCTGTATTCAAACATAATAAAACAAGGGAACTAGTTTCTATTTTTGAAAACCATTGACTTGGTAGAATTCTTATTAAGCCTAGTTTAAAATTTTATTAGTCTAAGGATATTGCTTAAAAAAAAAATCAAACTCTTGACTCTTTACTTCACTCTAACTACCATTTTCTTTTTTTCCTACTTTGTCCTCCTCATCATTTATCCACTCCTTCCTCAACACTTCAGGGACCCATCTCCTGGTTCTTACCTTACCCAGCTGCTGTCCTTACCACTCACTCTGCTTTGCTAGTTTCTCTTCCTGTGCCTGCCTCTTAAGTGTGTTTCTCCAGGTTTCATAGCCACCATTCTTCTCTTGACTCTTTACTGGGTGCAAGTATCATCTCATCTTATTTGACTCTCTCGGCAACCCTAGGGTTGTAATCACATCTGAAATACACAACCCTAAGGTTGTTGAGAGAATCAAATAAGATGAGATGATACTTGTATCGAGTATCAACCTTACTACATCTTTTTAACAGATGAGTTGGGTGCCCAACAAGTTTGGAGAAGTTGCATAAGGTTGTATAGCCAATTGGTGGCTGAGCCCATTGTCTATTACTTCAGAGCCTATCCATGCAACCATTCCGTCACATTGCCTCTTAAGATTACTTGTTGTCCACAGAATATACTGCATACTGTCATGCCTCTCTGAGTGCTGTCCTTCTGCTTGAAATGGCCAGCCCTTTCCACACCCTGCTCTGCAAAAGCCCCATCATATTCAAATCCTCGACTCCAATAACCTTCAGTTTAATGCCAGTTGCTACCAAAGCCACACCTGGACCTTGTCATTATCTGAAAGTCATAAACTAGACCTCTTGCTCTCATTGCCGTTGCTGTCCTTCCAAATCATTAATTTAGTTAATCCCACTATAGCTATTTAGCTCATCAGGGGCTATTTAGCTCTGTTCCCTTGTTGCATGACTTTTTTTTTTTTTTTTGCCATCTCCCTCTTGGTTCTCACCCTATCATCTTAGATTCCATAGATCACTGTAATCATGTTTGAAATTTGAGGTCAATGTTCTCAAATTATTTGACCCACTCTCTGTCCCTTACATGTACCCTACACGGCACACTCAAATGGCACTGTGTTCAAGACCTTTATCAGCCTCCTGAGCACTGCCAGAGCCACACAGCCAGAAGACCGGCTGACAAGATAAACTGGACCTTTAATGTTGCATGGCAATATTCCCTTCCCCCTTGTCAGCTTTCTTTTTCATTACCTACAAAGGCTAGCCTATTTCAAACCCTTAGTATCTCTGCAAACTTATGACTCTACCATCACCTGCCATCTCAGCAGAAGAATTAAACCTATTTCACAAAGAAAGTATAAACCTAAACTCCTAAGAGTACTACCTGCACAGAAGCCTATCCTTTCCTCCATGTTTGCTCCAATTCAAGAGGTATTTCTCCTATGTTAGTCCAATTCTTTCTACTATATTCAAGATTCCATCCATCTAGGCCACCTCAACACACTATAAGGTGGCTTTCATCCCCATCACTTAAATTACTTTTGCAAATGAGCTCTGTGTTTCTAAATGCAAATAATTTTTGTCCATCTTTATCTTATTTAACTTCTCAGCAGAATATGACACTGCTGACCACTACCTCCCTGAAATATTCTCTCCCCTTAGCTACCATATTCACTAGGTTTTATTCTTAACTGTACAGCTAAACCTGGGCTGCTTTATGGATTCTTCTTTCTCTGCCTTACCCAATTGGAGTTTTGCCTTCTGTCACTTTGCCTCCTGTTGCCTTCTCTCAACATGCAACCAGAACAAACTTTAATTTGGATCTGTAGTAGTTAATGCCCAAATTGATATTTATATCTCAAATCTTCTACCTCATATTCACACATTTGCATTTTCAACAGCCTGACATCTCAAACAAAAGAAATCCCAAATAAAACACCCACCATTTCCACTGCTCTTTATTCAGTGTGCCTTAACTCAACCAATATTGTTACCAGCTACCCATGAAGCCAAGGAATTGCTTGCAAGTCATTCCGGACACCTCCTTCTCCCTTTCTCTGCCCTCAACATCCAAACAATCACAAAGTCCTGCTAAGTTTACCTTCCAAACATTTCTCCAATTTATCCAATTCACTCCAACTCCAGAGCCACAATCTTTGCAGGCCCAAGCAATCTGATGTGCACAGTAGCTACATCTTTCTCAACTATAATTCTGATGTCACACACAAGGCTGTTCTTTGTTGTTAGCAAAACATCACATTCAAATCCCTCAAGGAGGTTTAAAACGCCCCTGCTACTAGAACATCTTAAGTGCAAGGAATGCATAATGTTTCTTCACAACTCCAAGCTTTTGTACATGTAGGTCTCTTTTGAAACATTCTTCTCTAGGTCTTTCATTGGGCTACTTCCTGCTCACCACTCAACCAATAGTTCTTGATTGTCTTCTATATACCTCTGTACATAATGCTTATTCACATTAACAATGTACATTAGTTGAGAATATGCTGTGTGGAAAGTGCTGTGTTGAGCTAATTCTACCTATTATCTCATTTAATTCTCACACAACACTTATGAGGTGAGTATCAAGCTATTCCACACTGCTACTTCCACAGGAAAAAGCAGCAAAGTGAATTCAAGAAATTGTCCAAGGCCAAGAGTCAGGAAATGACAGATTCAAATCCAGGAAGTCTAGCTCCAGAGGTCATTCTCTTATCCATGACACCCTCACACCCCAAAAAGTCTACTGAATAAATAAATTCCTACTCAATTAAAAACAAACAAAAAATCACACCAACAAAGTAAGAATTTTGTTCACTATGTTGTTTTTCTTTCACCAGAGTCTACATTGACACAATTATGTTGTTTTATATTCTACACCAATTTTCCTGAGATTAATATTTCTGTTTAAGTAGAAAATAATATTTCCACATATTCTAGAAACCTATGGCTTCCAATCACCCAGTTTCTCTAGAATTTATTAAGCAGAATATTGCAAATAAATTATTTAAATACATTCCAAACTTGTTGAATTAGAATCTCTACAAATAGGAATCAGAAATTGGCATTTTTAATGAATCTCTTAGGTACTATGAAACACAAAATCTTCTGGGTTTCTTGAATATACTGTATCAAAGGATAGAAAGTGCATACTATATAATAAACATATAGAAATACCAATTCTATTCTCTGTACATCAAGTTTAAGCTGTCATCTTTTAATTTTACCTTTAATTCCTGTTGCAACGTGAGGGAAGAAGAGGTCACCAGCATCCGTGTTAAGTTTTCAATTTTCTCATTCTGTACTTTCTGAAGCAAATCTTTTTCTTCCAAAAGTTGGGCCAATTGGTCTTTTTCCATTGCCTGAGCCCGCGTCTCTAAAGAAACCTATAGAATGCAATATTGGATTATGTTAATAATAAATGTGGCTAAGTTTTAAAACCTTAAAGTAGCATAAAAGAATAAAATATTAAATTTGTATATGAACTATAAGAATTTTAATTTCACTGAAATAAAATATACTCTAACTGTAGAACACCAAAATGCAGTTACCATAATCAATAATTTCTCAGACTTACAATAAAATACACATTTCTTCTCATGTAACTATTCTATATACCATGTATAAGACACCAATGCTGTTAATATAACTCTATTAATTGCCTAAGAAGATATGAATAGTCAGAAGTCATAAAACAAAGACTTGAATTCTGATAGTAAAGATAGAGATGTTCTCATAAGATTACCATTTGATATTTTAGCTCATTTTAAAAAAGATCCTTAATGCGTGATTTTTTACAAAATATGGGACCATGATGGTTAAAACAAACTAAAATGATAAGTAATTATGCTATATTATTAGATTGCTATCTAAGGGTTAGAAGAGGAATTCAGGATAACATGAAAACACAGAAGGTGGTTCTAAGTAACTCTGTAGTTTCTCTTTTTAATCGAATTCATATGTATTTGTGAAAAATTTTAAGAAATGTCTCTACTTGGCCCATTTGATAATCTCAGATTTTGCCCGTTGAAAATAAAAAACAAAATCTAAAATAATTTCAAGAACCAAATCTTACAATTTATAGTAAATTAAACTAAAATTTTTATGAGTGGATTTCTTCTTCTTTAAAAGTGATTAAAAACCTAAGTTGTAGCAACTCAGATATTCAGGAATGAAGAGTCTCTGAGCATTTGGGCAGGTCTCCATTCTAAATTGGTTCTTTCAATTTAATGAAATAAATGATTCATACATACCTCCTCTAATTGTTTTTTAAGATCCATTATTTCTTTTCTATACCTTTTCAGGAGAGCTTCATCAGTTGATACCTCATTAACATAAGGAGTATTCTTCATATATTTAGCAGTACTGGCAAACTGGAAAAAAAATACGAAAGTGCTAAGTGTTCAACACTTAAAAAAATTCGAATTTAATTAATAATATTTAGCTTTCTTATATTCAAGATTAAAAAAATCAATACTCTTTCTAGTTGGCTTAATACTTTTGAACAAAGGGAACATTCTATGTCCTTATAACAATGCTCTGTAACTTATCCTGGGTGATAGTCTTCGGGAGAATAAAAAAGATATATTGAGAGAACTTAAAAACATCAGCTTATTGGAATCTCATTTACCCCTCAAGGTCCAGTGCTAACGCCTCCTCTACTCTGAAGTTTTGCTTCTAGCCAAAAATATCTCTCCTTCCTTTAAACTCTATACTAGTTATTAACCACTTAACTACTAATCAAAGGCAATTATGTTGCAAGACAAGTGTTATGTGCCTTGTCACAGAATTCATTAATTCTGTTAAGCCAGGGACTCTAGTTTCTCTTTGCACCTCTGACAGTACCTTGATCTGGTGCTCAACAGCTATTTAAAGCAATGTTTCTCAGAGTATAAGTACCATAAGTAACTTTAGGTGGGTACACCAAGGTGACCATTAGATAACATTGAATCCTTCATTGAGAAAGCTACCCTACTGATATTTCTCATTTTTCCTTTCCTTTTTTTTTTTTTTGTTTTTTGTTTTGAGACATAGTTTCGCTCTTGTTGCCTAGGCTGGAGTGCAATGGCGCGATCTCGGCTCACCGCAACCTCTGCCTCCTGGGTTCAAGTGATTCTCCTGCCTCAGCCTCCCCAGTAGCTGGGATTACAGGCATGTGCTACCACATCTGGCTAATTTTGTATTTTTAGTAAAGACAGGGTTTCTCCATGTTGGTCAGGCTGGTTCCTTTCCTTTTTAAAATAGAAAATGTAGGCCTTAGGCTCAGAGAAAATGAAGGCAACAGTTAACTACCAGGAATTTCAGAATTATTTTGTTATACAGACAGACACACAATTTTTTTTGTTACCTTCTATTTGTGGCAAGTAATAATAGTTTCCCATTGATAGGACTAATATTAAAGTTTCCTTTTACAATAAATTAAGTACAAAAAGTGAGTTATTTTAAAAATATCAAGTCAATTTCAGTAAAATAGTGTTGGGTGTGGCAAAAATTATGAAGGTAAGATACAAATAATCGAAGTCTGGCAAAATTAAATTAAGAAATGCTATTTAGTAGACAACATATCGATTATAACAGGCGAGTTAATTAAAAAAAACTATGCTTAATTTTAGTAGGTAATGTTTTCTTCTTCAAGCTGATCTTCCCCTATATTAAGCTGAGATAAAAATCAAACTCACCTGGAGAGCAGTAAGTGTTTCATCAAAAGATACTGGAGTAATTGTGCAGATAATACGTGTCTTTGCATTTCCTCCCAAGGAATTCTGGAGAATTCGTGTTAACTTGCTATCTCGATAATTTATGAAACCACTTAGCAAGGAATAAGTTTACAGGAGAAAAAGATTGAGAACGTTTATATAATAAAGTAGTTGGTTTTTAATGCAGAACTCTTAAATCAGCCAGAGTTTCAAAAATTAGTTTACAAGTTATATGAGGCAGATTAAAACTACTAAAAAATATTTAAAACAGAAAGTAAATTCAGTAGATTATAATCATATGTATAAGTTTTTGAATATATGGAAGAAATCAGTACATTTGAGTGTCATCGAAATGTTGCAATGTTCAACCTAATGAAAAATATAAGAATCAGTAGGTAAGTGCACAACGGGATAAACTTACCCAACTTGTCCATCACTAAGTTTCTTGATCACTTGTCCCAAAATAAATAAGCTTCGATTTATATTACAGCCTTCCTTGAGCCGCACACCTGAATTTATTAAACAAATATGAAAACTAAACTTGACTCCTTTTCTAGATGATAAACTTATTTATCACTAAGTTAATGAGAGAAATTAGAGGGCAGATGCTAAAGTCTATGCTCTGGTTTAGACATGAGCCCATCTTTAATATCAGTGGTAGAAAGAGCTCTCTCCCTATTGGTCCCACTTCAAGTGAATCAGAAAGGTTATTACCTGAGAAAAATAGTAAAAAGAAAAAAATGAAGAGGGAGGGAAGAATGCAGGGAAAAAAAACCTGTTTCCTGAAAGAGCTTCTCTAGCTCTTCAGTTCAAATCAATTTTTTTCCAACATCTAAATATAGGCAACTATGAACTTACAACCAAATTAGCCTCTAATTTCTTATTTTTAAATTGTTAATATGCTCACACGGTTCAAAAAGTTTAAAAAAAAAGTACACTTTGAAAAAGCTCCCTTCCACTTTTATCCCCATTCAACCAGTTCCTATACCTCTACCAGGAAACCACTGTTATTAGTTTTTTTCTTTAGAGATTTTTAAAAATACAAGTTCGTATGTATTTATTTCCTTCCTTCTTCACTGATATCAATAGTAACAGTCCATACATACTATTTTGCACTTTGCTTTTTCTCACTTGGCAACATATCTTGGAAAAATTTCCATATCGGTAAACACTGATCTTTTTCATTCTTTTTTAAAGTATAAAATTCCATTTTACGGCTGCATCAGACTTCATTCACCCACCCCATCCCCTGTTGAAGGACATGTAGGTTTTCAGTCTACTGCCTATACAAAAAAAATTGTAAAAATAATTTTGAACAGATGTTATTTCACAGGTGCATTAATTAGCTATTGCTTTAACATTACTACCTAACCAACCGGCTAAAACAAGCATTTATTTTTTGTTCACAGGTCTGAGGATGGACTGGTTTGGTGGATGTAGGCTAGGCTCAGTTGAGTGGCTCTACAATAGGTTGCAGAATGAGCTCAAGTCTGTTGAACAAACTTCTAATCTTCCTTGGATCAGCAGCTCTTCTAATGGCAAGAGTGCAGGTGCAAGCTAAACCATTTAAGCATTATGAACTATTCATTTATATCCTTTGCCCAGTTTTTTGTTGGTTTCTTTTAAGCTTTTAAGGCATCTGGACTTTGTATCAGTTACAAAAGGGTTTTCCCACTGTAAGTTGACTTCCAACAATTTTTAGTTTTTTTATATTGAAATTTTTGAGCTACTTATAATGCATTCCTTGGTGTATGATATATGGATCCGACTTAATTTTTTTTCCCAAATGGCTATCAATTAATGAATAATCTATCTTTTCTTTACAAATTTGAAGGACCATCTTTATTGTATTCTAACTTCTGTATGTATTTGGGACTCTTGATGGATTTTCTATTCTATTTCACTGGGCTGACAATTCACACAGTTTTAATTACTATGGCATTATAATATGTTTTACTATCTTATAGTAAGATAGTAAAATCTTAAATTCCACTTTCTGCTTTTTGGAATTTTCCTGGCTACTCTTGTCTGTTTTTATGTTTCCATACAAATTTTAAAATCATCTTACCTAATTTAAACATGAAAATGTACTCTTGATAGTCTTATTAGGATTGTGTTAAATCTAGAAATTAACACAGAGGCCTGATATCCTTGTGATTTTGAATCTTTTCCATTTAAGTATGCTTCTCCATTTTTTCAAGTATTTGTTTGTGTCCTTCAAGTCTGATTTACAAGTTTTCTTAGGCCGGGTGTGGTGGCTCACACTTGTAATCCCAGAACTTTGGGAGGCCGAGGTGGGCGGGTCACTTGAGGCCAAGAGTTGGAGACCAGCCTGACCAACATGGCGAAACTCTGTCTCTACTAAAAATACAAAAATTAGCTGGGCGTGATGGTGCATGTCTGTAATCCCAGCTACTTGGGAGGCTGAGGCATGAGAATTGCTTGAGCCCAGGAGGTGGAGGTTGCATTGAGCTGAGATCGTGCCACTGCACTCCAGCCTGGGAGACAGAGTGAGAGTCTGCCTTAGAAAAAAAAAAAAAAAAAAGTTTTCTTTATATCAGTCTTGTACAAATCTTTGTTGAGTTTCTTCCTAGATATCACATCTTTTAGGTTATTATAAATGGAGTCTTTTTGTCTACTAAATATTTTAACTTGTTTTTATTAATATTTTAACTTTTAAAAATTAATATCTGCATATTAATTTTGTACCACATTATCTTTCTTAATTTCCTTATTTTGAAAGTTTAAATGGTTTTTATGGAATTCTCATGGGCTTTCCTGCTGTACAATCCCATCAATTGTATAATTTTCATTTTTTAATTGATGCTATTGTAGACTAAAATAAAAATTAAGCAGATACAGATGCTGATTTCTATGTTAAACTTTTATCAGAAAATCACAATTAATGATTCATTATTATTAATAATGAATATAATTACTTTATCAATTTCTAAAAATGCCTGGTAGTACTTTTTAAACCTGTAAAATAGGAAGACATTAAGACTAACATATTTCATGAGTTTTAATTACCTGCAGCGCCTGTTTGAGCAGCTCTTTCACTGCCTGCAAGATCAACCAAATTCTGTAAGATAGATAAAAATAAATCCTTAGGGCAGATAATTTGAAATAATAAAATTCAAACTACTGAAAGAACATTTTTAATACATGGTATATCTGAATATTCGATCTGTATCCATGTCTCCCATGCTACTGTTTAGGCATTCCCTTTTTTCTCTGAGTCAAACTGTTCTCTATCTGTTCCTTTCTTTATATCTTCCATAATGCCACCAGTATAGGTTCTGTTTCCTATACAAGGTCCAAAAACTTACTATGGCAAATATAATTCTTTATAAGCTGGCACTTGCACTGCTCCAACTTTGTATTTATCCATCCCTTATTCTTACCTCTAGCTGAACTACTCACTATTCCCCAAACACCCCATGTACTTCTACACCTCCAAGCACCAGCTTTTTGCTATTTCCTTTATTCAGTTAGTTCTAATGTTCTATTCTGTCCTTATTCTTTATTCAAGAACCAGGCACAAAGATTATCTCCTCAGCATAGCTTTGCCTACTTTATCCTTCCTCCCCGCCAGATTTCAGATGAACTGCTCCTTGAACTGCATAACCAGAAATCTTTATAAACATGACTTATAGATACGACTTACATTTATAGCACTTATTTTGTTGGGCTAGTCATGCATGCTAGCTGTACTATGCTGTAGCAATACCATGACTTTACTGTGGCATCTTTAAGAGCTGGACCTCTCTTTCATTTCACAAATATTACTGAAAAGAAGTGGCTGCTTATTATGCTCCAGGAAGTACATCAGGTGCTAGGGCTACAAATAAATAAGGTCTCTGCTCTCATGGAGCTTACATTCTACATAGAGGAGGAGGCTGGTAAGAAGAGATAAAAAGACAAATAAGAAACATGTTGTGATAAGTGTAACAGAGATTATTTAAATAGAGCTGGAAAAGGGGCCAGTAGCTTTAGGTTCATAGGACTGGATAGCAGTGGAAGGCTTGTCATTAAGCTGCGATCTGAATGACCTGAGAAGAGGAAGCTGGTCCCAAAAAGATCAAGGGAAACAGTAGTCTAGACAAAAAGAATAGCCAAAACACTTAGTCACAAAGCAGAATGTGCTCAGTGTGTTCAAAAAAATAGAAAAGGCAGTGTGGCACAGTTGGTGAAGTGAAGACAGGAAAAGACAGAATAAGAGAAGTAGACAGGGGCCAGATTATGCAGGACTTTTTAAGTGAGATCTAAAACTCTGAAATGTTTATATTCAATGAGAAGCCATTGCAGGGCTTTATGCAAGGGAGTAATAGAACCCTGCCTTGCTAGATTGGGGAAGTTCTCCTGGATAATATCCTGCAGAGTGTTTTCCTACTTTGTTCCATTCTCCCTGTCACTTTCAGGCACACCAATCAGACGTAGATTTGGTCTTTTCACATAGTCCCATATTTCTTGGAGGTTTGTTCATTACGTTTTATCAAATTCAGGAAATACAGAGAATGCCACAAAGATACTCCTCAAGAAGAGCAACTCCAAGACACATAATTGTCAGATTCACCAAAGTTGAAATGAAGGAAAAAATGTTAAGGGCAGCCAGAGAGAAAGGTCAGGCTACCCACAAAGGGAAGCCCATCAGACTAACAGCTGATCTCTCAGCAGAAACTCTACAAGCCAGAAGAGAGTGGGGGCCAATATTCAACATTCTTAAAGAAAAGAATATTCAACCCAGAATTTCATATCCAGCCAAACTAAGCTTCATAAGTGAAGGAGAAATAAAATACTTTACAGACAAGCAAATGCTGAGAGATTTTGTCACCACCAGGCCTGCCTTACAAGAGCTCCTGAAGGAAGCACTAAACATGGAAAGGAACAACCGGTAATAGCCACTGCAAAAACATGCCAAATTGTAAAGACCATTGAGGCTAGGAAGAAACTGCATCAACTAACAAGCAAAATAATCAGCTAACATCATAATGACAGGATCAAATTCACACATAACAATATTAACTTTAAATGTAAATAGGCTAAATGCTCCAATGAAAAGACACAGACTGGCAAATTGGATAGTCAAGACCCATCAGTGTGCTGTATTCAGGAAACCCATCTCATGTGCAGAGACACACATAGGCTCAAAATAAAGGGATGGAGGAAGATCTACCAAGCAAATGGAAAACAAAAAAAGGCAGGGGTTGCAATCCTAGTCTCTGATAAAACAGACTTTAAACCAACAAAGATCAAAAGAGACAAAGAAGGCCATTACATAATGGTAAAGGGATCAATTCAACAAGAAGAGCTAACTATCCTAAATATATATGCACCCAATACAGGAGCACCCAGATTCATAAAGCAAGTCCTCAGAGACCTACAAAGAGACTTAGACTCCCACACAATAATAATGGGAGACTTTAACACCCCACTGTCAACGTTAGACAGATCAACGAGACAGAAAGTTAACAAAGATATCCAGGAATTGAACTCAGCTCTGCACCAAGCAGACCTAATAGACATCTATAGAACTCTCCACCCCAAATCAACAGAATATACATTCTTCTCAGCACATCACACTTATTCCAAAATTGACCACATAGTTGGAAGTAAAGCACTCCTCAGCAAATGTAAAAGAACAGAAATGATAACAAACTGTCTCTCAGACCACAGTGCAATCAAACTAGAACTCAGGATTAAGAAACTCACTCAAAACCGCTCAACTGCATGGAAACTGAACAACCTGCTCCTGAATGACTACTGGGTACATAACAAAATGAAGGCAGAAATAAAGATGTTCTTTGAAACCAATGAGAACAAAGACACAACATACCAGAATCTCTGGGACACATTTAAAGCAGTGTGTAGAGGGAAACTTATAGCACTAAACGCCCACAAGAGAAAGCAGGAAAGATCTAAAATTGACACCCTAACATCACAATTAAAAGAACTAGAAAAGCAAGATCAAACACATTCAAAAGCTAGCAGACGGCAAGCAATAACTAAGATCAGAGCAGAACTGAAGGAGACAGAGACACAAAAAACCCTTCAAAAAATCAATGAATCCAGGAGCTGGTTTTTTGAAAAGACCAACAAAATTGATAGACCGCTAGCAAGACTAATAAAGAAGAAAAGAGAGAAGAATCAAATAGACCCAATAAAAAATGATAAAGGGGATATCATCACCGATCCCACAGAAATACAAACTACCATCAGAGAATACTATAAACACCTCTATGCAAATAAACTAGAAAATCTAGAAGAAATGGATAAATTGCTGGACACATACACCCTCCCAAGACTAAATCAGGAAGAAGTGAATCTCTGAATAGACCAAAACAGGCTCTGAAATTGAGGCAATAATTAACAGCCTACCAACCAAAAGAAGCCCAGGACCAGATGGATTCACAGCCGAATTCTACCAGAGGTACTAGGAGGAGCTGGTACCATTCCTTCTGAAACTATTCTAATCAATACAAAACAAGGGAATCCTCCCTAACTCATTTTATGAGGCCAGCATCATCCTGAAACCAAAGCCTGGCAGAGACACAACAACAAAAGAGAATTTCAGACCAATACCCCTGATGAACATCGATACAAAAATCCTCAATAAAATACTGGCAAACAGAATCCAGCAGCACATCAAAAAGCTTATCCACCATGATCAAGTGGGCTTCATCTCTGGGATGCAAGGCTGGTTTAACATACAAAAATCAATAAACGTAATCCAGCCTATAAACAGAACCAAAGACAAAAACCACATGATTATCTCAATAGATGCAGAAAAGGCCTTTAACAAAATTCAACAACACTTCATGCTAAAAACTCTCAATAAGTTAGGTATTGATGGGACGTATCTCAAAATAATAACAGCTATCTATGACAAACCCACAGGCAATATCATACTGAATGGGCAAAAACTCGAAGCATTCCCTTTAAAAACTGGCACAAGACAAGGATGCCCTCTCTCACCACTCCTATTCAACATAGTGTTGGAAGTTCTGGCCAGAGCAATCAGGCAGGAGGAGGAAATAAAGGGTATTCAATTAGGAAAAGAGGAAGTCAAATTGTCCCTGTTTGCAGATGACATGATTGTGTATCTAGAAAACCCCATCGTCTCAGCCCAAAATCTCCTTAGGCTGATAAGCAACTTCAGCAAAGTCTCAGGATACAAAATCAATGTGCAAAAATCACAAGCATTCTTATACACCAATAACAGACAAACAGAGAGACAAATCATGAGTGAATTCCCATTCACAATTGCTTCAAAGAGAATAAAATACCTAGGAATCCAACTTATAAGGGATGTGAAGGACCTCTTCAAGGAGAACTACAAACCACTGCTCAAGGAAATAAAAGAGGATACAAACAAATGGAAGAACATTCCATGCTCATGGGTAGGAAGAATCAATATCGTGAAAATGGCCATACTGCCCAAGGTAATTTATAGATTCATTGCCATCCCCATCAGCTACCAATGACTTTTCTTCACAGAACTGGAAAAAACTACTTTAAGGTTCATATGGAACCAAAAAAGAGCCCGCATTGCCAAGTCAATCCTAAGCCAAAAGAGCAAAGCTGGAGGCATCATGCTACCTGACTTCAAACTATACTACAAGGCTACAGTAACCAAAACAGCATGGTACTAGTACCAAAACAGAGATATAGACCAATGGAAAGGAACAGAGCCCTCAGAAATAATGCCACATATCTACAACTATCTGATCTTTGACAAACCTGATAAAAACAAGAAATGGAGAAAGGATTGCCTATTTAATAAATGGTGCTGGGAAAACTGGCTAGCCATATGTAGAAAGCTGAAACCAGATCCCTTCCTTACACCTTATACAAAAATTAATTCAAGATGGATTAAAGACTTAAATGTGAGACCTAAAACCATAAAAACCCTAGAAGAAAACCTAGGCAATACCATTCAGGACATAGGCATGGGCAAGGACTTCATGTCTAAAACACCAAAAGCAATGACAACAAAAGCCAAAATTGACAAAATGGGATCTAAGTAAACTAAAGAGCTTCTGTACAGCAAAAGAAACTACCATCAGAGTGAACAGGCAACCTATAGAAAGGGAGAAAATTTTTGCAATCTACTCATCTGACAAAGGGCTAATATCCAGAATATATAAAGAACTCAAACAAATTTAGAAAAAAAAAAAACAAACAACCACATCGACAAGTGGGCGAAGGATATGAACAGACACTTCTCAAAAGAAGACATTTATGCAGCCAAAAGACACACGAAAAAATGCTCATCATCACTGGCCATCAGAGAAATGCAAATCAAAACCACAATGAGATACCATCTCACACCAGTTAGAATGGCAATCGTTAAAAAGTCAGGGAACAACAGGTGCTGGAGAGGATGTGGAGAAATAGGAACACTTTTACACTGTTGGTGGGACTGTAAACTACTTCAGCCATTGTGGAAGACAGTGTGGTGATTCCTCAGGGATCTAGAACTAGAAATACCATTTGACCCAGCCATCCCATTACTGGGTATATACCCAAAGGATTATAAAATCATGCTGCTATAAAGACACATGCACACGTATATTTATTGTAGCACTATTCACAATAGCAAAGACTTGGAACCAACCCAAATGTCCAACAATGGTAGACTGGATTAAGAAAATGTGGCACATATACACCATGAAATTCTATGCAGCCATAAAAAATGATGAGTTCATGTCCTTTGTAGGGACATGGATGAAGCTGGAAACCATCATTCTCAGCAAACTATCGCAAGGACAAAAAACCAAACACCGCATGTTCTCACTCATAGGTTGGAACTGAACAATGAGAACACGTGGACACAGGAAGGGGAACATCACACACCGGGGCCTGTTGTGGGGTGGGGGGAGGGGGGGATAGCATTAGGAGATATACCTAATGTAAATGACGAGTTAATGGGTGCAGTATACCAACATGGCACATGTATACATATGTAACAAACGTGCATGTTGTGCACATGTACCCTAAAACTTAAAGTATAATAAAAAAATAAATAAAAATAAAAAAACGTAAAACTGGAAAAAAAAAGAGAACCTTGCATAAAGCTCAGCAATGACTCTCACAATGGATCCACTATGACTACTGGGTGGAGGATGGATTGGGAAGGGGCAAGAGCAGCTGCAGGCAGCCCCATCAGGCAGCTGGGGCAGGAATCTCGGTGAGAGATAATACCAGCTTGGGTTAGGGAGGTGGCAGAGGAGACTGCTTGTAAGAGAAGCAGTGAAGGGGTGTCTTGTTTATTGTTTTTTTAATCTCAGAGCCCAACACCATGCTCAGAAGACAATAACAACTTAGTAAATATTGTGAGTGATTTGAAAGAAAGTCAAAGCTTTACGTTATTTCTCTCTGTGGAGATTTTTGAGACTAGGCAGGTAAATATGTATTACCAGTTAAGGAGGCTAATTTTTCTTGCACAGTGTCCACTACAGATGACACAGATACATAATAAAAGGGCAAAGTGGTAATGAAGGCAGCATGAGTGAAGGTTAAAGATGAGAACAAGCATTCATATTCAAAGATACTCAGAGGCCCAATCTATGAGGGAGGAGTTCATGTAGAGCAGAAGGAAATAAAGTTAGATTGGTTAAGAGTGGCCAAATCTTGCCCCAGGAAGTGATATACAAAAGCAATGGTTAGTATATTCGAAATCCTTATGATGACTTCAAGAAACAAAGACAAGGGTCATGGAGACAAGGTTCCAGGAGACTGACATAGTAATTCAAGAGAGATGAGAAAGTAAATGAGTGTAGCACCCATGGAAATGTTTAAAGGTAGGATCAGTAAGAAATGGGACAAGTGGACAAAGAGAAAGGCAGAAAAAGATGAGTCAAAATTGACTTAGGTTTCCAGCTTAGGCAGCTAGGATAATGCTGGTTTTACTGGAAATAAGGAATATTCACTATGGTAGGAAGAAAATAGTTTCGTTTTAGACATATTAAAGTTTGAGATAATGATGGGACACAATTATAACCATCTTTAGGAAGACATGAATTAGAATTCAGAGACTATAGGTAAAATATTTGGCAGTCATCAACATGGAAATGATGACAGAACATTTGAGAGCAAGAACTTGAGTAAGAAACGTCACAGAATACCTCCAAGTTTTTTTTTTTTTAATTATTTTTTTAGGAGGGTAGGGAAAAAGAAGCCAGGGTAGAAAACAGAGGAGTACAGCTAAGAGAAACTGGATATTATCATCCCACCAAGGCCAGGAGATAATCAGAAAAGAGCCACCTCTAAAGAGACAGAGATGACTCTTTAGAGACTTCTTTCCAAGAAGATTCTTAGAGTAAGTGGGTAGGCTGGAGGGTTGGAACAGATGGAACACAAATGACAGAGCATCACGTAACATGAGGAAAATCATCAAGTAGATCACTGAATATGCCAAGAGTATTAAAGCTAAATTATTAAAAGTTAAAATTATATGAAATATCACAGTCTTGGATGAGAAAACTAAAGAGGTTAGGGTTTGGTTTTTTATTGTTAAATTAAAACAAGATTAAAGTCTACTAAAATAAGTTATACAATTTTATAGCAAAATAGCTAAGGTGAAATTAGGATTGAATATTAAGTAATTAATAATCTAATTTTATAAAATCTGAAAATGAATAAACATATTATAGATTGCTTTTTTCCCTGAAGTTTTCTAATCAAATAATCTTAAATCATATCCCACATCAAGCTAAAGAATTTAGGCCCTAAAAATGCAGAATAAAGCAATATGGTAAAAGATAGAAAAGGAGCAAGAAAGAAACAGCAATAATTTAGTGTGGAAAGAAGGAAGTGAAGGTTTACTAATGTGGAATATAGGAATGTTTGCATAATGCATATATTCGCTTATTCAGCAAATCTATATTAGACATAAAATAGGTATAATGTGTTGGGGCTACCAGGATGAATGCAGTATCACTCCTCAATGGATTTACAGTCTAAAGTACTACGTTTACAATACAAAATATATTTTATTGTTGTACTTAAGTAAAACCTAAAGTAATGTGATTACTTTTTAACCATCCAACCTAGATTTTTGTTGATCACATAAGTCTAAATTACATTGGCTGAGATTTTACAAAAAGACCCTCAAATTCTAAGATGATCTAAAGTGTTAAATGTGTATAGAAAAAAATTCTACTGCATTAGTGGTTAGAAAAAACATCAATTCCTATAACCCTATAGCCCTGACATTTAAATTTTAGGAGATGGCAACCATGACATAACAGGAAGAAAGATCCTCTGAATTTTTCCTACGACATTTTAGCTAGGAATTTGATGATACTGACAAGACTAAGCAGACAATTTGTAGATTTCCTCCCACATTTAGTTTAGTTAACAGTTCTTATTAAACCAAACATCCAGCAACTAAATTAAATTTTGTTTTGGCCCATACAGTACATTATTATGGTTCATTAATACTCACCAAATGGGATACCTTAACAGATCCTTCACAATTAGAAGGTTCACCCTTCTCTCTGCTTTCCAAAATCTAGATAGAAAAGGCAAGCTGTAGAAAAATTAGTGCATTCTTACTTGGAAAGATCTAACAGATAGATAGAATTACCTACCATCCTAAAGATGGTATGAGAACGACTGCTTCTTTGATTCATTTTTGTTTCTCCATAATGCCTGCTCTCTGTAAAAATGAGTTATATTTCAGCTGCATATATAATAAAATCCATAGAAACACAATAATTTTTATTTTAACTTAAAAAAGTATGATTTGAGGTCCAAACGTGCTTGATTGAAAAGATAGTTTTTACAAGTGTTCTAAAGAAATACAGCATAAAGTCTTACTTTCTCCCTTTGTAATCCATTTCAAAGCCATTTCTGATGTATATACAACTTCTTCTGTGAGATCAGCAACATACACATTCCTCTGAAACAAGTTTAATTATGGAAAGATTAGAGAAATAGAAGTCACAAGTTTGCTTTTCAAAAGAAGGTGCAAACTATTATAGAATTCATTTGTGAAAGTTAAAAGTGGCAAATGGAACCATAATTCTGTAGGAATGTAACAAATAATTCTATGAATACCCACAATTTATTTCACATACCAAAGCACAACAAATTCTAACCTGATACTTCCAACTTGCTATTTTTACACTTAAACCAAAATATTAGAGCTGTCAGTATTTTAAAACTATTCATATTGTTTAAAAGATGAATATAAATACTTCAAAAAAACCCTCACATACTATAGAAATAGGAGACACTTTAAAAACTATAGAAATTAAAGGTAAACATTCAAGAACAATAATCTCAATAAGTCAGTCAATTTTAAAGCTCCCTTAAGTCTGCTACTCACATTGACATCTTCTCGAATAATTAAAGGTTTCATTTTTTGAGTGCCACAGAGTAAATCTGTAATGGTTTCATTGTATATTTCCATGTAAGATACACGTAAGAGAAATTCCCTATCAGGAAACTAGAAGAAAAAAAATTATATAAAAACACCAGGAAGCATCCAATTGTGAAAACCTAATGCTAAATGCTCATGTGCTTAAAGAGGTAAAATGTATGTAAAACAAACTAAGAAACCCCTTGGTTCTACTGTTGACAAAATAATGAACACAAAAATATAAAAGCATCGTTACAGAAATAATGAAAAGTGAAGTACCATAAAGCTGGGAGAACACCAACTCTAGGCTCAAACTCTAGGCTCAAAATAAAACCCTCTCAAAAGATGTTCTTATTTTAATAAAAATGCTAATTTGAAACCAACTAACTCGGTTGCCTATTCTGGCTTTCTGCTTCCCTTCTTTTTTTACCTACATCCACTTTCTACTGTTCCTTTATAATCACTGATAGTTAAATGGTTAGGTGGAGCTAACCATTCTGATAACATTTTCTTGTTCCTTAATGCCTACTTTTTGTTGAGAGTATTATTGTTGCAGAATTCAAGAGAAAGAATAAAAGAACTTTAAGCTTTATAAAGTAAGTTGTGGAGATAAAAGTGAATCTATGCTATGCCTTTCTTCTTTCCCCATGGATAATCAAACAATAACTGTAAATCTACTTCCTTTCATCTTTACAAGAGAAATACACTAAGACTGGTACCCAGTTTTTACTAGTTTTACCTGTACGTACTAGAAATCCAGTTAAGTTACTTACCTTCTTAATTTTTTGGAAAATGTCATGAATTGCCCTGGGTATAACTCCCAAATGATCTTCTGAACCCATCATGGTATATGTTTTTCCTGAAGCAGTCTGTCCATAGGCAAATATAGTACCTGCAAAAAACAAAACACACATACGCAAAGATTAAAAACAAACCTATAATGGGTAAAACTATGCATGCTTGTTGCACAGACGCCCAAGACTAAAATGTTTCTGCAGCATTGAGTGAATACAAACCATTGTAGCCTTGTATGGCAGAATCGATGATTGGTGCTGCTATTTCTTCATACACATTTTTGGTAGTTTCATTACCATGAAAGACACGATCTAAACAACAACAACAACAACAACAACACAGAAGTTAAATCAAATGAGTCCACTGTGTTTTCATTCCAAATTAGTAATTATTCCCAAAAGTAAAACTGTCAGAATGTAGGATGATCAACTATTTAAGACACAGTATTTTTTTCAACTTTTTGGTTCTCTGAAAATACCCTTCCCTAAGGTAAAATGAGTTCATTTTCACACACAAAAAATACACTACAAGTCAACTTTTCTATGTTCTTTCAAGAGGCAATAAGGTATAGTGTTTGCACATGGGGGTCTGGAATCTACCTAGATGCAAATTAGATAACTGTGATTATAACTGTTTTAAATGCCAATTGGTTACCTTACTTAAATACATGATGGATAAACAATTTTGTTTCCAGTGAAGCAGTTTATAGAAGGCTTAGTCTAATCTTTAGTGACAAATCTAATATTATTGATAAGCCTTTTGTACTTTTAATAGCAAAAGGATAACAAGGTAACTTTTGATGCTATTATAAGCTTACCAAAATTGAAGGATTTACTTCCATCAACTTGATAAATGACATTATTGTCAGTTTTCCAGTAAACTTGGGCAGTTTCTCCAAGTGATTCTTCTCTAAAAGAATAAAAACACCGCATTTTAACCAGTCATAAAAGTCATGTCATAGGAGGAATAATTGAAAAGATTTCACCTGCTAAAGAATATTTTGAAAGATAGTAACATAAGAGAATGACAGAAAGTCCATCTTTGAGGATTCAACTCTTAAATGGAGCTTCAGTGACCTTCTGCCGCCTCAAAAGTGTTTTCTTGTGAAGGCTTTCATTCTCACCCTCTCCCCCAGTACTGGTAAACAAAGGGATGGATTCAAAATGCAACTCTGATTATGTCTGTCTTGCTTAAAATTCTTAAAACCTTTTGGAAACTTATGAAATCCTCAGCAGGGCACGAGTCCTAGATCATGTCATTTCTCTCTTCCATTTTCCTCTGAATTCCTAGATACATCCTAAGCTCTACCTGAAGGTCTTCCCCAAATGACAGATGTAACCTCTCTGTGCCTGGAATACTCTGACTTCCCTTTCCATTAAGTAACATAGGGATTATTTCACTCATGAAAAGCGTCAAGACTTTTCTGACACCAGTTCACCCCACGGGAAGCTTTCGTCTCTGATGGGCTAATAACTCCTCTAGCAAACATTCTCTACCTGCCCATCATAACACTTGTCAAAAGGTATCCTAATGGTTTCTTTATGTAGCCGTTTAAGGCATTAGATAATGAGCTCCTCAAAAATAGGAAATTCCTGATCTTGGTATTTGCATTTATTAAACCCCGTGTTCAATAAAAATTTCTCACACACACAAAGTGTTAGCATTTCGGGTCGAGGGCCAGAAGCTAGTGAAGCAAACCGATTTCATTTATTCCTCTTCCTGCTTTTTCTCCCTAGCACTTATTACCTACATATCACCACTTAACATCCTACATTTTCAACTTTACTTTCTGTCTCGTCCCATTAGAATGGAAGAGCCACTGGGCAATGACGGGAGTGTCTGTGTTGTACAAAGTCACTAAAAAAAAATTGATAAATATTTGTAGAATGATCTTGAGTGACGATTGAATGTAATGTGACAAGACAGACTAGCCCTTGTCTTCAGAGGGTCTGGAGACAGCAGTTAGGTGTAAAATGACTAACTGTGATGAGGGCCAGGAAGGCACGGTCCCATACGACTTCTCTAGGCGGGGAATGGGGCAGGGAGGAGCAGATGCCGCAAGGCAGAGCAGCACAGAAGGGAAGGTCTGTATGTCAGCGAGACTGAGTTAAATTTAAGTGAATCTCGCAGCTGGAAAGTATCTTCTAGATCTCCGATCCTCCCCTGTCACTTTACAGACCCTGAAACGATGGCCAGCAGCCGAGTCACTAGACAGCAGAGCCGGGAAGCAGCGGCTCCTGGAAACATCGTAGGCCTCGCCCCTCCGGCTCAGGGCGGCGCCGCAGGCCCAGCGGGCACCGGGCCGTGGTGTGGCCCCCCTACCTGCTGTTCAGCGGCCGCACTCGCACGCAGACGGCCACGGCTCCTTCCTCCGCCATCCTATCAGGCTGAACTGGTCCCAGGAAAATGGCCAGGACCCTCCGCGGCCGGCACTTCAGGGCTCACAGGCCGCCCCGCCTTTAAATTTAAAATTTCCCAAACGCCGCATCTGATTGAGCCGTGGCCTCGTGACGTCATGGGCCATTCCACGTGCGGAGCAGCGCGGGGGACGCAAGGCGGGCGGCGTGACCACTGCTAAACAGGAGAGGGGATTTAAAGGGCCCAGCAGAGAGTCGGAGGAGAGGGCCGAAGGGAGGGGCTCCCAGGAGTGGGCAGAGAGTGGTGGTCCTGGAATACCAGAATACTATTATCTGCCAAAAGCTAGCGAACGTCATCCTCCACCCCATCCTTAAAAAGTTTGGAACCTGTAGACGAAACTAGGTAGAGATACATGTATTTTTCACTACCCAAACAGAATTGCCGTCTTTTAAAGAAACTGCACCAACAGTTTAAAATAAACTTTCAACAGCAAGAGTTGAAATTCGCTGTCCAGTCCAGAAACGTGACAAGCCTGTTGTGCGCCTTAGAAAATCTGAGTTTAGGCTTTTCTCCTGTTTCTCTCTCTCTGTAACTCGTTTCCATTAGCTGTGGCTTCCTCAGAGGTTGAATTAGGGAAAATAAATACCGAGGACTGAAAAACTCATTGAGTAATGGGTTGATACTTTTTTTTTCTTCTTTTTTTTGGAAACGGAGTCTCGCTCTGTCACCCCAGGCTGGAGTGCAGTGGTGCTTATCTCTGCTCATTGCAGCCTCCACCTCCTGCATTCAAGTGATTCTCCTGCCTCAGCCTCCCCAGTAGCTGGGATTACAAGGTGCCCGCCACCACGCCCAGGTAATTTTTGTATTTTTAGTAGAGACGGGGCTTCGCCATGTTGGCAAGGCTGGTCTCAAAGTCCTGACCTCAGGTGATCCACTTGCCTCGGTCTCCAAAAGTGCTGGGATTAAAGGCGTGAGCCACCGCTCCTGGCCTGGTTTGTTACTTTTATTAACTAAGAGGGAAAGCTATTCTAAATACAGTGATTTTTTCCCAAAAATAATGCTTATTTTCCCTTTCTTCTCTCTCTCTCTTTTTTTTTTTTTTTTTTTTTTAAATAAACATGAGTTCTTGCTTTGTCACCTAGGCTAGAGTGCAGTAGGCTGAACACAGCTCACTGCAGGCTCAACTCCTGGCCTCAGCCCAAGTGGGGTTCCCACCTTAACCTCCTGAGTAGCTTGGATTACAGGCACATCACAAGCCCAGATAATTTTTAAATTTTTTTGTAGAGACGGGGTGGTGGGGGGATTAGGGTAGGGAGTGGGGTCTCACAGTGTTGCCTAGGCAGGTCTTGAACTCCTAGGCTCAAGCAATCCTCCTTGCCTTGGCCTCCCAAAGTGCTGGGATTACAAGCATGAGCCATCGTGCCTGGCCTAGCTTTTTATGTGTACTTTAGAAAGCTATCCAAGATGTTTCATTTATTAAGAGAAATTCAAGGTGCACGGTTATGTACACAGAATATGTCTGGATATACATACATAATTTTTGGAAAGATACACAGAATATGCCTAATTTCCTTGCAGAGTGAGGACTGAGTTAGATGGTAGACTGAGTTAGATGAAAGTAGTTTCTTTCAATTTAAAGAAACTAGTTTATAGATAAGAACAGTAAAGAAAAATGAGTCTATTCATTCAAGATTTGTTTTGGTTAACTAGCTGTGAGGTAGTATAAACAACTCTTTTTTATTGCTAGACTGTAAAGATACTTGGTTGTATCTAGTAAGAAAATACAGAGTTAAGGAAGGTATATTTTAACTGTTGTTTTTGTTTTAATTGTGGGCAAATATGAGACAGCTGAAGGCAAGGAACCTATGAAGAAGAAGGGAGATGTGATTAATCAAAATTTCTAATGAGACAAGAGGAGATTGGTTCACGAGTAAAGAGAAGTCATCAGCCTTTCATAGTTGTGCTTATGATCGTTGCTATGACTGTCTTTTTTTATCATCACAGCAGGTGACATTTATTGAAGATTTACTATATGCCAGGCTCTCTATTATATGCTCTCTATCCAATTTTTTCATCTGACTTTCCAAATTGTTCATCAAGAAATATTCATTGAACAACTGTTATGTGCCAGATACGGTTCTAAGGTCAGGAAGCACAACAGTAAATAGAATAGACACAGTACCTGTTGTTGTAGAGTTGCTATTCTCTTAGAGGAGATGGGTAATACAGAAAAATCTCAGTCTCTCTCTCTCTCTCTCTACACACACACACACACACACACACACACACACACACACACACACATAATGTAATGATTAATAGGATCAGGAGACAGAGAGAGAGTGATAAGGTGGGTTAAGAGTGCTAGTTTCTTATGAAACACATTCTTGTGGGAAGCAGCAGACAATACATAACAAATATATAGTAAAATAATGTGTTGGGAGGAAGGTTTATTTTAGATGAGATGTTCAAGAAAGACCTGAGGAGGTGACCTTTGAAGTGAAACCTATGTGAGAAGAGTGAGCCAGACTTGGGAGGACAAGAGAAAGGGCGTACCAGACAGAGGAACAAGTAAGTCAAAGAAGCCAAGGCTTGATCGAGTTTGTCATCTGTCTGAGACACAAAGGGGAGGGCCCTGTGACTGAAGCATTTGTGGCAATGGAGAGAGGTAGGCAGGTCCAGGTCCAGGACCCATGGGGCCTTGTGGGCTGTGATAAAATGTTTGGATCTTATTCTCAAGGGTGAGGGGAAGCCTATGGAGGGTTTTAAGCAAGGGGGTAAAAAGGGATTCATTAATTCCTTCAAACAAGACACTCTTTATTTCACTATGAAAATAGAAGCTTCCAGAAAAGACTTTGCCCTAATTCCTGTCAATCTGGCTACTCACTATGTGCATTTGTGCTTGCATACTCGCCTTCCAGACTGTAACTTTATAAACATCTGTGTGTTTTCCACTCTGGAAACTCTCCATGTGTGCACTGGATACAGTCCTCTCCTTCTCACTCTCTGTCCTGCTTGTCATTTTCTCCTGCTCTAGAAAACCAGTCTTAACAGCAAACATATGCCTTAATTCCTCCCATATTGAGTGTCTAATATATATGGCAAACTTAAAATGTCTAATACCAAATTCATGCTCTTCCCCTCAAAATCTGCTCAATCAGCAGTTTTCTGCTTCTCAGTTGTTGGCAAGTCCATCCTTCCAGTTATCCAGGTGCAGACTCTGGAGCCATGCTGCTCAGCTTCTCACCTGAAAATTCTGTCAGGGCCACCTTGAGAAAATTTCAGACTATGAAAAGTTTGTCACAACTTACGCTTCAGCTACCTGGTCCGAAATATCATCATCTGGCACTGAGCTAATCTCAGTGTTTCCACCCTTGCCCACCCCCACTGCCAGTCTGTTCTCAACACAGCAATTTGAATGATTCTGTGAAAATGTGTCAGATCATGTCACTCCTCTCTCAAGACCCCCAGTGCCACACCTTCACCCCCACCCTCTGATTTCTCTCAGAACAAAACCCAACGTCTTTCAGTTGTCTCCCAAGCCTCACATGATCTTGCCCTTTGTTTGTGCTCTGGCCTTACCTCCTACCACTGTCCCTCCCCTTTGCTCTCCCCACTCCAGCCACACGGGCCATGGGCAGTTTCCTGAATCCCAGACAAACCCCCTCTTGAGACCTTTGCACTGGCTGCTGTGTCTGGATGGAAGGCTTTCACTCCAGATATACATGTTTCCCTCCTTCCCATTGATTCCAGTGTTTACTCAAATGTCACCCTCTCATAGCTCTCTCTCTATAAAACACCAACTCCATTGTATGTTACTTCTATTTCTTAAATCTTCTTCTTAAATTAGTTACAAGATTATTTGTAACTTTTAGACATAATATGTGTATGAGTATTAATTTATGTATATATGTCTCCTCCCACTAGAGTGACATAGTTTTTGTTTACTCCTTGTCCCCTGTGTGTACAAAGATGCTTGGCATAGAGTAAACGTTCAATTAAAAATTACTTATTACTTAAGTATTACTCAAATACTTATTGGCATAATTTCTGGAAAGATACACAGAATACACCTAGCTTTCTTTGGAGGGAAAGGACTGAGTTGGAAAACAGATTCACCTTTCATTTTATATTATTTCATAACAATATTTTAACCACATGAATATTAGTTTCTCTCAAGTTAAAGAAATTAGTTGACATAAATCAGTGTGTAAAATGGAGTCTACTCATTCAGATTTGTTTTGGTTATCTAGCTCTGAGCTCATAGAGATTATCCTTTTTCATGACTAAATTGTGAAGAGGCAGGGCTGCTTCTAATAAGATAATCCAGAGTATTGTGGTGTATACATACTATGGAATACTACTCAGCCATGAAAAGGAATGAAATAATGGGATTCACAGCAACCTGGATGGAATTGGAGACCATTATTCTAAGTGAAGTAACTCAGAAATGGAAAACCAAACGTCATATGTTCTCACTTATAAGTGAGAGCTAAGCTATGAGGACTCAAAGGCATAAGAATGATACAATGAACTTTGGGGACTTGGGGGAAAGGGTGGGAGGGGGTGAGAGATGAAAGTCTACACATTGGGTACAGTGTACACTGCTTGGTTGATGGCTGCACCAAAATCTCAGAAATAACCACTAAAGAACTTATTCATGAAATAAATAAATTAAAAATCAATAAATAAAATAAAAGGATAATAACCAACATGCATGGAACTGGAGGCCATTGTCCCAAGTGAAATGACTCAGAAACAGGAAGTCAAAAACTGCATGTTGTCACTTATAAGTGAGAGTTAATCAATGAGTACACATGAACATTGTAATAGTCTGTTCTCATGGTGCTATAAAGAAATACCCGAGACTGGGTGATTTATAGAGAGGTTTAATTGATTCACAGTTCTGCATGGCTAGGGAGCCTTCAGAAAACACAATCATGGTGGAAGGCGAAGCAGAAGCAGGCACCTTTTCCACAAGGAGGCAGGAGAGTGAGTGGGAGCAGGGGAAATGCCAGACACTTATAAAACCATCAGATCTCTTGAGAACTCACTCAGTAACAGAGAACAGCATGAGAGAAACCATCCCCATGATCCAGTCACTTCAGGTCCTTACCATGACACATGGGGATTATGGGGATTAAAATTCAAGATGAGATGTGGTGGGGACACAGCCAAACCATATCAGACATATAGAGTGAATAATAGACACTGGCAACTCCAAAAGGTGGGAGAGTGTGAGGGGACTGAGGGATGCAATACTAACCATTTGGTACAATGTTCACTATTTGGGTTATGGGAACACTAAAAACCCAAATTTCATCACTACGCAATATATCCATGTAACACAACTGCATGACATGCACAGATGTACCCCCTAAATCTAGAAAATATTTCAAAAAGAGAAAAAAGAAATAAACATGTTCTAATAAAAAAGAGATGGATCAAGTAAATCTGACTAAAAAAAAGTTAAAAAATATAAAAATAAAAAGAAATTGAGTGGTAAGGGAAAGCATAAAGATTAAATAACCTATCTAAAGTTATGGAACTTCTGGCAAGAGAGGCTTAACATTTGGATGCCTACCATTTCTCTGATAGGCAATCGAAATTTTTTGTTAATTTTTTTTTTTACCTGAAAGATTAATACCTGCATATGGTCAAAAGATTCAAATGAACAGAAGATTCACAGTGAAAAACAAATCTTCCTACATTGACTCCTAAGGTGTCATTTCACCTCCCCAGAGGCAACTGTGCCATTTCCTAAAGTGTTCTCATCAAAATAATTTACAGATAGGCACACATATACATCTTTTTCTATATTGCATATCTTTTACACAAAAAGGTACCTGTCATACATGCTGTAGTGAACTGTGCTTAAATATGATCTTTATGTAAGTGTTTTCATTCAGTTTAGGAAGAAAAGTGAATTTCTGAGGCATATTAATTGCACACACTTTTATGTTGATGTTTCAATTACTGTTTTTTTCCCCAACTGTGTTATTTATGCTGAAGCTGCAGAGGGCACTGTAATCTTTCCCAAAACATGGCATAGCCTTGAATGGTATTTTGAAGAGTGTGAATATGGTGCAAACTGTAGGATTCGGAGAAGCTACTGATATTAAAAATATACATCAATTCAAATTACTCACCTGTTCTCTCTCATTTTAATGCATTTCATAGAAAATTAATAGTAATATACTTATTACATATAATCACCTTCAATGGGGTAATTTTTATTTCAAATTTTATTTTAGGTACAGGAAGTACATGTGCAGATTTGTCACATGGGAATATTGTGTGATGCTGAAGTTTGGGGTATGGATATCATCCATAGTGAGCATAGTGCCTGATAGGTAGTTTTTCAACTCCCTCCTCCCTCCCTCTCTCTCCCTTCTAGTAGACCACAGTGTCTATTGTTCCCATATTTATGTCCATGTGTGGTAAATGTTTAGCTCTGCTTATAAGTAAGAACATGCAGTATTTTATTTTCTGTTCCTGCATTAAGTTGCTTAGGATTATGGCCTAAATAGGAGTAATTTTTGTTTAACAGAGAGAATGCCTAATTTTCAAAGCATCTATTTGAAAGACATCTATTTGGAGACATCTATTTGTAATGATCACAGACATAGTATTTCTCACCTTTTAATCACAGTAACAGGGGATTTGTATGGCATCATGGGAACTGCTCTGGCCTGGGTCAGTCCAAAGACTATTTCTAAGCTATGCTGCATTGGAAAATCATTTATCTCTGTGTGTCACCATTTTCTCATCCATACAATGAGATAATTGGATGAGAAAATTTCTAAGGGTTTTTTTCAGCTTCAATAATTCTATAATGTCTTCATTAAGGAAAGAAAATTGAATCGCTAAGAGAATAGATTTTAAGTTACTCACACAAAAATATGTGAGGTAATGCATATATTAATTAGCTTGATTTAGCCATTCCACAATATATACATACTATTAAACTCATATTGTACCCCATAAATATAAGTACTTTTTGTCAGTTAAAAAAAATAAAAAAATTTTTAAAGGAAACTTGTTCAAATTGAGTATGGATGAGTGTAAAATTGAATACAGATTTGTGAGGGAGTAGGAAAAGTGATCTGTGTTACCAAGAAAATCTAAGATAGTCACAATGTGGCAGAGGATGATGGCAGCCCACCAAAATCTATTCTCTTCTTTCTGGCCAGAAAGCAAGATTACATTCCCAGCCTGCCTTGCAGTTAAGGGCCACTTCTAGGCCTATATAGAATTCCAGGGGTGCACTTTTCCTGCCTCATCCTTGGTGAGCATCCTTTCTCCTTTTCTTCATTGATTCTTCCAAATCCTGACCACTTTCTTCAAGCCCAGGTTTCATCTTCATCTTTATTGAGAAATCAGGACCATCAGGCAAGATGTCTCAACTTCCAGGTTTCCCACCCTACCTCCTGCACTTCTACTGATTTATATCCTCACCAACTCTTCCCTCTTTTCATGCACGTCCAGAGTGAAGTGTCTGTGGTGTCTGAGATGAGCCCTTCCATTTATGTCCTTGGCTCCTTTCTCTCCAGTGTCCTCTACATCCTTGCTCAGGCAGTTATTTTCTCTCTTATTTCAGAAAAATGCTAGAAAATAACAAAAAGAATCATCTGTAATTTCACCTTAAAAATTATCTAAATTGCCTAGTGAATGTTCCTTCTATTACCCAGTCATCAAATTTCATCTTCCCTAAGGTAATCTATGTTAATTAAATTTATATTTCTTGAATATATGCAATAAATCTATGTGGATAACCAGATGTTTTCATATTTTCAAGAATAAGATTATTCTGTAATTGATCTAAAATTTGCTTTTTACACTAACAAATCAATATATAGATCTGCCTTTTATATTGGCTGCATAATATTCAATTATATGGCAGCATTATAGTTTATTCAACCATTTCTTTCTTTTCTTTTCTGTTTTTTGTTTTGTTTTGTTTTTTTTTGGAGATGGAGCCTTCCTCTGTCACCCAGGCTGGAGTGCAGTGGTGCGATATCGGCTCACTGCAACCTCTGCCTCCCGGGTTCAAGTGATTCTCCTGCCTCAGCCTCCCCAGTAGTGGGGATTACAGGCACCCGCCACCATGCCCAGCTAATTTTTGTATTTTTAATAGAAACAGGATTTCGCCATGTTGGCCAGGCTGGTCTTGAACCCTTGACCTCAGGCAATCCACCTGCCTCGGCCTCCCAAAGTGCTGGGATTACATGTGTAGGCTACCGCACCCGGCCTCAATCATTTCTTTATGTATATTTAGATTGTTTCTAATTTTCAATATTGCTTATAATACAAAAATCCATCTGCATATGTCTTTCCATACTTACGCTTTTATTTTCATAAACTAGATTGCTAGAAGCTAAAATGCCGACTCAAATGATGTGCTTGTTTTGAATTATAACAAGTACTACCAAATTACTTCTCAAATAATTTGTACCAATTATATTACAACCAAGAGTCTGTGAGTGTCCACTTCCCCATTTCTTCATCATCACTGGGTACAAATCAATATTTCTAATTTTTGTCAATTTTATAGGAAAAAGATATTTTATTTTCATGTGCAATTCCCTGATTACTAGTAGGATTGAGCATCTCATCACTGTTTATTGGTAATATTTATATCTTATTTTTTGCATTGTACATTTGTACTGTGTAGTCCTTTGCTCCTTTGCCCAGTTTTTTTTCATATGGATTGTCCTTCTAATTGACGTGTTATAAGTCTTTAAGTATTACAGATTACCTATCTAGCAAATATTTCCATTTGGTCAGTCATCATCTTCTAAATTGTCTTTGTGTAAGGTTTCTTTATAGCGTCCTTGTTTTTGTCCATTTGGGAAATTCTTCCCTACTTTGAGGTTATAAACATGTTTTATTACTTTTTCTTTTAACTTTTGTTATTTTATTTCTTTCATTTACAAATTTAATTCTTTCTTGTGGCTTTTGTTTTTAACTCTCTTGATGGGTCTGTCCACTCAGTGTATAAATATTTTAGGTCTTTTTTTTAATATATATAATTTGAAAGCTTTTCTTTGTGTTACCCTGCATGTATCTGAAAGCCTTTCTCATTTCTTTCTTTTAGTCTATGAAGTAATTATATTTACTGTCTCACTTCTTTGTTTTCCATTTAATCTTCATATACTTATAATTTGGCTTACAATCCTACTGTCATGTTAATACAATTAATCTATGTGCACCACAGTAAGTAAATTTCTGAACCAAATGGACATTTTTCAGTGCTTTGGGGCATTTTTAGTGCCTTTGGGCATTAGGTAGTCTCCAAAGATGGCTGCTTTGATTTTCTCCCCTCGCTGTTGTGCATTCACCACTCTAACCATCAAAAGATGGATTCGATTTACCCTCGTCTTTAATCTGGTCCTCTTTCTTCCTAGCACAGTAGTCTCAGGATAGCTAAATTTCTTACATGATGGCTGGCTTTGCAGAATAAGATGGAAGCTGCTAGGCCTCTGAAAGTTTAGGCCCAGAGCTGGCAGAGTCATTCCCACCGTAATCTCTTGGGCTAACTTCACAAGCCCAAGCTAGCCACGTGACGAGGCCACATGGAGGAGCTCTAACATGCCAGACACGAGTGAAGCCTCTTTGACCTTCCAGGTTAGACCAGTTTCTGATCAATGCTGCTTTGTAAATTTCCCTGGCTAATGCTGCATAGAGCCAAAGAAGCATCCAACTAACTCCAGTTGATCCCCTAAATTGTGAGAAATAATAAAATTCAGTCTCTTTGGTGAATAGTTCTAATGAAGTTTGACAAATACACGGAATTGTGTGATACTCACCAGAACAGTTCCATCATCCTCCAAAATTCTTTTGTGCTGCTTGTTTGTAGTCAACCCTCCCTTACATCCAAGATTTGGAAACCACTGATCTGTTTTGTGTGCTACTTTTGCCTTCTCCAGAATGACATAAATGGAATTTTACAGTTTATAGCTTTTTGAGCCTGATTTCTTTCACTTACGTTAATGGATTTCAGATTCATTGTGTTATTGTATCAGTACTTTGTTCCTTTTAATTGGTGAGTAGGATTCTGTTTTTTGGATTTATCACAGTTTGTTTTATTCAATCACCAGCTGAAGGACATTTGGGACATTTGTTTTCAGTGCTTAGAAATTTTGAATATAGCTGCTAGAAACGTTTATACACTGGATTTTGTGTGAACATCACT
Organism: Homo sapiens; assembly: GCF_000001405.40. Taxonomy (NCBI): domain Eukaryota; kingdom Metazoa; phylum Chordata; class Mammalia; order Primates; family Hominidae; genus Homo; species Homo sapiens. The sequence continues at coordinate 103,208,495 of NC_000004.12, forward strand.
TTTTATTTCTCTTGGATAAAATATCTAAAATTTAATTTTATAAGAAATTGCCAAACTGTTTTCCAAAGTGGCTATACCTTACATTCCCACCAGTAGTGAATGAGTTCCAATTGCTTCACACATCCTCATTTGAGTTTGGTATGGTCATTAAAGAAAACCCCTAGACATTCTAATAGGTATATAGTAGTATATCATTGTGGTATTAATTTGCATTTCCTTAGTAATTAACGATGTTGAGCATATTTGCATGTGCTTACTTGCCATATATATATATATATCTTCTTGGTGAAGTACCTGTTTAGATAGTTTGCTCACTTCAAAAAATTTGATTGTTTTCTTACTTTTGAGTCTTGAGAGTTCTCAATATATTCTGGATTCAAGTCCTTTACTAAATATAGAGTTTGCAAACATATTCTCTCAGTTTGTGGTTTTTCTTAACAGTGCTTTTCTCTTAACAGTGGCTTACACACATCAAATGTTTATAATTTTTTGAAGCCCAGATTGTAATTTTTTTCTTTCATGAATTGTACTTTTGGTATAATATCTAAGAACTCTTGGCATGACCCAGAGTTACAAAAATTTTCTTCTACGCTTACTTTTAAAGTTTTATAGGTTTACATTTTAAAGTAGATCTATGGTCTATTTTGTGTTAATTTTTATATAAGGTGTGAGATATAGGTTGATATTTACTTTGGGGCATATGGATAGTCATTTGTTCCAGCTCATTTGTTGAAAAAATTGTCTTTACTCCATTGAATCACTTGTGTACCATTGTAAAAAAAGTCATTTGATCTTACTTATCTGGTTATATTCCTGGACTCTGTATTCCATTTCATTGATGAATGTGTCTATCTTTAGTTGTTACTGTTTTAAGCCATTAAATTTTGTATTTGTTTGTTATACAGCAAAATGTAACAATATGTGACACAGTCACTGTGAAGAACTTTGAAAGGGCTGAAATTTTACTCCTCTTGAAAGCTAACAAGTTAGTCTGCCACAGTTTCATGAATCCTGGTGGAAGACTCAAGACTTCTGGGACAAGGATGAAGAAAAATTTACTAATCAAACCAATAGCCATAGCCAAAGTATTTGCATTTTTGTGTTGGTTTTCTAAACCCCAATTCCCATAAGGTGATGCAAAGAGGGCCAGGTAACACCTATACACACAGGTATAATTTAATCACTGATGCACAAGAGATACAGTAATACCACTATTAGTATAAGTGGTAAGTGACATAGTAGTTCCACTGATGTATTTCAGCCTCCCCTTCTTTCTGTGGCTGATTTTTTTTCCAGAATGAGGTCAGACATTATCTTCCAAGCAGCCTCTGGTTATTTTATCTTCTGAGTTCCTGTAGCATCATATGTAGTATTATGACTGAGTATTTTATCTTCCTTATTAGGCAGTGAGCTCTTCGAGAGTAGGCTCTAACTCATTTTCCTTATACTCTAATTTGTCAAACTATTAAAACATTTGATGTACTTCCTTTTGAAGCATCTGTTGATACAGTTACCATGCCTTCACTATCTTGATGATTTCACAAGAAATGGAACAAATGGAATACTTGTAATAAAAGGCCCTATTTTTCTTGATGATCGTTTCCCAAAGAAGTTATTTCTGTTCTGAAGGAAGTAGCTGAAAATACCTATGAAGTAACTGCTTTCCTGAAAATAGTACTTGTTATAGTATAAGTAGAAGGGGCCTTAACATATAATTTTTAAAAGGCTTATAGCTGTGGGTAATACGAAGTCTCTAAAATACGTGCATGCCAGTAATATTGAGAACAATGCCATTTTATTCCAGGATCCAAGAAGGGCATTGCATAATTAGCAGAACAAATTGACAAGCAGGGCACATAGTTTACATTTCCATGGTAGGTAAGAATGACTATTTTGATTACAATTTCATGTGTTTTGTTTACTTTTTTTTGGTGGGGGGACAGAGTTTCACTCCTGTTGCCCAGGCTGGAGTGCAATGGCATGATGTTGGCTCACCACAACCTCTGCCTCCCAGGTTCAAGTGGTTCTCCTGCCTCAGCGTCCTGAGTAGCTGGGACTACAGGCAAATGTCACCACGCCCAACTAATTTTGTATTTTACTAGAGACGGGGTTTCTTCATGTTGGTCAGGCTGGTCTTGAACTCCCAACCTCAGGTCATCTGCCCACCTAGGCCTCCCAAAGTGCTGGGATTATAGGCATGAGCCACTGCGCCGAGCCTCCTTTGACTTTCACAGCCTTCAATGTCTTCATCCTAGTACAAGAAGACACATTGAATTTTTATAATAAAACATTTATTAAATTTGGTGAAGTATGAGATCTGCTCACCAGTAAAACATCCTGGTTTAACTTTATTATTGCTTATATTTTTGTAAGTATTTTAAGCATAACTATTTGGTTTGGTTTTTGAAAGTTATTTTCTGAATATTTTGGCAAATGAACGTGCAAGAACATCATGAGTTTTCTTGGTGCACAGAATAATAATGCTATGGGTTTATCTGGGAACCTAATAGTAGAGCTTGCCATAGCGTAACATGGAGCTCTTTGCTGGAGTGTACTTTCTGTTGTTAATTTTTTAGTTTCTTCTAAACAGGTTTGTAATTTGACTTTTCTATTTCTGAGAAAATCTGTCATCTTAAAAGAAACTTTTAGAGAGTTAACTGAAAGTGAAAGCAAGTTCCAAGGAACCCCCAAAGAAATATCATAACTCATCACTTTATCCTACCACCAACTTTTGCTGCTGTATGAAGCAACCTAACTCAACCTTGTAGGAATTTATGCATCTACTATTTGGAAACATAGAGTTAAATGCCCATAATATATAGCTAAGAGATTTGAAAGAGTTTGCCTCTGAGGAGGGGGTGTGGGCAGTAGATGCGGAGTAGGGAGTGTAAAGTATGGTTTTTGTTTTCAGCCTTCTAGCACTAACTTATTTGAAATTTATGTGCACATAGTATTTCAATAAAAATAGAACAAGTTATAAAAAGAAAACATAAAAAGAAATGATCAACCCCCAAACTGGGCTTAGTTCTTGTATTATTTCTTATAGGCTGGAAATAGACCCACAAAAAGGAGGCTGGATTGACCCTCCTTTAGTGGAGGTTTCCCCAAAGACCCTCCTGGAGTGAAGGGTCCCCAGAGGAGAGTGAAACACAGGAGTTAGGTGGTTGAGGCATGAGTTGGCCATGAGCAAACAGTGAAGGTGATAAAGGATTACTTATACCAAGAGAACCACAGATGAGAGAATCTTCCAACATCCCCAAATAAAAAAAGTCAATACAGTTGCTTCCCAATGCAGTCTACTCCACCCTGCTTTCCAAAGTCTGATGTTCCCTGTTTAAAAGGGAATCTGACTAAAAAGCCAGCAGTTTTGGGATTCTTTGACATGTGGCTTCTTCACCAAATCCTGGTATCATCTCTGTGAGAAAGATGAGAGCAGAATCCACTTGCATCATCAAATGTTCTGGGTCTTCTTTGCTTGTCAATTGAAAAAATAGTAAAATAAAATGAAAGTATCTCAAACTGGACTACAATGTCATTCTTACCAATCTTTGTACCTTGACCAAACTTTGTCATTTGAATTAGAGTGTTCTATATTGGGAACAAAGTTGGCCAGAATGACTTAATGGCTTATAATGGGAGCTAGGAAAGATGGGACAAGGATTGCTGCCCACTATATAGGTATGACTTGCTATGGTCCATTCCCTTTGGAGGCATTGAGCTCTGGTTTGTCATCAGTGGTATTTATCTGGTTATCCAGATAAACCAGAGGAGGTCTCCATGTAGAGTAAAAGGAAAAAGGAATGTAGGGCTTTGGTGGACTCTCCTGGATTGTAGGGAGGAGTCGGTAAGATAGAGGGCAAGTAGTGGAGCTAAACATCCCCTGTTAGAGCAAGTGCCTCTAGAGAGATAATATCAGCTTTTCCAGGCAGATGGCTACAAATGACATTCTTTCTGTCTCTCCCAGAATCAGGATGTCTAAAGCTATTATTTTATTTTCATTTCCCTCCAGGATCACTTCAGTCCACTAATAATCACACAATAAGAAAGATCATGAACTAACAATTAGCCTACCTAATTGTATCACTTAACCAGTCTTATTTCTTTAACTGTTGCCCCCAAAACAGGAGCCTTCTCAACTGAATTAATGAAGGCAAGATACATTATGTCAACTACATAATGCTGATTGATTATTGAGTATCTCTTTATGTCAGGAACTAGGCACTTGGGATGCATCTTTGAACAAAACAGATAACAATATTTTGCTCTAATTATGCATTTTTTGTTTTAATCACATTTAGTGATAGCTTAGACCAAGAGATTAAAAATTTCAAGTACATCTCCATTCCTTGTAGACCTTTGTGCTCTACACACACACACACACACACACACACACACACACACACACACACACACAGAGACATCTTAACATTTGAGGTGTTTAATGGTAAATGTTGAAGTACAAATGTGCTTTTAACTTTATTGTTTTCTACCACTCTTATTTTTTTCTGCTAATGGCCATAAAGTACATTCTTTCCGAATCTTAGTTATATTTGCTTCTTTTTTTGCTAAGATATTTTTAACCACTGGATAGCAAGAGTCAAATAATCATGTACAAGTTTTTAATTTTATCTCTCTCAAACATGTTTTTGCTTTTGAAGCATTATGTATACTGTTTTATTTCTTTAAGTAACAATTAAATTCATAAAGTTAGAGTTTGTCTTATATAGTAATAAAGATGGTTTCCTTACTCCACTTCCTGTATTCAAACTATTATCAATGATAGATAATATATAGGAGAGAAAATTAAAATTAAGTTAGAATTTTTATGAACTAGAAATGACATAGCAGTATAAAGTGGTGAAAAGGCTAAAGCCCAGGATCTGCTGGGAGTCTAGTCCCTATGAATTAAAGGGTCGGGCAAGAAAACCAAGCCAGATTTGAGTTTGAATTCAGGAACTACAATAGAACTTTTCTATTCAGCAGAGGAGACTGATAAAATTTACTATCAGTATCTGCCTAGAGCTGTGGTTTAATAAAGCCTGAGTCTATGAAGGTTTCTGGATATAGTGTTTTGAACAGATGTTGAGCCAAGCTTCCTTCTGGTGCAGCAAATTAATTTATTTTATGTTCAATAGTACTGAGAGGCAGGAGCTCAGACCAACCAATATGATATTTGGTTCTGGACTGTAAAACTACTGGGAAAAAGAGAGGTGAGCGGAGACAAGAGAACATCAGCAAGAACCTTCAACTAGAGAAAAAAAATCCAAATTTCAAAATACGTGGAAAATTAAATTTAGGAAACACATCCAATAAAATCAATAAGTGAAAGGTCAATGTATCCTAGATGAATGAAAATAAAAGCATGATCTGAAGGGTCTTTTAAAACATGTTGAGGCCCCTCAAACATACAAATGAAGGGATAATTCACAACAAGAAAAAAAAACAAAAACAAAAATGAAGAACATATGCATATAAAAAATGAAATCTTGGAAATGGAAAGCATAATAATTGAATTAAAAAACTTTAATGTTATCTGACTTCGAATTGTACTACAGAGCTATAGTAATCACAACAGCATGTAACTGGCACAAAAACAGACACATAGACCAATGGAAGAGAACTGAGAACCCAGAAACAAGCCTACACACCTACAATGAACTCATTTTCAACAAAGGTGCCAAGAACATACACTGGGGAAAAGGGAGTCCCTTCAATAAATGGTGCTGGAAAAACTGGATATCCATATGCAGAAGAATGAAACTAGATCCCCTATCTCTCTCCATGTAAATCATCAAATCAAAAAGGACTAAAGACTGAAGTCTAAGACCGCAAACTATGGAAGAATTACAAGAAAACCTTGGGGAAAATCTCCAGGACATTGGTCTGAGAAAAATTTTTTGAGCAACACCCCACAAGCACAGCCAATCAAAGCAAAATGGACAAGAAGGATCACATCAAGTTAAAAAGCTTCTTCACAGCAAAGGAAACAAACAACAAAGTGAAGAGACAACCCATAGAATGAGAGAAAATATTTGTAAACTACCCATCTGACCAAGGGTTAATAACCAGAGTATATAAGGAGCTCAAACAACTCTATAGGAAAAAATCTAAAATAATCCGATGAAAAAAATGGGCAAAAGATTTGAATAGTCATTTCTCAAAGGAGGACACACAAATGGCAAACAGGCATGTGAAAAGATGCTTAAACATCATGAGTCATCAGAGAAATGCAAATGAAAACTATACTGACATATTATCTCACCCCTGTTAAAATGGCTTATATCCTAAAGACAGGCAATAACAAATGCTAGTGAAAATGTGGAGAAAAGGGAACCCTTGTACACTGTAAATGTAAATTAGTACAACTGCCATGGAGAATAGTTTGGAGGTTCCTCAAAAATCTAAAAATGGAGCTACCATATAATCCAGCAATCCCACTCTGGACATATACCCAAAAGAAATCAAAGAGGTATCTGTACTCCTATGTTTGTTGCAGCACTGTTTATAATAGGTAAGATTTGGAGGCAACCTAACAGTCCATCAACAGATGACTGGGTAAAGAAAATGTGGTACATATACACAATGGAGTACTAGTCAGCCATAAAATAGAACGAAATCCAGTCATTTGCAACAACATGAATGGAACTAGAAATCATTAAGTTATGTGAAACAAGTCAGGCAGAGAAAGACAAACATCACAAGTTCTTACTTATTTGTGGGATCTAAAAATCAAAACAATTGAACTCATGGACATAGAGAGTAGAAGGCTGGTTACCAAAGGCTGGAAAAAGTAGTAGGGGGCTGGGGAAGAGGTAGGGATGGTTAACAGGTACAAAAAATGATAGAATGAATAATACCTCTATTTGATAGTATAACAGGGTGACTATAGTCAATAATTACTTAATTGTACATTTTAAAATTACTTAAACAGTATAATTAGATTGTTTGTAACTCAAAGAATAAATGCTTGAGGGGATGGATACCCCATTCTCCTTGATGTACTTATTTTACATTGCATGCCTGTATCAGAACATCTCACTTATCCCATAAATATATACACCTACTATGTAACTACAATAATTAAAAATGTAAAAAATCTTTAGATTGGGAAAACAAACTATAATGTCTACTGATGGATGTCCTACATACTGGAAATGTAGTGAAAATGGTGATGGTGATGTAGAATGAGGAACTGGTGCTTGTGAAGCAGGTTCACTGTGCACTGCTTACCACTTCAGAATCCTGGGCTGCACTTTTACTATGTACCTGAGTCTTGTGAGATAAAAAAACTCTCTCACACACAAATTGCATAGTTTTGTTACTTATAGATGGGCAGAAAGGGACAACAGAAGCCTACGAGTTATGATGAGCCAGTCCCCGGGGGCTCAGGAAATCTGCTCAGAGCAGATGGAGTCTCCTCTGAGAGTGCCTTATTGCTCCCAGGGTAAAAAACCCAGGGTGGGCTGCTTTCCAGGGTCCCTTGTACCACAGCTGAGGGACCCTGGAAACCAGCCCACCCTCAATTTTTCACCGTGGGAACAATAAGACACGCTGGCTGAAGCGATGAAGGATATACTGTTTCTAGGGGCAACAGGGACAGAGTCTGTGCTCTTCTGGCCACCTCCTCCTTATCTCAGGATGTTGCATGTCCAGCACATTCTAGTTAATTCTGCAGAACTACAAGTAAGAAATGGGGGAGAACTGGGTTGGTTCAACACCACCCATGGAACTGTCCTGCAGTAATGTCATGTATGGAAAATTATACGGGAATATGAAAAATCAGTAGAAAGAAAGAAAAAAAGATATTATTAGCACATAGAATAAACTCTAGACAGGTCAAAATCAAATAGAAAATTAGTAAATTGGAAGATAATATTTAGAAATGGGCTCAGAATGTAGCTGAGATAAACAAAAAGTGATTTAAAAATATGAAGGATTCATTAAAAGAAATGAAGGATAGCTGCAAAGACTGCAACATACATACTTATAGACACTCTATGAAACCCTACAAGTTCCAGGAGATGCAAATAAAGGAAATAAAGAAGCAATATTCAAAGAGATCATTTCTGAGGAATTTTCAAAGTTTGAGAAAGATGTGACTTCTTAGATTGAAAGTGTACCCCAAAAAGCATGTAGGACCGTTAAAGGTAACTCCATACCTAGTCACAAATTTGTGAAACTAGAGAACATGAAGAATAAAGAGAAAAGTCTTAAAATCTTCCAGAAAGAAAAAGAGAAAAGATTACCTAAAAGGCCTGACAATGAGAATGTGAGCAGACTTCTCACTACTAATAGTATGTGCCAGAAGATATTTGTTAATTATCTTCAAATTGCTGCGGTAAAATTACTGTCGACTAGAATTTTATATCTAGCTAACCTATCACAAGAGTGAGGGTAAAATATAGACGTTCACAGACATAGAAATAAGAGAACTTAACTAAAGCATATTCCGTAAAGAGAGGAGGAACGAAATTAAAAAAAATGATAAACACAGGAAGTGGCAAAATATGTTGATGAATTTTACTAACTTAAAAAGAAGATTGAGGGAGGCTGGCCAGGATTGCCAACTAGAAGCAGCTAGTGTGCTCTGCTCTCAGAAAGAGAAATAGAAGGGGCAAGTAAATACAGCACCTTCAATTGAAACATCCAGGTACACACATTGGGACTCATCAGGAAAACAGCTAAACCCATTGGGAACAGAGAGAAGCAAGGCAGGATTACTGCCCACCTGAGAGTGACAGGGAGCCAGGGCAGCCTCCCTCTTTCAGGGAAGTGGTGAGTGAGTGAGTGACCCCAGGGACCCATGCTTCTCCCATGGATCTTTGCAACCCTTGGGTCAAGAGAGCTCCTTGTGAACCTCTCCACCAGGGACTTCAGTCTGACACACAGAGCTACGTGAAGTCTTGGCAGAGCAGCTGCTCAGGTACATATGGAACCTGGGGAGACTTAGATACCTGGGCATCCAAGCAAAAGTGGTTGCAAGTCCAGCAAATCAGAAGGTTAGACCCCTATACATACCCATAAGAAAAGGGATGAATCCAGGGGCCTGAGAAGTGACAGTTTGCAGGCCCTGCTTCTACAGCACTTGGCAGGACAAGACCCACTGGCTTGGATCCTATTTCTCTTCACTGGCCAGAATCTATTGACTGAGGTCTGCAACCACCCCCACCAGTGTTTTCCAGGAGACATCAGTTCCAAACCTCCCTGGAATGGAGCTTCCAGAGGGAGGGGCAGGCCACAATCTTTGCTGTTTTGCAGCCTTAGCCATTGTTGCCTTCAGGCTTTGGAGAGCTCAAAGTGACTGGGGGCTGAAGCAGACCCCTAGTACAGCACAGCTGCCCTATGAAAAAGTGGCCAGGCTGCTTTTATGCAGTAGGTCCCTGATCCTGTTCTTCCTCACTGGGTGGGACCTCCTGACCAGGGTCTCCTGCCATCTCTGCCAGTGTGTTTGGGCTGGAAACCCATCCATACCTCCCTGGGATGGAGCTTCCAGAGAAAGGGGCAGGCTGACATCTTTGCTGCTTTGCAGACTTCACTGTTGATACCTTCAGGTAATAATAGAAAATCCAAGGTGACTAGGGACTGGAGCGGAACCCCAGCATACTGCAGCAGCCATATGGGAAAATGGCCAGACTGTTTTCCGTACATGTCCTGGTGCTTACTTCTCTTCACTGGGCAGAGCTGCTTGACCTGAGACACCACCACAGCCACCCTGCCATTGCCTGACCACTTCAATCAGAGGCAGCCCAGCATTTCTGTAAGGAGAAAATCCTAAAGTCAACCCACAGCCCCTCTGCCACTGCAGTTGCAGTGGTACTGCCCTAATAGCCTACAGGCTGGGGAAAGAATAAAGGCCTAGTCACTCACTCCCTGGTACCTCCAGCACACCACAGCCACCATATGGAGAGGAGTCCAGCCCCTCTGCCCTAGGAATCTTCCCCCTACACTCTTCACCAGTCAGGGCCTCCACCTCATAACTGCAGAAACATCCCACCCATGGTGGAGTATACCCACTAGTAGTGGCTTGGAGTTTTCTTGTGAAGAGGCTTCCAGAGGCATCCCACAGCCATTCTGCCACTGCCAAAGCAGCAGTTCTATCCCTGCTGCCCTTGGTCTGGGGAAGAGACAAAGAGCCTGAGGACTATACCTCAGGTTACAGAACACCACATCCACCATATGGGGAGACCAGTATCTCCTCCCAGTGAGCCCTTGACCCCCTACTCCCCAACAACAGAGTTCTAAGCTCATACCACTAGTGCTGCTGTCCCACCCCACTGGCTGAACACTCCCAGTAACAGCAGCTCTGCATTTCTTGGAGGTGGGGCCCTCAGAGGCAACCCAAAGTCCCCCTGCCATGGCCTCTGCAGTGGTACTACCCCTTCTACCCTTGGACTAACAAAGGAGCAAAAGCCCTAAGTACCTTATCCATACTTCAACAAGCAGCAGTTGACCCAAGGAGAGGAGGCCAGTTCATCTTGCATGAGTCCCACCCACCCCACTGCTCATCACTAAGCAGGGAACCCCCAGCTTGGGTCCACAGCACAGACCCCTAACTTGGGCTGATTACACTGAGAGATAGCTGACCTGTATCTCTCTAGAGCAAAGCCCCCAGGAGACAAGTAAAAGACCCTCATCACAACCACTGTGAAGGTCCTGTCCTCTGCTGCCTCCAAGTTGGGGAGGAAACATTAACCTTGAGATTACCCCAGAACTGTGTTGGGCAGCCTGGGAATGCCAAGCTGTGATCTACAGCCAGCACTGAAGTGGGAGAGGAGCTCACACTTTCAGAGCATAGAGAGGCAGCATGGCTACAGCTGTGAGGAAATATAGGAGAGCCACAAGACTGAGCAAGAGACTCTTACTGACCATTATGCCTAAGTGCCACCCACTGGATCACATCCCAAAACTTCAACACCTAAAGTATCTCACCAACTTTGTGAAACCAAAGACAAGAAGCTACAAATAATTACCCTGCACAAAGCCTTGGTCCTGTGAAAACATCCAGAAAAGAAGTCAAGAAGTCTATTGATTTTACTCAATCTTCACTGCAGTTAAAGGAACACCCACATGCAGAGATGAGAAGGAACCAACACAAGAACTCTGGTAACTCAAAAGGCCAGTGTCTTATGTCCTCCAAATGACTGCACTAGTTCTCAAAGAAGGGTTCTTAACCAACTCATTGGCTGAAATGGCAGACATAGATGGATAGGAATGAAGATCATTGAAATTCAGGAGAACAGCAAAAGCCAATCCAAGGAAACTAAGAATCACCATAAAATGATACCTGTGCTGACAGATGAAATAGCCAGTATAAGAAAGTATCTAACTGGTCTGATAGAGCTGAAAGAGACACTACAATAATTTCATAATGCAATCACAAGTATTAACAGCAGAATAGATGAAGCTGAGAACAGGATCCTGGAACTTGAAGACTAGCTCTCTGAAGTAAGATAGTGAGATGAAAATAAACAAGAATGAAGAGGAATGAACAAAAACTTTCAGAAATGTGGGATTATATAAAGAGGCCAAATCTACAAATCACTGGTATCCTTGACAGGGATGATGAGACAGCAAACAACTTGGAAAATATATTTCAGGATATCATCCATGTAAACTTCCCCAACCTCACTAAAGGGGCCAAAAATAAAATTCAGGAAACACAGAGAACCCCTGCAGGATTCTACACCAGAAGGTCATCCCCAAGACACATAATCATCAGATTTTTCAAAGTTGAAGTGAAAGAATGTTAAAGGCAGCTACAGAGAAAGGGCAGTTCACCTACAAAGGAAACCACATCAGACTAACAGTTGACCTCTCAGTGGAAACCTTACAAGACAGAAGAGATTGGGGGCCTATATTCAACATTCTTAAAGAAAAAAATGTTCAACCAAGAATGTCATATTCAGCCAAACTAAGCTTTCTCGGCGAAGGAGAAATAAGATCCTTTTCAGATGAGCAAGTGCTGAGGGAGTTCATTACCATAGAGTTTTGTATTGTTACTAGCCAATACAAAAACACACTTAAGTACACAGACCAGTGACACTATAAAGCAACCACACAAACAAACCAGCATAATAACCAGCTAACAACACAATTACAATATCAAATCTATACATATTAATACTAACCTTGAATGTAAATGGGCTAAATGCCCCATTTAAAAGGCAAAAAATAGCAATGTGGATAAAAAAGCGAGACCTGATAGTATGCTATCTTCAAGAGATCCATCTCACATGCAGTTACACCCATAGGCTCAAAATAAAGGGATGAAGGAAAATCTACTGAGCAAATGGAAGTCTGAAAAAAGCAGGGGCTGCAATCCTGATTTTAGACAAAACAGACTTTAAACCATTAAAGATAAACATTGACAAAGAAGGGCATTATATTAATATAATGGTAAAGAGTTAAGTTCAACAAGAATACCTAACTATCCTAAAAATATATCCTGTGTTCCCAACACAGGAGCACCAAGATTCATACAGCAAGTTCTTAGAGACCTCCAAAAAGACATAGTCTTGCACACAATAAAAGCGGAAGACTTCAGCACTCCACTGACAGTATTAGACCAATCATTGAGGCAGAAATTTAACGAAGATTTTCAAGAACTAAACTCAGCACTGGATCAATGGACCTGATAGACACCTACAGAACTCTCCACCCCAAAACAACAGAATATACCTTCTTATTGCTACATGGCACATACACTAAAATCAACTACATAAACAGACATAAAAGAATTCTCAGCAAATACAAATGGACTGAAATCATAACAACCACTCAGTTGGACTGCAGTACATTAAGATTAGAAATCCAGAGTAAGAAAATTACTCAAAACCACAAAATTACATGGAAATTGAATAACCTGCTCCTGAATGACTTTTGGGTTAATCATGAAATTAAAACAGAAATCAAAAAGTTATTTGAAACTAATAAGACCCACAATACAACATACCAGAATCTCTAGGACACAGCTAAGGTAATGTTAAGAGGGAAATTTATTGCACTAAATGCCCACAACAGAAAGTAAGAAAGATAGCAAATTAACAACCTAACATCACATTGAAAAGAACTAGCAAAGCAAGAGCAAACCAACTACAAAGCTAGCAGAAGGCAAGAAATAACCAAAATTGGAGCTGAAATAACCAATTGAAGGCAAGAAATAACCAAAATTGGAAACTGAGCAGAAAACCATTCAAAAGATCAACAAATCCAGGAGTTGGTTTTTTGGAAAAAAGAAAAAAGATAAATAGGCCACTATTTATCTTATTATTGTAATAAGACTAATAAAGAAGAAAAGAGAGAGGATCCAGATAAACACAATTGGAAATGACAAAGGGAATATTAACACTGACTCCACATAAATACAAATGACCATCAGAGACTGCTACAAACACGTTTATGCACACAAACTAGAAAACCCAGAGGAGAAGGATAAATTCCTGGGCACATACACTCTCTCAAGACTGAACTAGAAGAAATTAAAACCCTGAACAGACCAATGATGATATTCAAATTGAATCAGTAATAAATAGGCTACCAACCATAAAAAACCCAGGACCAGATGAATTCACAGCCAAATTCTACCAGATGTACAAAGAAGAGCTGGTACCGTTCCTACTGAAATTATTCCAAAAAATTGAGGGGAGGGACTCCTCAATTCATTCTATGAGGCCAGCATCATCCTGATACCAAAACCTGTCAAAGACACAACAAAAAATAAAACTTCAGACCAATATCCTTGACAAATATTGTTTGTCAAAAAAATACTGGCAAATCAAATGCAGAAGCACATCAAAAAGCTAATTCACCATGTCCAAGTAGGCTCTATCCCTGGGATGCAATGTTGGTTCAACATATGCAAATCACCAAACGTGGTTCATCACATAAACAGAACTAAAGACAAAAATCAAATGATTATCTCAATAGATGCAGAAAAGGCTTTCTATAAAATTCAATATCTCTTCATGTTAAAAACCCTCAATAAATTAGGCAGTGGAGGAACAGACCTCAACATAATAAAAGCCATTTATGACAAACCCACAGCCAAAATCATAGTGAATGAGCAAAAGCTGGAAGCATTCCCTTTGAAAACCTGCACTAGACAAGGATGCTCTCTTACTTTTCCTATTTAACATAGTATTGGAAGTCCTGGCCAGAACAATCAGCAAGAGAAAGAAATAAAGGACATCCATATAGGAAGAGAGGAAGTCAAATTACCATTGTTTGCAGACTACATGATTTTATACCTAGAAAACCCAATAGTCTTGGCCCAAAAGCTTATTAAGATAATAAACAACTTCAGCAAAGTTTCAGGATACAAAATCAATGTACCAAAATCACTAACAGTCCTATACATCAGCAGCAGCCAAGTGAAGAGCCAAGTCAGGAACACAATCCCATTCACAATAGCCACAAAAGGAATAAATAACCTGGGAATACAGCTATCCCGAAAGGTGAAAGATGTCTGCAATGAGAAGTACAAAACAATTCTGAAAGAAATCAGAGATGACACAAACAAATGAAAAAACATTCCATGTTCATAAATCAGAAGAATCAGTATAATTAAAATGACCATACCACCCAATTTACAGATTCAATGTTAATTGTACCAAACTTTTAAACACATTCTTCATAGAACTAGAAAAAATTATTTTAAAATTCATATGGAACCAAAAAGGAGCCCAAATAGCCAAGACAATCCTAAGCAAAAAGAGCAAAACTGAATGCTTCATGCTACCAGATTTCAAACTATACTACAGGGCTAGAGTAATCAAAACAGCATGGTACTGGTACAAAAACATACACATAGAGCTATAGAACAGAATAGAGAATCCAAAAATAAGGTCAAACACCTACAACCATCTGATCTTTGACAAAGTCAGCAGAAACAAGCAGTGTGGAAAGGAATCTCTGTTCAATAAATGGTGCTGGGATAACTGGCTAGCCACATGCAGAAGATTGAAACTGGACCCCTTCCTTACACCATATACAAAAATTAACTCAAGATGGATCAAAGGCCTAAATGTAAAACCCAGAAATATAGAAACCTTGGAAGACAACCTGGACAATACGATTCTGGACACAGGAACTGGCAAATATTTCATGATAAAGATGCCAAAAGCAATCTCAACATAAGGGAGGAGACCACCCCACATATTGTCTTATGCCCAATTTCTGCCTCCAAAGAAAGAAGTAAAAACTAAAAGGCAGAAATGACATCCACAGGCAGACAGCCCAGCGCCCCACCCTGGGCCTGGTTAAAGATCAACCCCTGACCTAACTGGTTATGTTATCTATAGATTCCAGACATTGTATGGAAAAGCACTGTGAAAATCCCTGTCGTGTTCTGTTCTGATCTGATTACTTGTGCATGCAGCCCCCAGTCACGTACCCCCTGCTTGCTCAACTGATCACAACCCTCTCACATGGACCCCCTTAGAGTTGTAAGCCCTTAAAAGGAACAGGAATTTCTCACTTGGAGTGCTTGGTTTTTGGAGATGTGAGTCTTGCCAAAGCTCCCGGCTGAATACAGCCCTTCCTTCTTTAACTCGGTGTCTGAGGGGTTTTGTCTGTGGCTTGTCCTGCTACATTTCTTGGTTCCCTGACCAGGAAGTGAGGTAATTAATGGATGGATGGTTGAGGCAGCCCCTTAGGCAGCTTAGGCCTGCCCTGTGGAGCATCCCTGCAGGGGACTCTGGCCTGCTTGAGCAACATGGATCCTGAGAGCACTCCTGGGTAGGCATTTGACCTGGTAGAATGCCTTGTCAGAGTGGTGCATGGCAGGCCTCTGTGGAGGATCAACACAGTGGCTGAACACTGGGAAGGAACTGGTACTTGGGGTCCAGATATCTGAAACTTGGTAAGACCAGTCTTTGGAACTAGCCCACTCCATTTGAGTGGAAGCGTGGCCTGATCACCCACGACATGCCTGTACTGGCACTTTGGTTTTTAACTTGACTTGGATTGCTTGATACTTTGGTTTTGGTTTTGACCTGGCTTGGATTTCTTGGTACTCTGATTTTGGTTTTGATTCTGGTTTGGTGTAAACTGTAAAAGTGTGTGTGTGTGCCTTTTTACCCGTTCTTTGTTTTGTGGTGTACGTGTGGTTTGAGCATGGTGTTTTGTCTCAAGGAAGCATGGGTCAGGCACAAAGTAAGCCCGCCCCACCAGGAACTATGTTGAAAAATTTCAAGAAAGGATTTAAGGGAGACTATGGAGTACTGTGACACCAGGAAAACTTAAAACTTTGTGTAAGATTAGAGGTGCGTTGGCCATCGGAATGAAGCCTGGACAGGTCCCTTGTTTCAAAGGTATGGCACAAGGTAACCCATAAGCCAGGGCACCCAGACCAGTTCCTGTACATAGAGATTTGGTTACAGCTGGTTTTAGACACCCCCCACCACAGTGGTTGAGAGAATAGCAGCATAAGTTGCTGGCAGAGGAAAGGAAAGACCAGCAGAGAGAGACAGAGAGAGAGAGAGAGAGAGGAAAGAGACAGAGAGAGAAAGAGGCAAAAAGAGAGAGGAAAAGACAGAGGAAGAGACAGAGAGACAAAGAGGGAGTCAAGGAGAGAGAGAGAGAAAGAGACAGGCAGAGAGAGAGAGGAAGAGACAGAGGCAAAAGGGAAGTCAAAGAAACAAAGTCAAAGACAGAAAGAAACAGAGAAAGAGAGTAATATACAAGTAGTTAAGAAAAAATAAAACAGTGTACCCTATTCCTTTAAAAGCCAGGGTAAATTTAAAACCTATAATTGAAGGTCTTCTCCATGACACTACAACACGACAATACCACCTTGTTGTAAGTGTAAACAAGGGCATAGCCCGAAAGCACTGAGGCCACTGACAACCTGTAGCCTCCCTATCAAAAATCCTTAACCCAGTAACCTGTGGATGGCCCAGATGCATTCAATCTGTAGCGGCAACTGCTTTGCTAACAGAAGAAAGTAGAAAAATAACTTTTAGAGGAAACCTCATTGTGAGCACATCTCACCAGGTCAGAAGTATCCTAAGTAAAAAAAAAAAAAAAAAAAAAAAAAGGTGATTTAACATTAACCACTGAAAATTCCCTTAACTCAGAAGGTTTCCTAACAGGGGATCTAAATCTTAATTACCATACAAAGGTCTGACCAGACCTAGGAGGAACTCCCTTCAGGAAAGGAGGATAGATGTTTCCTTCTGGGTAATTGAAGGGAGAAAAAAAAAAAAAAGCCATCTATACCGGTTCTAAGTTAATTTGGACTAAACAAGATCTTATTAATAGCAAAGGATAATTGAAATCCCAAACTTACAAGGTTTTCAACAAAAGTAAAGTTTGCTAAAAGTTAACAGTGTAACATGTATTATAGTAACTTCTAATCTTGTGGCCTTAGACAGTCTAGTCCACAGACATAAAGGAAGTTCACTTTGGAAAAGAATGGTTATCATCTTCCAGAAAAAAAAGTGAAATAAAGGGGGGAGGGCAGAATTTATGTAAAAAGAATGTTATATGGTAAATTATTGTCCTGAAATAACTTAACTGGTTGTTTAAAGAAAAAAATGTTTGTAATAAGTCAGAAAATTGAGGCATGTCAAAGAATTGTCTGTGAAAATCATGAAAAAATGTTATAAAAAAGAATTTATGCCAGAAATGCATAATTTAAAAGTAATAAGGCCTCCTGAGTACTATTGAAGAAACAGTTTATGTGCAAGGTGTATAAGGAAAGTAAAATATACCTTTGGTAAAAGGATTATAAGGAGGCATGAGAAAGCAAATTTTTACATACACTAAAATATCAAAAACATTTTTGTTTTGAAGGTTTAAGCAAGTTTTAAAATGTCAATTGTAAAGAAAATTCTGTGTGTAAACATATTAGCTAAAGTTAAAGGCGTATCATCCAGTTTTTCTTTGAACTGGACATTAAAGGAAAAACACAAAGGGTTTTTCTTAAAGCACTAACCTGCTCTTTAACAAAGATTATAAAAGGTTAAAAAGAGTCTATAAAAATCTTACCTTATGGTCTGACATTAAAAATTAAATAAATATATCTACAACGTTTTATTAAAACTAAGTTTAACATTAGTAACACACTAATATAAAGGTGAAATTTAGCTTATCTGGTATAAAATTATACAGGAAGCATTGTCAAATATAAAATGGTGTTTGGCTTCTTTGATCTAAAAACTAATAAAAATAGGTGCTGAATGAAATTTCTCAGTAGAAAGGCACTAAGGACTATAAAATAAAGTCCACTGCTGATGTCCCCACATTTAAAACAAAAGGTCAATTTCTTAAAAATTATATACTTGGTTTATCTTCCACTTTCCTTTCCCTCAAAACTAAAAGTCTTTAAACACATGTACCACCCCTAGAATTTCCAGTAAACCAGCACCAGCCTGAAGATCACATTCTCATCAAAAGTTGAAAAGAAGGGAAACTCGAGCCAGCCTAGGAAGGACCCTACCTTGTGCTGCTAACCACCGAGAATGCTGTTCGTACAGTGAAAAAAGGATGGACTCATCACACCCGAGTCAAGAAAGCGCCACCCCCTCCAGAGTGGTGGGCCATAGCCCCAGGGGAAAACCCTACCAAACGAAAGCTAAGAAAAATTTAACCCTTTCATCTATTCTATTACTCTTTCTTTTTTCCTTGTTCTGTTGCTGACCATCTAGTTATTAACATAACCAAGTCAATTTCACCTCAAACTGTTGCATTTAATGCTTGCCTTGTT
Organism: Homo sapiens; assembly: GCF_000001405.40. Lineage (NCBI taxonomy): Eukaryota > Metazoa > Chordata > Mammalia > Primates > Hominidae > Homo > Homo sapiens. Next base: position 103,227,201 of record NC_000004.12, read on the forward strand.
ATACCCTGTGGGGACTTGCCAAGTCAAAGACAGCTCTCTACTTCAGAAAAGTACCTCTGTCCCTCCTGACTCTCCTCAGACTGGGCATTAGTAAATTAGGACCATTTAATCTGGGGAAATTTCGATAAAGACTCCAGTGTCAACCAGGAGTCTAGCCCCCCAGTGTGGAGCTTTTATGCTGTAGTTGGTCTAACGTTCTGTGGACCACTAAAGAGCAAGGATGGTCTGCCCCAACAGATTTTTGTAATTTCCTAAAATTATACATTCATTTTACTAGAGGATCATAGAAGTTAAAGACTTAAAACAAACTTTGGCAATTAAGACAGGATACCAAGGTCCAAATGCCTGGTTGAAATGGATCAACTATTCCATCCACATGTTAAACAAAAGCAATTGTTATGCTTGTGCACATGGCAGGCCAGAGGCCCAGATTGTCCCCTTTCCACTAAGGTGGTACTCCAGTCGACCAGGCGTGGGCTGCATGGTAGCTCTTTTCTAGGATTCTACGGCCTGGAGTAATAAGTCATGCCAAGCTCTTTCTGCTACATCCCAAAGTCCGGCACCCTGTGGGTCAGCCCCTGAGGCCCATCCAGCCTCCGTCTCCCAACACTAAGGTCACTTTGTGTCTCTCACAACAGGGAGGAAATTTAGCGTTCCTTGGAGACCTGAAGGGATGCAGAAACCTTAAGAATTTTCAAGAGCTTATCAATCAGTCAGTCCTTGTTCATCCCCGAGCAGGTGTGTGGTGGTATTGTGGTGGACCTTTACTGGGCACTCTGCTGAATAACTGGAGTGGCACTTGTACTTTAGTTCAATTGGCTATCCCTTTCACCCTGGCATTTCATCAACCGGAGGGAGGAAAAATAAGACATTGTAAAGTGAGAGAACTCCTTTATGGGTCTTTCGACTCTCACGTCTATTTAGATGCAATTGGAGTCTCACAGGGAATACCAGATCAATTTAAAGCTGAAATAAAAAAGCTGCAGGATTTTAAGTCAACATTTTGGTGGGTAACAGTTAATAAAAATGTAGATTGGATAAACTACATCTGTTACAACCAACAGCAACGAGCTTTTCATGAGTTAAAAGAAAAACTCATGTTGGCCTCAGCCCTGGGGCTACCTGACCTGACAAAAGCCTTTACATTCTATGCATCAGAAAGAGAAAAAATGGCAGTTGGAGTTTTAACCCAGACTGTGGGGCCCTGGCCAAGGCCAGTGGCCTATCTCTTAAAACAACTAGATGGGGTTTCCAAAGGCTGGCCCTCATATCTAAGGGCCCTGGTAGCAATGGCCCTGTTAGCACAAGCAGCAGATAAACTAACCCTTGGGCAAAACCTGAATATAAAGGCCCCCCATGCTGTGGTAACTTTGATGAATACCAAAGGACATCATTGGCTAACAAATGCTAGATTAACCAAGTACCAAAGCTAGCTATGTGAAAATCCCCACATAACCATCAAAGTTGGCAACACCCTAAACCCTGCCACCTTGTTCCCAGTATCAGAGAGCTCAGTTGAACATGACTGTGTAGAGGTATTAGACTCAGTTTATTCTAGTGGGCCCAACCTCCAAGACCATCCTAGAACATCAGTAGACTGTGAGCTGTACATGGACAGGAACAGCTTTGCCAACCCCTGCAAAGTGACTCTGAAGGAAACGACAAAGCCCTGCTCCATTCACACCCTGAAGCTGACTGGCCCACACATGGCCGAAGCATGAGAAAACTCATTGTGGGACTCATTTTCCTTAAAATTTGGACTTACAGAGTTAGGACTTCAACTGACCTTCCTCAGACTGAGGACTGTTCCCAGTGTATACATCAAGTCACTGAGGTAGGACAAAAAGTTGCTACAGTCCTATTATTTTATGGTTATTATAAGTGTACCAGGACTCTAAAAATAACTTGTTTGTATAATGCTGTTCTATACAAGGTATGTAGCCCAGGAAATGACCAACCCGATGCATGTTATGACCCATCTGAGCCTCCCATGACCACAGTTTTTTGGTTTTTTGAAGTAAGATTAAGGACTGAGAACTGATGGGGGCTCATAAATGATGTGAGTTAGCCAAAACAGAAGAAAAAGGGGTGCCCAGACAAGTCACCTTGAAATTTGATGCCTGTGCTATCATTAATAGTAATAAGTTAGCAATAGGATGTGGTTCTCTTAATCAGAAAAGAGGCTATATGGCAGAAAATCAGTACATTTGTCATGAATTAGGACTGTGTGGAAATGAATGTGGATACTGGTCTTGTGTCATTTAGGCTACTTGGATAAAAAATGAAAAGTATCCCATCCACTTTCAGAAAAGGAAAAGTGGCCGTTCCTGTACCGGTTGTCAGTGTAACCCCTTAGAACTAGTAATAACCAACCCCCTTAATCCTCGCTGGAAAAGAAGGGAGTGTGTAACCCTAGGAATCAATGGGGCTGGACTAGATCCTCTAGTAAATATTGTGGTTTAAGGAGAAGTTTATAAACGCTCTCCTGAGCCAATATTTCAAACCTTGTATGATAAACTGAATGTGCCAGTACCAAAAATTCCAGGAAAAACAAGAAATTTGTTTTTGCAATTAGCCAAGCATGTAGTCTAGTCTCTCAATGTCACTTCATGTTATATATGTGGAGGAACTGTATAGGAGATCAATGGCCATGGGAAGCCCAAGAATTAGTACCTACAGACCCAGTTTCTGCTGAATTCCTGACTCAAAAGAATTACCCTGATAACTTCTAGGTCCTAAAAGTCTCAATCATTAGACAATACTGTATAGCAAGACTAGGGAAGGACTTCACCCTTCCTGTGGGAAGACTCAGCTGCCTTGGGCAAAAATTGTATAATAGTATTACAAAAACAGCCACCGAGTGGAGTTCAAAGCACATTAAGAAAAATTCATTTGGTAAATTCCCAAAGTTGCAAACCGTGTGGACCCACCTGGAGTCCCACCAGTACTGGACAGCCCCCACTGGATTATACAGGATATGTGGACATAGAGCTTATGCCAAATTACCCAACCAGTGGGCAGGTAGTTGTGTTATTGGCACTATTAAACCATCTTTCTTCCTACTGCCCATAAAGACAGGCAAACTCCTGGGCTTCCCTGTCTATGCTTCCTGCGAAAAAAGAAGCATAGCTATAGGAAATTGGAAAGATGATGAATGGCCCCCTAAGAGAATCATACAATATTATGGGCCTGCTACTTAGGCACAAGATGGCTTATGGGGATACCGGATCCCATTTACATGCTCAACCAAATCATACGGTTACAAGCTGTCTTAGAAATAATCACTAATAAGAATAGCAGAGCCTTGACTATTCTGGCCCGGCAAGAAACTCAGATGAGAAATGCTATCTATCAAAATAGATTGGCTCTTGACTACTTGCTAGCAGCTGAAGGAGGGGTCTGTGGGAAATTTAACCTTACTAATTGCTGTCTACACATAGGTGGTCTAGGGCAAGTAGTTGAAGACATAGTTAGAGATATGACAAAACTGGCACATGTGCCCGTGCAAATGTGGCATGGATTTGATCCTGGGGCTATGTTTGGAAAATGGTTCCCAGTGCTAGGAGGATTTAAAACTCTTATAATAGGAGTTATAATGGTAATAGAAACCTGCTTACTGCTCCCTTGTTTGCTACCTGTACTTTTTCAAATGATAAAAAACTTCATCGCTACCTTAGTTCACCAAAATCCTTCAGCACAGGTATACTATATTAATCACTGTTGATGTGTCTTGCAAGAAGACATGGGTAGTGAGAACTCACACTAATAAGTGAAATTCTCAAAGCAGGGGAATAAGGGAGGAGACCACCCCTCATATTGTCTTATACCCAATTTCTGCCTCCAAAGAAAGAATAAGTCAAAACTAAAAGGCAGAAATGAAATCCACAGGCAGACAGCCTGGCGCCACACTCTGGGCCTGTTTAAAGATCGACCCCTGACCTAACCAGTTATGTTATCTATAGATTCCAGACATTGTATGGAAAAGCATTGTGAAAAATCCCTGTCCTGTTCTGTTCCATTCTGATTACTGGTGCATGCAGCCCCCAGTCACATACCCCCTGCTTGCTCAATCGACCACAACCCTCTCATGTGGACTTCCTTAGAGTTGTAAGCCCTTAAAAGGGACAGGAATTGTTCACTCAGAGAGCTTGGTTTTTGGAGATGTGAGTCTTGCTGAAGCTCCTGAGCCACATAAAGCCCTTCTTTCTTTAACTTGGTATCTGAGGGGTTTTGTCTGCAGCTTGTCCTGCTAGAAACAAAAGCAAAAATTGACAAATGAGATCTAAGTAAACTTAAGAGCTCAGCACAACAAAGGAAACTATCAACCGAGTAAACAGACAACCTACAGAATGGAAAAAAATTTTCGCAAACTATCCATCTGACAAAGGTCTAATATCCAACATCTATAAGGAACTTAAACAAATTTACAAGGAAAACACTCCATAAAAAAGTGGGCAAAGGACATGAACAGACACTTTCCAAAAGAAGACATACATGTGGCCAAGAGTCATATGAAATAAATCTCAATATCACTGATTATTAGAGAAATGCAAATCAAAACCACAGTGAGGTACCAGCTCATACCAGTCAGAATGGCTATTATTAAAAAGTCAAAAAATAACAGATGTTGGCAAGCTTGAGGAGAAAAGGAAACACTTATACACTGTTGGTGGGAGTGCAAATTACTCGAATCATTGTGGAAAGCAGTATGGTGAGTCTTCAAGGAGCTAAAAGCAGAACTACCATTTGACCCAGCAATCCCATTACTGGGTGATATGGTTTGGCTGTTTCTTCACCCAGATCTCATCTTGAATTTCCATGTGTTGTGAGAGGGACCCAGTAGGAGGTAATTGAATCATGGGGGCAGGCATTTCCTGTGCTGTTCTCATGATAGCAAATATGTCTCATAAGATCCAATGGTTTTAAAAAGGGAAGTTTCCCCACACAAGCTCCCTCTTCTCTTGTCTGCCACCATGTAAGACATGCCTTCCACCTTCTACCATGATTATGAGCCTCCCCAGGCACATGGAACTGTAAGTCCATTAAACCTCTTTCTTTTGTAAATTGCCCAGTTTCTGGTATGTCTTTATCAGCAGTGGGAAAGCAGACTAATAGAGTAAATTGGTACCAGTAGAGTGGGGCACTGCTGGAAAGATACCCAGAAAGTTGCTGGGAGCAATTTGTTATAGGAAGAGGTTAGAACGGTTTGGAGGGCTCAGAAGAAGACAAGAAAATGTGGGAAAGTTTGAAACTCCTTAGAGACTTGTTGAATGGCTCTGACCAAAATGCTGATAATGATATGGACAATAAAATCCAGGCTGAGGTGGTCTCAGATGGAGATGAGGAACATGTTGAGAATTGGAGCAAAAGTGACTCTTGTTATGTTTTAGCAAAGAGCTGGTGGCATTTTTCCCCTGTCCTAAAGATTTGAACTTTCAACTTGAGAGACATGATTTAGGGTATCTGGCGAAGTAATTTCTAAGCAGCAAAGCATTCAAGAGGTGACTTGGGGCTGTTAAAGGTATTCAGTTTTAAAATGGAAACAGAGCATAAAGTTCAGAACATTTGCAGTCTGACAATGTGATAGAAAAGAAAAATCCCATTTTCTGAGGAGAAATTCAAGCCGGTTGCAGGAATTTGCATAAGCAATGAGAAGTTGAATGTTAATCCCCAAGACAATGGGAAAAACGTCTCCAGGGCATGTCAGAAGTCATCACAGCAGTACTCCCATCACAGCCTGGAGACCTAGGAGGAAAAAGTGGTTTCATGGGCTGGGCCCAGGGTCCACATGCTGTGTGCAGTCTAGGGACTTGGTGCCCTGTGTCCCAGCTGCTCCAGCCATGGCTGAAAGGGGCCAACATAGAGCTCAGTCCATGGCTTCAGAGGATGTAAGGCCCAAGCTTTGGCAGCTTCCATGTAGTGTTGAGACTGTGAGGGTGCAGATGTCAAGAATTGAGGTTTGGGAACCTCCTCCTAGATTTCAGAAGATGTATGGAAATGCCTGGATGCCCAGGCAGAAGTTTGCTGCAGGGGAAGGGCCCTCATGGAAAACTTCTGTGAAGGTGATTTGGAAGGGAAATGTCAGAGCCCTCATACAGTGTCCCTAATGGGGCAGTGCCTAGTGGAGGTGTGAGAAGAGGGCTACCATTCTCCAGAACTTAGAATGGTAGATCTACTGACAGCTTGCACTGCGCACCTGGAAAAGCTACAGACACTCAATGCCAGCCTGTGAAAGCAACTGGGAGGGAGGCTGTACCCTGCAAAGCCACAGGGGTGGAGCTGCCCAAGACCATGGGAACCCATCTCTTGCATCAGCATGACCCAGGATGAGAGACATGAAGTCAAAAGAGATCATTTTGGAGCTTTAAGATTTGACGGCCCTGCTGGATTTTGGACTTACATGGGGCCTGTAGCCCTGTTGTTTTGGCCAATTTTTCCCATTTGGAATAGCTGTATTTACACAATTCCTGTACCCCCCACTGTATCTAGGAAGTAACTAACTTGTTTTTGATTTTACAGGCTCATAGGTGGAAGGGACTTTCCTTGTTTCAGATGAGACTTTGGACTGTGGACTTTTGAGTGAATTCTGAAATGAGTTAAGACTTTGGGTGACTGTTGGGAAGGCATGACTGGTTTTGAAATGTGAAGACATGAGATTTGGGAGGGGGCCAGGGGTGAAATGATATGGTTTGGCTGTGTCCCCACCCAAATCTAGTCTTGAATTTCCACATGTTGTGAGAGGGACCTGGTAGGAAGTAACTGAATCATAGGGGCAGGCCTTTCCCATGCTGTTCTCATGATAGCAAATAAGTCTCATGAGATCTGATGGTTGTGAAAAGGGGAGTTGCCCCACACAAGCTCTCTCTCCTCTTGTCCGCCACCATGTGAGACATGCCTTCTGCCTTCCACCATTATTGTGAGGTGTTGCCAGCCACATGGAACTGTAAGTCTATTACACCTCTTTCTTTTCTAAATTGCCCTGTCTCAGGTATGTCTTTATCAGCAGCATGAAAACTGACTAATACACTGGGTATATACCCAGAGGAATATAAAGCATTCTACCATAAAGACACATGCATGTGAATGTTCATTGCAGCACTATCCACAGTAGCAAAGACATGAAATCAATCTAAATAACCATCAGTGGTATACTGGATAAAGAAAATATGGTACATATACACCATGGAATATGATACAGCCATTGAAAAAGAATGAGATCATATTCTTTGCAGGAACATGAATGGAGCTAGAGGCCATCATCCATAGCAAACTAACACAGGAACAGAAAACCAAATACTGCATGTTCTTTCTTATAAGTGGGTGCTAAATGATAGGAACACATGGACACAAAGAGGGGAGCAACTGACAGCAGGTTCTACTTAAGGGTGGAGGGTAGGAGACAGGAGAGGATCAGAAAAAAATAATATATTGGGTCCAAGGCTTAGTAACTGGGTGATGGAATAATCTGTACAACAAACCCCTGTGACACAGTTTACCTATGTGACAAATCTGCATATGTACCCCAGAACCTAAAATAAAAGTTAAAACAAAAGATTATAAAAATAACTCAGCTTTTAGAATGTGTTTGTTTGTAAGAGATAACAAAACCCTAGCAAAAAACAATAAGGAATACAGGGTAGTAGTAATATTCAAAGTGTAGTTGAAGCATGTTAAAGATTTTGTTTGCTTTGGAGGAAACAAAATGTCTCCAATAACGCCCTCAGATTTTGTTAGAAAAACTTACGGTTAACTATGCACCAGTTAGGTTCTATAGATTAGCTAGAATCTCCTTTACCATGATACCTATATATCTGTGCGTAAATTCCACTTCCTGAATTCAGAAATATACTTGGATGAGGCTTTCATTGGTGAGGTTGAAGGTGACAAGTCCGGGCTGTGGTTGTGTCTGAGTGTGCTGTGCTATTCTATACCCTGCCATATTACACAGTTCATGACTCCAGATTGTCATCCACCTGTACCTTGTCAACCCGCATCCACAGATCCTGACTGGCATATGAGCATATGGACAAGGAGAAGGACATTTATGCTGACTGAATTTCTGATATGTCCCTTAATTATGTAGACATTATTATCCATACAGGTGAAGCTCTTAAAGTTTGAACTGCTATCTCTTCTAGAGAATGTTACTAATATTTTTTCTGTAAATTCTATTTTTGATGGCTTTCTTCCCTATCCTTTAGAGCAGTAAACCCTGTTTGATCTACCCAAATGATATTTGGTCTGTCATTTCTTCCAATATGATCTTACAAATTATTATACTATAGGTTCCAACTAGTAGAGGAAATTTATAACCCTCAAACATGAAGAGAAAAACAATGTACATGTGTATGTGTGCATGTGCATGTATGCGTGTGGGTGTGCTTGCGGGAAGAAGTATAGAAAATGTTATCAATTCAACAGAAAGCAGGAATAAGGATGGACAAAGTATGAGATAGAAAATACCAAATCAGAGTAGAAATGAGCCCTGATACATAGAAAATTTCTCTAAAAAGTCACTCATAAAAAAGAGATTATCACTTTGGACACAAAGAAAAAACACATTAATGTTGCTTTTACAAGAGACTGATTTAAAACAAAATAACACAGGAATATTGACAATAGAGTGATGAAAAGAGATGCACCAGATATCTGTTGTCCTAAAAGAAACAGTACAAAAGTAACATAATAATCATGAATTTGTATGTGCTAGCAATAAAGCTTTGAAATATGGAAAGTAAACATGGATAGAATTTTAGGGAGAAATTGACAAATGCACATTCAAATAAAAAATATTAATAAGGTTATGCAAGTGTTAAACAACTTGATTAATAAGCTTGGTCTTAACAAGTGTTAACAAACTTGGTTTATTATAGAAATTTATCCTGCAAAATAAATATGCGTTTATTTTTCAGGTACATAGAATTAATTACTTATTTTTATCCTACAGAAACTCTGTACCATGGAGGGTTTAGCAGTGCTGTACCGCTACTACCACTCTTCCTACTAAAATTATTACCACTATTATTACTGTTACTAGTTTATTACTAATAGCCTACACTAATTTAGCATTTAAATGTACATGAAACATGCCTAATATGCATTTTCTCATTTAAAAACCAGAACAATATTTTGAATATACATGCTTTCTCATTCAAAGTGCAAAGAATATCAGTAGTGACAAAACATTTTCTGTTATTTAGGTTAAGAGTATTGTATGTGAGGTAATGCATATGCTTATTAGCTAGATTTAGTCATTTCACAGTGTATATATACTTCATAACATCATATTATACAATGGTAAATACATACAATTTTATCTGTTGATGTAAAAAAAAATTTAAGAAGCATATTCCATCACTGTTAATGGATAACCTATCAGACGTAATGAGAAGAATCTTTTAAAAACCTACCTGCCATGAAAGCATCACTATAGAAAACATATCACTACTATCAGAATGGCAGAGAAACTGGATCAATTATACAATGCTGGTGGGAATGTAAAATGGCACAGCCATTCTGGAAAACAGCTTGGCAGTCTCTTTAAAAGAAAACTAAATATGCAGTAAATATGCATTATTGGGCATTTATCATAGGGAAATGAGAACTTATGTTCATGCAAAATCCTGTTCATGAATATTCTTAGCAGCTTATTCGTAATATCAAAAACTGGAAGCAACTCAAATGTCCTTCAACGGGTGAATGGTTAAACAAACTGTGTTCCATCCATACCATTCAATACTACTTAGCAATATGAAGGAATGAACTATTGATACAAGCAACAATTTGGATGTATCTTAAGGTAATTAGGCCGAACGAGAAAAGCCAATCTTAAAATGTTACATACTATTGGCCAGGCATGGTGGCTCATGCCTGTAAACCCAGCACTTTAGGAGGCCGAGGTGGGCAGATCACAAGGTCAGGAGTTCGAGACCAGCCTGGCCAAAATAGTGAAACCCTATCTCTACTAAAACTACAAAAAATTAGCTGGGCGTGGTGGAGAGCGCCTTAATCCCAGCTACTCGGGAGGCTGAGGCAGGAGAATCACTTGAACCCAGGAGTCGGAGGTTGCAGTGAGCCGAGATCACGCCATTGCACTCCAGCCCAGGTGACAGTCCAAGACTCTATCTAAAAAAAGAAAAAAAGTTACATACTATCAGATTCTGTTTATATTGTGTTCTTGAAATAAAATTGTAGAGATCGATGGAACACAAATTAGTAGTTGCCAGGTGTTAGGGATGGGAGGTTGGAGTTGAGTGGGTGTTGCCATAAAGAGGTAGTGGTTATGGGAGCCTTGCAGTGATAAATCAGTTCTGTATCTTCAGGGTGATGGTTACACAGATCTACAGCAGATCACACACATACACACACGCACACACACACACACACACACACGTACTTACAAAACTAGTGAAATCTGATAAACTCTGTGGATTGTACCGATGTAATTTTCTTGGTTTTGATATTGTACATTAGTTATGCAAAAATGTTATCATTGGGAGAAACTGGATGAAGGGTAAAAGGCACCTCCCTGTACATGGTTTTTTTTTTTTTGAATTTCCTGTGAATCTACAATTATTTAAAAACTAAAAGTTAAAAAAGTGATCTATTCAATATTTGTCTTTTACAGTTGATTATCATAATTTTTGTGTTAAAAATTGTGAAAGCCCTGAATCAATATTTAATAAGATAAGTTTCTGTGAATGTGGATGGTAGGCTCTTTACATTCCAGGGAACATAGTTATAAATGTTTTTCCTTTTCTTGACAAAGGAAGAGGTTTTTGGTTTGTTTGTTTAGACAAACCCACATGTTTTTAGAAAAAAGTAATTTATTTATTTTATTTTATTTTATTTTATTTTTGTTGTTCCAGTTATATCTTTTTTTTATTATTATACTTTAAGTTCAAGGGTACATGTGCACAGCGTGCTGGTTTCTTACATATGTATACATGTGCCATGTTGGTGTGCTGCACCCATTAACTCATCATTTACATTAGGTATATCTCCTAATGCTATCCCTTCCCTCTCCCCACACCCCACAACAGGCCCTGGTGTGTGATGTTCTCCTTCCTGTGTCCAAGTGTTCTCATTCTTCAATTCCCACCTATGAGCAAGAACATGTGGTGTTTGGTTTTTTGTCCTTGTGATAGTTTGCTGAGAATGATGGTTTCTAGCTTCATCCGTGTCCCTACAAAGGACATGAACTCATCCTTTTTTATGGCTGCATAGTATTCCATGGTGTATATGTGCCACATTTTCTTAATCCAGTCTATCATTGATGGACATTTGGGTTGGTTCCAAGTCTTTGCTATTGTGAATAGTGCCACAATAAACATATGTGTGCATGTGTCTTTATAGCAGCATGATTTATAATCCTTTGGGTATATACCCAGTAATGGGATGGCTGGGTCAAATGGTATTTCTAGTTCTAGATCCCTGAGGAATCACCACATTGACTTCCACAATGGTTGAAATAGTTTACAGTCCCACCAACAGTGGAAAAGTGTTCCCATTTCTCCACATCCTCTCCAGCACCTATTGTTTCCCGACTTTTTAATGATCACCATTCTAACTGGTGTGAGATGGTATCTCATTGTGGTTTTGATTTGCATTTCTCTGATGGCCAGTGATGATGAGCATTTTTTCGTGTGTCTGTTGGCTGCATAAATGTCTTCTTTTGAGAAGTGTCTGTTCATATCCTTCACCCACTTGTTGATGGGGTTTGTTTTTTTCTTATAAGTTTGTTTGAGTTCTTTGTAGATTCTGGATATTAGCCCTTTGTCAGATGAGTAGATTGCAAAAATTTTCTCCCATTCTGTAAGTTGCCTGTTCACTCTGATGGTAGTTTCTTTTGCTGTGCAGAAGCTCTTTAGTTTAACTAGATCCCGTTTGTCAATTTTGGCTTTTGTTGCCATTGCTATTGGTGTTTTAGTCACGAAGTCCTTGGCCATGCCTATGTCCTCTATGTCCTGAATGGTATTGCCTAGGTTTTCTTCTAGGGTTTTTATGGTTTTAGGTCTAAGATTTAGGGCTTTAATCCATCTTGAATTAATTTCTGTATAAGGTGTAAGGAAAGGATCCAGTTTCAGCTTTCTACATATGGCTAACCGGTTTTCCCAGCATCATTTATTAAATAGGGAATCCTTTCCCCATTTCTTGTTTTTGTCAGGTTTGTCAAAGATCACATGGTTGTAGATGTGTGGTATTATTTCTGAGGGCTCTGTTCTGTTCCATTGGTCTATATCTCTGTTTTGGTAGCAGTACCATGCTGTTTTGGTTACTGTAGCCTTGTAGTATAGTTTGAAGTCAGGTAGCATGATGCCTCCAGCTTTGTTCTTTTGGCTTAGGATTGTCTTGGCAATGTGGGCTCTTTTTTGGTTCCATATGAAGTTGACAGTAGTTTTTTCCAATTCTGTGAAGAAAGTTATTGGTAGCTTGATGGGGATGGCATTGAATCTATAAATTACCTTGGGCAGTATGGCCATTTTCATGATATTGATTCTTCTTATCCATGAGCATGGAATGTTTTTCCATTTGTTTGTGTCCTTTTTTATTTCATTGAGCAGTGGTTTGTCGTTCTCCTTGAAGAAGTCCGTCACATCCCTTGTAAGTTGAATTCCTAGGTATTTTATTCTCTTTGAAGCAATTGTGAATGGGAGTTCACTCATGATTTGGCTGTCTGTTTGTCTGTTTTTGGTTTATAAGAATGCTTGTGATTTTTGCACATTGATTTTGTATCCTGAGACTTTGCTGAAGTTGCTTATCAGCTGAAGGAGATTTTGGACTGAGACGATGGGGATTTCTAAATATACAATCATGTCATCTGCAAACAGGGACAATTTGACTTCCTCTTTTCCTAATTGAATACCCTTTATTTCTTTCTCCTGCTTAATTGCCCTGGCCAGAACTTCCAACACTATGTTGAATAGGAGTAGTGAAGGAGGGCATCCCTGTCTTGTGTCAGTTTCCAAAGGGAATGCTTCCAGTTTTTGCCCATTCAGTATGATATTGGCTGTGGGTTTGTCATAAATAGCTCTCATTATTTTGAGATACATCCCATCGATACCTAATGTATTGAGAGTTTTTAGCATGAAGGGTTGTTGAATTTTGTCAAAGGCCTTTTCTGCATCTATTGAGATAGTCATGTGGTTTTTGTCTTTGGTTCTGTTTATATGCTGGATTATGTGTATTGATTTGTGTATGTTGAACCAGCCTTGCATCCAAGGGATGAAGCCCACTTGATCATGGTGGACAAGATTTTTGATGTGCTGCTGTATTTGGTTTGCCAGTATTTTATTCAGGATTTTTGCATTGATGTTCATCAGGGATATTGGTCTAAAATTCTCTTTTTTTGCTGTGTCTCTGCCAGGCTTTGGTATCAGGATGATGCTGGCCTCATAAAATGAGTGAGGGAGGATTCCCTCTTTTTCTATTGATTGGAATAGTTTCAGAAGGAATGGTACCAGCTCGTCCTTTCACCTCTGGTAGAATTCGGCTGTGAATCCATGTGGTCCTGGGCTTTTTTTGGTTGGTAAGCTATTGATTATTGCCACAATTTCAGAGCCTGTTATTGGTCTACTCAGAGATTCAACTTCTTCCTGGTTTAGTCTTGGGAGGGTGTATGTGTCCAGGAATTTATCCATTTCTTCTGGATTTTCTAGTTTATTTGCATAGAGGTGTTTATAGTATTCTCTGATGGTTGTTTGTATTTCTGTGGGATCAATGATGATATCCCCTTTATCATTTTTTATTGCGTCTATTTGATTCTTCTCTCTTTTCTTCTTTATTAGTCTTGCTAGCGGTCTATCAATTTTGTTGATCTTTTCATAAAACCAGCTCCTGGATTCATTGATTTTTTGAAGGGTTTTTTGTGCCTCTATCTCCTTCAGTTCTGCTCTGATCTTAGTTATTTCTTGCCCTCTGCTAGCTTTTGAATATGTTTGCTCTTGTTTCTCTAGTTCTTTTAATTGTGATGTTAGGGTGTCAATTTTAGATCTTTCCTGCTTTCTCTTGTGGGCATTTAGTGCTATAAGTTTCCCTCTACACACTGCTTTGAATGTGTCCCAGAGATTCTGGTATGTTGTGTCTTTTTTCTCATTGGTTTCAAAGAACATCTTTATTTCTGCCTTCATTTCGTTATGTACCCAGTAGTCATTCAGGAGCAGGTTGTTCAGTTTCCATGCAGTTGAGCGGTTTTGTGTGAGTTTCTTAATCCTGAGTTCTTGTTTGATTGCACTGTGGTCTGAGAGACAGTTTGTTACAATTTCTGTTCTTTAACATTTGCTGAGGAGTGCTTTACTTCCAACTATGTGGTCAGTTTTGGAATAAGTGTGATGTGGTGCTGAGAAGAATGTATACTCTGTTGATTTGTGGTGGAGAGTTCTATAGATGTCTATTAGGTCTGCTTGGTGCAGAGCCGAGTTCAGTTCCTGGATATCCTTGTTAACTTTCAGTCTCGTTGATCTGTCTATTGTTGACAGTGGGTTGTTAAAGTCTCCCATTATTATTATGTGGGAGTCTAAGTCTCTTTGTAGGTCTCTAAGGACTTGCTTTATGAATCTGGGTGCTCCTGTATTTGGTGCATATATATTTAGGGTAGTTAGCTCTTCTTGTTGAATTGATCCCTTTACCATTATATAATGGCCTTTTTTGTCTCTTTTGATCTTTGTTGGTATAAAGTCTGTTTTATCAGAGACTAGGATTGCAACCCCTGCCATTTTTGTTTTCCATTTGCTTGGTAGATTTTCCTCCACCCTTTTATTTTGAGCCTATGTGTGTCTCTGCACTTGAGATGAGTCTCCTGAATACAGCACACTGATGGGTCTTGACTCTTTATCCAATTTGCCAGTCTGTGTCTTTTAATTGGATCATTTAGCCCATTTACATTTAAGGTTAATATTGTTATGTGTGAATATGATCCTGTCATTATGATGTTAGCTGGATATTTTGCTCATTAGTTGATGCAGTTTCTTCCTGGCATCGATGATATTTACAATTTGGCATGTTTTTGCAGTGGGTGGTACCAGTTGTCCCTTTCCCTGTTTAGTGTGTCCTTCAGGAGCTCTTGTAGGGCAGGCCTGGTGGTGACAAAATCTCTCAGCATTTGCTTGTCTGTAAAGGATTTTATTTCTCCTTCACATATGAAGCTTAGTTTGGCAGGATATGAAATTCTGGGTTGAAAATTCTTTAAGAATGTTGAATATTGGCCCCCTCTCTCTTCTGGCTTGTAGAGTTTCTGCCGAGAGATCTGCTCTTAGCCTGATGTGCTTCCTTTGTGGGTAACCCAACCTTTCTCTCTGGCTGCCCTTAACATTTTTTCCTTCATTTCGACTTTGGTGAATCTGAAAATTATGTGTCTTGGAGTTGCTCTTCTTGAGTAGTATCTTTGTGGTGTTCTCTGTATTTCCTGAGTTTGAATGTTGGCCTGCCTTGCTAGGTTGGGGAAGTTCTCCTGGATAATATCCTGCAGAGTGTTTTCCAAGTTGGTTCCATTCTCCCCATCACTTTCAGGTACACCAATCAGACATAGATTTGGTCTTTTCACATAGTCCCATATTTCTTGGAGGCTTTGTTCATTTCTTTTTATTCTTTTTTCTCTAAACTTCTTTTCTCACTTCATTTCATTCCTTTGATCTTCAATCACTGATACCCTTTCTTCCAATTGTTCGAATCAGTTACGGAAACTTGTGCATTTGTAATGTAGTTCTCGTGCCATGGTTTTCAGCTCCATCAGGTCATTTAAGGACTTCTCTACACTGATTATTCTAGTTAGCCGTTTGTCTGATCTTTTCTCAAGGTTTTTAGCTTCTTTGTGTTGGGTTCGAACTACCTCCTTTAGCTCAGACAAGTTTGATCATCTGAAGCCTTCTCCCAACTCGTCAAAGTCATTCTCTGACCAGCTTTGTTCCATTGCTGGCAAGGATCTGCATTCCTTTGGAGGGGGAGAGGCGCTCTAATTTTTAGAATTTTCAGCTTTTCTGCTCTGTTTTTTCCCCATCTTTGTGGTTTTATCTACCTTTGGTCTTTGATGATGGCGATGTACAGATGTGGTTTTGGTGTGGATGTCCTTTCTGTTTGTTAATTTTCCTTCTAACTTTCAGGACCCTCAGCTGCAGGTCTGTTGGCATTTGCTGGAGGTCCACTCCAGACCCTGTTTGCCTGGGTATCAGCAGCAGAGGCTGCAGAACAGCAAATATTGCTGAACAGCATATGTTGCTGCCTGATCGTTCCTCTGGAGGCTTCATCTCAGAGGGGTACCAGGCTGTGTGAGGTGTCAGTCTGCCCCTACTGGGGGGTGCCTCCCAGTTAGGCTACTCAGGGGTCAGGGACCCACTTGAGGAGGCAGTCTGTCTGTTCTCACATCTTAGACTCCGTGCTGAGAGAACCACTACTGTCTTTACAACTGTCAGACAGGGACATTTAAGTCTGCAGAGGTTTCTGCTGCCTTTTCTTCAGCTATGCCCTGCCCCCAGAGGTGGAGTCTACAGAGGCAGGCAGGCCTCCTTGAGCTGCAGTGGCCTCCACCTAGTCTGAGCTTCCTGGCAGCTTTGTTTACCTACTCAAGCCTCAGCAATGGTGGGCGCCTCTCCCCCAGCCTCACTGCTGCCTTGCAGTTTGATCTCAGACTGCTGTGTTAGCAATGAGCGAGGCTCTGTGGGCATGGGACCCTCTGAGCCAGGTGCAGGATATAATCTCCTGTTGTGCTCTTTGCTAAGACCATTGGAAAAGCGCAGTATTAGGGTTGGAGTGACCTGATTTTCCAGGTGCCATTTTTCACAGCTTCCCTTGGCTAGGAAAGGGAATTCCCTGACCCCCTGTGCTTCCCAGGTGAGGCGATGCCTCACCCTGCTTCAGCTCATGCTTGGTGGGCTGCACACACTGTCCTGCACCCACTGTCTGACAAGCCCCAGGGAGATGAACCTGGTACCTCAGTTGGAAATGCAGAAATCACCCGTCTTCTGTGTCGCTCACGCTGGGAGCTGTAGACTGGAGCTGTTCCTATTTGGCCATCTTGGAACCACCCCCCAATTTATTTAATTTTTATAGATTGCCAATTATGTAGAACTTCAAGGTAATACTGTGTCTTAGTTGTCTTTATTTGCTTCTATAGCCTGAAACAACCAAAATACAGTAATCATTTCTGACACTCAACACATGCTTGCTGATTTCTTAATTTTGCTGCCCCTATTCTGCACTGTTATGCCAGATGTGTAACTCCCTCTTTCCTTGGTGTTCATGAGAAAACAATTTGAGCAATTTCCTAACTAAGGCGTTTGTGTGGGCAGCTGACTTTTCAGGTATGACTAAATGAATATGGTTTACATGATACAATGCAGGCCACTTAATATTTAAGATTTTAAATGCCTCTTTTTAAAAGTTCTTTGGTGGCTTTTTTCATAGACCTGTTATCTCTGTAGGTGGTAGACTTCTGTCATGTAGCCTTAATCCTTTCTCTCTATAAACTTTTCCCACTTCTCCCTTTTATATTCTTTCTTGCCCATACATTTTTTTCGTTAAACAAATTCAGAGTGGTTTTTGGTCTAATTGTTCTCTTCTACTCATCTGTCCAGAGCCTCACCTTTCATTCCTAACAAAGACAATTTTTTTTTTTTTTGAGACAGAGTCTCACTCTGTTGCCCAGGCTGGACTGCAGTGGTGCTATCTCTATCTCGGCTCACTGCAAGCTTTGCCTCCCAGGTTCATGCCATTCTCCTGACTCAGCCTCCTGAGTAGCTGGGACTACAGGTGCCTGCCACCATGCCTGTCTAATTTTTTGAATTTTTAGTAGAGACGGGGTTTCACTGTGTTAGCCAGGATGGTCTCGATCTCCTGACCTCGTGATCTGCCCACCTCAGCCTTCCAAAGTGCTGGGATTACAGGCGTGAGCCACTGCACCTGGCCGACAATTTCTTTTTAAGTGGAGCTTAGACACTGGTTATTGATTACTTGCAACTTGTCCTATAGCAGTTGTAAAAAACCTCTTTAATGCTTTTTGCAACAATTTGGGGTGTAAGTGAACAAATAAAAGAAAGTTTTGTATATACTACACAGAAATGTGTAAATATATGACTAAAATATATGCATAAAAATGTTCATAGCAGCATTATTTGTAATGGCCATGAAAAAAAGGAAACAACCAAATGCTTATCAACAGTGGAATGAATAGTATGTTCATCCTATATTCTGCACTATATTACATTAGTAATATAGCACCACCACCACCACTACCCTTTACCCTGCTTCATGATATTTCTTGCAGTGAAGATCCCCACCTGATAATTAACATGTATTTATTTGTTTGTTGTTTATCTTACCAAACTAGCATGAAACCTCCAAATTGCAAAGGATGTGCCTATTTCTTATATAGTACAAAATAGGGACAGGAAAATTAAGAAACCAGCAAACATGTTAGTATCTGAAATGATTCATATGTTTTGTTCATTATAGGCTATAGAAACTTTGCTCCAACCCACTGGGATAGGAAACCACTAAAAAATTGCAGTCCTAATACTGGGACTAACCCGTGGCAGGGAATGTTGCTGCCATACACTCCTAGAGACACCACAGGGCATGCACGTCTGATCCTGATCTGCCCATCCTGCACCATGAGCAGACCCCAACTGGAGATGGAGGATGACGGTGAACATAGGCTTGTCACCCCTGATGACACTACCAGGGTCCTCACAATCCTGGCTGGAGGGCAGCAACAGTCACAGAGCAGGGGCTTGGAGGGGATGGCTGGCTGGAATCCCAGGTACTAAGTACCAGGGACCTAGAGCAGGTGGCTGAAAACCTATCCAGGGGAGGTGGGAAGGCAGCAGGCTGTAGGGTCTATAGGACTAAGACTCCAAGTCCTGAAACATGCTCCATTGTCCTATCAGATTTCACTTCCATAATACAAGTTCAAACAAAAAATTAAGGATTTCAAGAAAGTGACTGTGGAGCTTTAAGCCCAAAGTACGGTGCCTTTCTGAGTGTTGGTCCTGTGTGGCTGCACTTATCTCATGGTTGTGGAGCCAGGCCTGTGTGCAACATAAGAATAAAAAAAAAAAAAAGAAAAGAAACAAAGATAACTAAGTCCTACCTTAAAGTTGTACATAATTGACAATCTATAGCAATGAAATACAATAGAGCTAATGCTACATTACAGTGACATGGGTAAAGCTCCACAATTCAATGTTGGGCAGAAACCAGACATAAAAAAATACCGTTTGATTTATTTCGATAAAGTTCACAAATAGGAAAAACAAATCAGTAATGTTAGAAATCAGGATAGTGGTTTCTTTTGGGAAAGTGGCCTTAGGGGGACTTCTAGGGTACTGGTAATATTTTATTTCTTGAAATTCATGGAGGCTACAAAAGTATGTTCACTTTGTGAATGTTCATTGCATTTGTATATTATGTATTATGGTATACATAGTTGGTATAGTAATTATAATAGCTAGTTTATAGTTTGTGTATTATTTATATCATACTTCAGTTACATAGTTTCTTTTTAGAAAGGCGAGTTAAGTATTCTCATTTCTATTTCTTAATTGTGCAAATTAACTTAGAAGATTGATTTATTTGGCATTGAATCAGCTGTAGAACACAGGTCTAGTGCTTCTGTATCACTGCTACAGCTTTCAAAAAAAGTTTACTTAAATTAACATCCATTTAGATAATTAAACTTTTCCTGCCATTCTTCACCTTTTACTTTCTCTATAAAAGACCATGTAGTAGATATTTTGGGCTTTAAGGGTCATATGGTCTCTGTTGTAACAATTCAACTTTGCCAATATAGTGCAGAATCAGCCATAGACAATACATAAAAGAATGAATGTGATGGTGTTTCAACAGAACTTTATTTATAGGTAATAAAACTTGAATTTTATATAATTTTTACGTATTATGAAATAGTATTCTTCTTCTGTTTTCTTTGCAACCATTCAAAAATATCAAAACCATTCTTAGTTCCTGAGCCATACATAAATGGGTGGCAGACTAGATTTGTCCATGAGCCTCAGTTTGCCAACCCCTGTTTAAGGAGGTTTATTTGCAGTATTGATGTTAGTTATAATTTATATCCATAATTTATGTGTTTCCTTATATTCATGGGCAAAGGAGTAGCACCCCACCTTCCATTCTGTCAAGCTCTTTAAATTGTAACATTTTCAACTTGTTTAGTATATCACTAATTTCATGGCTCATAGGTTAAGCCAGAAAGTTCCCTGGAAAACACTTCAGTTTGCAAGTTCTCTCCTGTGTTTTCTTTCATTTCTTCCCTTTGCATTTAATGAGAATAAACAAAATGTTCTGGAATAAGAACAAGTAGATTCATCAAATGTCAACAGCTGTTGAACCATCTGTTATTGAAAAAGTGTTTGATTAGCACCCTAGGGCAATCAAGCCACTTTAGCTGCGGGTGTACTAAGTGAAAGAGGAAATAGAAGGCACAGCTAACTAATGATGGGTTTCACTATTGATAAGAGCCCACCTCATTTGGAAAAAGATGGACATAACAAAGGAGTAGTAACTAAAAGACTGCTAATAAACTGTCCTTCGTAAGAACTCATGTTTATTTTGGTGAAAATATTAAAGAAAGTCATGGAAGGTGAAAAGAAAGAGCTGAAAAAGTTACCTGTTAATATGTGAAATCAAAATCTGTTGGTCTGTATGTCATTGATTCTCAGTTGACTTCCTGGGCTTGAATGCTAGACATTTCCCACAAATGTGGTACCAGATTTTGCTCATCGAGTTTTGGCTACAGCTGAGAATGAAAGCTATTTTAGAAATGTCTGGCAGACTGAACTCACAGCCCTGAGTGTCATAAGATGTGGTGTAGTTGATCCTACTTCCATAAAGCTGGAAAAAAGATGTGGTGAAGAGTGGAGCAAAAATTGCTGCAAGGAACATAGAAGAGGTGGCATACATCCACAAACTTAGCACCTAGGAAAGATTTGGGTTTACTGAAACAAATGAGAATTTGGCCGGTGGAGATTATGGGATGGAATTCAAGGCAGTAAACGCTTCTATTCAAACAGCAAGACAGTGCTAAAGGTCATCCAAGGAAATGCAGTAATATGTGACTACAACTGCATTTCTTTGAATGTGCATCCAAAAATTCCAGTATTTTGTGTAAAGTGTGCCATGAACACAATCATGGCTTAAATAAGTGTTTCTCAACGTGAACACTGCTGGGACATTGGGGAGGGTAATTTTTTTGTTGTAAGAATAGTCTCACATGCTTTGCAGGGTGTTTTTCATCCCTGGTGCCACCCACTAAATTATGACCATATCCCCCAGCTATTGTGACAACTAAAACATCTTTACATCTTCACACTCTTCCAAATGCCTGTTAGAGATATAATACCACCAATCCTCATTAAGAAACGCTGGTTTAAATAATACACTTCTTCTATGTTGTGAATCTTATTCACACTGGAACTTTGTCAGGCTATTTGATGGACAGGTGGCTTATACGCTACTAGAGTTTGCAAAAATAGACGCCTTGGCAATAATACATAGAGATATGAAATGCTTCTTTTGCCCTACAGAAGAACAAAGTAAGAAGGACACATTAAATAAAAGATGTTCATCCCTAAAATTAAAGTATATTGTTCTTTATTCTCTCTTTTATATACATAAGGGGTATATTAAAGTTTGTATTTGGCCATTTCTAATAAGCAGGACTTAAAAAAATTTCAATAGATTTAGGGATACAAGTTGTTTTTGGTTACATGAATGAATTGTATAGTAGTGAAGTCTGGGCTTTTAGTGTATCCATCACCCAAATAGTGTACATTTTACCCAATAGGTAACTTTTCATCCCCTCCCCTCTCCAACCCTCCCTGCTTCTGAGTCTCCAGTGTTCATTATACCACTCCATTTGCCTTTTCATACACATAGCTTAGCTCCCACTTATAAGTGAGAACATGAAGTATTTAGTTTTCCATTCTTGAGTTACTTCACTTAGGATAATGGCCTCCAGTTCTATGCAAGTTGCTGCAAGTGACATTATTTTGTTCTTTTTTTATGGCTGAGTAGTATTCCATGATATATACACATGTATGTGTATATGTGTATGTGTGTGTATATATAAAAAAGTATATAAAACAAAATCACTTTTAGTTACATGAACTAATGCCTCATATAAAATAAAAAATATATATGATATACATACATATATGTATATACATCATGGAATACTGGTGTGTATATATATGTGGTATGTATGTATGTGTAATATACATATCTGGTGTGTATATATATATGTGTTGTGTGTGTATATATATATATGTGGTATATAAACATGCACACACACAGACACACACACACCCCACATTTTTGTTATCCACTCATCAGTTGTTGGGCACTTAGGTTGACTCCTTATTTTTGCAATTGTCCTGCAATCAACATACATGTGCAGGTATCTTTTTTTTTTCCCTTTTTGCACATATCAAAGTTTTATTCAACCCATTAATGAGAGAACCATCCAAAAGACAAGATCTCTACTTCCTAGAGTATGTGAACAGAGATTTATAGTCTGTTAGCAAAGCAATACTGAAATAAGATTCCTAAATTAGATACACGTTGGTTAGTTTCCCACAGGGCAATACAGTTGTAACTTTTGGGGTAATCTTTCCTACCAGACCCATGAAGCAAAAAGAGACAGAGGTGGAAAGGAGGAAATGGTGATACCTCGAACTCAGGAGAAACTGATACTGGATTTATCTTTCGCAATATCCAATGTCTCCTTCAAACATCTGGACCTCTCTCAAGGACACCAGCTATTATCTTTTGCCCTTGCTCTTAGCTGTTAAAGCTTTTTTTTTACAGAATTTTCATAACCACTGCTTTCTTTTCCTTCCCACTGATACCCTTACAAACTTCAGTTTCTTATCATCTCGTTGTGAAAGTCAGTTAAGCAAACAAAACTCTTCTGGAGTGTTTAAGATTCCAGAAAACTTCTCAAATCACTTTTCATTTCTACTATAAGTTGTTCATTTAACACCACAAAGACAAATGGAACTCATAAATTGTGAATACTCTGCCCCTTTAAGAAAACTTTAGTATGTTTTTACATTTCTTTTTTTTTTTTTATTTCACTTTAAGTTTTAGGGTACATGTGCACATTGTGCAGGTTAGTTACATATGTATACATGTGCCATGCTGGTGTGCTGCACCCACTAACTCGTCATCTAGCATTAGGTATATCTCCCGATGCTATCCCTCCCCCCTCCCCCCACCACACAACAGTCCCCAGAGTGTGATATTCCCCTTCCTGTGTCCATGTGATCTCATTGTTCAATTCCCACCTATGAGTGAGAATATGCGGTGTTTGGTTTTTTGTTCTTGCAATAGTTTACTGAGACTGATGATTTCCAATCTCATCCATGTCCCTACAAAGGACACGAACTCATCATTTTTTATGGCTGCATAGTATTCCATGGTGTATATGTGCCACATTTTCTTAATCCAGTCTATCATTGTTGGACATTAGGGTTGGTTCCAAGTCTTTGCTATTGTGAATAATGCCGCAATAAACATACGTGTGCGTGTGTCTTTATAGCAGCATGATTTATAGTCATTTGGGTATATACCCTGTAATGGGATGGCTGGGTCAAATGGTATTTCTAGTTCTAGATCCCTGAGGAATCGCCACACTGACTTCCACAATGGTTGAACTAGTTTACAGTCCCACCAACAGTGTCAAAGTGTTCCTATTTCTCCACATCCTCTCCAGCACCTGTTGTTTCCTGACTTTTTAATGATTGCCATTCTAACTGGTGTGAGATGGTATCTCATTGTGGTTTTGATTTGCATTTCTCTGATGGGCAGTGATGATGAGTATTTTATCATGTGTTTTTTGGCTGCATAAATGTCTTCTTTTGAGAAGTGTGTGTTCATGTCCTTCGCCCAGTTTTTGATGGGGTTGTTTGTTTTTTTCTTGTAAATTTGTTTGAGTTCATTGTAGATTCTGGATATTAGCCCTTTGTCAGATGAGTAGGTTGGGAAAATTTTCTCCCATTTTGTAGGTTGCCTGTTCACTCTGATGGTAGTTTCTTTTGCTGTGCAGAAGCTCTTTAGTTTAATTAGATCCCATTTGTCAATTTTGTCTTTTGTTGCCATTGCTTTTGGTGTTTTAGACATGAAGTCCTTGCCCATGCCTATGTCCTGAATGGTAATGCCTAGGTTTTCTTCTAGGGTTTTTATGGTTTTAGGTCTCACATTTAAGTCTTTAATCCATCTTGAATTGATTTTTGTATAAGGTGTAAGGAAGGGATCCAGTTTCAGCTTTCTACATATGGCTAGCCAGTTTTCCCAGCACCATTTATTAAATAGGGAATCCTTTCCCCATTGCTTGTTTTTCTCAGGTTTGTCAAAGATCAGATAGTTGTAGATATGTGGCATTATTTCTGAGCTCTCTGTTCTGTTCCATTGATCTATATCTCTGTTTTGGTACCAGTACCATGCTGTTTTGGTTACTGTAGCCTTGTAGTATAGTTTGAAGTCAGGTAGTGTGATGCCTGCAGCTTTGTTCTTTTGGCTTAGGATTGACTTGGTGATGCGGGCTCTTTTTTGGTTCCATATGAACTTTAAAGTAGTTTTTTCCAATTCTGTGAAGAAAGGTATTGGTAGCTTGATGGGGATGGCATTGAATCTGTAAATTACCTTGGGCAGTATGGCCATTTTCACGATATTGATTCTTCCTACCAATGAGCATGGAATGTTCTGCCATTTGTTTGTATCCTCTTTTATTTCCTTGAGCAGTGGTTTATAGTTCTCCTTGAAGAGGTCCTTCACATCCCTTGTAAGTTGGATTCCTAGGTATTTTATTCTCTTTGAAGCAATTGTGAATGGGAGTTCACTCATGATTTGGCTCTGTTTGTCTGTTATTGGTGTATAAGAATGCTTGTGATTTTTGTACATTGATTTTGTATCCTGAGACTTTGCTGAAGTTGCTTATCAGCTTAAGGAGATTTTGGGCTGAGACAATGGGGTTTTCTAGATATACAATCATGTCGTCTGCAAACAGGGACAATTTGACTTCCTCTTTTCCTAATTGAATACCCTTTATTTCTTTCTCCTGCCTAATTGCCCTGGCCAGAACTTCCAACACTATGTTGAATAGGAGTGTTGAGAGAGGGCATCCCTGTCTTGTGCCAGTTTTCAAAGGGAATGCTTCCAGTTTTTGACCATTCAATATGATATTGGCTGTGGGTTTGTCATAGATAGCTCTTATTATTTTGAAATACATCCCATCAATACCTAATTTATTGAGAGTTTTTAGCATGAAGGGCTGTTGAATTTTGTCAAAGGCTTTTTCTGCATCTATTGAGATAATCATGTGGTTTTTGTCTTTGGCTCTGATTATATGCTGGATTACATTTATTCATTTGCTTATATGGATCCAGCCTTGCATCCCAGGGATGAAGCCCACTTGATCATGGTGGATAAGCTTTTTGATGTGCTGCTGGATTCGGTTTGCCAGTATTTTATTGAGGATTTTTGCATCAATGTTCATCAAGGATATTGGTCTAAAATTCTCTTTTTTTGTTGTGTCTCTGCCTGGCTTTGGTATCAGAATGATGCTGGCCTCATAAAATGAGTTAGGGAGGATTCCCTCTTTTTCTATTGATTGGAATAGTTTCAGAAGGAATGGTACCAGTTCCTCCTTGTGCCTCTGGTAGAAATCCGCTGTGAATCCATCTGGTCCTGGACTCTTTTTTGTTGGTAAGCTATTGATTATTGCCACAATTTCAGATCCTGTTATTGGTCTATTCAGAGATTCAACTTCTTCCTGGTTTAGTCTTGGGAGAGTGTATGTGTCCAGGAATTTATCCATTTCTTCTAGATTTTCTAGTTTATTTGCGTAGAGGTGTTTGTAGTATTCTCTGATGGTAGTTTGTATTTCTGTGGGATCGGTGGTGATATCCCCTTTATCATTTTTTATTGTGTCTATTTGATTCTTCTCTCTTTTTTTCTTTATTAGTCTTGCTAGCAGTCTATCAATTTTGTTGATCCTTTCAAAAAACCAGCTCCTGGATTCATTAATTTTTTGAAGGGTTTTTTGTGTCTCTATTTCCTTCAGTTCTGCTCTGATTTTAGTTATTTCTCACCTTCTGCTAGCTTTTGAATGTGTTTGCTCTTGCTTTTCTAGTTCTTTGAATTGTGATGTTAGGGTGTCAATTTTGGATCTTTCCTGCTTTCTCTTGTGGGCATTTAGTGCTATAAATTTCCCTCTACACACTGCTTTGAATGTGTCCCAGAGATTCTGGTATGTTGTGTCTTTGTTCTCATTGGTTTCAAAGAACATCTTTATTTCTGCCTTCATTTTGTTATGTACCCAGTAGTCATTCAGGAGCAGGTTGTTCAGTTTCCATGTAGTTGAGTGGTTTTGAGTGAGATTCTTAATCCTGAGTTCTAGTTTGATTGCACTGTGGTCTGAGAGATAGTTTGTTATAATTTCTGTTCTTTTACATTTGCTGAGGAGAGCTTTACTTCCCAGTATGTGGTCAATTTTGCAATAGGTGTGGTGTGGTGCTGAAAAAAATGTATATTCTGTTGATTTGGGGTGGAGAGTTCTGTAGATTTCTATTAGGTCCACTTGGTGCAGAGCTGAGTTCAATTCCTGGGTATCCTTGTTGACTTTCTGTCTCGTTGATCTGTCTAATGTTGACAGTGGGGTGTTAAAGTCTCCCATTATTATTGTGTGGGAGTCTAAGTCTCTTTGTAGGTCACTCAGGACTTGCTTTATGAATCTGGGTGCTCCTGTATTGGGTGCATATATATTTAGGATAGTTAGCTCTTCTTGTTGAATTGATCCCTTTACCATTATGTAATGGCCTTCTTTGTCTCTTTTGATCTTTGTTGGTTTAAAGTCTGTTTTATCAGAGACTAGGATTGCAACCCCTGCCTTTTTTTGTTTTTCATTGACTTGGTAGATCTTCCTCCATCCTTTTATTTTGAGCCTATGTGTGTCTCTGCACGTGAGATGGGTTTCCTGAATACAGCACACTGATGGGTCTTGACTCTTTATCCAATTTGCCAGTCTGTGTCTTTTAATTGGAGCATTTAGTCCATTGACATTTAAAGTTAGTATTCTTATGTGTGAATTTGATCCTGTCATTATGATGTTAATTGGTTATTTTGCTTGTTAGTTGATGCAGTTTCTTCCTAGTCTCGATGGTCTTTACACTTTGGCATGATTTTGCAGCAGCTGGTACTGGTTGTTCCTTTCCATGTTTAGTGCTTCCTTCAGGAGGTCTTGTAAGGCAGGCCTGGTGGTGACAAAATCTCTCAGCATTTGCTTGTCTGTAAAGTATTTTATTTCTCCTTCACTTATGAAGCTTAGTTTGGCTGGATATGAAATTCTAGGTTGAAAATTCTTTTCTTCAAGAATGTTGAATATTGGCCCCCACTCTCTTCTGGCTTGTAGGGTTTCTGCCGAGAGGTCTGCTGTTAGTCTGATGGGCTTCCCTTTGTGGGTAGCCTGACCTTTCTCTCTGGCTGCCCTTAACATTTTTTCCTTCATTTCAGCTTTGGTGAATCTGACAATTATGTGTCTTGGAGTTGCTCTTCTCGAGGAGTATCTTTGTGGCGTTCTCTGTATTTCCTGAATCTGAATGTTGGCCTGCCTTGCTAGATTGGGGAAGTTCTCCTGGATAATATCCTGCAGAGTGTTTTCCAACTTGATTCCATTCTCCCCATCACTTTCAGGTAAACCAATCAGACGTATATTTGGTCTTTTCACATAGTCCCGTATTTCTTGGAGGCTTTGCTTATTTCTTTTTATTCTTTTTTCTCTAAACTTCCCTTCTCGCTTCATTTCATTCATTTCATCTTCCATTGCTGATACCCTTTCTTCCAGTTGATCGCATCGGCTCCTGAGGCTTCTGCATTCTTCACGTAGTTCTCGCACCTTGGTTTTCAGCTCCATCAGCTCCTTAAACACTTCTCTGTATTGGTTATTCTAGTTATACATTCTTCTAAATTTTTTTCAATGTTTTCAACTTCTTTGCCTTTGGTTTGAATGTCCTCCCGTAGCTCAGAGTAATTTGATCGTCTGAAGCCTTCTCTCAGCTCGTCAAAGTCATTCTCCATCCAGCTTTGTTCCATTGCTGGTGAGGAACTGCGTTCCTTTGGAGGAGGAGGGGTGCTCTGCTTTTTAGAGTTTCCAGTTTTTCTGTTCTGTTTTTTCCCCATCTTTGTGGTTTTATCTACTTTTGGTCTTTGATGATGGTAATGTACAGATGGGTTTTTGGTGTGGATGTCCTTTCTGTTTGTTAGTTTTCCTTCTAACAGAGAGGACCCTCAGCTGCAGGTCTGTTGGAATACCCTGCTGTGTGAGGTGTCAGTTTGTCCCTGCTGGGGGGTGCCTCCCATTTAGGCTGCTCGGGGGTCAGGGGTCAGGGACCCACTTGAGGAGGCAGTCTGCCTATTCTCAGATCTCCAGCTGCGTGCTGGGAGAGCCACTGCTCTCTTCAAAGCTGTCAGACAGGGATATTTAAGTCTGCAGAGGTTACTGCTGTCTTTTTGTTTGTCTGTGCCCTGCCCCCAGAGGTGGAGCCTACAGAGGCAAGCAGGCCTCCTTGAGCTGTGGTGGGCTCCACCCAGTTCGAGCTTCCCGGCTGCTTTGTTTACCTAATCAAGCCTGGGCAATGGCGGGTGCCCCTCCCCCAGCCTCGCTGCCGCCTTGCAGTTTGATCTCAGACTGCTGTGCTAGCAATCAACGAGACTCTGTGGGCGTAGGACCCTCCGAGCCAGGTGTGGGATATAATCTCGTGGAGCGCCATTTTTTAAGCCAGTCGGAAAAGCGCAGTATTCGGGTGGGAGTGACCCGATTTTCCAGGTGCCATCCGTCACCCCTTTCTTTGACTCAGAAAGGGAACTCCCTGACCCCTTGCGCTTCCCAAGTGAGGCAATGCCTCACCCTGCTTCGGCTCGCGCATGGTGCGCGCACCCACTGACCTGCGCCCACTGTCTGGCACTCCCTAGTGAGATGAACCCCGTACCTCAGATGGAAATGCAGAAATCACCGTCTTCTGCGTCGCCCACGCTGGAAGCTGTAGACCGGAACTGTTCCTATTCGGCCATCTTGGCTCCTCCTCGCAGGTATCTTTTTGATATAGTGAATTCTTTTCCTTTGGGTAGATACCCGGTAGTGGGATGTTGAATTGAATGGTAGATCTACTTTTAGTTCTTTGAGAAATCTCCATACTGTTTTTCATATAAAATAATTGTTAATGTTTAAAAGAGTGATAATTTTTTAAATAAAAAGAATCCTTTTCTTTTAGACATACACTGAAATATTTATGAATTAAATGGAATGTTTAGTACTTGCTCTTCATTGGAGAGTATCTTGCCCCATTGACCCTCCAGGATTGTTTAGAATTTGTGGTGATATCTGAACAGCTCAGGCAAGCTTTAGGGTAACATATTCATAAAGATTGTACTTCTTGGAGAAAATGAAAATGAATATGCTTAATGGATCATTCTGCCATCTCTTTATCATCCATTAACTTTTCATTATCTACCTCTAGCAGAGAAATAGGCATTGCTTGTTCATTGCTTCCCTGAAATTAGATTAAAATGTCTCACTTGTTTTTAGGTTTTCCACAATTTCAGCATGGTCTTGGCTTTAGTCTTTTGAGAGCTATCTTCAGATTTTATGTCACTTCTGTATCATTTGTGTTAAAAACTTTGAGATCATAATATTTTTCTCTCCTTTCTCAATACATTTTAAATTTGCTGTTTGACTATGTCTAGTATTTCTTCTGCTATTAGAAGAGGTAATTTCCTATTTAAATTTCTATCCTGCTCATATTACAAACTAGTCCAAAATAACATGTTAAAATAGCAGTTAAATATGTTTCTTCAGGCTTGTGCATGAGGATATTATCAGAAAGGGAAGCATGAGGATATTATCAGAAAGGGAAGAAGTGATGACCAAAAAATAAAAATAAAAGAGGGAGAGAAGACTAGAATATATCTAAGGCAGTTTTTTCAAAAGCAAGATTTGAGTTCTAGCAGATATTCAGATAATCGAAACTCCTTATCACTACCATCTCTTGCCTGTGCTGAATTTGTCACCTGTGTTAGGGATGATTCATTCCTGTTTTCTACGTGGAAATCTGAATCTGTAATAACATTATTTCTTTCTTTCTTTCTTTCCTTCTTTCTTTTCTTCTTTCTTTCTTTCTTTCTTTCTTTCTTTCTTTCTTTCTTTCTTTCTTTCTTTCTTTCTTCTTTCTCATCTAAATGCTCTCCACTAGATTGGCACAGTAAGGCTTATGAATCAATAAGTTTTATTCTTGTATCATATCTATGTAGCCACTGTTGAGTTTTTATTTCCAAAATCATGATCTTTAATAGAAGCAGAAGGAGAAATACTACGTGTGCCCTCAAACCACCTAAGTTTCCTAAGTAGTGCTTCAAGGTTGCTCTAGTTAAATTCTGACTATGTTGTTTCTCACAGTGAATCAGCAGAAACAAGTCCACATCCAATATGGTTATATGTTTTGCCTGACTCACTTCAGAGCAATTACTTCTCTATCAAAGTTTTGAAAATAATTATTGTCATCTTCATGATAAGTCTTATTCAGTAATATCTCAATAATCTAACTAATGGGAGTCACTTAGTTTCTTTTGTCAAAATTTTGAGTTATTTTTAGTAAGATTTTAATAGTGCTTAGTCCATATACTGCTATGTAGTGGTACCATACCTTAGTAGAAGTAGAAAGAACATCAGAAAGGGTGTCAAAAATAAATCTTAACATAATGGCAGTAGAGTTTGTCGGGAGTGTGACTTACTAGTATGCCCTAAAGTTTTCTAATGCTGTAAGGGAGAAATGATGATACCTGAGATTTTTGTAATACATGTAAAAGTACTTCACGAACATTTCATGTACACATGCAACTATAAGTTAGTGTGATTGATATATCAACCCTTGAGTCCCTGTTTTTATTTTCATTGATGTTCTTTTCTCTTGTTTCCTTCTGTATATGATTAGACATCATCTTTGTTAGTTTCTTTCTATATCATACTTCTGTCTTAGAGGCAGTATACTGAGACAGAGTTTTAAAACCCCAGGTCTTCTTTTTTTTTCCTGTAATTTATTGATTTGTTGCTTATTTGTAAAGTTAGGATAATAATACTGATCTCATGAACTTGTTGTGAGGGTTAGATAGAAACATGATAGAGAAATCAAGAGTTCTTGTGTTGAATTTTTTCCCAAACCCGAATATCCAACTATGTAGTAGATGGTCCCTCATTGATTTTCACTATTTCTTCTAACTCAAGTTTTTAAAGATTGAAGGAATTTTCTCATACAAATATCCTCCTGTGTTCTCTATCTTAGTCAGTAACTGTATGATGTGTCAACTAGCCCAAGTATCTGGGACTAATCTCTTTTATTCCATCAACAATTAAGTTTTACTGAATTGACCATGTATAATTTTAAAGCTTGTGGCTCTCTATTCCAATTTTCACTACATTAGTTCAGGCACTTGTGCTTTTATACCTGGGTTATTGCAATGGCCTTCTAACTCTCCTTTTGGCATATAGAATTCTCTGTCCTGTGTCCAGCTCATTGTCCTCCTTGGTGTTGGTAGGTGTTTTTTACAATGCATATCTAATCACCTATCTAATCCCTTGAAATATTAAACAGCAATGGTAATAGTAAGCAGAGAACCTTATGTAAAAATTCATCTAATGTTCTTCCATCAAGGGTAAGATCATATTAAAAAAGCATCCACTGAGTCCTGTTTTATTAACTATTTTCTTCTTTTTTAAAATTGAGAATTGCTGCTAAACTATGCTAAATGCATTTTCTATATCTGTGGAGATAATTGTATGATTTTCTCTCCTTTGAGCTATTAGGATTTCGTGATATTGAACAATTTTTGCATTCCTGGAATAAACTTACTTGGTCATCCTGTGTTTTCCTTTCAGTGTGCTACTGGATGACATTTGCCAATACATTATGTATAATTTTTGCATTGATAATCATAAGTGATATTAGTTTGCAGTTTTTTTATTCTTGTGTGAACTTTGTAACTTAAGGTATCAGTATTAGCCCAGCATCTTTAAATTGAATTTGTTTTTTTCTCTCTTTTATATATGCTCTGAAACAGTTTAAATAACACTAGAATTGTGTGATCTAAAAATATTGCGTAGAACTCTCCCCAGAAACATCTGAGTCTGGTGCTCTTTATGGAGTAGCTCTTTTATCTTTCTTTCTGTTTTCTTTTTTGATGGTAATTGGCTTGTTTACAGTTTTACATTTCTTTTTTCTTCTGTTAGTTGTGTTACATTGTAATCACTAGAAAATTTTCCATTTCACTCAAGTTTTAAAATGTATTTGAGTATAGTTTCATAATACAGTTTTCAAAACTAAAATTGATTTATATGGTTATTTGGCCTTTGTCATTTCTTATTTTGTGTATTTATGCTCTTTCATTTTTATTAAATCATTTTCTATTTTAGAAATGTATCCAAGTAGCAGATTTTAATTTATATATCGGTTTTACTGTTTTTCTGTTTCCTATTTCATCAATTTTGAATGGATACTTAAAGTTCATATGCTAAATGACTATAGATGCATAGATTTGACTTTAAAATTCATGACATAACATGTAAAATGTGTGCATTCAATAAGTACTTATTGAATGAAATTTTTCTCTTATATATTGGAGAATATTTGAATATATTACACATTTAGAAAGTACACTTGGGTTTTTTAGTTTTTTTTTTTCTTTTTGAGATGGAGTCTCACTCCGTCACCCAGGCTGGAGTGCAGTGGCATGACGTCTGCTCACTGCAACCTCCGCCTCCTGGGTTCAAGCGATTCTCCTGTCCCAGCTTCCCGAGTAGCTGGGACTACAGGCGCATGCTACCACGTCCAGCTAATTTTTTGTACTTTTAGTAGAGACAGGTTTTCACCATGTTAACCAGGATGGTCTTGATCTCCTGACTTCGTGATCTGCCCGCCTCGGCCTCCTAAAGTGCTGGGATTACAGGCGTGAGCCACCGCACCTGGCTGGGTTTTCTAGTATTTTATCAGGTTTGTCTTTTATGGTGAGTGGTTAATCTGTCCTTAGAATTTTCATGCTAATATTTTAGAAAAAAGTTTTATGGGCTAAGATTTCTGAAAGGACTGAAGTGGTACATCAGTGAAAAGTGTGCTAAATTGTAGCTACAACTGCTTTTGGACTATTAGAAAGAAAGAAACTAAAACGCCATTTGCAAAATAAAAGTCTTTATCAATGGATAATGCAAGACATTTAATAATTGCTATGATTAAAGTCTGGGGATATTGTTGGTTTCTCTGTAGATATTTTTAATCTTTTGGTGTAATATAGGAAGTGCCACTATAAAGTAATTAATATAGTAATGTTTTATGTGGCTTATAGCAAGTATGCCAGTATTCTCAGAAATGATATCAAGAGTGGAGAAACCAGGATGAGCGTACACCAAAATGTGTACAGGGAGACATTGTAGCTAGTGGAAAGAGAATTGGAATAAGAGCAAGAAGAACCCTGACTCTGCAAACAGCTGGTCATGTGAATGAGCCCAAATTACTTGACGTTTTTTACCTGCAAAAGCATTGGGTTGTCCCTATTCATCCTTTATATCCATTTTATGATATCATGATTTTAGGTTTAAAATAATTTAAATGACCAATGAAAGTGCTGAGATTATGTGTAGCTAATTAGTTCAGAATGATTATGTCTAAAAAATTAAATGTAGATTAAAGTTGTGTGTATGTGTGTGTATGTATATACGTGTGTATGTTAGAGAAAGAGTTTAAAAGAAGAAAGCTTAAAGAGGATGATTATTTGTGTAAGATGCAATATGGTAGTAAAACTTGCAATACTTTAGTTTGTATTTTATATTTGGGTTATTTTGCTTGTTTCACTGAAATTGAAAAATATTCAGATCACATCTAAACTGAGATAAGCATCTTCAAATGCTTTTTATTAGGTTACTTTATATTGGATTAAATGTGGTTTCAGTTGAATGAAATGTAAAAAGGTGGGTGTGGAAAATCATGGGATGAAAACTGATGCTAGAGAATTTAGAAGCTCCATATTAATTTGTTGGTTTATCTCTACACCTCCGTATCTAACACAATACCTGGCCCATAATGAATTCTCAATAAATCTCTGTTGGATTGAATTGTGGCAGTAAATAGCAAAAATAAAGTATATAGCAGGTCATTCACTGTTTTAATATAAAGTCTATACTCATATACATATCTTTGTAGTGCATGTGGTTACATTTTGCTTTGCAGTAATAACATTGAAGGTTTTACTTGAATGAAGCAGGTTGTCTTGAATGGATGGTTGCTATTTTAGTCTTATTCATCAGTACTTTACATAAAACACAAATTTTTATATTTATCTAAAAATATTAATGTAAAACACCATAGTAAGTAGCAAAATTAAAGAGTAAGGGGGAATATTTCTTACAGTGCTTTTAACAGGACAAACTTCCATTACATTTGGCACTCTCCTCACTCACTTTTATTGCTATTTACTTATTTCAACCAAAATTTCCTTCATAGACTTAATTTGTATGTGTTTAGCAGTACATTTAAAATACCTTACTTGAAGTTGGGAGCTCTTCTTGGATGTTTGCAGTACTCTGGTGTTTCAAGCCAGTCAGCTTATGATAATTGTTTTTGTGCCCCTTTCTGGCTACCTCCTGTGATTAATAATTGGCCCTGTGATTCTATTTTGTATTCTCTTGAAATAATTCTTTGTGGTTTTCTACTTCCCAATTTTTCAGAATTCTGCTCTCATCTTTCATACATCATAACCCCAAATAGAGTCTTCAGGTAATTCTCTGCTTTTCAAGAAGAGTGAAAGCTAGAAACCTGTTTTGTTTGCTGACCTTTGCTTAGAGTCACTAGCACAATATTTACATTTAACATAATTGCACTCTCATATTAATCACTTGCTTTTTATGTGGTTTGTTTTTATTTCTCTGAATTTTAAATTGAGCACAGAGATTATGTGTCATATTAGGTTTTGTGTTTTCACAGCACTTGTCACCTGAGACTCACTCAATTTATATCCAGAATTTGTAACTGAAAATGGTTTCAGGTTTCTTTTACTCCTTTCTTCTTTTGTGAATCTCTACAGCAACCTGTAATGAATATTATTATTGACTTTCAATACTGCTGCTCTGAAAGATTTAGAGATAGATCTAATATCTTTATGGCTACAAAAAAGAATGGATAAGCAAATTTTTATTGCCTTTAGTGACTCATTAAAATATTTTAAAAACATAATTCAAGAAATAATAAAATCATGAAAGCATGAATTCAGCAATTATTTTGAAAAGTTTAGCATTTTTTCTATACTTGGCTCTGTCATAATGTTATTCCAGGCAGAAAACTTATATATCTTTCTTTGTGGTCTAAAAAGATTAAATCTTCTTGTTACAATAAGAATGTCATTTTTTTCTTGTTAGAGCCCCATTACTGGTAGAGAATATCTGGTCCTAGTTACCAATAAGGAAAAATAAATTTTTTAGAAAATGTATCTTTTATTCAATCTGAATTCTACTTAATTTTCCATATATCAAATAGTTTACTCAAATATAGCTTCCAGTTTAATATTTTATGTGATTTGTGGTATATGTTAGTCATGAAACTTTTTAAAAACTTTTTTTTTATTTCAATAATACTTTTGGGGAACAAGTGGTGTTTGGTTATATGAATGAATTCTTTAGTGGTGATTTGTGAGATTTTTGTGCCTCCATCACCCGAGCAGTGTACGCTATACCCAATGTGCAGTCTTTTATCCCTCGCCACCCCCCAATCCTTTCCCCTGAGTCCCAAAAGTCCAATGTATCATTCTTATGCGTTTTCATCCTTATAGCTTAGCTCCCACACAGGAATGAGAATGTATGATGTTTGGTTTTCCATTCCTGAGTTACTTCACTTAGAATAATAGTCTCCAATTCTATCCAGGTTGCTGTGAATGCCATTATTTTGTTCCTTCTTATGGGTGAGTAGTATTCCATGGTATACATATATCACATTTTCTTTATCCACTAGTTGATTGATGAGCATTTGGGCTGGTTCCATATCTTTGCAATTGTAAATTGTGCTGCTATAAACATGCATGAGCAAGTATCTTTTTCCTATATTGACTTCTCCTCTGGGTAGATACCTAGAAGTGGGATTGTTGGGTCAAACAGTAGATCTACTTTTAGTTCTTTAAGGAATCTCCACATCATTTTCCATAGTGGTTGTACTAGTTTACATTTCCACCAACAGTGTAAAAATGTTCCCTTTTTGCTGCATTCATGCCAACATCTGTTATTTTTTGATTTTTTGATTATAGTCTTTTTTTGCAGGAGTGAGGTGGTATTTCATTGTGCTTTTGATTTGCATTTCCCTGATAATTAGTGATGCTGAGCATTTTTCCATATGCTTGTCGGCCATTTGTATATCTTCCTTTGAGAACTGTCTAGTCAACCCCATTTTTTGATGGGATTGTTTGTGTTTTTCTTGCTGATTTGTTTGAGTTCATTGTAGATTCTGGATATTAGTCCTTTGTCAAATGTATAGATTGTGAAGATTTTCTCCCATGCTGTGGATTGTCTGTTAACTCTGCTGGTTATTTCTTCTGTTGTGCAGAAGCTTTTTAGTTTCAATAAGTCCCATCTATTCATTTTTGATTTTGTTGCATTTGCTTTTGAGTTCTTGGTCATGAAGTATTTGCCTAAGCCAATGTCTAGAAGGGGTTTTCCAGTGTTAACTTCTAGAGTCTTTATGGTTTCAGGTCTTAGATTTAAGTCTTTGATCTATCTAGCAATTAGTTGATTTTTGTATAAAATGAGAAATGAAGATCCAGTTTCATTCTTCTGCATGTGACTTGCCTATTATCCCAGCATGATTTGTTAAATAGAGTGTCCTTTCCCCACTTTATGTTTTTGTGTGCTTTGTAGAAGATCAATTGACTGTAAGTATTTGACTTTATTTCTTGGTTGTCTATTCTGTTCCATTGGTCTATGTGCCTATTTTTCATACCAGTACCTTGATGTTTTGGTAACTATGGCTTTATAGTATAGTTTGAAGTCGAATAATGTGACGTTTTCAGATTTGTTCTCTTTGCTTAGTCTTGCTTTGGCTATCCAGGCTCTTTTTTGGTACTATATGAATTTTAGAATTGTCTTTTCTAGTTCTGTGAAGAATGATGGTGGTATTTTGATGAAAATTGTATTGAAGTTGTAGATTGCTTTTGGTAGTATGGTCATTTTCACAATATTGATTCTACTCATCCATGAGCATGGAATGGGTAGAATCAATATTGTGTTGCTTGTGAATTCTCTCAGCAGTGTTTTGTAGTTTTCTTTGTAGAGGTTTTTCGTGTCCTTGGTTAGGTATATTCCTAAGTATTTTATTTCTTTTTAAAGTTGTGGTGAAAGTGGTTGAGTTCTTGATTTGATTTTTAGCTTGGTCACTGTTGGTGTATAGCAGAGCTACTGATTTGTGTACATTAATTTAGTATCCTGAAATTTTGCTGAATTCATTTGTCATTTCTAGGAGCTTTTTGGATGAATCTTTAGAGTCTTCTAGGTATACAATCATATCATCAGCAAATAGTGACAGTTTGACTTCCTCTTTACTGATTTGGATGCCCTTTATTTCTTTCTCTTGTGTGATTGCTCTGGCTAGGACTTCCAGTACTATGTTGAATAGAAGGGGTGAAAATGGGAATCTTGTGTTGTTCCAGTTCTCAGGGGGAAAGCTTTCAGCTTTTCTCCATTTAGTATAATGTTGGCTGTGGGTTTGTCATAGATGGCTTTTATTACCTTAAGGTATGTCTCCTCTATGCCTATTTTTCTGAGGGTTTTAATCATAAGCAGTTGCTGAATTTCATCAATAGTTTTTCTGCAGTTATTGAGATGATCACGTGATTTTTGTTTTTAATTCTGTTTGTGTGGTGTATCATATTTATCAACTTATGTATGTTAAACCATGCTTACATTCCTGTTTTGAAACCTACTTGATCATGGTGGATAATCTTTTTGATATACTGTTGTATTCAGTTTGCTAGTATTTTGTGAGGATTTTAGCATCCATGTTCATCAGGTATACTGGTCTGTAGTTTTTTTTTTGCTGTGTCCTTCCCTGGGTTTGGTATTAGGGTGATACTGGCTTCATAGAATGATTTAGGGAGGACTCCCTCTTTCTCTATCTTGTGGAATAGTGTCAATAGAATTAGCACCAATTCTTTGAATGTCTGATAGAATTCAGCTGTGAATCCATCTGGTCCTGGACTTTTATTACCATTTCAATCTTTCTGCTTGTTATTGGTTTGTTCAGAGATTCTATATCTTCCTGCTTTAATCTAGTAGGGTTGTATATTTCCAGGAATTTATCCATCTCCTGTAGGTTTTCTAGGTTATGTGCATAAAGATGTTCATGGTAGCCTTGAATGATCTTTTGTATTTCTGTGATATCAGTTGTAATCTCTTATTTTGTTTCTAATTGAGCTTATTTGGATCTTCTCTCTTCTTTTCTTGGTTAATCTTACTAATGGTCTATCAATTTTGTTTATCTTTTCAAAGAACCAGCTTTTTGTTTCATTTTTTTGTATTATTTTTGATTCAATTTCATTTAGTTCTGCTCTGATCTTCGTTACTTCTTTTCCTCTGCTGGGTTTAGGTTTGGATTGTTCTTGTTTCTCCAGTTCTGTGAGGTATGACCTTAGATTGTCTATTTCTGCTCTTTCAGACTTTTTGATGTAGGCATTTAATGCTAAGAACTTTCCTCTTAGCACCACTTTTGCTGTATCACAGAGGTTTTGACAGCTGGTGTCACTATTATTGTTCAGTTCAAACAATTTTTTAATTTCCATTTTGATTTCATTGTTGACCCAATGATCATTGAGGAACAGGTTATTTAATTTCTAGGTATTTGCATGGTTTTGAGGGTTCCTTTTGGAGTTGATTTTCAATTTTATTCCATTGTGGTCTGAGACAGTACTTGCTATAATTTCAGTCTTCTCAAATTTACTGAGACTTGTTTTGTGGCCTATCATATGGTCTATCTTGGAGAATGTTCTATGTGCTGATGAACAGAATGAATATTCTGCAGTTTTTGGGTAGACTGTTCTGTAAATATCTGTTATGTTTGTTTATTGTAGGGTATAGTTTAAGTCCATTGCTTCTCTATTGATTTTCTGTCTTGATGACCTGTCTAGTGCTCTCAGTGGAGTATTAAAGTCCCCCACTATTATTGTGTTGCCATCTATCTCATTTCTTAGGTCTAGTAGTAATTGTTTTATAAATCTGGGAGCTCCAGAGTTAGGTGCATATATATTTAGAATTGTGATATGTTTCTGTTGAACTAGTGCTTTTATCATTATATGATGTCCTCTTTGTCTTCTTAAACTGCTGTTGCTTAACATTTTGTTTTATTTGATATAAGAATAGCTACTCGTGTTCACCATTCCAGTTGCATGGAATATCTTTTTCCACCTCTTTACTTTATGTGCGTCCTTATGTGTTAGGTGAGTCTCCTGAAGGCAGCAGAATTTTGGTTGGTGAATTCTTATCCATTTTGCCATTCAGTATCTTTTAAATACAGCATTTAAGCACTTTACATTCAACATTAGTATTGAGATGTGAAGTAGTATTCTATTCATTGTGCTATTTGTTTCCTGAATACCTTGGTTTTTTTTTTCATTATGTTGTTCTTATACAGGTCCTGTGAGATTTATGTTTTAAGGAGATTCTATTTTGGTGTATTTCAAGGATTTGTTTCAAGGTTTAGAGCTCCTTTTAGCAATTCTTGAAGTGCTGGCTTGGTAGTGGCAAATTCTCCCAGTATTTGTTTGTCTAGAAAAGACTGTATCTTTCCTTCATTTATGAAGCTTAGTTTCCCTGGATACAAAATTCTTGGCTGATAAAGGAGGCTAAAAATAGGACCCCAGGCTGGGCCTGGTGGCTCACGACTGTAATCCCAGCACTTTGGGAGGCCAAGGCAGGTGGATCACCTGAGGTCAGGAGTTCGAGACCAGCCTGGCCAACATGGTGAAACCCTGTCTCTACTAAAAATACAAAAATTAGCCAGGTGTGGTGGCAGGCACCTGTAATCCCAGTTACTTGGGAGGCTGAGGTGGGAGAATTGCTTGAGCCCAGGAGGTGGATGTTGCAGCGAGCCAAGATCATGTCACTGCACTCCAGCCTGGCCGCAGGGCGAGACTCTGTCTCAAAAACAAAACAAAACAAAAGAAAACAACAACAAAAAAATAAGACCCCAATCCCTTCTAGCTTGTAGGGTTTCTGCTGAGATATCTGTTGTTAATCTGCTAGGTTTTCCTTTGTAGCTTACCTGATGCTTTTGCCTCAGAGCTCTTAAGATTCTTTCCTTCATCTTGACTTTAGATAACTTGATGACTATGTGCCTGTGTGATGATCTTTTTGCAATGAATTTCCCAGGTGTTCTTTGAGCTTCTTGTATTTGGATGTCTAGGTCTCTAGCAAGGCTGGGGATTTTTTCCTCAATTATTCCCTCAAATATGTTTTCCAGACTTTTAGATTTCTCTTCTTCCTTGGGAACACCAATTATTCTTAGGTTCAGATGTTTAACATAGTTCCAAACTTCTTGGATACTTTGTTCATTTTTTAAAGTTCTTTTTTCTTTGTGTTTGGTGGATTGGGTTAATTAGAAAGCCTTGTCTTCCAGCTCTGAAGTTCTTTCTTCTGCTTTTTCAATTCTATTGCTGAGACTTCCCAGTGCATTTTAAACTTCTTGTGTGTCCTTGATTTCCAGAAATTGTGATTGTTTTTTATTTATGCGCTCTATTTCACTGAAGAATTTTTTTCCTTTCATATCCTGTATCATGTTTTTTACTCATTTAGTTGATCTTCACCTTTCTTTGGTGCCTCCTTGATAGCTTAATAATTGATCTTCTGAATTCTTTTTCTGGCAATTCAGAGATTTTGTCTTGGTTTGGATCCATTGCTGGTGACCTGGTGTGATCCTTTGGGGGCATTAAAGAACGTTGTTTTGTCATATTTCCAGAGTTGTTTTTCTGGTTCCTTCTCATTTTGGTAGACTATGTCAGAGGGAAGATCTGGAATTCAAAGGCTGCTGTTAAGATTCTTTTTTCCCACAGAGTGCTCTCTTGATATGGTGTTCTCCCCATTCCCCTAGGAATGGGGCTTCCTGAGAGCTGAACTGTAGTGATTGGTTTTGCTTTTCTTGGTCTAGCCACTCAGCAGAGCTACTAGGCTCTGGGCTGGTACTAGGGAGTCTCTGCAAAGAGCTCTGTGTTGTCATCTGTCTTCAGATTTTGCAGCTGTGGATGCCAGCACCTGCTCTGATGTGGGTAGCAGGGGAGTGAAGTGGACTCTGTGAGGGTCCTTGGTTGTGTTTTTGTTTAGAGCACTGGTTTTGTGTTGGTCGGCCTCCAGCCAGGAGGTGGCACTTTCAAGACTTCATCAGCTGTGGTCCTATAGGGA
Organism: Homo sapiens; assembly: GCF_000001405.40. Classification (NCBI taxonomy): domain Eukaryota; kingdom Metazoa; phylum Chordata; class Mammalia; order Primates; family Hominidae; genus Homo; species Homo sapiens. The sequence goes on from NC_000004.12 coordinate 103,268,671, forward strand.
GGATGCTAACTTGCTCTAGGGATACCTGGTTAGGTATTCTGATGTCTCAGGCAGTGGGCAGAGCCATAGAACTCCTAAGAGATTATGATCTTTGTCTTTGGCTACCAGGTTAGGTAGAGAAAGACCATGAGGTTGGGGCAGGGATAGATGTGTCTGAGCTCAGCCTCTCCTTGGATGGGGCTTGCTGTGGCTGCTGTAAGGGATGGGGATGTGGTTCCTAGTCCAATGGAGTTACATTCCCAGGGAGATTATGGCTTCCTCTGCTGAGTCATACAGGTCACTAGGGAAGTGGGAGAAAGCTGGTAGTCACAAGCCTCACCCAGCTCCCATGCAGCCTGTAGTCCTAAAGGCCTATGTCATTCCCACTGTGCCCCCTCAATAGCACTGGGTCCATTTCCAGGCACTGGTGATCAGGTGTGAGAACATGCCCCAGAGCACAAGCCTCCCTGTTGAGAAAGCAAGCAAACTCACACTTTTTCACCATCTCAGGGAGCCTGCAGCAGTGATCCAGTTCCTTCAAAGGGTCCATGGATTCTCTTGGCTTTCCTGATGTGTCCCTATGGTAGTTCTTGGAGCAAAAGTTCATGATGTGTCTCCACATACTGCTGTGTCCATCTGAGCTGGAGCTGCAAGCTAGTCCTACGTTCTATTGGCCATCTCCTACAACAGTTCTGGTCATGAAATTTTAAGCACAACAGAGCATATCACATCTATTAATTATGTATTGACTTGCTTCAATATTGCTATGAAAACTTTGAAAGTTAAGAATAGAGTACTATGTAATTATTTTAATATTTTTGCATGCCCATTGCAAATACTACCCAGTGCACAGAACAGCCCCTCACAACAATTATTAGATCCAAAATGCTCATAGTGCTGAGATTGAGAAACTCTGATTTAGATCGCTGATATGTGAAATAAAATCTATTAGCCTCTGGGAATTATTTTCTTTCTGCCATTAAAAGATGTAGAGGATGACATTGCTTCTTTAATTTAATTTAATTAATTAATTAATTTATTTTTTGAGACGAAGTTTTGCTCTGTCACCCAGTCTGGAGAACAGTGGCATGATGTTGCCTCACTGCAACCTCTGCCTCCTGGGTTCAAGCGATTCTGTTGCTTCAGCCCAGATAACTTTTGTATTTTTAGTAGAGATGGGGTTTCATCATGTTGGCCAGGCTGGTTTGAAACTCCTGAACTCAAGTGATTCACCTGCCTTGGCCTCCCCAAGTGCTGGGATTACAGGTATGAGCCACTGTGCCCAGTTCTGAGATTGCTTTTTTTAAGTTTTTTTAATTTTTAATTTTGGGACTGCTTCTTGTACTGCTGGATGTTGTCTTGTCTAAATGTGATACCTGGAACTCTGGTAGCCGTCTTGTGACTCTGAGGGGAACCTAGGTGTATTAGTTATGGTTCTCCAGAGAAACCATTAACAGGCTATACCTGTATCTATCATCTATATCTACAAAGAGATTTATTTTATTATAAGGTATTGGCTCATGTGATTATAAAGGCTGAGAAGTCTCACAATCTTTCCTCTGAAACCCAGAAAGACTGATGGTGTAGTTTGAAGGCTTGAGACCTGGAGAGCTGATGGTGTAGATTTCCCTTCTGAGTCTGAAATCCTGAGAACCAAGAGCATCAAGGGCAGAAGATCAATATTCCAGCTCAGTAGTCAGTCAGAGAGAGAAAGAGAAAGAGATAAACAAATTCCATTACTTCATATTTTTGTTCTATCCAAACCCTCAGTGGATTGGGTCATGCCCACTCACATTGGGGAAGATGAATTTCTTTGCTCATTCTCCTAATTCAAATGCTAATTTCCTCCTGATACATCCTTATAGACACACTTAGAAGTAACATAAGTAATGTTTAACCAGATGCCTAGGCATCCCTGATTCAGAGAGGTTGATAAATACAACTAATTGTCACACATCCACCCTTTTTCAACTTGGCACCCATATGCATCTCCTTAAATTATATTTAATCTCCAGACAGAGACAATAGCAAGACCATAGTTCTGCCATGATATAATTACACTGCATACAACCAAAAATACACTCCCTCTTCTGTCTTAGTCTGCTCTGAATGCTATAACAAAATACCTTAGACTGGGTAATTTATAAACAATAGAAATTTATTGCTCATAGTTCTGGAAATGGGGTGTCCAAGATCAAGGCACCAGCATATTCAATGTCTGGTGAGGGTTTGCTTTCTGCTTCAAAGATGGCACCTACTTGCTGGGCCCTCACATGGTGGGAGAGGGCGAGGGAATTCATTTGAGCTTCTTTTATAAGGGCACTAACCCCTTCATGAAAATGGATCCCCATAACTTAATCACTTCCCAAAGGCCTCACCTCTTAATACTATTACATTTAGCATTATGTTCCAACACACAAATTTTGGGGGGACACCAACATTCTGATGATAGCACCTTTCCTAAAAGAAGAGGTAAATCTTGGAGTGTTGTTTACTCTTTTTATGAATATTCTGTAATTTAATAATTTTGTTGTAAAATAAAATTTATGTTGTACTCACATAAAATCAGTACATCTTGTTATATGATAGGGGAATAAGAGAGAGAAGAAAACGATATTTTCAGATACACACAGAAACACATATGTTCATAACAAAGTACTCATGACAATTACAGTCTTCATTTTTATAACTGTTTACATGAGTTTTATAACTAGTTACTTGATTTTTATAACTTGTCACAGGATTGTAGCTGATATAACTGGTACATGTAACTGCCTTCTTCCATTACCCATTTTGTATGGTTTTGGTTCTATATCTGGTAGATTGACCCAAACCTTTTTTTCTGAAAGGTCTGTCATTAGTAGTCCTGTCTGAATTGAGTTGTGATAGTTTTCCATTGATCTAAATCACAAGGCATGCTAATACCAAAAGGCATGCTAAAAGATCTACTGCATTCAAGACATTGTTTTTCTTCTATTGTGGAGTAGTAGTTCAATTTTCCCCTGGTCATTAGCATCAATCACCAACATAGTAACTTTGTTCTTTTCTTATTGATTCAGAGGCATGAGGAATTCAAAGTGGGCAGGTGGCAGCCTTAACTTCCAGTTCAATGGAATCATTGCTGTGTCTCCTGGTAGAAGCATCTTCTCTTTGAGACTAGGACATCCAGGCCAGCAGAATATCAGGTTGCATGAATAGGAAGCAAATATTTTGTTAGTGGGTCACTATGGTAATAGCAGCACCACTCCTTTTTCACTTCTTGATTTCTGAACCTGTAAATCCTGGCTATGATGGAAACAGCATCATTTATCAGACGTTGATTCAGAGCATATCCTCAGAATCTTGCCCCATCCTTGCAAGTTCTTGCCACCCAGCTGGTAGTTAACTGAGTCTTTGGAAGAATATCCCACCATTCTATCAAACCAGCTGTTTTAGGATGGTGGTGGAACATAGAAAGGCCAGTAAAATTCCATAAGCATGGGCCTCTTACTGAACTTTTTTTGTTGTGAAAGGAGATCCTTGATCAGAAGCAATGCTGTGTGGAATATCATAATGCTGGATAAGACATTCTATAAGTCAACAAATGATAGTTTTGGCAGAAGTATTGCATGCAGTGAAGGTAAATCCATATCTAGGGTAAATGTTGGTTTTAGTAAGAACAAAACACTGCTCTTCCATGGTGGAAGTGGTCCAATGTAATCAACCTGCCACCAGGTAGCTGGCTGATCACCCTGGGGAATGATGCCATATCAGGGAATCATATGTGTTTTTTACTGCTGGCAGACTGATCACTCAGTGGTGGCTGTAACCAGGTTGGCCTTGGTAAGTGGAAGTCCATGTTGCTGAGTCCATACCTAACCTTCATTTCTGCTACCATGGCCACTTTGTTCATGAGCCCACTGGATGATGACAGATGTGGCTGGGGAAAGAGATAGATTGCTAGCCACAAAAACAATCATCCTATTCACTTGATTATTAAAATACTCCTCTGCTGAGGTCACCCTTTGGTGAGCATTCACATGAGGCACAAGTATCATCATGTTTTTTGCCCATTCAGAGAGATCTATCCATATACTTCCTCCACAAATTTCCTTGTCACCAATTTTCCAATCACATTCCTTCCTAGTTCCTGACCACCCTATGCCCCAGCTCAGGAATTGATATACAATCACAAATTAAGTCATTTCTTCTTTTAAGAAAAATGAACAACCAGGTGCACTCCCCTATGTTCTGCTCACCAAGAGACATTTTCTTCACCAGGAAATTGCCCTTCAGTGATGTCCCAGAAAGTGGTTGTAGTGCTGCTGCTGTCTTTTTGGTGGTGCTTGTACATCATGCAAAACCATCTGTAAACCAGGCCTGAGTCTCTTCCTCTGCCAACTGATTAGAGAAAACAACTCATGAGACTGTAGGTACAGACTCAGAGGGAGACAGCAGTGTAGCAAGGGTGGGGACCATGGGCATTTGGGCCAATTCTTCATGTTACTTGTTCCTTCTGGATGTCCTTAGTTCTGATCACATACGTATCACTTCTACTTGATGTAGAGATCTGCTGTACGTGCTCAACTTTATGGCATGGTAAGACAGATGACATTCAGTAAATGATGAGCAGCTCAGGTTCCATGGTTACTTGGTGGCCCATTGTCAAGCATTCAGCCTCTACTAATGCCCAGTAGCAAGCCAGGAGCCGTTTCTCAAAAGGAGAGTATTATCTGTGGTAGATGGCAGACCTTTGCCCTGAAATTCCAAAGGACTACCCTGCAATTTTCCAATAGGGTCTACCAGAGACTCCAAGTAGCATCCTATCTGCCATTTCTACCTTTCAACTACTATTGTATCTGCTTGATCATATGGCTCAAGTAGCAGAGCAACTTGCACATCAGCCTGGACTTACTGGGGAGCTTTCTTTTGCTCTGAACCCCACTCAAAACTACCAGCTTTTGGAGGCATCACGCTATCTGACTTCAAACTATACTACAAGGCTACAGTAACCAAAACAGTATGGTACTGGTACGAAAACAGAGATATAGACCAATGGAACAGAACAGAGCCCTCAGAAATAATACCACACATTTACAACTATCTGATAGTTGACAAACCTGACAAAAACAAGCAATGGGGAAAGGATTCCCTATTTAATAAATGGTGCTGGGAAAACTGGCTAGTCATATGTAGAAAGCTGAAACTGGATCCCTTCCTTACACCTTATACAAAAATTAATTCAAGATGGATTAAAGACTTACATGTTAGACCTAAAACCATAAAAACCCTAGAAGAAAACCTAGGCAATACCATTCAGGACATAGGCATGGGCAAGGACTTCATGTCTAAAACACCAAAAGCAATGGCAACAAAAGCCAAAATTGACAAATGGGATCTAATTAAACTAAAGAGCTTCTGCACAGCAAAAGAAACCACCATCAGAATGAACAGGCAACCTACAGAATGGGAGAAAATTTTTGCAATCTACTCATCTGACAAAGGGCTAATATCCAGAATCTACAGAGAACTCTAACAAATTTACAAGAAAAAAAAACAACCCCATCAAAAAGTGGGCGAAGGACATGAACACACACTTCTCAAAAGAAGACATTTATGCAGCCAAAAAACACATGAAAAAATGCTCATCATCACTGGCCATCAGAGATGTGCATATCAAAACCACAATGAGATACCATCTCACACCAGTTAGAATGGTGATCATTAAAAAGTCAGGAAACAACAGATGCTGGAGAGGATGTGGAGAAATAGGAACACTTTGACACTGTTGGTGGGACTGTAAACTAGTTCAACCATTGTGGAAGTCAGTGTGGCGATTCCTCAGGGATCTAGAACTAGAAATACCATTTGACCCAGCCATCCCATTACTGGCTATATACCCAAAGGATTATAAATCATGCTGCTATAAAGACACATGCACACGTATGTTTATTGCAGCGCTATTCACAATAGCAAAGACTTGGAACCAACCCAAATGTCCAACAATGATAGACTGGATTAAGAAAATGTGGCACATATAGACCATGGAATACTATGCAGCCATAACAAAGGATGAGTTCATGTCCTTTGTAGGGACATGGATGAAGCTGGAAACCATCATTCTCAGCAAACTATCACAAGGACAAAAAAACAAACACCACATGTTCTCACTCATAGGTGGGAATTGAACAATGAGAACACATGGACACAGGAAGGGGAACATCACACACCGGGACCTGTTGTGGGGTCGGGGGGGAGGGATAGCATTAGGAGATATTACTAATGCTAAATGACTAGCTAATGGGTGCAGCACACCAACATGGCACATGTATACATGTGTAAGAAACCTGCACGTTGTGCACATGTACCCTAAAACTTAAAGTATAATAATAATAATAAAAAAACAAAAACAAAAACAAAAAAACAAAGCAAAACAAAACAAAAAAAACAAAACTACCAGCTTTTTAAGTCACTAGGTAAGGGGGCTGGAGTAACACACCCAAATGAAGAATACATTGCTTCCAAAATTGAAAGGGGCCCACTAGGCACTGTGCCTTTTTCTTACCGTAGGAGGGGCCAGATGCATCAACTTGTTTTTCACATTAGAAGAAATATCCCAACATTTCCCATACCACTGATCCCTAGAAATTTCACTGGAGTAGAAGGCCCATGAATTTTAGTCAGATTTATTTTATATCCTTTGACATGAAAATATCTTACCTTTACGTCTAGAGTAGTTGGTACTTCTTAATTACTGTGTCCAATCAACATATCATCAATGTATTGGACCAGTGTGCTTTCTTGTGGAAGGGAACAATGATCAAGATCCCCGTGAACTAAATTAAGACATAGGGCTGGAGGGTTGATATGTACCTGAACTACAACTGTGACATTGTTTTGCTGACTTTGCCAGCTGAAAGCAAACTGTTTCTGGTGGGCCTTATGGACAAATATGGAGAAAAAGTATACTTTTCCATAGCTACACACTAGGTACTAGGAATGTGTTAATTTTCTCAAGTAATGAAACCACATTTGGTACAGAAGCTGCAATTAAAATTACCATCTGGTAGATCTTACAATAATCTATGGTCATTCTGTAAGATTCATTTGTCTTCTGCATAGGCCAAATGGGAGAGTTAAATGGGAACGTGATGGGAACCACTACCCTGCCTCTTTCAAGTCCTTTATGGTTGCGCTAATCTCTACAATCTCTATAGGAATACAATGTTGTTTTTGGCTTACTATTTTCCTAGGTGGAGGCAGTTCTAGTGGCTTCCATTTTTTCTCCCATAATAGCCTTCATTCCACAGATTAGGAATCAATGTGGGGATTCTGCCAGTTGCTGAGTGTATTTACTCTATTATTTATTTTTTGAGACAGAGCCTCGCTCTGTCACCCAGGCTGGATTGCAGTGGTATGATCTTGGCTCACTGCAACCTCCGCCTCCTGGGTTCAAGCTATTCTCATGCCTCAGCCTCCTGAGTAGCTGGAATTACAGGTGAGCACCACCACACCTGACTAAGTTTTGGCATTTTTAGTAGAGACAAGGTTTCGCCATGTTGGTCACGCTGGTCTTGAACTCAAGTGATCCGTTAGCTTCAGCCTCCCAAAGCACTGGGTTTACTGGCGTGGGCCACCATGCTTGGCCAATTCTAATTATGCTTTCTCAGAACTAAAGAAATAACCACAGGGTGTATTTGAGGACCTTCTGTGAGATGGACCTGAGCTCAAACTCCATTGATCATCTGACTCAATAAACTTCTACTGTGACTAGTAGGCCACAGTGATGTTTTGGGTCTCCAGGAATTAATGTCAGTTTAGAGCCAGTGCCCAGGAGCCCCTAAAAGTTCTGATTATTCCCCTTTCCTCAATGAACAGTTACCCTGATAACTGTATGTCCCTTTGGGGAAGGGTGGGAGAAAGATTAGCTGTACAAATTTTTGGCAATGTACCAGGGCTCTTCCTCAAGGGGAATTGGCTACCCTTTCACCCGAGGTGTTCTGAGTCTGTAAACTGGCTAAAGTAGAAAAACAGATTAAGGAACATGTGTCTCTGTTTTTCTGATTCAGATTAGACTTTTGTTTACTTGACCTAGAACTTTTCTGCTTATACACATCAAATATATATTTCGTGGTTTCTTATTCATTTCACTTCCAGGAATGTCATGATCAACTAGCTAATTACACAGGCCTGTACGAGTCAGACCATTCTGCTTGCTGCTTTCACTTTGTTATCCATCACAGTAACAATGCCCGCCATGCTTTTGATAGCTGAGTGCTGTCACTTGGCTCCTGCCACTCTAGGATCTAATTACTCTCATTGTATTTATGTTTCTCAGTGTAGCATGTGCAGTTTCCACTGCAAGTTCCGGCTTACTGAGAAGAGCAATCTTGAGCCCTGTAGCCCAATGTTGAAGCTTTCCTCACAGATTAATTTCTCACAGTAATGGTGTAAGGTATGTCTTCTGGATCCTCCCAGCACGGGTGGGTAGGTCTTCAGTAACAAATCCACTCTAACATTCTTTTTTTTTTTTTTTTTTTTGAGATGGAGTCTTGCTGTATCACCTAGGCTGGAGTGCGGTGGTGTGATCTCAGCTCACTGCAAGCTCTGCCTCCCAGGTTCACGCCATTCTCCTGCCTCAGCCTCCTGAGTAGCTGGGACTACAGGCACCCACCACCATGCCCAGCTAATTTTTTGTATTTTTAGTACAGATGGTGTTTCACTGTGTTAGCCAGGATGGTCTCGATCTCCTGACATTGTGATCCGACTGCCTTGGCCTCCCAAAGTGCTGGGATTACAGGCGTGAGCCACCGCGCCTGGCCAATCCACTCTAACATTCTAATCTCCTTAATCTCCTTAAGTGTTTGTATTTATTCCTCTACATTCAACAAAGGTAGGTTGGGCATTTCCAGTTTCCTTACTGTGGGCTACGTTTTGGTCTATTTCAGCCCACCAACAAATGTACTGCTAGAGTTCATTCTAGCTCCCTGAGCTCAAGATTACATGCAAAATCTCTGCTTAGTGAGCTGATATCAGTAGATTTAGCTTGATCCATATTTATGTTGCTTCTATGGTTACTTCACACCTTTACAATCCATTCCCTGACATATTTCCTAGATTGTAATATGTATAAATTAGAAAACTCGGGTAGTTCTTTTGGAGTGTAATGTACCTTCTCATGGGTCACATTTTGTACCTTACATTAGGGGCCTGCTGGAACTTGAGTCTATTTATAGGTCTAGAAACAAATAGGTGGGTCTTTGGTGGAGGTGGATCCCTAGGAGAATCAGCATTGTCTTGCAGGGCAACTGCATCAAGGGAGGCCATTACAGTTTTCTCAGGCAACGCAAGGTTAATACTCAGCTAGGCATAGAAAGGCTGATAATAAAAGATGTGGGAAGGTTGCTACTGCTGGGAGTGAGGAGATCTCTTTCACTTTCAAAGAAGACTCATCAGAATTTAGAAGCTTATTGTCTCTAGCATCATTAGGGTCTTCCCACATGTCCCCATCCCAACTTACAATATCTCATTCTTTCCAATCAAAGTTCATTTTAACAGTAGACACTCTGTGAGGCTGATAGTTCAACTTGAATTGTAATTTAGCCGATCATAGGAGAGGACCCGTGTTTGATTTCCAGCAAGCTCAGCCCTGTAGCCGCAGGAGATAAGGATTTTGTTCAGAACAAACATAGGAGATTTCTGATCATTTTAAAAGCACTTCATCGAGGAATTTGAATCCCTGAGTGCATCCTCTTTTTTTTCTTTTTTTCTTTTTTTTTTTTTTGTCCAGCAACATTAGGAGCAACCAGCTAGTCTTATTCTATTAGTTAGTTTTAAAAAATGTTCTGAAGTAGTCACCCAGCTTCCTTCCTTTTTTCTTCCTTTCTTTCTTTCTTTGAGCTAGGATCTTGCTTTGTTGCCCAGGCTGGAGTGCAGTGGCATGATCATCCCCTGGCTAATTTTAATTTTTTTATAGATACAAGGTCTTACTATGTTGCCTAGGCTGATCCTGAACTCCTGGGCTCAAGTGATCCTCCTGCCTCAGCCTTCTAAGTACTGGGATTATAGGTATGAGCCACCACACCTGGCCAGCTCTTCGCTTCTTATAAATGGTAGTATCCAATTCAGATATTTTATATATCTCTATTGCCATGTTATGCCATGGTTGATCATTGCTCTCTTTATTACTGGACTTTAATTGGATTAGAAAGCCAGTTCCAGAAATTTTAGAAAACCAATTCAGAATATTCATGCTTAAAATTCTGTTCCCCTCCAGAACAACTCCTGGCACCAAACCTTTATTAGTTAGGGTTTTATAGAGAAATAAAAGCAATAGAATATCTATAGTCTATATTCTAGTTAGAGTAGAAATAGCTAAATACAATTTGACCTGATAACTCAATAGACTTAAAAGGCTGGTTGTGCTCACAACTTCTTTTAAAACGAGGTGTTTTGCACTGCACGTATTGTAATATTTATTACCACTGAATAATTTTCTTTTTTTTTAAATTATACTTTAAGTTCTAGGGTACATGCGCACAACGTGCAGGTTAGTTACATATGTACACATGGGCCATGATGGTGTGCTGCACCCATTAACTTGTCATTTACATTAGGTATATCTCCTAATGCTATCCCTCCCCATTCCATCCACCCCACAACAGGCCCCGGTGTGTGATGTTCCCCTTCCTGTGTCCAAGTGTTCTCATTGTTCAATTCCCACCTATAAGTGAGAACATGTGGCATTTGGTTTTGTGTCCTTGTGAAAGTTTGCTGAGAATGATGGTTTCCAGCTTCATCCATGTCCCTACAAATGACATGAACTCCAAAGCTGGAGGCATCATGCTACCTGACTTCAAACTACACTACAAGGCTACAGTAACCAAAACAGCATGGTACTTGTACCAAAACAGAGATATAGACCAATGGAACACAACAGAGCCCCCAGAAATAATACTACACATCTACAACCATCTGATCTTTGACAAACCTGACAAAATCAAGAAATGGGGAAAGGATTCCCTATTTAATAAATGATGCTGGGAAAACTGGCTAGCCATATGTAGAAAGCTGAAACTGGATCCCTTCCTTACACCTTGTACAAAAATTAATTCAAGATGGATTAAAGACTTAAATGTTAGACCTAAAACCAAAAACCCAACCAGTACCTGCCACTGCAAAAACATGCCAAATTGTAAAGACCATCAATGCTAGGAAGAAACTGCAACTAATGAGCAAATTAACTAGCTAACATCATAATGACAGGATCAAATTCACACATAACAATATTAACCTTAAATGTAAATAGGCTAAATGCTCCAATTAAAAGACACAGGCTGGCAAATTGGATAAAGAGTCAAGACCTATCAGTGTGCTGTATTCAGAGACTCATCTCAAGTGCAGAGACACACATAGGCTCAAAATAAAGGGATGGAGGAAGATCTACCAAGCAAATGGAAAACAAAAACAGGCAGGGGTTGCAATCCTAGTCTCTCATAAAACAGACTTTAAACCAACAAAGATCAAAAGAGACAAAGAAGGCCATTACATAGTGGTAAAGGGATCAATTCAACAAGAAGAGCTAACTATCCTAAATATACATGCACCAAATACAGGAGCATCCAGATTCATAAAGCAAGTCCTTGGAGACCTACAAAGAGACTTAGACTCCCACACAATAATAATGGGAGACTTTAACACCCCACTGTCTACATTAGACAGATCAACAAGACAGAAAGTTAACAATGATATCCAGGAACTGAACTTGGCTCTGCACCAAGCAGACCTAATAGACATCTGTAGAACTCTCCACTCCAAATCAACAGAATATACATTCTTCTCAGCACCACATAGCACTTATTCCAAAATTGACCACATAGTTGGAAGTAAAGCACTCCTCAGCAAATGTAAAAGAATAGAAATGATAACAAACTGTCTCTCAGACCACAGTGCAATCAAACTAGAACTCAGGGTTAAGAAACTCACTCAAAACTGCTCAACTGCATGGAAACTGAACAACCTGCTCCTGAATGACTACTGGGTACATAATGAAATGAAGGCAGAAATAAAGATGTTCTTTGAAGCCAATGAGAAAAAAGACACAACATACCAGAATCTCTGGGACACATTTAAAGCAGTGTGTAGAGGGAAATTTATAGCACTAAATGCCCACAAGAGAAAGCAGGAAAGATCTAAAATTGACACCCTAACATCACAATTAAAAGAACTAGAGAAGCAAGATCAAACACATTCAAAAGCTAACAGAAGGCAAGAAATAACTAAGATCAGAGCAGAACTGAAGGAGACAGAGACACAAAAATACCACTGAATAATTTTCAATGCTGGCCTTACAGAGGCTATTTTTTCCTAGGTATTATATTTGTAATTAAGAGATATTCAGCAATAGGCAAACTCAGTAATTATGCAATATTCAGTAAAAGTAAAATTTAATAAATAAAAGTAATAAGTATATGATGGGAATTTGATTTTGGATGTAGAGGACTATTTTTTCACTTTTTTAAATAAAAATTTTAAGGAGGTTCCACTTTGGAGAGAATAGTGTAGATTTCATTTTCCTTATTTCTTCCTCTCAGTGAAACTACAAACTCTGGACATTAAATAAAGAACAAATAAGGCTGAGGTGGGAAGATCACTTGAGCCTGGAAGACAGAGGTTGCAGTGAACCAAGAATGCACCACTGCACTCCAGCTGGGCATCACAGTCAGATCCTGTTTCAAAAAAAACCCCAAAACCAAAAACCAAACAAAAGCAACAACAAAAAGCAAATAAGAAGACTCTGAAAGGTATGAAAGGAAGATAGACGAAGACAAACTGGCCAGGGAATCTGGAACACAGTGGTGATAAGAGCCAAAGATTAAAAACACATTCCGTAAAGGGGGAAAAAAAACATTCAAATGACAGCAGATTTCTCATCAGCAACCATAGATGCTAGAAGAAAGTTTAGGCATTACAACATTTTAAAGTGCTTAAAGAAAAGAATTATTAACCCAGAATTTCATATTGGGTGAAAATATTATTCATGAATGAAGAAAAAATTAAAATTCTGAGATGAACAAAAACTAAGAGAATTTGCCAACAGCTACCTACTCTAAAAAATGGCTAAAGGAAGTTGTCTAAACAGAAAGTAAATGATGAAAAAAGAAATCTTGGAACTTTAGAAATGAAGAAAAAACATAAAATAAAAATATGGGTAAATACAATAGACTTAATTTCTCCTCTTCAGTTTTCGAATTTATACTTTACAGTTGAAAAAAAAAACACTGTGTAATGCTGTCAATTTATGTAGAGGAAATATTTAAGACAATTATAAGTTGGGGAGGATAAAGAAACATAGAGAGTGTAAAGTTTATACACTTCATTCAAACTGGTAAAATGTAAATACCAGTGGATACTAATGTAATACTTAGGGTAACCACTAAAACTTTTATCAGAAGAAATACACTCAAAAACACTAGACATGAATCAAAGTGGAATTCTAAAATATGCTCAAGTAACATACAGGAAGATGAAAAAAAGAGATATAAAAAGACCAGAAAAATCAACAGAAAACAGAATAAAATGGCAAACAAGCCTTGACATATCAATGATTACGTTAAAGTTTATATAATATTCCTCTCTGACTTTCAGTTGGTGCATTTAGATCACTTACACTAATGCATTAATTAAAAGACAAAGATCAGTAGAATGGATAGAAAACATGACCAACTACATGAGTTTTCTACAGAAAACTCACTTCAACTATATTTATACACATAAGTCAAAAGTAAAAGGATGAAAAATATATGCAAGCATTGAGGAAAATAAAGGAGGAGTGGCTATATTAATATCAAATAAATTAGAGTTCAGAGCAAAGAAATTACAAGGAATGGAGAGTGACATTACACAATGACAAATGCATCGACCCACCAAACAATCTTAATGTGTGTGCACCACACAACAAAAGTGCACAATTATGTAAAGAAAAATGAATAAAACTGAAAGTAATAATAGGCAAATTCACAATTATTTTTAGACACTTCAACAACCCTTTCTCAACAACTGATACAATAAGTAGACATAAAATCAGTAGAAGAGCTCAACAATATCATGAACCAACAGGATTTAGTTGACATTTACAGAACACTCCACCCAACAGCAGAAGACATTTTTTTTCAAGTACCCATAGCAAGAGACACAATATTCAGTCACTCAACAAATATCAACAAATTTAAAAATATTGATATCATACAGAGTGTATTCTCTGACTGCAATAGTATAAAACTTGAAATTGACAAAGGAAAATTAACAGGAAAACCCCCAAACACTTTGAAACTAAACAATACATGCCTAAAAATTCCATGGGACTAAGAAGAAGTCTTGAAGGAAATAAAAACATGCACTGAACTGAACAAAAATGAAAATACAATATATAAAAATTTGTAGAATTTAGCTAAAGAAATTTCAAGAGGTAAATTTATAGCACTAAATGATTACACTAGAAAAACAGGAAAAAGTCTCAAATCAAAAATCTAAGCTTCTACTTCAGTATCCATAAAAGAGCAAAATAAACCCAAAGCAAGTAGAAAGAAGAAAGCAATAAAACAAGAACATGAATCAGTGAAATCAAAAACAGAGAAACAATATAAAAGATTAATGAAACAAAAAACTGTTTTTTGAAAATATTAATACAACTGACAAAGCTATAGCAAAGTAAAAAGAGAGAAGACACAAATAACAAATATCAGAAATGAAATGGAAGATCTCTCTGTAGATCTTGAAGACATCAAATGCCTAATAAGGCAATAACTCAGACAACTCCATAAACATTAATTTGACAACTTAGATGGAATGGACCAATTTCATCTCAAAAAACATAAATCCAATTTGCACAATATGAAATAGATAATTTGATAGCCCTTTAACAAGGAAATCAAGTTTATAATTAAACATTTCCCCTCAAAAAGAAAGCTCCAGGCCCAGACACTTTCACTGGATAATTCTATCAAATGTTTAAGAATTCACACTGATTCTATACAATCTGATCCAGAAAACAGGAGAGAAGAGAATACTTCCTTACTAATTCTGTGGTGCAAGTATTATTCTGATACTAAAACCAAAAAGAGACAATGTAAAAAAGAAAACTGAAGACCAGTATCTCTTATGAATATAGATAACAACTTCTTAACAAAATACTAACAAATAGAATTCACAAATAGAAAAAGCTGGCTCAATATTTGAAAATAAATTAAATAACAAAATTAACAGACTAAAGAAAAAGACCATATGACTATATTGGTTTATTCAGGAAAAGCATTTGACAAAATTAAACACTCATTCATGAGAAAAACTCTCAGAAAACTAGGAATAGGGGGAAACTTCCAGAACATTAAACAACATCTTAAAAAATCCCCAGCTAATGTCATACTTAAAAAACTGAATGCTTTCCCCTAAGACTGGGGCTAGACAAAAATGTTGACTCAACATTGCTGTTCAACAGAGTGTGCGAAATTTTAACCAGTGAAATAAGCAAGAAAGGGAATAAAAAGCATCAGAAAAAAAGAAATAAAACTGTTTATAGATTATATGATGGTTTACAATGACTCCAAGGATTATGGGACAAAAGGCCAATCTCAAACTGTGAGAAAATATTTGCAAACCTGACACATTTGCTAAAGACAAATTTTAGAATATAAAGAACTCTAAAAGCTCACATTAAAAAGTAACTGAAGTAAGAAACGAGCAAAAGACATGAAAAGACATTCCACTGAAGATAATACAGTAGTCTTCCCTGGCCATGGTTTTGCTTTCCAAAACCAAAAATATTAAATGGAAAATTCCAGTAATAAACAATTCATCATTTTTAAATTGCATGCTGTCCTGAGTTGCATGATGCAGCCTTGTGCTGTCCTGCTCCACCCTACTAAGGACATGAGTTATATCTTTGTCCAGTGTATCCCCATGCTGTATATACAACTTGCCTGTTAGTTGCTTAGTAGCCAACTTGGTTATCATATATAAAAAAAATAGTATATATAGGGTTTGATACTATCAGTGGTTTCAGACATTCACTGGGCATATTGGAACATATGTACCCTAAGTAAATGAGGGGGAACTATTATACACAGATGATAAATAAGTGCATGAAAAGATGGTAAGACAAAAGACAACAAGTGTTGCCAAGGATGTGGAGAAATTGGAATTTTTGCACACTTTTGGTGGGGATGCAAAATGGTATATATGCTATAGAAAACAGTAGGAAGGTTTTTCAAAAAATTAAAAATATAACTACCGTATGATCCAGCAATCCCACTTCTGGGTATTTATTTGAAAGAATTGAAATCATGATCCCAAAGAGTTATTAGAATTCCCATCTTCACTGCAGCACTATTAACAATAGCCAAGATATAGAAGCAACCTAAATGTCCATCAATAGATGAATGGATAAAGAAAATGTGGAATGTATATAAAATGCTATTTAGTCTTAAAAAGAAGGAAATTTGCAGTATATGACTACATGAGTGAATTTTGAATGCACTTAGCTAAGTGAAATAAGCCAGTCACAGAAAGACAAGTACTGCATGATTCCACTTATATAAAGTATCTATAATAGAAAAATTCATAGAATCGAATATGCAATGGTGGTTACCTAGGCTGGACGGAGGGGGAAATGGTCCATTACTTATCAATGGACATTGATTAGTAATGGACTAACCCATTACTTAAAGTTTTAAAGTTAAAGACTTAAAGTTTTAGTTAAGTAACATAAATAGGCTCTAAAGATCTAGTGTAGAACATTGTACTTATTTTTAATAATATATTATACATTTAAAGATTTAAGAGGCTGATATTATTTGGCTGTGTCCCACCCAAATCTCATCTTGAGTTCCCACATGTTGTGGGAGGGACCTGGTAGGAGGTAATTGAATCATGGGGGCAGGTCTTTCCCATGCTATCCTTGTGATAGTGAATATGTCTCATGAGATCTGATGGTTTTAAAAAGAAGAGTTTCCCTGCATAAGCTCTCTGTCTTTACCTACTGCCATCTATGTAAGATGTGACTTGCTCCTCCTTGACTTCCACCATGATTGTGAGGCCTCACCAGCCATGTGGAAATGTAAGCCCATTAAACCTCTTTCATTTGTAAATTGCCCAGTTGCGGGCATGTCTTTATCAGCAGCATGAAAATGGTACAGTAAATTGGTACCAGTAGAGTAGGGTGCTGCTGAAAAATACCCAAAAATGTGGAAGCAACTTTAGAACTGGGTAACAGGAAGAGTTTGGAACAGTTTGGAGGGCTCAGAAGATGACAGGAAAATGTGGGAAAGTTTGGAACTCCCTAGAGGCTTGTTGAATGGCTTTGGAACTGGGTAACAGGAAGAGTTTGGAACAGTTTGGAGGGTGCAGAAGAAGACAGGAAAATGTGGGATAGTTTGGAACTCCTTAGAGGCTTGTTGAATAGCTTTGATCAAAATGCTGATAATGATATGGACAATGAAATCCAGGCTGAGGTGGTCTCAGATGGAGATGAGGAACTTGTTGGGAACTGGAGCAAAGGTGACTCTTGTTACATTTTAGCAAAGAGACTGGTGGCATTTTGCCCCTGCCCTAGAGGTCTGTGGAACTTTGAACTTGAGAGAAATAATTTAGGATATCTGGCAGAATAAATTTCTAAGCAGCAAAACATTCAAGAGGTGACTTGGGTGCCATTAAAGGCATTCAGTTTTATAAGGAAAGCAGAACATAGAAGTTTGAAAAATTTGCAACCTGACAATGTGATAGAAAAGAAAATCCCATTTTCTGAGGAGAAAGTCAAGCTGGCTGTAGAAGTTTGCATAAGTAACAAGGAACCAAATGTTAATTTCCAAGAAAATGGGGAAAATGTCTCCAGAGCATGACAGAGGTCTTCACAGCAGCCCTTCCTATTATAGGCCTGGAGGCCTAGAAGGAAAAAGTGGTTTCATGGGCCAGATTCAGGGTACCCATGCTCTGTGCAGTCTAGGGAGTTGGTGCCCTGCATCCCAGCTGCTCTGGTCATGGCTGAAAGGGGCTAATGTAGAGCTCGGGCCATCACTTCCGAGGATGCAAGCCTTAGGTCTTGGAAGAGTCCATGCGTTGTGGAGCCTGTGAGTGCATAGAAATCAAGAATTGAGGTTTGGGAACCTCCACCTAGGTTTCAGAGGATGTATGGAAACACCTGGATGTCCAGGAAGAAGTTTGCTGCAGGAGTGGAGCACTCATGGAGAACCTATGCTAGGGCAGTGTGGAAGGAAAATGTCGTGTGGGAGAGCCCACACAGAGTCCTCACTGGGGCGCTTCCTAGTGGAGTTGTGAGAAGAAGGCCACCACCCTTCAGACCCCAGAAGGGTAGATCCTCCGACAGCTTCCACTATGCACCTGGAAAAGCCAAAGGCACTCAACACCAG
The DNA here is from genome assembly GCF_000001405.40 of Homo sapiens. NCBI lineage: Eukaryota > Metazoa > Chordata > Mammalia > Primates > Hominidae > Homo > Homo sapiens. Next base: position 103,287,051 of record NC_000004.12, read on the forward strand.
CCAGTGAAAACAGCCAGGAGGGAGGCTGTACCCAGCAAAGCCAGAGAGCCAGTCTGCCCAAGACCATGGGAACCCACCTCTTGTATCAGCATGACCCAGATGGGAGACATGGAATCAAAGGAGATCATTTTGGAGTTTTAAGATTTGAGAGCCCTGTGGGATTTTGGACTTGTATGGGGCCTGTAGCCCCTTCGTTTTGGCCAATTTCTCCCATTTGGAATGGCTGTATTTACCCAGTGCCCTCATTGTATCTGAGAAGGAGCTAAATTGTTTTTGATTTTACAGGCTCATAGGCAGAAGGGACTTGCCTTGTGTCAAGTGAGACGTCGGACTGTAAGATTAATGCTGAAATGAGTTAAGACTTTGGGGGACTCTTGGGAAGGGATAATTGGTTTTGAAATTTGAGGGCGTGAGATTTGGGAGGGGCCAGGGGCAGAATGATTTGGTTTGGCTCTGTCCTCACCCAAATCTCATCTTGCATTCCCATGTATTGTGGGAGGGACCTGTAGGAGATAATTGAATCATGAGGGCAGGTCTTTCCTATGCTGTTCTTGTGATAGTGAATGAGTTTCACCAGATCTGATGGTTTTTAAAAGAGGAGTTTCCTGCACAAGCTCTCTCTCTTTGCCTGCTCCCATCCATGTAAGACATGACTTGCTCCTCCTTGCCTTCCACTGTGACTGTGAGGCCTCCCCAGCCATGTGGAACTGTAAGTCCATTAAACCTCTTTCTTTTGTGAATTGCCCAGTCTTGGGTATGTCTTTATCAGCAGTGTGAAAATGGACTAATACAGAGGCTAAATCTCATGTTAGTGTTTTCATCACATGCTTTTTCTCTAAAAATATCTTTTTAAATAAAAAACCTAAAAAAACTCTATTATAATAAAGTGACACACACATCACACATAGTAGAATTTGTAGAAATATAACTACCTATCTAATGATGTAAATTTCTGTCCTAATATTCTTCCCTGTGACTTTAAATCTTGGTTTTCTATAAGAATCTTTAAAAAGAATTTGATAGCTTTTCAGCATTTCTCAGAATACTACTGTATCATTCTTGCTTATTTTTCATGTGGTACCTGTGGTATAAGGGCAGCCATTCTGAGTGTAAGTCTCCTAAGGTGATGGCCTCTTTATAGCAGGGTCTGTTTACTCAGAGAATGAGGCAGTCAGTCAGTTCTAAATAAGATATAGGTGACATGTTACCATGGGAATAATTTCCTTTATTGAAGCAATTTTTAAGTTCTTAAATTCTGCTTTATGATCTTTTCTCCGAGTTCATTTTTTTCTTAAAATATTCTTTCTGAACATATAAAACATAACTGAACAAGATTCAAAGGATGCATGTTACAAATAGGCAGATTTTAGTTCAAATAGCAGGAATTTTCTAATAGTCAAAGATATTCAAAGATGTGATGTATTGTTGTGGAAAGGAGCAATTAAGCTAGAGAAACTTTGAAATCACTTCCAACTTTAAGGTTATAGCAATAAAGAAAAGCTGGGCTGGGTGCTGTGGCTCACGCCTGTAATCCCAGCACTTTGGGAGGCCGAGGAGGCGGATCACTAGATCAGGGATTCAAGATCGGCCTGGCCAACACATTGAAACCTCGTCTCTATCAAAAATACAAAAATTAGCCAGGAGTGTGTGCGTGCCTGTAATCCCAGCTACTTGGGAGAATGAGGCAGGAAAATTGCTTGAATCTGGGAGGCAGAGGTTGCAGTGAATGGAGATCATAACACACTGCACTCCACCCTGGGCGACAGAGGGCAACTCCTTCTCAAAAAAAAAAAAAAAAAAAAAAAAAAAAGCTAACATTTATACAGTGGTTTTCTTTTCAGAAAAACTAAAAAAATGGCAAGTGTTCCTTTTCAAAGGGAAATGATGCTTGCTGAAATCACATAGAGAAGTTGTTGTAAATTATTAAAATTATACCCCTTATTAATAAACTTATTTATTTATTAATTCAACAAATATTTATTAGGTTCTACTAAGTTCTAGGCATGATTCTAAGTTTAGGGCTAGAAGATCTAGATTAAAGCAAGTCTCTGCTTTCATGGAGCTTATATCTCAGTGGAGAGAGGGCAAAAAATACAAGGATACATGATAGGCATGTGGTAAATATTGTTTAGAGAAACATAAATCAGGATAGAGGCAATGGGAAATAAGGGGTGAGGTGTGTGCTTGTCATTTTATATAGATTAGCAAAGAAGTCCTCTTTGATTAGGTGATATTTGAGCCTAAACTTCAAGAAAGTGAGACAGTTATGAAGATATTTTGGGTGGATAGGGCGGGTGGGATTGAATTCCAAATAAAGACAGCTGCTGTAATGAATTAGGTATGTTGGCAGAACACCAAGCAGGACAATGTGGCTGGAGTGGAGTAAGAAAGAGAGTAACAGAGGAAGAGCTTCATCATTAATAACAATATATTGTATATTTCAAAATTGCTAAAGGAATAGATTTTTAAAATCCTCTCCAAAGAAAAATAAGTTGGTGAGATGATGTATGTGTTAATTAGCTTGACTGAATATTTTACAATGTATAGCTAGATGAAAACATCACATTGTACCTCACAAATATACAGAATTATTATTTTTCAATTAAAAATAAATTTGTAAGAACAGAAAATTTTAGAGAAGTGGTGGTGGAGCAGACAGTGGTTAAATTATAGGACATGGTAGGCCATGATGAGTCTTTTAGCTTTGTTATGAATGAGATGGGAAGCCCTTGAAAGTTATGAGCAGAGAATGACTTCATCTTTCTCATGTTTTAAAAGGATTGTTCTTGCTGCTCTGTTAAGAACATACTGTAGGGTGTAAGAGTGGAAGCAGAGAGACTACTTAAGAAGGAGACTACTGCAATAATCTAAGTGAGAGATGCAAGTGCATTGGAACAGGCTTGGGAGTGGGTAGTGGTGCAGGTAAGAAGTGGATTCAGCATATAATTTGAAAGTAGAAACTACAGGATTTGCTGGTGAATTGGATGTAGGATGTGAGAAAAAGAAATAAATAAAAATATTACATCCAAAATTTTTGGCTTGAACAATTGGAAGAACATAATACTGAATTAGGTAAAATGCATCATTGAAAGTTTCCAGGTGTTGAGGAATATGTCTTTGGGCTTGATGAGCTTCAACACATGGCTGTTGCTGCTCCTTGGTTCATAGTTGAAGACTTGGTGAAAATATTTACTTTTCTTCTTCTTGCCACTTGCCACCACATATATGTCTGTGGTGCCTGGTAATTCATGGAAGATGAGCATTAGCCAGTGCTTAAATAAGGTATACCAGTGACAGAACATGAATTTAAATATTATGAGTACAACTCAAATCAATCAAGGCAGGATGATTTAGAATGCCTGTCATTTTGTAATTAGGTTTTATATCATTATGTGAAAAATTTTATGTGACTGCTTAACTGGACCCATTATTTGGTTTCTCTTTTTGTCTTTAACTGCTGTATTCCTGCCTAGCTGTACTTCCAAGGCTAATCTAGGTTATCAAAGCTTTTCTTTCCTTAAAATACAACTTTCAAACCAATAGAAAAAGTTGACAGCTTTCTTTTAAAACACTACTGCATGTCACCTTTCAACATATCCAATAAAATGTTATTTTTACAATACTGCCTAGGATGAATGATAGTATCCATTTTACTTGGAAGGACTTTAACTGTTTTCTCTGAGTGATGTTTTTGGGTTTCTCTAGGGCATACTTTGAGTGAGTATTCTGGAAATTTTTATTTCAATTTACACAACAGTTTACTAGTTTTTGTATGCTTATTTATATCAGTTAATTTGACAAGAAAATCTGTGTTGAAAAAATGTGTTCATTTGTCTCATGAGTACTAAAATGTATTATGGGACTTTGAAGAAATATGAGTATGGGTTCAGGGGAATAAGAGACAAAACTCAGAAATAATTAGATGGAACAAAGTTAAACATACAGTTACATATCAAGACCATAAAAATCTATAAGTAACTGTAGTGTTAGAATAGATTTTTAGGTCAGTCCTCAAGACCATTGGGATTAGCAGGATAGAAACACAAGTAAAAGCTTCAATGATTAATGAAATAAGATCAAAATAGGTACTTTAAAAGAATGCTGTCAGGAATCATAATCTTGAATATAAAATTAGTTGCTGTGGTCCAGCAGCAGTGGGAACAGCTAATTGTTGCTGAATGGTGTTATGTAGATTGATAGTGAGGAGTGGGGAAGGCACTGAGAACTTCCCTGGGTGCTGTAAGAGTAGTTAGAGATGCTTTTGTTTGACTTTGCGATGGCATCACCATAACCCACCAATGAATGACGAGTTACTACCAATGGGCAGAGCAGTTTCTGGAATGTACTGAATGCAGGTGGTTGTCTGAGTGCCATGCTTCGAGAAGCCCATTGTAGCTCAGAGGACTTGAGGAAGGCTGAACAGATCGTACAGTTGGCCCTAAAATATTGAGAGTCTCATACTCTAAAATCATGTACTTTCTTCTGTATGGTACACATCTTTAGGCTGAATGTTGCTTATTTATAACTACTTTTTCCCACTGAATGCTACTCTTTAGGGCTATTTAAAAACTCTAGAGTTGGCCTGAATCTTAATTTTCTAAAAACAAAACAAACTCCAAGATCAGGGAGAATTAAGCAGAACACCATAGTAGGTATGACATGTGCTTTGGAATTGGGGAGCGTTCTGGGAGAGGATTCTGGGTCTACCACTTAATTTCGTGTGCAATCCCAGGCAAATTGCTTAATTCCTCTGTGCTCCAGTTCTTTTATCAGTGAAATGGAGTTTCTAATAGTGTCTACTTCACAGAGTTGTTGTGAAGAATAAATATAATAATGGATGATAATGGATATAAAGTGCATACATTATCTGGCTCAAAAAATAGTAGCTCATATTAACAGGTCATTTTGTTGGCCCACTAAGAAATATCTTTCCACTTCCAGAAAATAATAAAGAGGAAAAAAATCTCTGTGACGTTTAGTGTGCACTGATAGGTAATATTTAATCTCAAAATTTGCTATTTTTAAATAAAAAAACTGCTTTTTAAAGTGGGGATTTATCTAGCGATTAGGATTTAAAATTTTTGATCTAAAAATATTCAAACTATTATAGATATTTAGATTTTTATAGGGAAAAATTTCATTTTCTTTAAGGAGGATAACTTCCATCTCTTAATAGTTTGTAGTATATACATTAAAATATTCTGGAATAAGCTATCATTCAAAGTGAAGCTTAAAACTAAAAATCAGCAACAAACATTTCATAGAAACTAGAAAAATTCAAGAACAACGCGTCCTTTGGTGGTGCAGGTCTCCAGGCATGACCAGTTATGGATGTGGAAAGGAAAGCCAGTGTGGAAATGATTAGATGACTAGCCAAGGCACAGGTATAGTTTTCTTTTTCACCGTCTAGAATTAATGCAGGTTTTTAGTTGCTTTCCTGGCTGGCTTCGGCTATAAGGCAGCGGGTTTGTTTTCTGATAACAATCCAGCTTTTTATGCTCTCTCAGATTTAACCTTACACTGATTATGTTGCCCCTTCACTTTTGTGGTCAGCTGATAACAAAGGAAAGGAGCGCAAAGAATTCAGTTAGAAATTCACATCCAAAACAGCAGACTTTTCTTTGAATTCTACTATCAGTTTGTCTTCTCTTATGATACTTATACTCTGTAGTGGCATTTTGGTTTGCATATAAAATTTCCCCTACTACTGAAGTGTAGGTATTGGAGAGCTTTACACCTACCACTAGTATTTCTTTTCTCACACCTGTAACAACTGATTATCAGCCCCTGCTCCAAAACTTTCAGTCATCAGAGGTTTTACTTCATAACATATTTTTGGATAGATAGGTTCCCCCAACACCAATTTTACTGAGCTGAAATTATTAATATTTTATTGGGAGAAATCACATAACATTTTAGTTCAAAAAGAATACCTTTTATTTTGGCTCATTACATTTCTTCATGGATATTTCCCCTAGTTTTCTCTAGTTAGAATCCGCCTCCACAATTCTTATTAGCCTGCAACTCAAACACATTATTTTTTTCAAACTGGTTCCTTCTACATGAGCCGTCTGAATCACTAAAGCAAGAATCAATCAGTCAGCAATATTTATCAAGCACACACTAGGCGCAGAAAACTGTACAAAGAGCTCTAAAAGTCTGCAATATTGATTGTACCTGTCATGCCCTGACATGTAAAGGCCCTTATCACAAGAAGGAGGTCTCCTTAATGTAAGTTTTTGATTAGCAGGATGTGGGATCTGGACTGCAGTGAGAGAAAGAGACATTGCAAAACTTCTCTGCCTGGGAAATAAACAGTAATTTTGGGGTGGTGGGGGAGGTTCGGGGTGAGTAATTAAGGGAGGAGATATGAGGTGAGGAAAGGGTATAGGCAGGTAGGGACCTACAATCTGATAGGAGTCTAGAGCCTGGGAAGACACAACTGTTGAAGATGCCTCTGAGGCAAAAATGGCAGAAGGGAGGGCTAATCCTTAACTGTAACTTGTCGGCAATGCTGAGCAGTGATGTGAGCCTCAGGTCCTCTCTCCAAATTTCAGTGGAGTCTCCTGTAAGAACAGCTTTGAGTCTTTGGTTGCTGAATGACAAAAGAAGAGGCCAGATGGAGTGGGAAAAGGGAGATAAGTATAATAAAATGAACACATGAACCTACCTCACCTAAGGGAGTAGTATTACTAATAATGTCAAGGCTGCCTTTGCAACATTGTACCCAAGCAAGGAGCAGATTCTCCCAAATTTAGGAGCCTAGTTTATTTTAATCACCTTATTCCTGAGCTTTTGTTTGGTCTTTGCAGGCTTCTTCTAGGACAGTGAGGAGTAGGAAGCCATTGGAGCATGTGGTGATGGTGGCAGCAGCAGGAACAACAGGGTGTGGGGTCATACTTAGGCACAGGTGAGAAAGATTCCTAATTACTATAGATCCTGGCTGATTGAGAATCACTTGTCTTTAGCCTGGTCCAGCAGTGCAAAGTTAGGGGCTGTTGATCTTACTGAGGTGGCATGTTTCACATCTGTCCCTCTGATTCTGAATATGCATACGCAATTACTAATCGTGATGTGGGAAAGGACAAGGCTTTGCACAACTACTGATGTACCTGCTTATGTCCATTGCCTAGACTCATCTCCTTCATGAATTTTTAGATAGTCAGATTGTGGTCTTAAACCTCAAATATCTCACTCTTCAAAGGCAAAGACTTACATTTTAGGGCTTGTTAAGAGTCTTCAGCTTAGCAATATGAATATAATACCCAGAAAGTGACTGTATGTGCCAGGTTCTTGCCAGGAAAGAGATGGCACACTCAAACTGGGTAACTGAGTGAGTTTTAAAAAATGACAATTTATGAAGGCATAGGTAGGGTTTAGTGAAAGCTGTAAGACACAATGCAGTGCCCTAGGGCTAGTATCAGGTAGGAACTAGCGGACAAACAAAAGATATCAAGCTACTGCCACGTTGTTTTTCTGTATTTTGAGGGATTTAAGCGTTATTCAAATATAGGCTATCTTATATCAGGTATCCGGAGGCTACTCATTTCAGCCCCGCTGAATACCATTTCCTCCAAGAAGGCTTTCTCATAAGCCCAGACAGAGGAGCTTTGTTACCCTTTGAACATCTACAGCAACTGTATTTCTCATACTTATTGAACACAGCAAGATACTGCTTTGAATTCATTGTACAGAAAAACCTCTCTGTTAATTATTAATTTTTTGGCTCCTAAGGCCAAATTGGTGTCTGGCTTATTTTTTGCATTCTCCCAAATGCCTAGCACAATGCCTTGTACCCTTTTTTCCCACTAAAAGTTGTTGTTTTTTGTTTTTTTGAAGTTGCCAGCCACAGGGTAGCAGGGAGAAGATTGATGCCTACGCAAATATAACAGATCCTTGCCTTGTGTTTTCACTCTTGCTAAGATAATCCAGTCTCTGCCTGGATGCTACTGACAGCATTTTTAGCAAGATTCATGACATCCTCCTTCTATGCAATCTCTAAGACATGGAGCAGCAAGAATTATAAACTTGAAATGTTACTGGGATGATTGTTCCCTTGTTGTGAAGTCTCTTGCTGTTTACCTACTTCCTGCTTTAGCAGTTTCTTTTAGACTATTCTCATCTGTTCCATTCTGAAGTCTAACTCCGTTTTCCTCATTACTCTTTATCCCAGGCTCCTTGCTCTAGGGTTAAGCAAAGTTGCTTGTTGCTGTCTCCTCAGTATGAACAGCCTAATTTGCCTCAGGTTTTCCACATGCATGTTGGTAAGGGCCAAATAAACGACCTATTAATATGAGCTACTGTTTTTTCAGCCAGATAATGTGCTATCCACTTTATATCCATTATCATCCACTATCATATTTATTCTTCACAGCAACTCTATGAAGTAGACACTATTAGAAACTACTCTTTAGTGATATAAGAACTGGAGCACAGAGGAATTAAGCAATGTGCCCAAGATTGCACACCAAATTAAGTGGTAGACCCAGAATCCTCTCCCAGAACGTTGCCCAATTCCAAAGCAAATGTCATGCCTACTATGGTGTTCTGCTTAATTCTCCCTGATCTTGGGGTTTGTTTTGTTTTTAGAAAATTAAGATTCAAGTCAACTTTAGAGTTTTTAAATAACTCTAAAGAGTAGCATTCAGTGGGAAAAAGTAGTTATAAATAAGCAACATTCAGCCTAAGATGTGTACCATACAGAAGAAAGTACATGATTTTAGAGTATGAGATTCTCAATATTTTAGGGTCAACTGTACAATCTGTTCAGCCTTCTGCAAGTCCTCTGAGCTACAATGTGCTGGGATGACAGGCCCTTTCTTTTTTAAAAATTGAACTAACTTTTAGAAATTATTTTAAAAACTTTTGTTTTAAGCAATGGGGAAAGGATTCCCTATTTAATAAATGGTGCTGGGAAAACTGGCTAGCCATATGTAGAAAGCTGAAACTGGATCCCTTCCTTACACCTTGTACAAAAATTAATTCAAGATGGATTAAAGACTTAAATGTTAGCCCTAAAACCATAAAAACCCTAGAAGAAAACCTAGGCAATACCATTCAGGACATAGGCATGGTGGGCAAGGACTTCATGACTAAAACACCAAAAGCAATGGCAACAAAAGCCAAAATTGACAAATGGGATCTAATTAAACTAAAGAGCTTCTGCACAGCAAAAGAAACTACCATCAGAGTGAACAGGCAGCTTACAGAATGGGGAACATTTTTGCAATCTACCCATCTAACAAAGGGCTAATATCTACAATCTACAAAGAACTTAAACAAATTTACAAGAAAAAAACAAATAACCCCATCAAAAAGTGGGCAAAGGATA